>NC_000020.11:63100405-63717286 GCF_000001405.40 Homo sapiens
GGGGGAGGGCAGAGCTGGGGGAGGGTCCGCCCAGGGCAGGCGGGGTTGGGTGGAAGTGAGTGAGGTGCCTGAAGAGATGAAGGCTCCGGAGGCATTTGGGGAGGAGGACAGAGACCTGGGACCAAGTCCTCAGGCACTTTTAGCTTCATGTCTCAGCCAGGGTTCTGGCCCTGGCCGGCTCCTTCCCACAGAAAAGCTGGGAAGAGATCTTGGTAGGTGTCCGGCCCCACACACCATCCTGCTGGGGGTGGCTGGGTTGGACTTCACCATCCCCACAGCCCTGCAGCCTCCCCTCCTGCATCTTTCTCCTTGGTAAATGCCAGGAACCTCAAAAGCACCCAGAGGCCCAGAGAAATTGAGCACACAGGGGTGGGGAATTCAAGAGCAGGAGCTGTTTCTAGGGCCCCAGGGGCAGGGCCAGGGTCTCCTGGTCATTTCTGTGCTCGGGACCCCTGCTGCACCTGAGCTCACTGTGGAAACTGCCTGAGGGGGCCACACGGAGCTGATGGGGACAAGCATGCAGGGTGGGCACCCTTGTGGGCTCAGCTTGGTCCAGGGTGTCCACTGGGGGACGGGGAGGGAGATGGAGCACCAGGGAAGAAGCGTCTCTTCATGTGGTCAGCGCCCCCTCCTTCTCCCCACTCCCTCCTTTTGCCTCCCTTCCTGCTGCTGCCTGCACGGTGAGAACAGAGATGAGATGGCCCCTGCCCGGGAGCAGTCAGCGGCACCACAACCCTCCCAGGCCAACCCAGCTCCTGACAGAGAGGGAGGGAGGCAGCCTGGGGCTGGGGGCCCTGGCAGCAGTGGCACACGGAGTGTGCACATGGATCCTAGTCAGCCTTTTGCAGGGCGCTGAAGCCAGTGGGGGCCCCCAGGGAGGTTTTGGGGGAGTGTTGAGGGGGCCTGAAGGGTTCCGCTCCTCCCACCCAGGGAACCGCCATGCCACTAGTGGGCTGTCCTGGAGACTCGGGGAGAAAGCACACAGGCTGTCGGGAAAGGTGGGTCGCAGGCGGGCAGGGCAGCCCTGCTGTACTGATGGGCAGGCGCTGGGTGGGTGGAAGGCAAAGCCATCAGGTCATCCCCCTCTCTGTCCCTGCATTGGGCCAACCAGGTGTGTCAGGAGGATATTTGACCATTCCTGAGAGGCACATTCTCTCTCTCTCTCTCTCTCTCCCTCTCTCTCTCTCCCTCTCTCTCTCCCTCTCTCCCTCTCTCTCCCTCTCTCTCCCTCTCTCTCCCTCTCCCTCTCTCTCTCCCTCTCCCTCTCTCCCCCCTCCCTCTCCCTCCCTCTCCCCCTCTCCCTCTCCCTCTCTCCCCCTCCCTCTCTCTCCCTCTCTCTCCCTCTCTCTCCCCCTCTCTCTCCCTCCTCTCTCTGTCACACACATTTGCACATCCTGCAGTGTGAATGGAGTATGAATGTGTGTGGTAGGCGACAGCTGTGTGTGTACGTCCGGGTGCGTGTGTGCGTGTGTACATGTGAGCGTGTGTGCACGTGAGTTAGAGCCTGAGTGTCCCCTGCGTGGGTTAGTGTGTGCGCCCGCCCGGTGCCCTCCGTCTTGGGAGTCTGGGCTGCTGCTCCGCGGGCTCTGGAGCCGGCGCTCCCCACGAGCCCGGACTCTCCGCCGCGCCCGGGAGCTGCGCAATCGGCTGCTAAGACGCCGGCGCCACCGGCTGGGCCCTGTTCTCCCCTCTCTTTTCTACAGTCTTACCCGCAGCTGACAGGGTTCGAAAGAGCATGAAACGGAGGAGACGTTACAGCAACGTGTCAGCTGAAATGATGGGCGTAGACGCACGTCAGCGGCGGAAATGGTTTCTATCAAAATGAAAGTGTTTAGAGATTTTCCTCAAGTTTCAAATGAGGCGAATCCCGTTTTCCGCGATGCTGCAGCGCGCGGGTTTTAACCGCAGGGTCACGCGGAACGCCGCGCCGCGCGACTGTGCCTCGGTCTCTGCGCCCGGCTCTCCCTCCGGTCCGCAAGAGGAGGAAGGCCCGCGGCGTGCCGAGGTCAGCGGCGCGGAGCCACCAGGCGAGACGGTCACGGACGCCTGAACCGAGGTCACCGAGGCCACGGGGCCGGGAGGCCCTCAGCAGAGCCCGGGGGCTCCGCACCTCAAGGCCGGCCAGGAAGAAACAGCAGCAGGAGCCCAGGGCGCCCCGGGGAGCCCCCGACACGCGGGCCGAGCGCCCAGAGCGGCCCAGGCCCTCGCGAGGAGACCGGCCTCCCCAGGGCGGGGCTTCCGACTCGGGCGCCCGTGAGCCCCGGAGGCGGCGCGAAGGGGCAGAGTCCGCGTTTCTAACCAGCCCCCGGGTGGGCGGTGGCCCGCGCGGCACGGTGGGCGCGAGCGCCGTGGGCTGGGGCCGGCCTGGGCTTTCAGGGCGAGGGCTTTCCGCGCCGGCCCCAGCCCACCCGGCCCCGCTGCGCGCCCCTCACGCTGCAGCCTGGGAACCTGGGCCGGGAGCTGCGGGCCGCTCCGGGGAAGCGGGCCTGACCTCCCCTCCCCACCGCCGCCCCTGCGGTGAGATCCTGCCTGCCGGGGCGCAGGGGCCCGCGGTTGGGCTCCGGGAGACGGAAGAGGCCCCACAGCTCGGGCCCCACGCAGTGGACGCTGCCACTTAATTTTGGCGTAATTGATGTCAAGGCGGGTGCCCGGGCCCCCAGTGAAATGCCTCATGAACTCGCTGCGAGGAACGGCGCTCCACGCGGTGCACGGTGGCCAATCAGAGCTGCCGCTTCTGATGGAGGCTGAGCCGGCTGGGGAGGCGTCTTGGCCAAGAACCAGCCCCAGCCTCGCTCAGGGCCCCAACCCGCAGACCATGTAATTAAGCTGCGTTCTGCAGCCAGGGCAAGGTGCGGAGGGGCCTGTTTCTAGCATTGGGGAGGAGGAAGTGGGGAGGAGGGAGCGGGGAGGAAGGAGTGGGGAGGAGGGAGCGGGGAGGAAGGAGGAGTGGGGAGGAGGGAGCGGGGAGGAGGGAGCGGGGAGGAAGGAGTGGGGAGGAGGGAGCGGGGAGGAAGGAGGAGTGGGGAGGAGGGAGCGGGGAGGAAGGAGGAAGGAGCGGGGAGCAGAGGAGCAGAGCGGGAGGGAGGATCGTCGTGCAGGGGGCCTTTGTGGATGAGGCTGGGATGTCCCTGCCCCTCCGTTCCCTCCAGAGTCTCAGCTCTGAACATCTTCCCGCACCTCTGAGGAGCCAGGCCTGGAAACCCTCTAAAATAGATTTTTCTGCCTCAAGACAGAAGATGGGCGTTCCAGGCAGAGAAGAGCTGCCCAGTCACGTGCTCTGCTCCACCTGGTCAGAGACCCTTGACCTTTAGAAGACTGGACCTGAGGGCGTGGCTGGTGGACCTGAGGGCGTGGATGGTGGACCTGGCCACCCAGCTGTAGCTTTTTGGGTTCCTGTGGTCCCATTTCTTGGGTCAATCTCACACCTGGCAGCTCCCAGGAAGACACCCCCAGGCCCCTCACACTCCTGGGGGCAGCTGGAATTGGCTTCAGGGCGGGACCAGGGGCCCCATGGGTGTTTGGAATCCCTGATCTGGGTCAGGCACCGGCAGCAGGATTCCAGCCTGGCCTGGACTCTGGTGTGTCCCGTTTGAAGAAACCCCGCCCTGTGAAAGTTCAAGTTTAGCATCCAATGACCCATTTAAGAGGTTTGCTGAGCCACGTCACAGGAGGGTCTGGGTGCAAACGGAGGTGGCAACACACAGAGCGAGCCTTGAGCACCCAGGTTACCCCCAGGACCTCCAGTCTGGCTTGGGGGCTCCTGCTGTCCTGTGGAGCAGCCCCCTGGGATCAGGGACGGGGCTGAGCTGGAGAGTGTGCAGGATTGATTAATGATGTCTGCCACGGTCAGGCCAACTGCTGTGTTTCTGGGGCCCACAAGCTAAAAATGGTTGGAAAAAAATCAAAACATTAATATTTGTGACATATGAGAATGCTATGAAAGTCAACTTTGCTATCCATAAATAAAGTTTTATTGACATAGCCATGCTCACTCTTTCTCATATTGTCCATGGCTGCTCGTGTGTCCAGGCACATACCAGGAGGCTACAGACGGAGCTGGATTCTTTCCGGCCCTTTGCTGGAGGCATTGCTGACCCCTGCTCTGAGGCTCCCCATGGCTCTCAGGATCCAGACCCCAGGCTTCCCAGGACATTGGGGGCCAATGGCTCCCTGAGTGCCCTCCTCCCCAGCTCTTCTCCCACCCCTGCCCCCCCAGGAGCCCTCACCATGTGCCACTCACTGCCCACGCAATCTGACCTGTGAAGGGCAGACAGAGGAGCAAGCCTGCCTGAAAAGGAGGACTCTGACTTTGCCACTCCGCTGCCCTGCCTGGCCCCACTGTGGTGTTACCAGGAAAGGCCATGGCAGAGGGACATGCCCACGAGCTGCCCTGGGGGAGAGCGGCTGGGGCAGGGAGGGCAGCACTGCCCTCAGAAAGCCCCGCGGTGGTGCCCCTACCTCCCCTGGGTTCCAGGAGTGTGGACAGACCCTGCTGGGAGCAGATGGCACTTCTGCAGCTGAGGCCTGCTGGACGCTGGGCCATGCCGGGGACTTGAGCCTGGGGCCACACGCTCCTCCTGGCCGATGTCACCACTCCTCTTCCAACAGTCTTGGCCCCGGGGTGGGCCTGCTCCCCGCCCACTCTCTGTGTGGACGGATCATTGCTGCCGCCCTCTGTTCCTCCCTCCCAGGACTCAGAAGAGGGGCCTGGTGTGAACAGGAGGCAACCGCTGACCCCTGGCCTGTGCCCACGCAGAGGCCACCTCCCAGTCTGGTCTCTCTGGGCCAGCCCCTGGAGTGTGCAAAATTGAAAAATAGAAATTCCTGGGAAGTGCTGACTCTCCTGCAGTGCTCAGAGGTTCGCCAGGCCTGTGCCTGTCTTGGCCGGGCCCACGGCTCTCAATGTGGTGGCCGCCATCCCGCCAGCCTTGGCCGCTCGGGGACTGTGGGCTGTGTGCCTCTGATGTTGCATGGGAGCTCAGATCCCCCATCTGTGGACTGAGGCCTCTCAGCCTGGTGGCCGCTAGACCCAAATAACACGTGGACCCGGCCCGGCCGGGTCAGACCCCATCGAACACTTGGGGGTTCCTGTCAATCACAGGCCCTATGCCTTGCCCGGTGCCTCAACGCCCACGGGGTCAGCCTGTTCCACTTCCTGACACCCTCCTCTGCACTGGGCCAGCCTGGCAACCCCACCTCCGCCACAACATAACCCCGGATCTGCCCCACCCCCACCCTCCCACAGAACGCCACTGCGCTCCCGCCCAAGTCAGTGTTTCAGGAGGAGCACAGCAGAAGGTGCAGGAAGCCGAGTCTGGCCAACACCCTCCAGAAACTCATTCCTGCATCCCCCTGGGAGACCTGGACTGGGACATGGGCACAGGGAGGACCTCTATGCTCTGGGGCGTGGGGGTGGGTAGAGTCAGGAGGGGATGTGGCAGGAAACATGCCCAGCCGCTCTCCGAATCTGCAGGAGGCACCTGCCATGCAGCTCGGACCTCCCTGGGCTTCCGGGCTTGGTGACCACAAGGCTGGGCTGAGGGTGGGGGCAGCTGGCCCAGTAGGGGCGGCGCAGGTGACCCAGAACAGGGGCTGTGGGAGGTTAAGGGCTTGCTGGAGCCAGGCTCCGGGGCTCCTGGAGGAGGGGAGACCACAGGAAGACCTGGTCCTGGAGGGTCCTGGCCCCGTGGGCACTCCGTCTTTCTTCCTAAGGAACAACCACACCTCTCCTGCAGCCCGAGCTTTTCTTAGAGACCAAGGAGGCCGAACAAGAAGCATATTTTCCACATAACCTTTGCTTTCCCATGGGAAGGGACGATGGCCTGCACTTGCTGGCAGTTTTGGAGGCATGCCCAGAAGTTTGTGTATCTGTGGATGCTGGGCCAGGCATGGGCGGGACCGTGTTGGGAGGGGCCTCGTTGCTGGTGTCGAGGGAATGAGCTCCTCACAGGCCTCTGGACAGTGGCCCCAGGGCGCCCAGCCCCTTCTTATCCTAATCGAGATCCCTAGAGGACACCCTGTGTCCCCTGAGTTCTCCAGGGCTGAGGCTATCTCTGCCCCATGTCTCAAGCCTCAAGAGGCTCCCCTCTTTCTTACCCGAAGAAACTGTGGTTGGCAGGACAACAACAGTCCCCCAAACGTGTCCACGCCCCAATCCCAGGACCCCGTGACCCTGTCCCCAAGTGGTACAGGAACTCTGCAGATGGGACTGAGTTAAAGACCCCGTGACTCTGCCCCCACGTGGCACAGGGACCCTGCAGGTGGGACTGAGTTAAGGATCTTGAGCCAGGAGGTCATCCCTGTATAATTCTATTCTATGCCATAATCTCTTTACATATAAAATAAACCTAATTGTATGTAATCTGTATTTATATATTTTATTTATGTTCCTTCCTCCTTATAGGAGCGAGGCAGGAAGTGAGGCCATGGGAGCAGAGGTCAGCGAGCTGCAGTGTGAGGATGGAGGAGGGGCCACAAGCCAAGGGATGCGGGCGGCTCCAGAGGGTGGGGTGGCAGGAAGCAGGTTCTCTACGGGAGGCTCTGGAAGGAGCCAGCCCTGCAGACAGCAAGATTTTAGCCCAGTGAGACCCGCTCTGACCTCCAGGACAGGAAGACGACACGTCGTACTGTTTTAAGGGCTCATTTTGTGGTTTGTGGAGGCAGCCACTGGTTCTGACACCAATCGACCCTGATTCCTCCAGTGAGTCCAAGAGCACAGAACAGACTCCCACTCTGGCTGAGGACACGGTGAGGGAACTGTGGTGACCCCAGTTCCGTTCATGTGGCTGTCACTCCAGGAGGATGGCTCTAGAGCAGGGAGGGGCCAAAGAAGGCGAAAGCAGACAACGGGTAGCCCATGCTGGGAGGGGTTGCATGTGTGGCAGCCACCTCTGAGCGGGGGACACCTGAGCTGGGACCTGTGCGGTCATCTGGGAGCTGAGGACTCCAAAGACCATGTCAGGTTGAAGCCATCCAGCAGGAGTGACCTCAGACCCAGAAGGCAGCAGTGAGGCTGGACTGGGGACAGCTGGAGAGATGGAGACACAGGGGCCAGCAGTGATGGGGACAGGATGCTGTGTGAGACATCCCTGGTGATGCCTGGCAAGGTTTCCAGCAGGGGATGGGTAGGGTTTGCTTTGTGCTTTCAGAGAAGCTCTCCAGTGGCTGGAAGGGTAGGGGTAGCCCAGCTTCAGTGCCAGGTGCTGGGGTCAGACAATGCGGCTCCCTCCACTCCAGGTGGGGAAGGGTTACCCCATGGACCCTCCTCGATTCTCTGGCCCAGAAGGGTCATGTCAGGAGGATGGGCGTGGGAGCTGCATCTCCCTGGAGTCCCTACTTTCCTCTTTCTCAGACTGATACTCTCCAGGGGAGCAGAGCTGCTGGTGGCTCATTAATTGTGATCAACTGTGAACCCTGAGGGAATTGTTTTACTTGAGGGAAGGTGGGGCAGAGAACTGAGGAGGGAGGGAGGCTTCTGGTGAGAACCCCATTTCCCAGATGACCCCTGACAGCACCCCTGACCCCAGGACATGGAGACCACTGCCCACAAAGGGAGCCTCCCTGCAGCTGGAGGGGCTGCTCCCTGCTCCGGTCCCCTCAGGTTGGACTGAGGCTCGGCTTCAAAAGGGCCCTTGGGCGGGAGCCACCTTCCAGGCAGTCACCCCCGCCCCCAATGGTGGGACCCAGAGGGCAAGAAATAGACACGTCTCTTTCCCTGGATTGCAGGGACCTCTAGCCAAGCAACTCCACTCATTTCAGCATAATTCCTTATTCATAATGTGTGAGTGAGGTGGCAAGGGCCATAAAATCAGCCAATAATACAAAATCTTGTAGTCTTGTTTTGCAGTTCTTTCCCAGGGCTATAGCCCGAATGTTTATGTGTCCCCCAAATTCCTATGTTGAAATTAGAACACCCAAGGCAATGGTATTCAGAGGTGCGGCCTTTAGGAGGGGACTAGGCCATGGGGGTGGGGCCCTCCTGAATGGGATTAGTGCCCTTCGAAAAGGAACCCCAGACTGACCTCTCACCTCCTGCACTATGTGGGGACACACAGAGGAGGCACCATGGATGAACCAGGAAGCTGGCCCTCACCAGACACAGGACCTGCCGGCGCCTTGATCTTGAACTTCCAGCCATATATATGTATATCGTCTATATTCGGCACCATTCCCACCAGCAAGGCGCAAGAGTTCTAACTGCTCTGCAGCCTCACCAACACGTGTTATTTTCCATGACCTTTATTATGACCATCCTAGTGGATTTGAAGTTGTATTTCTTTGTAATTTTGATCTCCATTTTCCTAATGACTAAAGATGTTGAACATCTTCTCACAGGCTTATTGGCCATTTGTATATCTTCTTTGGAGAAAGGTCTATTCAAGTCCTTTGCTCATTTATAGTTGGGTTGTCTGTCTTTTTGTTGTTGAGTTATAAGAATTATTTAAACATTCTAGACCTGAGTCTCTTATCAAATATGTGATTGACAAATATTTTCTCCAATTCTATAGATTGTCTTTTTACTTTCTTGATAATACCCCTTGATGCACAAAAGTTTTTAATTTTGATGAAACTGAATTTTTTTTCTTGTCTTGTTCGTGCTTTTGGTGTCTTATCTAAGAGTTCATTACCACATCCAAGGTCATAAAGATTTACCTCTAACATTTTACTCTGAGTTTTATAGTTTTAGCTCTTACATTAAGATATTTGACACATTTTGAGTTTATTTTTGTATATTGTGTGAGGTAAATGATTTTTTTTTGCTTGTGAATATATAGTTGTCTCAGCACCATTTGTTGAGGAGATTATTCTTTCTCTATTGAATTGTCTTGGCACATTTGTTGAAAATCAGTTGGCCATAGATATATAGGCTTTCTCTGAAATAGATTCTATGCTATTGGTCTATATGTCTATCTTGATGACCGCATCATACTATTTTGACTACTGTGGCTTTGTTCTAAGTTTTGAAATTAGAAAATATCAGTCCTCCATTTTTTTCTCCTCTTTCAAGATTGTTTTGGCCACTTGAATCTCCTTGAAATTTCATATAAATTTGAGGATTGGGTTTTCATTTTCTGCAAATGATCCTTGGAATTTTGATAGAGGTTGCATTGAGTCTGTAGATCATTACGGATAATATTGCCATCTTAATATTAAGGCCCCCAATCCATGAACATGAGATATCTTTCCACTTCATTCCTAGGTATTTTATTCTTTTGGGTGAGATTATAAATGAAATTGCTTCCTACCTTCTTTTCAGGTTGTTCATGGATGGTGTATAGAAACACAACTGATTTGTGTGTGCTGATCTTGCACCCTGCAAATTTGTTGAATTCATTCATTTGCTCTAAAGGGTTTTTTTTTTTTTTGTAAATATTTTGGAGATTTCTGTATATAGGATAATGTCATCTGCAAATAGAGATTTTTTTTTCTTTTTTCCCCAGTTTGAATGCCTTTTATTTCTTTTTCTTGCCTCATTTTTCTGGCTAGAACTTCTAGTATGATGTTGAATATTAGTGGTGAAAGTGGGCATCCTTGCCTTGTTCCTGGTCTTGGCGGAAAGCTTTCAGTCTTTCACCACTGGATATAATGTTAGATGTGGGTTTTCCATAAATGCCCTTTATCATTGTATTAGGCCATTCTTGCATTGCCATAAAGAAATGCCTGAGACTGGGTAATTTATAAAGAAAAGGCGTTTAATTGGCTCATGGTTTTGCAGGCTGTATAGGAAGTGTGGTGCTGGCATCTGCTCAGCTTCTGAGGAGGCCTCGGGAAGCTTCGAATCACGGCAGAAGATGAAGGAGGAGCAGGCAGGTCACATGATAAAAGCAGGAACAAGAGGGGGTGGGGAGATGCCGCACTTTTAAACAACTAGATCTCACGAGAACTCACTCACCATCTCGAGGACAGCACCAAGCCATGAGAGATCCACCCTCACAACTCAAACACCTCCCACCAGGCCCCACCTTCAACACTGGGGATCACAGTTCAACAGGAGATTTGGGCAGGGATATATATTCAAACCAGATCAATCGTATTGAGGAAATGCCCTTGTATTCCTAGTTTTCCAAGTATTTTGTCATGTAAGGGTGTTGGAGTTTTCAAATGCTTTTTCTGCCTCAGTTGAGATGACCATATGGATTTCTCAACTTTGTTTTATTAATGTGGCCTATTTTGGTGCTTGAGTTTTATACGTGGAATCGTCCTTGCATTCCTGGGATAAATCAAACTTAGTCAGGATGTATAATCTTTCTCATATGCTCCTGGGAGGGTGTGGAGGCTCAGTTCCCCACTAGGCCCTGCTGACCCCATCCCATAAGAGATTGGGTCACCACCTATTTCCACCATGCAGGGGATAAATGATCCACTCTCTGCTCAGCCGGTCGACACCACTGAGTGAGGACATCAGAGAACTGCCACCTGCCTCTGCAGGGTGGGGGTGAGGTGGAGTGGCCTCTCTGAAACCACATTGGTGTCTGGCTAGAGTAGGGATGACAATGCCTAAAGGGGGCTCTGTTGTTTGACCACCCTCTCCTCATGCTTTGGCTGGGAGGAAAGCTCCAGGCTTCTCCTGGAGAGTTTTACTCTGTCAGTGATGACTGCAGGTTGAAGGCCACTGCAGTGTCCTGTCTATGATGTGTGGGAGGCAATAAGGAAACCCAGGGCACTCAGCACCACGTCATCCTGAGTCTGGAGGCTCCCAGGCGGTGGCCTTCTAGGCTCCTTGGTTGTGTTATGTGCAGGACTTTTGGGTTTTAGTGGGAAGATCCAGGAAGATTGGGCCGCTCCATTTTGGTGGAAACAGAAGTCTCCAATTCACCCCCTTTTGAGTATCCTTTGAGGTTTTGATGGGAACGTGATGACTTCAGAGGCAAATCTGAGGAGTGCTGGCACCTGCATGCTGCATGTCTTCCTACATCCACGGCACACATGTCCACATGACCAGGCCATCCTCAGTGGCCTTCACAAAGATCACATGTGTCCTTGATGGGCGACTCTTCATATCTTTCTTCCCCATTGCAAAGGGAATTACTTTTAATTGTTCTTTATTATTTTTATAGGGATGATAATGATTTTTGTACATGAAGCCTATACTTTGCTGATTAGTTCTCATAGTTTAGCTGCATATTTCTCTGAGCTTCTGTGCAATTATATTCTATACGAGAAAGGACTATTTGTCTCTCCCTCAATTCCTAGTCCTTGTCTTTTTTGTTTTGTCTTGTGATATTGGCTAGGACCTCTAATACAAACTAAATATAAGTGTGATAATGGGCCTTTTTGACTTGTGCAATAATATTTCCAAAGTTCTATTATTAAATGTTATGATGTTTGCTGTATTTTTTTTTGCCTTGTATCCCTAGCTTGCTGAGAATTTATCTGATTAACGCTGCAATTTGTGGACTGCATTTTCTTGCCTCTGTTGAGGTGATCACATGGCTGTTCTCCTTCCAGTGGTTCATGTGGTTTAAAACAAAGTGTTTCTGAGATTGAGCCAGCTTTGCATTCCTCTTCATGACATACTGTTTTATATATGGATGGACTTGATTTTCTAGTGTTTCTTTAGTCCTTGTCCTGTTTTGATATCAATATTATACTAGACTTACACATTACTTGGGTAGTTTCCTTACATGAAAAACTTTTAAAGACAGATATTTACTATTCCTAGAAAGTTTGGTGAAACTTGCCTATAAAACCTGGATCCAGAGGTGTGCGTGTGTGAGATAGAGGGAGAGAGGTTCAGTTACCATTTTGATTTGTTCAGTGGTAACTGATTTGTTCACTTCTTTTGTATTTTTGAGTCAATTTTACCATAGTTTTTGTAAAATTATTTATTTTATCAGTATTTTCCAATTTACTAACATAAAGTGCTTGGTGTGATTTACAGTTTTTAAAATCTGTACTGTGTCTACAAACACACAATATTCTATTTTTCTCTATCCTAATTTAAAAATCTGTTCCCACCTGCATGTGTCTCACATGCACACACACAGCACTGATGGAAACAGCATGCGTGCAGTAAGTATGTAATCCTGGTGACTGCACAGACCCCGTGGTGGAGGAGAACAGCAGGCAAAGCAGCTGTTGATCCAGGAGCTTTTGATGCAAGGTTCATCTTGGGATCTAGACACAGACATAGGTGGGAATGGTGGGTTAGGGCTGTGCTGTACCTGGCCACTCTGGACCATGCCAGGGAGTGCTCTCACAGGTGCCCCATGGCCACCTCTGTTGCCCCCACAGCCCAAGGAAGGACTCTCCCTGTGCCAGCTTTGACCAACACTGCCTTGGCTGTGAACCAAACTGGACAGAAACAGTGTCTTTGCCACAAGTTCACGCCTGGTGAGGGAGAGAACTGAGACACGTGGAGTCCCTGATGCAAGGATGGTGCAGGGCATGGACAGCAGGAAGGTACCTTGAAGGGAAGGCTGGGAGGGGTGGGGCCACAGAAGGAGAGGCCCGAGAGGCATTTGTGGCCAAGAGTAACAAGGGCCCCCCACTTGGACTTTACTCACTTCTCATGGGCACTCCACGGCGGGTCCTCAGGCCCTGGAATGTGGCCTGCTGATCCATTTTCCAGATGGAGGGACTGAGGCTGAGGGCCAGGTGGGGTGTCGGATGCACTAGAATTCAGACTTCAACTCCTGTCCTGTTCAACCCCTCCTCTTCGGGCCATGCAAGGAAGGAGGCCTCGTCTGAATTGCCCTTCCCAGGGGAGCCAGGCTCAAGGTGACACTGTGCCTCAGGTGCTGTGAGTCCAGGCGAGTTCAGCTCAGTGTAAGGGCCCCTAGCACGGCTAGAATCAGGCAGAGTGATGGGGCCCAGGACGTCCTGCCAGCCTTGCTTCCTGAAGAACTCGGACAGGCCAGGGCTGTACCAGAGTTCCTATCAGACTGGGGGCTTGTGAGGAGACCTCACAGACTCTCCGCACAATTGCCCAAATCTCTGCCTCCCTCTGCATGCAAATGGCCTTCGGTGACCTTGGCAAGGCCCCTTCCCCAGAATCACTCTCTTTATCTCATTTTGTGCAACCCAGATGCCTGCCACCAATGTTTCACAGATGGTTTGAAAGTAAAATTAGCTGAGCACACGGGAGCTCATGCCTGTAATCCCAGAATTTTGGGAGGCCAAGGCAGGTGGATCACATGAGGTCAGGAGTTCGAGACCAGCCAGGCCAACATGGTGAAACCCTGTCTTTACCAAAAATACAAAAATTAGCCAGGCATGGTGGTGTGCACCTGTAATCCCAGCTACTCAGGAGGCTGAGGCACAAGAATCGCTTGAACCCAGGAGATGGATATTGCAGTGAGCCAAGATTGTGCCATTGCACTCCAGTCTGGGTGACAGAGTAAAACTCTCTCAAAAAAAAAAAAGAAAAAGAAAAAGAAAAAAGAAAAAAAAGAAAGTAAAACTGCTGTTTAAGAGTCTATTTTAAAAAAAAAGTAATTGCATGCAATGTAGATTTGGGAATTTAATGCAATCAATGAGTTGGCAATTTCAGGGTGCACTTCCACATCTATTTCCAGGGGAATTTTAATTTTCTTGGTCTTTCTTTTATAGCAGGTAAAGCAAGATGTCATGATCATCTTTGAGAAATGTTTGTTTAGGGCATCCAGGGCCTTTAAGTGGGAATAATGATACTTGGGAACATAAAATTGCTTCTGAATAAACGTCTGGCTCATAAGGCAGCAGCACTCAGAGAGGCCAAGAGTGCATCTTTATGAATGAGCATGGGGAACGAAACAGGCTGAGTAACCCTGGGCCCACACACTGGCTGCTGCCAAAAGCTCCGTCTTCAGGGAGCCGCGTGGGGATGGCCGGGTGCTGGGGTTTCCAGGTGCTTGGATTCTGCTCCTGCCAGGGAGCCAGGCTGTCACCATGCTCAGAATTGACACCTGAGACCTGCACTTTGGTTTGGGTCCCCCAGAGACACACTGGAGGGCAACTTGTTTGTGTAGGGGGTGATCTTAGGAAATCCGGTAGGGTGTGGGGAAGGAAGGGAGTGTGGCCGATAAAGGTTGCAGCAGGATCGGCTGTGGCTGCAGGGATGTTCGGGGAGCCAGGACAGCCCGTGCGCCTCAACTTTCCCGCCGGAGGGGCAAGGGAGCCGCATGTTTTTGCCCTGATACCCCCAGCGCGTCATGGGTTAAGGCTGCTCCAGGCCTCAGGCAGAGGCTCTGGGCAGGTGGGGTTCCGCTGGGCTGGGTGAGGTGGCGAGGCCTGAGGGAAGTGGCTGGAGCTGACGGCACCTGCTCCTTAGATTTAAACCAGCCGTGACATTTCCAATATTCGTGGTTTTCAAGGCACTTTCTCATTTGTAAACGTGGTCACCAAAAGAGGACAGAGGCCCCTCCTTTCTCAGTAAATACTTGCTGAGCTTCTGGGGAGTGCTGGCAGTTGGTGGCCACCAGACACTCCCAGATCCCTGCCTCTTGCAGATGCTGGTCTCTTCTGTCTGGCACGCATGACCTTTGCGGTCACACTCCAGGATGTTTGTCATGGGGCTCTGAGGAGCGGGGAGTCGACGGCTCTAATGTTTGCATAAGTGTGACTTTTCTGAATGCGTTGGCAGAGACGGGGGTGAGAAGCAAATAATCTGTTTTGGTTTTGTACATTCTGGTAAATTCTGCAAGCGAGACTCCCAAACAGCTGCCTAAGAGTCCAGGGTAAAGCTACGGGTGACAATGCCAGGTAGCAACGTCTCATTCAGCATCACTGACAGCACCAGATGGAAAGAGCCCCCGCCCCTTCCATACACGGATGCTCATGCACCACAAACACACACACACACACACACACACACACACCATAGAAACGTAGACATGCAAATTTGCATGCATGCAAACCTGCATGTGCACACACAGACACACACGTACCACACACCACACACACAGATACACACAGACGCACACTCACCATACATCCCACACATAGGCACACACATACACACACACACCACACATACGGACACACACATGTGCACACAGTCTGTGTCTGTGGTTACTGACCAGGAGGGAGTGTGTGGTTGGGGGCTTACGGGGTAGGGAAACCTGGTTTGGTCTCCCTGCTCAAACCAGCTCTGAGGCCTCCTTAAGACTCGGTTTTCTCATGTGTCGCATGTTGGTGAAGGCTCCTGCCCCACCACCTCCCAAGGAGGTGATGGAACTTCAAACATGGTGACAGATGGAGAGGGCAGCCTGATGGGGAGGAGATGTGATGAGTGGGTGCCGTGAGCTGCGGACGGCACCGTGCTGCAGCCCACCTAGGTGTACTTTGGATGAGCAGAGTTGAGGCAGTCAGTAGGTTGGGGCAGTTGGTAGGGAGGTACCCCTCTGGCACGGGAAGGGCTCACTTGAGGCTGGATGCATGAGACATCCTCGCCGGGACAAGGCAAAGGCCCTCTCCACCCCAGGTCCAGCCTTCACAGAGCTGCCAGAGGTGCTGCTTAGAAGCAGAGTCCAGAGGCAGCAGCCAGGGGCTGGCCAGACTGGAAACTATGGAAGAGGTGGGAGGACCACAGAGATCCTCTTCTCAGGTGAGGGCTGCCTCCCCCGCTCCTGCTGTCTCTGATTACTTGAATCAGTGCTGGACAAAGGACCATCTCATGGAAAAGCCTCACCAAGTACCTCCAACCAATCTTCCATCTTCGGCTCAAATGCCCCCTGCTCATGGAGACCTTCACTCCCTGGCACCCACACTCCCTGGCACCCACACTCCCTGGCACCCACACTCCCTGGCACCCACACTAGGCCAGTGCCCCGGTTTTATGCCATTATAAAGCAACACATTTCCTCTTTGTGGCTCTTAAGTCAGATGTGACCACACGCCCAGTCCGGCAACCGCACGGGAGGTCTCTCCCCCTAGACTGTGCTCCATGGGGTGGACCCAGGCCTTGTGCTGTTTTTACTTATATCCCCCATGGAGACCAGAGCTAGGCACAGAGTACAGCAGCACCCCAACTTTCAGCCGGTTACCCATACATCTCTCATGTCATTAAGAACAATGAAACTATAGCACACACACATTCCAGTGGAAAAAAATAATTTTCAAAGTTCCCTGGAGTTCGTTGCAGTGGAATCCATGGCCCAGGTGAGCACAGCTGCAGGGAGCTGCGCGGGGGGAGCCGCAGAGCTGGGCACTTGCGAATTAAGTCCCGGTGACCGGTGACTGCCGAGGCTCTGGCAGGCGGAGGGCGGGGTGCGGAGATGCCGTTCAGAACCTCGGACAGCGCCGCGGCCCATCCGGCCAGCCAGAAGCTGGGTTTCATCTGTTTTCTTGGGGACTCCAGGATTACGGAGTATTGCCATGATAGGGGCCAGAGTGCTTTATCCCCCAAAGCACCCCCCAAAACGCGGCACGGGTGCAGGCTCCGGCCTCAACACCTGCTGCCTTGCCGTGTGATCTGGGGTGGAGCTTCCTCACGTCTCTGGGGCTGTTTCCCACAGGAGGAAGAGGTTTAGTTCAGCCTGGAAGGAGGGCATCCCATCTGAGCCGAGACCTCTTTGAGGGTCCTTGTATGTCACCTGCTGTCTGTCGCTGGTTCGCCTTCTGGCATCTTTGATACCTCCCCAGTCAGAGACCTCTGTTTGTGCCAAGAAGTCATCTGCTGTGTCTTCAAACAAGACCGTAGGAGGCAGAGCCTCTGGTGCTGGCACATCGCAGAAGCTAATACCTCGTCACCAACGGAGTGAAGAGACCACGGCTTTCCCCTTTCCTTCCTGTATTCCAGCTTGCATGGATGCCAGCAGAATTCAATCTAAAGTGGAAAGAGAAAAGTAAACAAACCTGAGAACTTTCTGGATCTCTGCAGAGCTGGGCACTTTGCCAGTACAGGTTTTATTGGAGGGAAGTGGTGGGTTGCTTCCTCGTGTTCCCATCGCACAGGCTGGAGTAAACTAGCTCCGTAAGCAGGCTTGCCTTTGGCCGACAGATGACAACGTGTCTGCATGTAGACATAGACTTTACAAAGGGCTAGAGATGGCTGGTGGTTCTCATGGGGAGATGGCCCTGAGGCTGATCAGTGTCATTCCAGTCAAAGGGCTGCCTCTTAGGGGCACGTGACATCCCCCAGCACCCGACCTGCCCGGACAACCAGCCACCAGGCAGACAGGAGTGAGGGGGTGAACGAAGTATGGACTGAATCCACAGCCTACCTGGACAACCTCACCACGAAGACAGGAGTGAGGAGGTGAACGCAGTGTGGACTGAATCCACAGCCTGCCTGGACAACCTCACCACGAAGACAGGAGCGAGGGGGTGAACACAGTGTGGACCAAATCCACAGTCTGTCTGGACGACCAGCCACCACGCAGACAGGAGCGAGGGGGTTAACGCAGTGTGGACCGAATCCACAGTCTGTCTGGATGACCAGCCACCACGCAGACAGGAGCGAGGGGGTGAACGCGGTGTGGACCGAATCCACAGTCTGTCTGGACGACCAGCCACCACGCAGACAGGAGCAAGGGGGTTAACGCGGTGTGGACCGCTGTCATGGCTCACAGCAGCCTCAACCTCCTGGGCTCCAGTGATCCTCCTGCCTCAGCCTCCCAAAGCACTGAGACGAACATAGACGCAGGCACACATGCACACAGGCTGTGAAATGTATGTCTCCAAGTGGCTGCGGGCCCCTGAAGGGCTGCTGCAGCCCTGGGGCTTTGCTCTTCAGAGCCATGTCGAGGGAGCAGTAGCGGGAGCCACATGTGACCCCCAGATCCAGACAGAGACCACTTCCAGCCCCCAGGAGGCCCACACTCCCCTCCACTCCACAGCGCCCCCAAAGGTGCCCACGTCTCTGACCCCCACCCTGGGTGAGTAGGAGCACGTAGCAGGTGCCCCTCACGTGCAGCTCTCTCATCCACACATACTCACACATGCTCACACAGGAAAGCACATGCCCGCTGTGTCCTGCTGCATTGCTGGGCAGTGTCCACTGCACGTCGCTCGCTGCATTGCTGGGCAGTGTCCGCGGCATGTCGCTCTCTGCATTGCTGGGCAGTGTCTACTGCACGCCGCTTGCTGCATTGCTGGGCAGTGTCTACTGCACGCCGCTCGCTGCATTGCTGGGGAGTGTCCGCTGCATGTCGCTCGCTGCATTGCTGGGCAGTGTCCGCTGCACGCCGCTCGTTGCATTGCTGGGCAGTGTCTACTGCACGGTGGACGCTCCTGCACTCATGGATGCTCAGGCTGCTTCCCGTTGGACGCGATTGTGAGTGACGCTGCTGTGAGCCTCCAGGTACCGGCCTTGGAGCCAGCAAATGCTTTCATTTCTCCCATGCAACATCTGGGGCTGGAATTTCTGGGTCATATGGTGGGTGTATATTTGACTGTACTAGAAAGTGTCAAGCGGTTCTGAAGTGGCCGCACCATGCACAGCCCCAGACAGTGTGAGCGTCCGCTGCCTGCAGCCCCCCAGCACTGCCCAGCCAGTCTTTCCGGTTTGGGCCATTCTGGTGGGGGTGAGGCAGCACTGCACAGGGTCTTATTTCCATTTCCCGAAGCCCATATGTTTTCTCTCTGGAGGACGGGGGACTCAAGGCACCCTCCCCGCCCCCTCCTGCCTTCTCCATAAATCTCTCCCTCTGAAAAACACAATCAATAAGCCACAGAGCCCAACATGCGACCGCAAAGCCGCTCCATTATTAAGTCTGTAATTGCTGAGAATTAATTTGCTAATTGCACGCAACTAATCTGCGTCCTTTCTGTTTTATATCAATTAACAGAGTAATTAAAAAAAGCAATCTTCGTGTCAGCTCCTCCCTGGCAGACTTAGCCTGCCAGAGCTAATGAGACAGGCCACCCTTCAGCCAACCTCATTAGTGACGACCGTGCGGCCAGGAAGTCCTTGATGTGCGATGTGCAGTAGCTAACAAGGGCCCCCCTGCCGCGAAGCAACAACTTGCTGGGCATGGAGCAGGGACCCACGGGTCCCCATCATTGCCTCCGGGCTGGTGGGACCCACAACTGTGCCAACACAGGGGCTTTGCTGGGCTGGCAAGTGCAGGGGGCCCCAGCCAGGCAGTTTCAGAAGAGCAGGCACGACGCCAAGGCCTAGGAAGGAGGCCACAGAGGCCCGAGTATCCCAGGGGGTCTTTGCTGGGATCTGGCATTGGGTGCCTCTCCCGCTACGCAGGGATGGAGAGAAAAGACACCGAGAGTCCTGGGGCTGATGAAGAGCTTGAGCTCGGAGCCTGACCACCCACAGACAGCAGAGTGATAGACGCCTCCATGACACAGAACGCAGCCCTCCCTGCCTCCAGCCCACAAAGCCTCCTCCTCCACAGCCCGACAAGGGCCAGTGCTGGGCCAGCTGCTGGAGGACAGACAGCCACGCCAGGGGACACCACAGCTCCCAGCTCCCTCCTGCGCCTCCCCGGCCACCATGAGGATGGAAGACAGCACCAAGGACGAAGAAGAGAGCCTGAGCAGAGGCCAGGACC
Source organism: Homo sapiens (assembly GCF_000001405.40). Classification (NCBI taxonomy): domain Eukaryota; kingdom Metazoa; phylum Chordata; class Mammalia; order Primates; family Hominidae; genus Homo; species Homo sapiens. The sequence goes on from NC_000020.11 coordinate 63,119,833, forward strand.
TGGGCCAACTCAGGGACCAGGCAAGCACACCTTGCCATCTTGCCTGTCCCCTCTGCTGAGCAGGACTATTGCTGGGACTGGCCCCCTCCACAGCACCCAAGCCAGCCTTGGGCAAAAGGTGCTGTCATCCCAGCTGACCCCTGGTGCCAGCCCGGTACACACCAGTGAGGGGATCACCAGGGAGGCCTGGTGCCAGCCTGGTGTGCGCCAGTGAGGGGATTGCCAGGGAGGCCTCCACACAGACTGACCTCTTTTGGTGCTGGGGGAGGGGCTGCCACTGTAGATGCTCTCAGCTGGGGAACCTTCCCCAGAGCAAGCTGCTGGATGTGCAGGGGCCCCGGGCATGCTGTCCAGCAGGTCCTCCCAGGCTCCCAGCTGCCCCCATCCATGGCCTTCCGACACAGCCGCCAGCCGCTGACCGACATCAGGTGCCTGTGCATTGCTGGGCCCACCCTCCAGCACTGTCACGTTCATCTTAGCAATGGCTCATGAGGTTGGATGGCTCCTGTCCATGCTCAGCCAAGGATCCACTCAGAGCAGTTCAGTGGCCTTCCCCTGGCTGCAGAGTAGAGCCGGATGGAGTTGGACCTGGACGCAGGCCGCCCCCAGCCTGTGCTCCTGGCCACCGCTCAGCCTGCCCCTGCTGCCAACACGGTCCGAATGACCACTGTGTGTCCCATGCGCCTCCACGGGCCCAGAGGCTTGTGTGTGCCAGGCTCAGCACCTCAGGACCCTCGGTCTGATCGCTCGATGCCCAGGAAGCCCAGGAAGTGCCTGTGTCCCCCTCATCCCCTGCACAGTCACCCCAACACGAGTCCCTGCACCCCCCTTCCTGACCTCCCTCACCCTGCACCTTTCTCCTGTACCCTCCAGGTCCTGGCCCCTCCCCTCCCCCAGAATGAGCCCTTCAATTTCTCACCCAACGAAAGCCTGGCCCTGCCCTGAGGCCCCCGTCAAGGGGCAGGGGCAGGGGCTGCTCCCACCCTCCTGTCAAGGCGACTCCATTCCTGGGCCATTCTCCATCCTCCTCCCCAAAGTCCTCGCCTCCCGGGCCCAGGCTCTGCCACCTGCCTGGCTCAGCCTCCAGCCCAGCCCCCCGCCTTCCATCTCCCCTTGCCCACCAGAGGGTGGGGCCCCAGACATGGGCTCTTGTCCCTCTGGCCTGCCTGGCCCCCCCACATGCACACAGGGTGAGGCGGGGCAGGGAAGCTGGGCCTTGGGTATCCAGCCCTGGGGAAGAGCCAGGCCAGGGTGAGGCTGAGGGTGCTCAGCTGCCAGGTGCTCAGGAAAGCAGGGAGCAGGAAACTCCTGGAATTGGGAATTAAGTGCAAGGAGAGGGGATGTGTGGAGCTGGCAGCATTCTGCCAAGTGCTCCCCCAGAGAGCCAGCTGCACTGGAGCCCACACGCACAGAGCCCGGGGCGTGGCACTCATACACACGCTCGTGTCTGCCTTCACGTGTGTATATGAGTGTGGAGTGTGCACACGCATGCTTGTGTGTGCTTGAGCACATTTGAGTGTGCACCTGTGGCTGCGGTGCCCAGGTGCATGTATGTATGCTCCCGTGCAAGCACATATGTGTGTGCATTGGGAGGCAGGAACCATGACGACTGCACAGCCCAGCACGGCGCCCCCACGGTCACCCGCCCTGAAACGAAAGGGACCCCCAGGTCACCCAGGCTGGAGGGTTTCCAGTTGCTCCCCTCAGGGTCACTTAAGAGTCAGGCGAGTCCACAAGACCTGCTACTGCAAAATCACAGCCTGCAGCATCTCAGGGCCTGTCTTCCACCCCAGCCCATTGTCATTCTGCATAAAAGCAGAAAAAAAAAAAAGGCACCAAACTGCACCAAGCGTGCAACAGATGCAGCTCAAACAAACTCGTGTACGACACGGAAGAGACAAAAGCGTTGCCGGCAACTTGTTTGGGACACACGTGATACAGAAAGGTGACGAAACATCACAGATCAGTGGGAAAACAACTAAACTGCAAACTGAAGAATGGGCTTGGGCAGACCACTCACAGAAGAAATCCCAAAAGCCAATAAATGACTTGAAACTATCCAGTGTCACTATTAAAGAAATGCAGATTTAAATAAAGTTTGACTTTCAAACTAGCAAAAAATGTATGAAACTATGAAGCTCGATGCGTGTGATCATCAGCAGAGGCCGACGCTGCAGGCAGGGCCAAAGCTTCTGACCCTGGCCCCCAGGGAGGAACCCAGAGGCCAGTCAGGGAGGGGCAGCGAGCTCACGGCCAGGCAGCGCCACAGCACTGGCGACCCTCAGGGAGAACAGGCACTACCCAGGGCTGGATGCGTAACGGGCCCCCCGGCCACACCCCACCGCCCATCAGAGCCGCAGCTCCTGAGAACGCATCCGGAGGCAAGGCCAAAGTCAGCCATGGCACAAACATTTGTGCATCAAGGTCCTGTTGCTCTGCAACAACTCACCACAAACAGAGGGGTGGAAACCTCCATGTCATCGGACGGCCCAGCGGTCAGAAGTCCAACGCCATCTCCCTGGGCTGATGTCTGTGCAAGCAGGGCTGATGCCGTAGCTTTTCCGGCTTCTGGAAGCTGCCACAGCCCCTGGCTCATGGCACCATCCTCACATCCTCTGAATCCACATTCTCCTCTGAATCTCCCGCCTCCCTCTTTCCACTGTAAGGACCCTGTGATGACACTGCACCCTCAGACCCTGGTAACCCAGGGTCATCTTTCCACCTCAGGGCGTCTGACTTAAGCCTGCCTGGAGGGTCCCTGTGGTCACATTCATGGGTTCCAGGGTTCAGACACGGCCACTTTGTGGGATCATTACTCTGCCTACCACACCATGTGGCCCTGTGTGTGTTTTCAGGGGGCATTTGCGCTTATATGCAAATAATACATATATGAATAAACGTGTGAATGGTGGTCACGTAGGAGAGGGCATCTGTATGGGGCCACACCTGTATCTTCGCTGTGCTTTCCACTTGTTATTTTCTAAAGGGTGGATATGATCTTACAGAGGATAGCTCAACGTCCAGTTGTGGAAGGAGATGGGACGAGGGTTGGATTTACTTGGAAACACAATGGTGCCCACAGAGCAGCCAGGACTGAACTTGGCCTGGATCTACCCTGAGCCTGCTCAGTGCAGTAGGGGCTGGTGCTGCTGTGGCTCCATGGTTTCAAGTTAATTTTTGATCCATTTCAAGTTAATTTTTGCATATGGTGTGAGGTAAGGGTCCAGCTTCATTCTTTTTTATGTAGATGTGCAGTTTTCCCAGTGCCATTTGTTTGGGACTATATTTTAATTAACTATTTTTTTTTGAGACAGGAGGACCCCTTGAGCCCAGGAAGCTGCAGTGAACCAAGGTCATGCCACTGCACTCCAGCCTGGGTGACAGCCAAACCTATCTGCATAAGGTGGTCCCTGAGCACAGCCGTGGTTTCTGCACCATGGTGGCCCTTGTCCCTCAGCCTGCAGTGGACACAGTGGATGTTGTCCCCAAGCTCCTGTTGTCTGGAGCCTTTCTAGACACCCGTGACCCATGGACCAGCCCAGAGACCTCAAGGGTCACGGCAACAAGCGTATTGTGGGAAGGGAGGGCCGAGATGACGCCGGCTGCAGAGACTGGCCAGAGCCAGAGCCAGATGCTGGAGAGTCTCATGGGTCCCAAGGTGCCCACAGGGCAGAAAAGCCCACACGTGGTGATGGGAGGGCGACCTGGACCACACACGTGAACTGACGCTCAGCCGCAGAGTCCTGGGGCCATCACGGCAGCCCCGCAAGGGCTCTCAAGGTCCTGGTTTCCCAATGGTCACACCGAGGCAGAGAAAACTGAAGCGTGGACCACTGTGGCCCGAGGCCAGACCCCAACCTCGCCGGGCTTGGAATTAACCCCGGGTAGATGGCGGCACGGGCTTAGCTGACCTTTTCCAACGTCTCATCAGCCCCAGGGCTCCTTGCTGTTAGGGTCTCCAGGTTTAGCAAATGAAAAAACAGGTGCCCAGTTAAATTTGAATTCCAGAAAAACAAGAAATTCTTTTTTTTGTATGTGTGTGTTTTGTTTTGTTTTTTGTTTTTTTGAGAAGGAGCCTCACTCTGTCGCCCAGGCGGGAGTGCAGTGATTCCATCTTGGCTCACTGCAACCACTGCCTCCTGAGTTCAAGTGATTTTCCTGCTTCAGCCTCCCAAGTAGCTGGGACTATAAGCGTGCGTCACCACGCCCGGCTAATTTTTGTTTTAGTAGAGATGGGGTTTCACCATATTGGCCAGGCTGGTCTCAAGCTCCTGACCTCAGGTGATCCACCCAGCACTTTGGAATCCCAGGTGTGAGCCACCGTGCCCGACCCATGAAATTCTTTTTTCATATAACCACATCTCACACCTGCACAGGGCATCCTTCATGCAAACCTCGGGGTGGGGCCGGCGTCCTATTCTCCAGCGTCTCTGCCCCAAGTCGAGTGGATGAGACAGGACCTCCCAGCTCCTCCTCCCTCCCAGGTATGTTTAGCTTGTCATTCCACACTTACTTGTGGCAGGTGGCTGTCCTCAGCCCAAGGTCACGTCATGAATATTCTGGTTTGGGCGTGGGAGCCTGGGGATGAATCACAGGCCAGATTAGCAGCCCCTCAACCCTCTCGCACCAAATCAAGGGCCAGCAGGCCTACGTCAACGTAATAAACGTAAACCCCTTCTCTGCCAAAAAAGAAGGCTGGATGAGTCCTCCCTGAGTCACCCAGAACATCTACTAGTCACAGCCAGTTATTAACTCCCTTCCCGGGAGCCACCGCTGCAGGAACATGGCAGCAGGGCAGACATGGATGGGGCTGGGGCCTTGGTCCCCCTCCCGGCTCAGGCCACTGCACAGCCGTCCTGCCCCAAGGCCCTCTCTACATGCTTGATGGGCGCCACCGGGCACTGGGGGGCAGGAGGCAGAGGAGGGAATGGAGGTGAGCCACACAGGGGGGCCGGACTCCAGAGCCCAAGGAAGCTCGCCTCTGGAGGCTTTGTTACCCACATGTTCCTGAGGGGCCCTGCCAGGAGGACCGTCCCCTGAAGGGAGAGGAGGCCTCAGACAGGCCGGGGATGCCCAACACAGCTGTGGAGCCATGGAAATTACACAACTCAGTAAATCAGAACAAAACCCAAGGAGAGAGACGAGCAAAAGTGAGAAAGGCCAGGGGAGAGGCCAGCGGCGGCCACTGAGGGCTGTCAGGATGAACGCAGGCCACAGGCTGCAGTGTGGAGAATGGAGAGAGGCCAGGGAGGTCACCGAGAGTGAAGTATTTGGGGAGATAGCGGGAGGCACGTCCCACCCTGGAGCCATCTCGCCGGGCCTCTGAGAGCGAAGTGTTTGGGGAGACAGCAGGAGGCACGTCCCACCCCGGAGCTGTCTCGCCTCCTTCAGGACTGTGGGTGTCTGATTCTCCACGGCTCTTTAAACAAACTGAACCTAGAAATGGCACCAGCACCAACAGACTTGGCTATGTTTCGTGCAGTAAAGAGCGGGCAGGTGGGCCTTGGCATGGGGCTCCCAGCAGGAGGGAGGCAGCACCCCCTCTGCCCTTCTGCTCTGCTGGACAGGGAGTGGGCAGGCTCCGTCTGCATCTGGTCCTCCTCACACCCTGGGAGCTGGTTCTGTGATCATCTCCTCCTTGCAGGCAGGAAGTGGGGCTCAGGGAAGCCAAATTATCTAAGACCACATGGTTGTGGGGGCCGGGCTGGGGCCGAGGTGATGGGTCTGGTGGGCTCTGCTCCTGGGACTGTCTCTCTCAGCCTGGCCCTCAGAGCTCCCCTGAGGCCTTGTCTCGGTCCAGGGACAGCCAGAGGTGGCCAAGAAGAAGGGTTCCCTCCACTCCATCAGCCTCGTAAAAAGAGCCTCAGATGACTGTCTCTGTGTTTATAGATGCGTTGCCCCAGGATGAGAGATGCAATTCTCTGAAAGGAAGCAAATGCGATCATTATCCTCTTCACCCAGGCCTCTTTGCTGGTGGGAGGTTAGTTTTGCGTTTAATGAACATGGGCTGAGTCTCTCTAATGAGGAAGAGATGGGTGCACAGTGATTAGAAACTTGGCAGAGAAAGAAGCCATCACAGCTTCTGTGGGGAGGAGCCGCTGGGTTTGCCGTATCTGCAGACTGGCAGGAGGGCTCACAGCAGGCAGGCTGCACACTGATCTCTGAGACCCCCGCAAGCCTGAATCCCCTCGCCTGCTGCCCCAGGCTCTCAGGAGGACAAGTCCCTGGGTTTGTGGGCGACCTTTGGTTGAAGCTGGGGGGCATCCACAAAAATAAAGCAGGTCAGAAACCGTCCTGAGGGCTCCCGCAGCCTCAGCAACCCAGGACTCTTCCGCCCCACGGGACTCTTGTCCCACAGACAGGTGAGGCAGATGCAGGTAGCCACCCACCCAAGCACCCTCAGCCAGCAGAGACGCAGGAAAATGTTTCTGCTCCACATACTCCGTTGAAATGGGCCCCACTGGGAGAGAACTTGCACTTGACCTGGGAACCACAGAGCCTGGAATTGGCAGTGAGCTTGGTGGTGCACGGTGCTGTGAACGGGGGCCTGGCAGCAGCAGGTAGGGCTGGCGCATTCCTGCCAACCCTCCGGGGGGAAAAGGCCCAGGAACAATGGAATATGACTCAGCACTAAAAAGGAACGACTTTCGAGCCACAGGAAGGCGTGGAGAAACACATGCATGTCACTAAGCGACAGAAGCCAGTGTGGAAAGGCTGAGGGGAATGTATGAGTCCAGCTATAGGACATTCTAGAAAAGGTGAATCCCTGGAGACAGTGGAGAGACCAGGAGTGGCCGAGGTTGGGGGAGCAGATAATTTTTAGGGCAGTGAAACTGTTCTGTATGATACAGCAATGGTGGATACCTGACCTTACACATTGTCCAAAGCCACAGAATGCACAAGGCCAAGCGTGCGCTCAGGTGCACTCTGGACTTTGGTGAATAGAGATGTCTCCCCTGTGACAACGTCCCACACCAACACAAGAGGCCAATCACGGGGGAAGCCGTGTGCAGGGGAGTGGGGAACAGGAAACTCTCTGTGCTTTCTGCTTAATTTATGTGTAAACCTAAAGCCACACCAAAAAATCAAGCCTATTCGTTTTTCAAAGGTGTAGGCGACAAAGCATAAATGAAGAAACTCTGTCAGGCAGAATGCTCATGCCAGGTGCCCTCCCGATGGAGCTGGGCATCTGTGCAGTGGTGACAGAGACCTGCCCCTGAGAATGGAGCTGGAGGGTCCACGGGTCAGTGTCCTCACCTGCCTGCCAGTGGGCCCGCGGATCAGTCTCCTCACCTGCCTGCCAGTGGCACTCATCTCTGAACATAACCATAAAAATCACATTCCCCAAGGCAAACAGCAAAGCCTCGGCCCCATACGCTACCGTTTCCCCTGAAAAATATTTTGTCAAGTGAAACATTTGAGAAATTAGCAAATTTTCCACTTCCAAGATCTTGCTGCAAAGTGATGATGCTTCATTCTGCCCAGAGAGCTCCACAATCACCTCCCTCTGAAAGCCCCCCTCCTTGGAGCCTCCTGGCTCCCACACAGAGGCACCGTGTGCCAGGGACTGGGCCCCATCCGGAGGCAGCTTGGACTCCACGTTTGCTCATTCTGCCAAAAAGAATTCGTGGCAAATAACGTTCACACAAGCACAGCCAGCGGTGGGCAGAGGTGGGTGCCTGTTGGCTTGTTTTAATTTTTTACCATTTTTATCATGGAATATCATATCACAGGAGAAAGTGCAAAAGTGCGTGTGTCTAAGTGACTATGAATCAGAGGCCAAATGTTGTCAGCCCTCTAGGGGCCCTCTGCGTCCCTCCCTCCAGAGAGGAACGCCATCCATGTCTTTCCTATCATTGTTCCTGACTTTATTTTTTTCCTCAGTTTTTTAATTGTGATAAAATATACGTAACATAACGTATATGACCATTCATAGCTGACCATTCTTGCCACTCATAAGCACCCAGTTCAGGAGCATCAAGGACATTCCCATGGCTGTGCAGCCGTCGCCACCATCCATTTCCAGAACTTTTCCACCTTCCCAAACTACAGCTCTGTCCCCATTCAACACCGACTCCCCATCCCCTCCCCTCAAGCCCGGGAGACGCCTGTCTATCTTCTCTGTGAATTTGATGACTCTCGTGTTTCTTATCATTGGAATTCCAGTTCCAGTGGAATATGCATTCCATTGGTACTTGTCCTTTTGTGACGCTCATTTCATTTAGCATAACGTCCTCGAGCTTCATCCGTGCTGTCAAGGGCGACAGGCTCCCCTTCCTCTTTAAGGCTGAATCATTTTCCGCTGGATGGACGGACACATTCGCTTCTCCGTCCATCTGTCGACGGACACGCAGGTGGCCTCCACCCTCTAGCCCCTGTGAACACAGGTGTGCCAGTATTTTTTCATGTTCCTGCTTCCAATTCTCTGGAGATTGACCCAAAAGGGGGGTTTCTGGATCTCTGCTTTCTTTTACCTCTTTATATGCCTCCTAGATACCATAGTCTGCAGCTTTGCCTGTTCGTGAACTCTCTGTAAAAGGACTATTCTCAGTGTGTTCTTCTGATTTGCTGCTTTCCTGCCATCTCAGTTCTAAACTCCGTCCTCACTGCACGTGTGACTCTTGTCCACGCACGTTTGTGGCTGTGTCGCGTTCCCGGCGTGGCCACGCCGCCACGTATTGATCTGCCCGCTGCAGACACCTGGCCTATTTTCCAGGACTCTGCAGGCAGGGGCACCCTTCGCCAGAGTGTGTGCAGGGCCTTTCTGTAGTGCCCTCCCCCAGAAGCACATGGGCCCGTCGGCCCCCGCGTCCTCGGACACGCAATGCTGTCGGTCGTTCTAACCGGGCTGTCCTGACGGGCGCGCAGCGGCATCCCACGGCAGTGTTCACGAGTGTTGCCCCGTGTGTGGGGAGGCGCCTGTTCAGCTGTGCCACCCGTTTTTCTAAGGAGTCCTCTTTTTCTTGCTGATTCAGAGTCCTTCATATTCTGGTTTTGAGTTCCTGTGAGTTTTATGAATGACCGCACCTTCACCCTCTCCCGTGTCTTCTGAGAAACAAAGTCATGTGTGCTGATGTTACCCGCTTCCGCTGCAGCAAAGGCTCTTGGGGGCCTTGTCTGTGAGGTCATCAGGATGGGGCTCTGGGTCAAAAGTGCTGCCCTCTGGGCATCCACCTGGGGGGATCTGAATGCCGTGGGAGTCTACTTTCCTTTTTTCCCACGTGGGCACCTGACTTTCCTGGCACCAGAACAAGAGTCCAACCTTCCCCCAATAACCTGCAACGCCACTCCCTTCATCACACATCCGCGTGCGTGGGCACGAGCACAGGCCCCCCTCGGTGCCCAGGCGGTGTCCTACCTCGTGGGTCAGCGGCCAAGCCCCCCGCCAGCAGCTCCTCGTGCTCTGGGCAACTGCGGCCCCATAACACGTCCCACTTGCCATCCGCTGTTGCACCGTCCACCTGCTCCTCAGGAGGGTCTGGGCTGCTCCCAGCCTTTCTGTACTTCTCTGTACATTTTAGAATTGGCTTCTAAAATCAATCTCTCTCTCTCACTCTCCCCCACTGGACTTTGCTGGCACTGATGTGCATCTACAGACAGACCCAGGGAAAATGGTCACCTTCCTAACAGCAATCTTTCCAATCCATGGAAGGGATGTCTCAGGTCTTCTTCAGTGTCTCCAGATTTGTGGGTTTGCCATAAATGTGTCACATTTCTTTGCTGTTTACTCTGGTGTGGTTCATAGTTTGATGTTATTAGAAATGACGTTTCCTACATTTATTTTCTCCCTTTTTGTGGTTAATGCCCTGATTTTCTTACACTGTCTTTAACCTAGAAGCGTCAACTCTCTCGCCAATGCCCACAGTGCAGGTCACTGGGGACCCCTGAGCACAGCCACCATCCCCCGGGACAGCGTTATTCCCCATCCCCACCCCCGGGCCCCCACTTTCTCGCCCTCCCTAACCCTGCCCTGCTCCTGGGGTGTGGGGTGCACCCTCGTTGCCTCCCATCATGTGAAGCCTCCTTCGTCTTCCAGGTGCACTGTGAGGCTTTCTAAATGTCCTAAGTGGAAGTCTAATTTATGGAGCTCTTTTCTGCACCCATGAAGAGAATGAGACTTTCCCCCTCCAGGTGCTGCTGTGGTGTCACCGTGATGGGTTCTATCCCCTCAAGGTCCTGCTGCCATCGGGGCCACACCTGACCATTTGCTCCCGACTTGGGGCAGATTCCTTGGGGCTGGAGTGCAGGAGCCTCACCGCCAGGGGCTGCCACCCCCACCCCGGAGGGCTCACTCTAGGGCTCTGGGTCTCAATCCCCAGAGAAGGGTGCGTGGGACTCCTCCTCACTCACCCACTCACCTTTCCAACCAAAGCCGTGGACAGGCTCAGATCACTGTCCACACCCAACACCGCGCTTCCCGTGTACTCTGCCCGTGTGGTCAGCAGGGGCCGCTCCCTCCCCTCCCCCACTCGCCCTCCTCCCCTCCTCTCCTCCCCCCGCCCCCTCATCACCCACCCGCCCGCCACCACACAATACGGTTCCTTTCATTGTCTTGTGTTAAGGCTCTCGGGTGGGGGGGTGGTTATTACTGTCCCACTGTGTGACATCATAATAGGCTGCTGTCCCAGAAAACAAAGGCTTTCGAAGATGGCGAGGAGACACGTCCTATTTACGTCGTCACTGCCTAGACAGACGTGGAAGTGCGGGAGCAGAATAAACATCTGTATCCGGAGAGTAACAATAGCGCTGGCTGCCCTGTTATTTCCGAAGCCTGCCTAAATTATGCCCTGCGCAGCACAGAAAGGGATTTTTTGTGTATGTGCAGGTGGATTAATAAAAAACCATTGAAATGCAAAGTGAGGGCTCCTCCCTCACACCCCCTCCCCGAGAGAAGGGAATCGTCACCCAAGAACTCGCAGATCCTCTTGGGGACACATAGGCCGGGGTCGACCGTCCGCAAGCACGAGACCCAGGGCTGCAGGGGGAGGTTCCGGCTGCTGCTGTTACCGTCTTGACCCCCAAAAGACCAAAAAAGGGCCACGTGCAAATCGTAAAAATCAGATGTGAATGAACCACACGGCTCGCAAGGGTGGGAGGTTCATGCCCCAGCCCAGGGGTCTCCCAACACCTTTACCATTGGCACCCCTGTTTTGGAAAAATAACACAGACGTTGTTCCACTACGTGGGAAATACACCCCGTGGCTGAACTCCATGGCTTCACCCGCCTCCATCGTTGGGCTGGCAAGTGTGGATTGGATCACAATGCCCACCTGAGAGGAGGCCTGTCGGGTCCCCAAGCTGCCCCTGGGCCGGGCCACCCACACAGCAAGGGGCAGGGGCCGCCTGAAAGCACCCTGTGCTCCGGCGCGGCCCAGATGCATGCTCTGTTCAGGTGGCGTAGAGTCCTTCTGCCTCGGTGTGGCCCCAGGGTGGGTGCAGCTCAGGGAGGAGGCGCAGTGAGTCCTTCCCTCCCTCGGCCGAGCAGGGCTTTCTGCCGAAGAAGGTGTTTCCCGTCAGCGATGAAGAAGTAAGTTCGATGCTGTGGAAATGGATTCTCTGATTAAAACCAAAAAGCAAATCCAGCCCACCCGGCCATGTGCAGGGCTGTCTCCCACATAACCTGGTACTTGGTGGTGGACGGAGGAGCGGCCTCACCAGAGCACAGGGTGGGTGCAGCACTTGCTGCTGGAGACGCTGCCCCGTGTGACACGGGGTGCACGGAAGCCCCACCGTGGAAGTCACGGCTAGTTCCTGCCAGCAGCGAGTAGCAGCCAGCATTTAAAGACACGCCTGGGGGTTGAGCCCAATTTATTGTCTTTATTAAAAAGGATATTGTAGTAGCCTGTTTTCACACTGCTATAAAGACATACCCGAGACTGGGTAATTTATAAAGAAAAGAGACTTAATTGACTCACAGTTCCACATGGCTGAGGAGGCCTCAGGAAACTTACAATCACGATGGAAGGGAAAGAGACAGGTCTTACACGGTGGCAGGCGAGAGAGAAGAGTGTGTGAGAGTGCAGGGACAACTACCATTTATAAAACCATCAGATCTCATGAGAATTCACTCATTATCGTGAGAACAGCATGGGAGAAACTGCCCCCGTAATCCAATCATTTCCCACCAGGTCTCTCCCTTAACACCTGGGGATTACAATTCAAGATGAGATTTGGGTGGGGACACAAAGCCTAACCATACAGGTATCAAGTGTTCCATGCTGCCCTTTGTTGAAAACTGACTTTTATGGCCCTGCCATGTGACCATGGGTGACAAATGCTATTCCCTCCCAGCTTGGGGCCACGGTTTCTCCAGCCTGTACATTAAAGCCTCATCTGTTCTTCCTCCCCAGGCCTGGAGGGCTCACCGGCCCGTGAGCCCTGTGACATTACTTCCCCTGGGCAGACTCAGGGCACCATGAAGCTTCCCACCGGGTAGGCACTCACTATGTCTGTTACGCCGGGCGCCGGCCCGAGTCCTAAAGATAGGCAGCCCTGAGGGCAGAGGCACTCACTGGAGCTCGTGCACACACGTGCACACACGCAAACAGCCGGGCATGTGCACAGGAACACAAGCACACATCCACACGTAACTGTGTGCACACACATACACACATGCACAATCCCCACTGTGCACCTGAGCATCATTGTACACATGGGAAATACATCCACAAACACACACACCCATAACCAGGCACATGACCCGGGGCTGCCAGTGCCAGAGTGATGCCAGCTGCGTAGGCCACACCTCAGTCTGACATATACCTTCCTGGTTCATCAGCCCCATGAGGACCCCAACTCCAGGATGTACAGCAGAAAGGAGTCTTCACCTGCTTCACAGATTAGGACACCGAGGCTCAGAGAGGGTTGAGTGGCTGCCTGAGGTCACACAGCAGGCAAGGCAGGGAACGGCACTGCTGCCCCTCATTTTCTGCTGAGGAAAAGGTGGACGGGGTGCCAGCCGCAGTGAAGCCCACAGGCCCCCAGGTGCCACCTATCTTCATAGCCTGGCTTATCGTCACCCCAGGAGGAGGAAGGGCCTTAACTATGGCTTCCACATCAGATGCCAGCCCACCCTGGGTTAAGCATCTGCATGGAGCCCAGCGATGGGGACGCGATGACCACGGGCCTCAGAAGCACCCACAGCCTCGAAGGGGCCAGGACTGGCTGCACACAGCGCCAGTGACGACAACTGCTGCTGGCGGGGACCGGACGCTCAAGCCCCAGATACACTGTAGCACGTCCCCAGAGAAGCTGGACTCAGAGCTCACACTTCCCTAGAGACGCTCACGTCCAAGGCAGGATGCAGGTGTGCAGTGCAGAGCCGCTCAGAGCACCTGAGCTGGTGGAACTGGCCGGGGGTCCAGGGTCCACTCAAGGACGTTCTCCATGTGCAGCTGCCAGTGACTCCTGGGGGCTGCCGGGCCTGATCCAGTGAGAGGGTGGCCTCCCCCAAGACTAGTGCAGTAGACAAGGCCCTTTCCCGTCAGCCACCGGAGCGAGCTCACTGAGCACAGGCCATCTCCAGGGCGGTTTCAGACCTTCCGGCCCCTTTCAGGGACAGCCAGGCCTTTGTGCCCAGGACCGCTGCCCTCCAGACAGCTCCCTGTCATGTTCACGTCCAGCGCTGGCTCTGCAGACACTGGGGGCCGCCTTCACTCCTGGGGACCCCCTTCCCTGCCTCCCGCCTCTCTCCAGGCACCTGTCCCTTAGTACAGGAGCTCACAGCTCACCATGCTGCCCAGCACCCAGGCTGTACCGCCCACAGCTGTGCAGGCACTCACAGCCAAGTACGGAGCCTTGCGGAAATTCCCCCAGATCCTGGCCCTTCACCCACACAGATCGGACCCTCAGGGGACATCGGCCACCAATAAAGGAGCCAGCCTAGATGTCATTGCAGCTGAGCCCCCATGGCCAGCTCCTCGGGTCACGGCAGCTCCATAGCAAGGGCTCCTCTCATCCCAATCCACTGGGGCCACTGCCAAGAGGAGGACACAGCCTTGGCCATCGAGGGGGATGCTCAGGTACCAGGACCCAGGATGCGGACAGACTCCAGGGTCTCCAAGGTTCCTGCTCAGAGGTTGGCAGGGTGCTTGTCTCCAGAATGATGCCCACCTGGCGATAAGTCTCAGCAGAGCCCCCTGCAGAGTGGCCCTGGGGCTGGGTTCGGCCCCAGACGACCTGAGGAAGCTGCCAGGTAACAAAGCTGTCGGCATCCCCAGAGCCCAGCGGGCAAAGATAGCCAAGAATCTACCACCAACTGGCAGCCAAGATTGCCTGTGGGTCATGCAGCAGGTTCACGTCCCTGTTTTAACTTTTAAGAAACCACCTTAGTAAAGGTTGTACTGATAAACCGAGCAAAGACTGGGCCCGTGCCCCTGCCCCAGCGGACTACAGCCTGAAGGAGGGGCCCTGGAAACCCAGGAGCTCCTGTGCCAGCTCCGGGCACTTGACCATCGCCCACCAGGTTTGTCCCCTCGGCTCCTTCCTTCCGTGCCTCACGGTCGGCCTTCGCCTTGACGTGCATGCCAGGATGCATGACCACTGGGCAGGCAAGTGCACCCCTGGGTGCGGCAGGAAGAAATGGCCCCTTGTAAATCCCACAGGCGAGGAGGCCACACTCGTGCGGGGGTGGGGCCCACAGAGGGAAGCAGGGCCATAGAGGAGGCGGGGCCACAGGGGAGGCAGGGCCTGAGGGGAGGAGGGGCCTGGATGGGGAGGCGGGGCCCCAGGGGAGGCGGGGCCTTAGAGGAGACACGGCCCGGAGAGGTGGCAGGGCCCAGAAAGAAGGCAGGGCCACAGGGGAGGCGGGGCCCAGAGGGGAGGCAGGGCCCAGAGAGGAGGCGGGGCCACAGGGGAGGCGGGGCCCAGAGGGGAGGCGGGGCCCAGAGGGGAGGCGGGTCCCGGAGGGGAGGCGGGTCCCGGAGGGGAGGCGGGTCCCGGAGGGGAGGCAGGGCCACAGGGGAGGCAGGGCCCAGAGAGGAGGCGGGGCCACAGGGGAGGCGGGTCCCGGAGGGGAGGCGGGTCCCGGAGGGGAGGCAGGGCCACAGGGGAGGCAGGGCCTAGAGGGGAGGCGGGGCCCAGAGGGGAGGCAGGGCCACAGGGGAGGCGGGGCCCGGAGGGGTGGCAGGGCCCAGAGAGAAGGCGGGGCCACAGGGGAGGCGGGGCCCAGAGGGGAGGCGGGGCCACAGGGGAGGCGGGGCCCGGAGGGGTGGCAGGGCCCAGAGAGGAGGCGGGGCCACAGGGGAGGCAGGGCCTGAGGGGAGGAGGGGCCTGGATGGGGAGGCGGGGCCCCAGGGGAGGCAGGGCCTTAGAGGAGACAGGGCCCGGAGAGGTGGCAGGGCCCGGAGAGGTGGCAGGGCCCAGAGAGGAGGCAGGGCCCAGAAAGAAGGCAGGGCCACAGGGGAGGCGGGGCCCAGAGGGGAGGCAGGGCCCAGAGAGGAGGCGGGGCCACAGGGGAGGCGGGGCCCAGAGGGGAGGCGGGGCCACAGGGGAGGCGGGGCCCGGAGGGGTGGCAGGGCCCAGAGAGGAGGCGGGGCCACAGGGGAGGCGGGGCCCAGAGGGGAGGCGGGGCCCAGAGGGGAGGCGGGTCCCGGAGGGGAGGCGGGTCCCGGAGGGGAGGCAGGGCCACAGGGGAGGCAGGGCCCAGAGAGAAGGCGGGGCCACAGGGGAGGCGGGGCCCAGAGGGGAGGCGGGGCCCGGAGGGGTGGCAGGGCCCAGAGAGGAGGCGGGGCCATAGGGGAGGCGGGGCCCAGAGGGGAGGCGGGGCCCAGAGGGGGCGGTAGCCCCGCCAAGTCTTGGGGGCCTCTCTTGCTGCCAAGCAGGAGGCCTGGGCTGGCTGCTCTGTCTCTGGAATGCGCTGTTCCCACCACTTGGCAACGCCTCAGAGGGCAACACGGCCCTGCCCAGTGGGGAGAGGGCTCCAGCTGCCCACCCTCTGGCCCTGGGTAGGGGAGGATGAAGGTGGCCTGGCTTCCCCGTAGGACCAGATGCCAAAAGGTAACTGTCCCCTAAAGAGCAGTGAGGGCCTACTTGCTGATGAAAAGCCTAATCAAGACATTTTTTTGAGACGGAGGCTCTGTCGCCCAGGCTGGAGTGCAGTGGCGTGATCTCAGCTCACTGCAACCTCTGCCTCCCAGGTTCAAGTGATTCTCGTGCCTCAGCCTCCCGAGTAGCTGGGAGTATCGGAGCCTGCCACCACACCCGGGTAATTTTTGTATTTTTAGTAGAGACAAGGTTTCACCATGTTGGCCAGGTTAGTCTCAAACTCCTGACCTAGTGATCCACTCACCTCGGCCTCCCAAAGTGCTGGGATTATAGGCGTGAGACACCACGCCCGACCCTAATCAAGACTTTTTAAAAACATGAATCAAAAAGACACACTTTAATTAATAGGCAGTGAATTAAAAGACTGCTGACTTTGGAAAAATCGTTTTCTGAGTTCAAGATCGGTGACGCTGGATTAGCCTAATTGATCTGAACTTGTTGGTTTGGGATTCAAGGGCAAGTTTGGTTCCTTAGTGGCTGGCTGTGTTGTGTCCAGATTGATGTTCCCAGGTGGGGGGCAGGAGCCCTGGAAACAACAGCCAGACCCTGGGCAGCCGGCCCCGGCGAAGAGGGGTCCAAGCCCTGTCTCATGTCTCCCTTGGGGTACATTTGAGGCCTGGACACCCCAACCCCGGGAGGTGGGGAGTGGGTCAGGCTGGATATGAGCAATGACACTGAGAAGACTCAGGGGCCTCGCCAGACACTAGCCCCAGGAGGCCCGGCGGTGTCCCAAAAACTGGCCATCTGTTAGACAAACCAAAAGAAACTCAAAAGAGGTAAACAGTACAAATCTCACTCGATCAAAATTAATAAAAATAGAAATAAAAATTCCCCAATTTATTTTAAGTTACATGACCAAGAAATAAGTACCCCATGCCTAGGAGAGTGGGTGGGGTTTGGCCAGGCTGAGCTCAGGGAAAGGTACGTGGCCTTGAACTTCATATTCCAGATGAATATTAAGATGAATGGAATGAATACAGTCGCCCAAGTCATTCAAGAAAAGTAACAAATAAAGAGAAGATGGGGAAAAGTCAAAGCTGATGAATTAGGGAGAAAAGCTACGGAATTTGAGTCCAACAACTGGTTCTTTGGAAAGTTGTAAGAAGTGAGTGTTCCAATCATTTTCCTGGTCAAAACATTCGGCCTCACTGGTGGCCTGAGAAATCGCTTAAATGTCATCAGAGTAGAACAGAAATCAGGGCAGGAAAGAGCATGGGCAGAGAGGGAGGGGAGCCCCAGGGCGTCTCCGGTGCGCTCAGACACAGGTTCAATATGTAAAACAGTGTTATTGAGCTGTCGCTCACATGGTATACCAGTCGCCCATCTACAGCACACAACTCGATGGTCTGAGTGTGTTCCTTCACAGAGTTGTGCAACCATCACCACGGTCAATTTTAGAACATTTTCATCACCTCAAAAAGAAACCCTGTCCCCATTAGCAGTCACTCCCCACTGCCCCCACCACACCCCCAACCCCTGGCAACTGCAAATCTGTTTCCTGTCTCTCCTGGTTTGCCTGTTACAGACATTTCCCATCAGTGGAATCACACAATATATGTTGTTTTGTGTCTAGCTTCTTTCATTTAACAAAATGTTTTCACGGCTCACCCGTGTGGTAGCATACATCTGTGCCTCATTCTTTTTGATGGCGGCATAATATTCCATTGCACAGAGGAGCCACATTTTGCCAGCCCGTTCATCAGTAGACGGGCAGTGCCTTGTTTCCACTTCTTGACTATCATGAATAATGTTGCTATGAACATTCATGGGAAGGTTTTATGTGAAGGTATGTTTTCATTTCTCTTGGGTACATACCTAGAATTGGAATTGTTAGATAACATGGTAATTCCATGTTTAACCATTTTGAGAAACTTCCAAACTGCTTTCCAAAGCAGCTGCACCATTTCATATCCCCACCAGCAATGCATAGATTCTGAACTTCTCTTTCCACAAACTTTTGTTATTAAAAATAAATTGTTTAAAGAAGGGAAAAAACAGCTCTCCATAATAAAACACACTGCTCTTCTGAAATCTCCCTTGGCGTGTGTCTATGAGTTGATTTACAGTGTGGGTGCAAGTCCACAAGCCAGCAGACACACAGGGCCACAGAAGGGACACTGCCATGCTGGCCCACTACCACGTTCACACCGAAGGTGACTTTGCCTGGCTGTGGACTCAGCGAAGCTGGGACACCCTCAGAGGCGACTGTCCACCCAACCCTCACCATGCAGAGACAGAGACCAGCACACTTGGTCTCCTCCACCCAGATAAGCTCTTGGAGAGGTGGCCCTGGCACCTGTGAAAATGTAAATGGCTGTCGGCCTTTGACGGTGCTGCTGACGGGTGACCAGAGTTCTCTCGCGGCTGCACGTTTTCCCATGAGCGCCGAGGCAGGTTCAATATGGACAGCTCCTCCAGCCCCTGCAGGTAACCCAGCCCGAGCTCCCACTTCCTTTGTACCAAGCAGAAACAAGGGCATGGAAAAGGGAGGGGTGTTTTCACATCTGAATGGCAACATTCCCGTCCAACACCCCGGACTATATCTTCAAACAGATCTGTCTGAGAAGACAGTGATTGCATTGAGCCCAGCGTGCTGTCAGCTGCTTGAAGCCAGTTTCGGCACACGGGTATTAGGTTATAGAAGAAACCTTGTTGTAAGGATCGTCAGGGAGGAAGTCACTGTATTTACTTGAAGTTTGCACAGCTTCATCAGTTTCAGTGGAAATAACTAAAAATAGTTAAAGACATTAGTTAAAATTAAAGAAAAGGGGACGAGAAAACAAGCTACAGCCTGAGAGAAAACATTTACAAACCACATGCCCGACAAAAGACTCACAGAATATATTCCTTAAACTCTCAAAACTCAACAGTAAAAACAAACAATCAATCCAGTGAGAAAATGGGCAGAAGAGACATTTCACCAGAGAGGCTGTACACAGGGAAATAAACACAGGCAAAGACATCTAATGTCCTCTGCCAGGGGGAACTGCACATTTGACTCACGATGAAATGTCACTACGCACCCATCAGCATGGCGGAAATAAAAAATAACGGCAACATTAAATGCTAACGAGGTCATGAAGAAACGAGATCACTCATACACTGTTGGCGGGAATCTAAAACGGGGCAGCCACGGTGGAGACGGTGTAGCAGTGTTTTGCAAAACCAAGCACGTGCTCACCTACAACCCGCAACTGCATTCCTGGGCATGCATCCCAGAGAAAGGAAGACTTTCATTCACACAAAACCCTATCACGATTACTCATAGCAACTTTATTTGTAACCACGAAGAACCAGAAACAACCACATGCCCAACAATAGATGAATGGCTATACACGCTGGGGTGCTGCACACCCTGGGACTCCACTCAGCTGCAGAGAAAGAACCGGTGAAGCACACAACAGCTCTGGCGGGTCTTTGGGGAAAGACCACCGTCTACCGCCACGCGAGGGAAAGAAGCCGGTCTCCAAAGGTCACACCCTGCGTGATTTCATTTCTGTGACATTCTCAAAATGACGAATTTGGAGGAGGTTGGAGTGGGGAAAGAGCTGGAGGCTGTGACTAAAAAGGATAGCAGGAGGAAGATCTTTGCAGCCGCAGAGGGGCCCTATATCTTGACTATAGTGGTCACGCGTGTGATAAATGGCAAAGAGCAGAGACGTTGTCGGAGGCACGTCCTGGTTGCGAGGCCGTCCTCTAGTGGAGGGATCTGGGTGAAGGATGCATGGGCTGTCTCTGTACTACTGTGTCTGTCTTTGCAACTTCCTGTACATCTACAATCATTGCAACAGCTGCAGTGGGCTCCGGTGGGCCTGTACTCCAGCCTACGACAGAGAGAGACTCTGTCTCTTAAAAACTACTTTATTTTTAAAATGGCAGCAGGCGTTGCTTTGCCTCAGGAGAGTTGGACGCCGAGCCCTTTTGCGGGTACTCACCAGAGGCATTTGTGCTGCTTGGGGTCTGGGCACCCTCTTGTTGTGGTGACTGTGATTCCCATATCATTTTATCTCACAACGTTATGAAAAAAGCCTCATTGCCGTAACAGCACAGCAAGACAGCAAGCAACTGCGATCGCCTTGGCAGAGAAGGAGAAGCAAGGAAAGGAGACCAGAGCAGCGCTCGTACCTCTGAAGTCCTCTCCCGCAATGCGACGTATTAGCCCAAAGTAGACCGTGGCTATGGCCGGGGCGGGGCAGCTCTGTTTGTGAGCACGGAATCGAGGCTGGGAGCTGCACACTCACCTGAGCGTTCACAAACTCATCGTGGAGGGTGTCAAATGCACTCACGGCTGCGTGCACGTGTCTGCTGCCTTCTCTCAGGGAGTACAGATGCTCCCCTATGCTGGGGCTTCACCTTGTGTGTGGAGGAAAACACTGTGGGAACTATGTTGGTGCTGATTTTTTTTTTTTTTTTGATACGGAGTCTCACTCTGTTGCCCAGGCTGGAGTGCAGTGGTGTGATCTCGGCTCACTGCCACCTCTGCCTCCCAGGTTCAAGTGATTCCCCTGCCTCAGCCTCCCGAGTAGCTGGGACTACAGGCGAACGCCACCACGCCCAGCTAATTTTTGTATATTTTAGTAGAGATGGGGTTTCATCATGTTGGCTAGGCTGGCCTTGAACTCCTGACCTCAGGTGATCCACCCACCTCGGCCTCCCAAAGTGCTGGGGTTACAGGGGTGAGCCACCGCGCCCAGCCAGTACTGATTTTTAAATCTATCTGTTCAATCATTTCGGCTGGAGCCATCATTATCTTGCTGAAGCAGCTGTTGGAATATTAACAAGAGGCAGTGGTAACAAGTGGAATGTAATTAGCACTCCTTGTTCCAGTGAATTTGCAGTTCTAACTGGGAACAATTTGCAGTGAGTTTGTGTGTGGCTGTAATTAACTTCGCAAGCACACAGGCAGCACAGAGCCCATGGGACCACAGCCCGGGCTGTGACCTGCAGGCTGATCCCTCTGAGTCGCCCCTGAGTTCCCACCGGCTGCTCCCGTGCGCGGGTGCCCCTCTCTCAGCCTGGCATGTGACTGCCTCCTCCAAACACCCACCTGGTGTCCACCATTCTGGCCCTGCCAGCAGCTCCTTCATTCCATCATTTATCCCAGTGTTTTCCAAGCACCCAGGATGCACCAGGCTGGGACTTGCCCCCAGTCCCACAAAGCTCTGCACTCCTGGGTTCCCCAGTACCCCCCAGGAAGACTCCATGCCACACAGGTGGCACCACCTTGCTGGGCTCACGTGGGGAAAGGATGAGAGAGCCGCCCACCTGGGCAGACAGGTGCCTGAGCCGGGTGGGAGGTGGGAACGGAGCCCAGGACCACACAGGGGGTGCCGAGGAGCTTGCACACCCAGGAGGCTCCCTGGAAGAGGAAGGTTTCAAGCAGCTGCCCTCAGGCACCCCACGCGTGTTGACAGCCAAGCGTGACTTCTTGTCAAGGGCATCGTTAAAGGAGAACATGAGGCCTGCTCGGGGGCTGAGAGGAGAGAGGTGCCAGGGCAGGCGCCCCCCGCACATACCCTGCCACTGCCATGGGATCCCGGCACTGCAGCCTCCTGGTGAGGCCCATGTCCAGCTGGGGTTGCAGAGGGTGCGGTGGCTTCACACCCCGGATTGAACTCACCACCCTCCTCTTTCCCTCAAGCTTTGGTGGCTGGAGAATGACAGTCGATGGCCAGTGCCTGGTTTGCAGAGGCCGCTCATCAGCGTGAATCCCCCTGCGTGGTCAGGGCCACCTCCCCTTTATTGATGAGAAACTGAGGCACAAATACATTCAGTGCCTTTAGTGAGTGTCACGCCCAGAGGGTGACCACCTGCCAAGGTGGGGCATAATGCACTTGGCTTCCCAGCCTGCAGATGCTGGACTCTCACACAGATGGACCGGACGGACCGGAGCCCGAGGTCCCCAGCGTGAGACCCATTGTTGTTCTTGGCAGTTTATTTTCACATCTTTCCCGGAGGCCCAGATTCAGCGGTTCTTAGACTTAACCTAAGAATCTCTCAAAACCATGTAATAAAATACTCCATCTGCATAGATTAATTTACTTGCAATGAATACACAGACTTGGAGGGCACAATCCTATGGCCTTTTACAAATGTTTACAGCCATGTGACAACACCCCACTCAAAATACGCAACACTTCATCACCCTGGAAAGTTCCCTCATGCCCCTTGCCCAGCCGCCACCTAACCCCCAACAAACCAGGCAATGACGTTCTGATTTTTATGGTCAGGGAGTAGCTTTGCCTATTCTAGAACCTCAAGTAAAGGTGATTACGTAGCGTGCACTTCTTTGGGTCTGGCTTCTCTCACTCAACATGATGTCTGAGAGACGCCTGTTCTGGGGTGAGACGTGGTTCTCGCCTTGTTCTTGCTGAGTAGTATTCCACTGGACGGACGTGGCACAATGGTGGCGTTTCCATTCACCATCAGAGAACACGGAGCTTCCTTCCCGATTGAGGATACCACAAATAAAGCTGCTGTGAACATCCACGTACAAGTCTTTTTGTGGGTATGTTTTTATTGCTGTTGCATGAACACCTAGGAATGGAATCGCTGGATCCTAAGGGAGGTGTTTGTTTTATTTTATGAGAACGACCAACTATCTTTCAAAGTGATCAAAGTGCCTTACACTCTCAACAGCAATGGATTAGATTTCCACTTGACGGCAGGCAGGATGGCCAGGCATGTCCGCCTGGGTCATTCTCACAGGCACGCATGGCCCCTTGCTGTCGTTCTAATTTGCATTTCCCTGGTGACTAATCGAAAGGAGCTTTTCATGTTTGTCTCTTTGTTATGTCTTACAGAACCTACTTCTGTATTCTGCATATAAGTTATTTGCCAGGCATCTGAAGGGACTTCAAAAAGTTCACGGAAAAATAAAATTAGAAGATAAAAATAAAAATATAAACTTTATTTCTCAACATAAGCTCCACCAAGGTCAAGACACTTTTGTAAGTGATGATACCAGCCATTTAGTCCATCCCTAAGGCACTGAGGGTCCTGGGAATTTAACCATCTCAATGCAGTCTTTTTACATTACTAACTGAAGAAAAATGACTGTTCTTTAAAAATAATTTTTAAGATTAGGAAGAAAAAAGCCAGACGGAGCCAAATCAAAACTGTAAGGTGGGTGCCAGATGCCTCCAGCATCCCCAAAACTTGCCATAACCTTGGCTCTTGACCAGTCCACTTTTGCTGTGACTTGAGCACCTCCGCCTCTCCATAGCCTTTGCTTTGATTGGGCCTTTCCGCCTCTCTGTAGCCGTTGCTGTGACTTGAGCACCTCACTCTCTCCGTAGCCGTTGCTGTGACTTGAGCACCTCAGTCTCTCCGTAGCCGTTGCTTTGATTGGGCTTTGTCTTCAGCATGGTACTGGGAAAGCCAAGTCTCCTGTTACAATTCTTCAAGGAAATGCTTCAGGATCTTGATCCCACTTGTTTAAAATTTCCACGGAAAGCTCTGCTCTTGTCTCCAGCTGATCTGGGCACAACAGTTTTGGCACCCATCGAGTGGAAAATTTGCCCAACTTTAATGTTTCAGTAAGAATTGTGCCAGCTGAACCAACTGAGATGTCTATGGTGTTGGCTATTTTTTCTGCTGTTAATCGCTGGTCCTCTTCAATGAGGGCATGAACAAGATTAATTTTTTCCTCAAAAACTGATATGGATAGTCTGCCACTGAAGGCTTCATCTTCAATATTGTCTTGTCTCTTCTTAAAACAGGTTATCCACTTGTAAACTGCTGATCTCATTGGGACATTGTCCCCATAAACTTTTTGTAAAGTATCAATGATTTCACATTCTTTCACGAAGCTTCTTCATTAATTTGGTGTTTCTTCTTTCTTGCTTCAATTTTAGCAGAATTCATGTTGCTCCAATAGGAGCTCTTTTCAAACAGATTTCTTTTTTTTTTTTTTTTTTTTTTTTTTTTCTGAGATGGAGTTTCACTCTTGTTGCCTAGGCTGGAGAGCAGTGGTGCAATCTTGGCTCACTGCAACCTCTACCTCCCAGGTTCAAGCACTTCTCCTGCCTCAGCCTCCTGAGTAGCTAGGACTACAGGCATGCGCCACTACACCCAGCTAATTTTTGTACCTTTAGTAGAGACGGGGTTATATCATGTTGCCCAGGCTGGTCTCAAACTCCTGACTTCAGGCAATCCACCCACCTCGGCCTCCCAAAGTGCTGGGATTACAGGCTTGAGCCGCTGCGCCTGGCCCAAACTGATGTCTTATCCTTCTTAGTGCCTCACACCAGATCCTGTTCAGACATGTTATAACAAATTAGTATGAGTTTATTTTTGCACAATTTTTGACATCTATGCATAGTTTTTCACAATACACATTTTCCTTAAAGGGTTTGAGGACCCTTTTGTGTGACTGCAGACGCTTCTACAGTCTGTGACTTGTCTTCTCCTTTTCCTAAAGGTGGCTTTGATGGTCTTTTAAAATTTTGATTGAAGAACAACTTACCAATTTACCAGTTTGGGTTAATTTTGGGTTAACGCTTTTTGTACCTTTTCTAGGGAATCTTTGCCTATGTCAAGATCAAAAGCATGTCTTGGCCTAGTTCATAATGTTAGAGGGAAGCTGCAGGATTTCTGTCCATGCCCTTCGTGACACGGAGGTAGATCCAGGTACCAGTCGAATTGAAATTTTCGGTCTGCATCTGTTTAGATGATCATATAGATTTCTCCTTTACGTTAATATGGTAAAAATAAAATCACTGATTTTTGAATATTGAACCAATCTTGCATTCTAGAGATAAATATTCCTCGGTCATAATGCATAATCCTTGTGTTATATTGCTGGATTTGACTTGTTAATACATTTGGCCCTCCATATCTACAGGTTTCTCATTCACAGATTCAGCCAACCTGAGATGGAAAGTATTCAAAAGTAAGATAAATAAAAAATGAAGATACAACCATAAAAAATAATACAGTATAACAACTATTTACACAGCATTTACATTCTATTAGGTATATAAATAATCTAGGGATGGTTTAAAGTATATGGGTGGATATGGGTATACTATGCAAATACATACTATGTGCAAATACTGTGCCATTTTATATGAGTGACTTGAGCATCATTGGATTTTGGTACCCACAGGGGCTCCTGAAACCATTCCCCCGCATGTGCATGTCAAGGGACTGTAAAGATGGTCTCTGACTTAAAATATTTTTACTTTACCATGGTATGAAAGCGATACCGGTAAGTGCTCAACTTATGATGGAGTTACATCTGGATGAACCCACCGTAAGTCAAAAATCCTATAAGTTGAAGGCTTAGCTGGACATAGCCCTATCGTAAGTTGAGGAGCACCTGTATTTTGTTAAGGGTTTCTATGTCTTTGTTCATAAGGAATATTTGCTCTGTAATGTCATTTACTTGGAATGTCTTCATCATCAACTCTGGTATCAGGATTATGCTGGCCTTGGTATGCAGGAGCCAACTCACCATGGCCCCCAGGGGCCAACTGTGTGCATCTCTCCCCACCTCACACACCAGTGTCACGTTGGTAGTGACGTCAGCCATGGTGCAAGTATGTACATCACTGGAATTGGCAAACACTGCAAATCATACGTTTCCCCCAGAAAGCTAATTGTTAAATATTTACCAGTGAACCATTGGCTGGCCTCATAAAACAAATCATTTTTC
Source organism: Homo sapiens (assembly GCF_000001405.40). Taxonomy (NCBI): domain Eukaryota; kingdom Metazoa; phylum Chordata; class Mammalia; order Primates; family Hominidae; genus Homo; species Homo sapiens. The sequence goes on from NC_000020.11 coordinate 63,145,535, forward strand.
TTCATCCTCTATTTTCTGAGTTTGTGTGAGATTTATAATATCTCTTCCTTAAGTGTTTGACAGAATTCACCAGTGAAGCCAGCTGTGCCTGGAGTCTTCCTTGTGCTAATGTCTGGTTGTTAGGAATTCAGTTTATTTAACAGATGTGGGTCTATTCTCTTTCTTCTCATGTCAGTTTTTGTTAGTTGTGTTTTTCTAGGGATTTTTCTATTTTATCCACATTATCTAATCTATTGGCATAAAGTTGTTCATAATACTCTCTTATTACCCATCTAATCTTTAGAATACTATTCCTGATGTAGAAAATGTGTGTTTTATCTTTTGTTCTTGATCACTCTTGCTAAGGGTTTATCAACTTTATTTATGTTTTCAAAGAGCTAACTTTTGGCTGTGTTTTCTCTATTGTTTGCCTATTTTCTGCCTCATTGCTTTCTTTTCTTACCATTGTTTTTCTCTTCCTTCTACTTGTTTTAAGTAGAGTTGAGTTTAATTTGCTCTTATTTTCCTATCTTCTTAGATGGAAACTTAAATAACTGATTTTAGACATTCAGACCTTTCTGCTTTTCTAATATAAACATTTAAAGCTTTCTTGGGAGCACTGCTTTAGCTGTATCCCACAAATTCTGATATGTTATATTTTTATTTCATTTCACTAGAAATATTTCTTGGCTTCCATTATGGTCTTTTCTTGACCCCATGGGATATTCAGAAGTGCATTGCTTAATTTCCAAATATTGAGGGCTTTCCTAAATATCAAATAAATTTCTTAGTTAATTCTTTTGTAATAATAGAATATACTCTTAAAGATTCCAAACTTTTGAAATGTATTGAGGCTTATGTTAAAGTATAACATATGATCCGTCTTAGTGAATTCTCCAAATATTTGAAAAAAAGTGGATATTCTGCAGCATTTGGTGTAGGGTTCTATTAATGCCAATTAGGTCAAGTTCATTGGTGGTGTTATCTATATCTTATTACTAATGTTTTGTCTACTTGTTCTATCAAAGACTGAGAAAAGGGTGTTAAAATCTCCAACTATGATTGTGAGTTTGTCTATTTCTCTCTTTAATTATGTCAGTTTTGTGTATGGTCACATATTTTTAAATTCTCTTATTATGTGCTACATATTTTTAAATTCTGTTATTATGTGCTACATATTTATGACTGATGTCCTGATGAAATGGGCCTTTTTTCATTGTGAAATATACCTCCTTATCTCTGTTGATGCTACTTGTCTTAGACCCCACCCTGTCTGGTATGGATGCAGCCACCTTGGCTTTCCTGTGCTCACTCTTTGTGTCACACGCACCTGTCCATCTTTGTACCTTCTACCACCCTGGGTCTTCCAAGTGTGTCTCCTGGGCACAGCATGCTGTCGGGTCTTGCTTCTTTGATCCAGTGTGACCATTTCTGCCTCTGAACTTGAGGGTATAATCCATCTACATTTGATACAATTAGGATACGTATGGTTCAGTTTAAGTCTACCATCTTGCTATTTGTTTTCTTTTTGTTCCACATGGTTTTTGATCCTATGTTCTACTCCTATCTTCTTTTGGGTAAATAAAATGTTTTTTAGTATTTTATTTTATCTCCTCTATTGACTTATTATAAATAAAACTTTTTAGTCGTTGCTGTAGGAGTTACAACAGCATTTTTATAACAGACCCTTTTACAATTATTAATCCTGAACCACTTTATATACAACTTAAGTTTATAGCAGTATAATTTCAGAGGCCACTTAAAATTAATCCTGAATCACTTTATATACAACTTAAGTTTATAGCAATGTAATTTCATTTACTCACCCCTTGTTTTTGGTGCTATTGTTGACAAATACACTTACTTCCACATATGTTATAAATTTGACAATACTTATGGACTCAAAATGTTTACCTTTTTCAATGCTTTTCATTCCCTCCTATGGATATTAAATTACATCTGGTTTCATTTCACTGCAGCCTGGAGAACTTTATTTAATATTTCTGGTAGTTTATGTCTCCTGGCAATAGATTTTCTTGGCTTTAAAAAAACTCAAAATGTCTTTATTTAACCCTCATTTATGAAGGATAGCTTTTATTGAATATGTTGCTTGACAAGCTTTTTTTCCAAACTAAGCACTTTTAAGGTATTATTCCATTGTCTTCAGGAATCCATTGTTTAAAACGAATATCAGCTGTTTCCCTGTGCCTAGGTGTCCTTTTTCTCTGACTGCTTTTAAGATTTTCTCCTTCTTTTCAGTTTGTGGCAGTTTACCATGATATGCCTCTGTTTGGTTTTCTTCGTATTTGTCCTGTTTCTTACACCTGTGCATTAATATTTTTCACCAAATTTGGGAAATATTTGGTTATTAGTTTTTCAAATTTTTTGCTACCTTTTTCTCTCTCTCCTCTTTTTGGGATTATAATTACATATATATTAGGCCACTTTATATGTTAGTTCCATATATTAACATATAACATATATTATCCCCACAGGTCACTAAGACTTTATTCTTTTTATCTATTCTTCCAACTGGATAATTTCAATTGATCTCTCCTCAAATTTACTGATATTTTCTTCTGCTGTTAAGCCACACAGTGAATTCCCATCTGTTCACTCACATCCTCAAAAATATTTAGAATGCATTCCAAAGTTCCTGTCTGCAAATGTCAACATCTGTACCGTTGCAAGTTCTATTTCTATCTTCTGCATTTTTTCTTTCTTTTTTTGTATTTCAACATGTGTATGTTTCATGTGTAACTGCTGTACTGAGATATAACTTACGTACCACGCAGTTCGCTCACTTAATAAAAGCATCATTCAATGGTGCGTGGTATACTCAGAGCTGCGAAACTATCCTCACAGTCAATTTAAGAACATTTTCATCATCCCCATCCTCATGCCCGGCAGCACTCCCTCATCCCCTCCCAGGCCCTGGCAGCCGAGAATCCACTCTGTGTCTCTGTGGATTTGCCTGCTCCATGCATCCTCTATCAATGGAGTCATCGGTCTTTTGTGTGTGGCTTCTTTCGTGTTATATCATCTTTTCAAGGCTAATTCGCATTGTAGCATGTGTCTGAACACCACTCGTTTTTAAGGTGAATAATACTCCATGGTGCAAACAGACTTCGTGTGCCCATCCGTTCCTCTGCTGATGAGCATTTGGGTTGCTGGGACCATCTGGGCCATCTGAAACCCCCTGGAGCCTGTGCTGCTGATTCTGACATCAGTGGTCCCGAGCACACACTTGGCAATCCTGAAGTCTCTGATAGAACAGCGGCTGGCATCACCCGGGCACCTGCCACGTGCCAAGCATGCAGCTAAATGTCACTCACGTGGCCCCGCCTGACCTCACACAGATGGGCTGGGCCGCTGATGGCCCCGTTTGTCAGATGAGGAGACTGGAGGCAGCTCCAGGTCACAGAGCTGCGAGATAACAGGCAGGAGCCCCCAGCGAGTCCAGAGCTCACCCTCCCAGGCCCCACCTCCCATGGCCTGCATCTTCAATTTCCAGGTCCCAAGCAGCTCAGGACTAGGCTGCTTCTGGCTTCTGGGTCCTCCCGGGAAGTCACAGCCTGGCACTGAGACCACCAGTCCCAGCATCTGTTTTCCCAGCAGCCCCGTGCTGGTGTTTTCTGCAGCTGCATTTGTGTTCTGTTGGCAAAAGAGGAACCTGCTCTGCATGGTCCCAAGCAACGGACGGGAATGTTTAACTTGTGTATTGATCTGGCAGCTCTCCAGTGACTTGGGATTTGCCACAATAATTCACTTTCCACCTGGGTTTGTTTGTTTGTTTTTGAGAGAGGGTCTCGCTCTGCTGCCTAGGCTAGAGTACAGTGGCACAATCACGGCTCACTGCAGCCTCCACCTCCTGGGCTCAAATGATCTTCCCACTTCAGCCTCCTGAGTAGCTGGGACTACAGGCGTGTGCCGCCACACCCAGCTAATTCATATTTTGTTTTTTGTAGAGACAGGGCCTCACTATGCTGCCCAGGCTGGTCTTAAACTCCCTCCTGGCCTCCAGCAATCCTCCTGCCTAGGGCTTACAAAGCACTGGACCTACAGGCGTGAGCCACCACACCAGCCTGTCTGGGCATTTTGACATCATGCAGACGCAGCACAGAACTGACCTGAGGGATCCAACAGCTCACCCGCCCTGAGGTTTCTGGGTCTGCAGCTGGGCCCAGGCCTGCAGTGCACACAGCTGTTCCCAGCACGTGCCTGTCCCTTCGACTCAGTGCACACAAGAAACCAGATGAGCCCACGACTGCTGGGACCGAGGCTGCCTCGAGTCCCCCACAACCGAAATGTCCCCTCCAGACAGAGGCCTGGAACAAACAAGGCTCAACTAAAAATAGACTTAAGCATGAGAGATTCAGAGGAAGGCAGCTATTTTTGGTTTGGTGTGTTTTTGCAAGGAAAGATGAGAAAAAGAGGCTCCCTCGAGGCTGGAGAGGGAAGTGTGTAAGAGGGGCACAGGGGACTTGGGGAGAAGCCACAGCTCCTTTTGTCTGTCCTGGGCTGACTCGTCTGCCTGAAATGTTGAAATCCCGACCCCCAGGACTGCTAGGGGAGCTCTAGTTGGAAGCAGAGTCCTTGCAGATGTTATCGGTTAAGATGGGGTGACACTGGATTGGGGGGACCTCAAATTCAGTAACTGTCCTTATAAGAAGTGGGAGATACGGAGACACAGGTAGAAGCCACGTGAGATGGGGTGACAGTGATGCGGCCACCAGCCAACGGCAGCAGATTTCTCTGGTCGTTTCTCTGGCTAGAGAAATAACACCTCCCCGAGCTGCATGTGGTGCAGCGGGACCCACACGGTGACCCCGGCTGTGCGTCTGGGAGGGCGGTGGGTGCTGGACCCCTCCCCACCAGGAGATGAAACACGTGCAATGACAGCAACCCAGGCAAGTCCCCGGGGAGACTCAGAGCCCCGGGCGGGGAAGGGTGGGGAAGGGCTGTCCCAGGAGGAGGCACTTGCCAAAGAGGCAGTCGCCATGCTGTTGGCTGCAGGTCGGGGGGAGACTGAGACCCACCCAGGTCAGCAGGGGCTGGGAGCGCGGGTCAGCAGAACGCCCCAGGGAAACCGGGTGGGTGCAGCATCTGGGAGGGGATTTGCCCTGCGAGGCTCCTCGTGGGGCCCTTTAAGCCACCAGGTCTCCCAGTGGGATCAGAGCAGGATCCCATGGCCTGAGGTGGGGCTGCGTCTGGCTCCAGCCCCCACCCCTCATCTGTGCCCACGTGCACCCCAGCCCAGACCACGCCCAGCTGATCACAGGCCGGGCGAGCTTGAAGGTGCTTGGAGAGGTCAGAGTCCAGCCAGGCTGGGTCTCAGAGCGACCCCCGTCTCTAGCCTCAGACAAGGTGCCCCTCTCCAGCCCTCAGACACTGGCCTGGCCTGATGAGAGGGACATGGCTGGCAGAGGTTTCTTCCCAGGTTTGATCAGAGCCAGAGCAGGGGAAAGTTTCCCTGTTGGGGGTGTCGATACTTTGGGAAAATGGGTTCCTGGTCCCAAGGTTGACGTCCCCCTGGCAGAGTGGGCCGCACCGAGGTCAGGACACGAAGGGTCTTCTCCTGGGTCTGCTGGAGTCGGGGGCAACCTGCAGCCTTAGGGGTGGGGGGTGCGGGTGTCATGGACGTCAGCCCCACCTCCTCTCCTGCAGCCACCTGAGGCCCACCCACCTCCTCATCCCTGTGCCCAAACCCGCACCCTGGTGCCCAGCACTTGGGGGCGCCCACAGATGTGTCCGTGACCACCTTGGGAAGTGGCTATGCGTGTGCCGCAGCCCCACCGGGGTGGCTGGGAGGTGCCCTCGGAATGATTCATGCAGTGACTTCCCTGTGGCCTGGCCCATGGCAAGTGCTCTGGGGACGTGATGGTGGTGCAGGGAACATCGCCCCGGGCCTGCAGCTCCCGCCCACGAGCTGTGCCCAAACCTCCCCTCAGGCCTGCAGCTCCCGCCCACGAGCTGTGCCCAAACTTCCGCTAAGGCCTTGGGCCCAGCTGGATGCAGGGAGCAGGGGGTGCGCTGGGCAGAGAGGGGTCTCCAGGCAGGGACCTTAAAAAAGGATCCCTTCCGTGCTGCCGGTCAGGCCCCTCCAAGTACTCTCTGGAAAAGGATTTCAAAGTCCAGCCCCGTGCCGTCCACCCAGGCTTCCCTGAGAGCCACGCCCCAGGGCCCTGTTTCTTGAGAAAATCCCAGCATGAAAAACAGTTGGGAGGAAAACAGTTTGCTGGGTCTCCAAGGCCCCTCGGAGAGCACCCTCCCGAGGAGGCCTCTGAGCCACCTGGTGCCACCGGAACAGCTGCAGCCGCCTGGAGAGCCAGAGGGAGCCGGGTGGGGCCCGGGGGTGGCGCTGGCATCGCGGAACACCCCCGCCCGCGTTCCAAACGAAAGCACATCACCCCCAAGCGACGCGACCTAGGGGCGAGTTTTAAAAGGAGCACTTACTTATTTTTAGAGTGTGCTTTTCACTCAGGATCACACGACGGAGCTAAATTGCAATAAAAATAGTGCAATCCCGCCAGCAAGAAGCCCATTCGGCAACGTGTCCTTTTGTTCAAAATAAAGTGCAAAATGATTTCTCGCAATAACACCAGCAACCGGCTTCAAAGGCCAGCTGGGTTGGCTCAGGATAAATGACTAAGCGTACGCCGAGCCCTGCGGAGGAAGCTCAGCCGGCCGGGGCTTTGCTCCAGAGCTTCCTTTTCCAAAACAGATGCTTGGGACCAAGATGGAGCCAGGGAAGCCGGGTTGGGTGACGGCGTCCGGGTTCCTAGGCTGGCAGGCTCGGAGGCCAGAGGGCAGGCGTCCCTTCGGGTACTGACTCCTGGGGCAGGCAACAGATTCCTCCTGGGAGGCCCAGGCGGAGGCAGCACAGCATCTCTCTGTTTTCCTGCAGGCCGACGGGGATCCTCAGTGTGGTCCGCTAGGAAGATGAGTGAGCCCCAGAGCTGAGTGTGTTTGGGCTGTGGATTGTGATGCAGCTGGAAAAACACAACCAGGACCACCCAGCAGGAAGCACAGGAAGACTAAGGCACAGAGAGGGTCAAGAACTGGCCAAGGTCACACAGCAGGTGTGTGGGGAGCTGGGATTTGAACCCAGCTCCAGAGTGTGTGCCTTGACCCCTCACTGCCGTCCACAAGGGGACCAATGAGGGTCCCTTCCCCCAGCAAGTGCCAGACGAGTCCTACTTTACTGCTCCTTGCGGTGCTCCCCCCTCGGCACACCTGAGCCGCCTGGAGCCACTCGGGCAAACCTCAGGCGTTCCACTCCGATAAGGGTGTCAGGGAAGAGCGAGGGACTGTGCTTCAGGGGGAGAGCTCAGGCTGAGAGAGGAGAGCCAGGCCCGGGGGTAGGGTGGCGAGGGGCCACCCAAGGGGGCCACACCACCTCCCTGCTTGCCACTGCGGGCTGGACCCGCTCTGCCCGCCTATCTCCTCCACCGCCTGGGAGAAGACCCATCCTGGGGGCCCAGAGGGTGGGGCAGGGTGGAAGTGGCCTCGGTCCTCTGCTCCCGAGAGTCCTGCCTGTGCCCAGTGTGGCTGAAGTGACCCAGAGCCCGGGAGGACGTGGAGGACAAGGCTGGCCCAGTGCCTCTCGAGTCCTGGGCTTTGGCTTCTCCAGAAGCAGCCCCTCCACAGAGGAGGCCTCTGACGTGTCCAAGGCCTCAGCTATGTCCCAGGAAAGCGGGTTTCTGGGTGAGCTATTCCTCCTCTGGGGAGAATGGAAGCCAGCCTGCCCTATGGGGCTGAGGTGGCTGAGCCAGACCCACACCCTGAGCTGTCCCGTCTGGGACGTGAGCAGGACTCTTGGAGAAACAACCCTTGCAGATGCTCTGTGGATGACAGTGAGGGGTCATGGCACACACTCTGGAGCCAGGTGGCCAGACTCAAACCCCAGCTCCCTACACATGTGCTGTGTGACCCTGGACCTGTTCTTTAGCCTTTCTGTGCCTTAGTCACCGCACCTGCAAAACGAGGCTGCAGCAGCTTACTCAGAGAGGAATAAAGGCTGAGGACCTGGGTCTTTACCTGCTGGCTCTCCTGGCCCCCCCCGGGGCTCTGAGACACAAAGTCGCACAGGGGTGGGTCCCACTGGAGGAGGGGTCAGTGTAGAGGTCCCATTTTGCTAATGGATAAAACTTTTTCTCATTTTGATTAATAATGACTAAAAACTGTGTTTATTATTCCTTTGTTTTCTGTCCTGCTGGGACTTCAGTCAAAAAATGATTCTCATAGACTCTGAGTCAAGGTGCCGGAGGGACAGGGTCTTTCTAAACGGCATTTCGCAAGGCCCGCCGGAGGAGGTGCAGTGCCAAGATGCAAAACAGAACCAGCAATAATTCAACTCTGAATATTTTGCCTTTAATTACAATAAACTAATAAAGATTTCAGATGCTCTCATTTTAATAGAATGAGGAGTTATAATTGGTGACCTATTTTAGGCAATTTAATTTCCAATGACCTGTTTTCCAAATTAACATAGTAATCAAGGCCAGGGTGCCGTTCAGGGAGTCAGACCCTCCAAGGGTCCCACACCTGCACCGCGTACAGGCGCATCTCTTACTAACGTGCTCATAGAAGGAGGTGCTAAATTATGGAAAGGTTCCTTTCTACAGCATCTAATGAGCCTGGATTTTTAAATCAAAGCATAATCAAAGAAAATGAGCAAGGACATCTTGAGCATCTGTAAAATCACTGTTGAAGCCACAACCCTCAATGACTTCGAAGCTCTTCTCAGGACTGGAGTGTATGTCCTCCCCGAGGTAGAGATCGCTCTCAGAGGCTCCTTCAAAAACCCCCAGGCAGGAGGGAGGGTGAGTCGCACACCTCGGCCTCAGGTGCCCTCCCGCTGCCTCCCAGGGACCACCGTGCAGGGCCACCAAGAACAGGCAGGGGGGAGGGGGAGCAAGGTGGGGAAGGTGGGGCAGAAGAGAGAAGCAGGAAGGAGGGAGAGGAAAGAGAAGAGGGAGATGGACTGGCCTCAGCCACCCCGGAGTACAGGGATGTCATCACACCAGCCCTCCAGCGGCTGAAAGAGCCAGTGAGAGGCAGGTGGGGGTGTGGATCAGGCCTGATCTCCCCTAGTCTCCTCCTGCAATGCCCAGATTCTTGCCCCCGTCCTTCCTTCTCCCTCCTCCCTTCCTCCTCCCTCCTCTTCCCTCCCTCCTGCTTCCTCCCTCTGCCCTCCCTCCTCCCTCTTCCTCCCTCCTCCTCCTTCCTGCTTCCTCCCTCTGCCCTCCCTCCTCCCTCTTCCTCCCTCCTCCTCCCCTCTCCTCTTTCCTCCTCCCTCTCCCTTCCTCCTCCTCCCCCCTTTCCCACCCTCCTCCCCCTTTCCCTCCCTCCTCCCGACTCCCTCTCCCCTTCTCCCTCTTCTCATCCCTTCCTCCTCCTCCCTCCTCCCTTCCTCCTCCTCCCTCCTTCCTCCCTCCTCCCTCCTCCCCACACTGTCCATTTGCAGGCTGCCTGGTCCTAGCCCATATCCAAGGGCCTGTCTCAGCTACAAAGTTCTGCTCTCTGCTTTTAAATGAGGACACAAGGTGGTTTCCAAAACACATGTACAAGGCAGAAATTGCTCTTGAAACAGCAGACAAGCAAGACACAGCCCTCCCTCCTGTTCACATTAGAGGCTGCAGGCAACCCCAGTTGTCTCAGAAATGGGAACAAGCCCCCTGCTCAGCAGAGCTGGTTTCCCATGGATAGAGCTGTTGGCTTTCTGGAAACCTTTTTCTCCCCACCCTAGACCCCAAACATCCTTGGGGTTGTGTAAGAAGGAAGGGGATGTCCCAGGCTGGAGGCTGGCAGGGCAGCTGGAATACGGGAGTGGGAGGGGAGGGAGGAGGCGAGCAGGGAGCAGGGCCAGTTCTCCTACATGCCTTCTTCCGGCCTCTTCTTCCCCACTCGGGGTTCTCACAGGTCCCGCCCTTGGTGCCAGTGATGTCTCTTCTGCACCTGCTAAAGGGCAGAGGGGCCCCTTGGAGGCAGCTCCATCCAGGCCTGGCTGAGATGTCCAAGAGGCAGCAGGGTACAGGGGTGCAGGTTAACCCTGCCCCAGAGTCTCTGTCCAGGAGCAGCAGGAGCAGGCTCAGGACGGCTTCAGCTCCATGGCTGCCCTGGGTGGAAGTCAGGCTGGATACAGAGGCCAGGTCTACGGACCCTGCAGGCCTCAGAGGAGGAAGTTCTGTTTTGGGAGCCCACTGGTTCCTGGGGCCCATGAGCCCCACCTACTTCCCACCAGCAGCATCTTCCCCTTGCCCCACTGCAGCCCCTGGACACAGTACAGCACAGGGCGGAGTGAGGGCTGGGAGGGCCTTTGTGGAGTCCCACTGGCTTCAGGTGAAGATAGTGGCCCTGGCTGACCCCAAGCCTGATCCCCAGTGGGCCTGCTCCTCTCTTCTCACCCCGCCACTTCTCTGGGCCTTTTCCAAGCCAAACTCTGCTCCCTCATTCAATAAAATCTCTCCCGCAAGCCAGCCCCCTGGGCCTCCACCCGCCCATGGCCTCCGCAGTGGCCAGGAGCCTGCGGGAGAAGGTGGCATCTCTTCCCTTCCGTAAAATCTCCCCGCCCTATTTACAGGAGAAACAATGCTCTGTGGCTCCCAGCCAGCCCTGTCTCCCCTGACCTTGAGCACCTTTGTCTAAAGGGATGCCCTCCTTAATTCTGTGCTGAGCTGGATTAATTTTTAAAGATGAAGCTCCTGGCTCGTGTGTGCTGCTATTTGTGGTGGCGAGGTCAGGCAGAGTGCCGGCCCGGGGAGCAGGAGGTATTAGCGGGCACTAATTCCCTGGGGACAGCAGGCCGGGATTATCGCTGTGTGCCCAGCCCTTGCCAGCCCTGCTGGCTGCCAGCTGCTGGCAGGGGCCTCACTGTGCCAGGCTGGTGGCAGCCCACAGTGCACTGGCCACATGGAGCGCACTGGGTCACGGAGCTCTGGATTCAGGTGGGATTATGCCCCCCACCGCCAAAGCCATCCTTCCTGGCAGCAAAGGCCTGTGGGCTGTGGCTGCACCTCTTTCCTGGGTCCAGTTTCCCCCCAGGGATTCAAAGTTCCTGGCCCTTTTGTGGCTAGGGTGACCACAGATGACTCACTTGGGGCGCTAGCTGGGGAGGCTAAGGAGTCCTCCATCAGCCCCCCAGCGCTTCCTGCAGAGCCCATTGGGCGTCCTATGACGGAGGGCCCTGCAATGATGCCAGGTTTCAAGGTGTGCAAGGGGAGGCTCCTGCCTTGGGCAGGTTTGTCTGTCTAGAGAAATAACACCTCCCTGTGCCAACAACAGGGAAACTGACGGGGTGAGATGCACGTTACAGCAGCGAGGGAAACTGACGGGGTGAGATGCACGTTACAGCAGCGAGGGAAACTGACGGGGTGAGATGCACGTTACAGCAGCGAGGGAAACTGACGGGGTGAGATGCACGTTACAGCAGCGAGGGAAACTGACGGGGTGAGATGCACGTTACAGCAGCGAGGGAAACTGACGGGGTGAGATGCACGTTACAGCAGCGAGGGAAACTGACGGGGTGAGATGCACGTTACAGCAGCGAGGGAAACTGACGGGGTGAGATGCACGTTACAGCAGCGAGGGAAACTGACGGGGTGAGATGCACGTTACAGCAGCGAGGGAAACTGACGGGGTGAGATGCACGTTACAGCAGCGAGGGAAACTGACGGGGTGAGATGCACGTTACAGCAGGGAGGGAAACTGACGGGGTGAGATGCACGTTACAGCAGGGAGGGAAACTGACGGGGTGAGATGCACGTTACAGCAGCGAGGGCTGGAAGAGTGCAGCGCAGGCGCCTGGTCCCTGGGCTTCTCCAAAACAGTGTAGTGTCAGCCTCTCCCAGGAGCTCCTCAGAAACAGAATCCTAGGCCTCACCTCAGACCCTCTTCATCCAAGTCCACATTTTCACAAGACCTCCAGGCAACTCAAACACACATTTATGTTTGAGAAGTGCTGCTGCCCTGTTAGGCTCCTGGGGGAGGTCAGTCCTAGAGGTGGGGGCCTTGCAGATGGGCAGAGCCACGTGGGAAGCAGTGTGTGGTCCCTGAGCCAGAGGGTCATCAGGGCCTGAAGCTCCCCCAAGCACAAGAGGGCGCCGGTGCAGCCATCGCCCCATCACACTCCTCCTTTAGAAAGCAAAAGAGGCCGGGCGCGGTGGCTCACACCTGTAATCCGAGCACTTTGGGAGGCCGAGGCAGGCAGATCACGAGGTCAGGAGTTCGAGACCAGCCTGGCCAATATGGTGAAACCCCGTTTCTACTAAAAATACAAAAATTTGCCAGGCGTGGTGGCACATGCTTGTAATCCCAGCTACTCTGGAGGCTGAGGTAGGAGAATCGTTTGAACCCAGGAGGCGGCGCTTGCAGTAAGCCGAGATCATGCCATTGCACTCCAGCCTGGGTGACAGGGTGAGACTCCGTCTCAAAAAAAAAAAGCAAAAGAGCTCCCAGGAAGGTGCTCACGCTCCTGAACGAGGGTGGGAAGGTGCCCACGCTCCTGAACGAGGGTGGGAAGGTGCCCACGCTCCTGAGTGAGGGTGGGAAGGTGCCCACACTCCTGAGTGAGCGTGCACATGCTTACAACTGCGTTTCCCCTGCTCAAGATCCTCACAGCACTTAGAGGACAGGAGGGTTGTCAGCGCTGAGTCCTGATCACACAGGCTTAGTGTTCAGCAGGTGGTTGGGGAACACGTGGATGGATAGGTGAATGACTGGGTGGGTGGGTGGAAGGATGAATGAATAGAAGGACGGATGGGTAGGAGGATAATTCAGGGGATGGATGGATGGATGGATGGATGGATGGATGGATGGATGGTGGATAGGGGGTGGGTGGGTTGTGGATGGGGATGGATGGGGATGGGTGACTGGATGGTGAATGGTGGATGGATGGTGGGTGGGGTGTGGATGGATGGTGGCTGGGTGGATGAGTAGGTGGGTGAATGGTGGATGGGGGATGGGTGAATAGATGGTGGGTGGGTTGTGGATGGTGGATGGGTGGTGGATGGTGGATGGATTGTGGGTGGGTTGTGGTTGGTGGATGGATGGTGGATGGATGGTGGGTGGGCTGTGGATGGTGGATGGATGGTAGCTAGGTGGGTGGATAGATGGTGGATTGGTGGTGGATTGATGGTGGATGAGTGGATGGTGGATGGAGGATTAGGTGGGTGAATGGATGACTTTAGTCTCCAGAGAGTAAGAAAAGCAAGACGAACTCTAGTACGCCACTGGTGGGAATGTGAAATGTCATAGGTACTTTGGGAAATAGTCTGGCAGTTCCTCAAAACCTCTGGGGTAGGCTGTGAGGTCCCTCCCAGGGCTCAGCCGTGGGGCCCCATGTACTCAGGTGGTGCTCACCCAGCCCTGGGGGGCATTCTTTTGGGGTAAACACAGTTACCTCGTGACCCAGCAATTCTGCTCCTAGGCATGTAGCAAGGAAAAATGAAAACACGCAGCCATACAAAAGCACGTGCACCCACGTTCACAGCAGCCATACAAAAGCACGTGCACCCACGTTCACAGCAGCCATACAAAAGCACGTGCACCCACGTTCACAGCAGCCATACAAAAACACGTGCACCCACGTTCACAGCAGTTTCATTCATGACGAGCCGAAACGTGGAGACAACCCAGATGTCTATCCTGATGAACAGATCAGGAAAACGGGGCACACCCAGACAAAGGGATGTGATAGGGTCACAAAAGGACTGATGTGCAGATTCATGCTACAACGTCAGGGAGCCTCGCAAACGTCGTGCTCAGTGAATAAACAGACACACACGACAGCATGTATCGTGTGGTTCTGTGTGTATGACACATCCAGAATAGGCAAATCCTTCCAAAGAGACAGAAGGTAGAGGCGCGGTCGCTGGGACAGATGTGGGGACGGGCAAGGTAAAGCAGCACAGACCTTCCTTTGGGGGATAAAAATGTTCTAAAGCGGATCAGGGGTGATGGCTGCACGGGCCTGTGACTATGCTGGCCGGGGGCCGGGGCGGGTGGCTCACGCCTGTAATCCCAGCACTGTGGGAGGCCGAGGCAGGCGGATCACGAGGTCAGGAGTTCGAGACCAGCCTGGCCAACACGGTGAAACCCTGTCTCTATTAAAAATACAAAAATTAGCTGGATGTGGTGGCGCACGCCTGTAATCCCAGCTACTGGGGAGGCTGAGGCAGAAGATTTGCTTGAACCTGGGAGGCGGAGGTTGCAGTGAGCCGAGATTACACTACTGCACTCCAGCCTGGCGACAGAACGAAACTCTGTCTCAAAAAAAAAAAAACATTAAAAAAAAGTGACCGTGCTAAGAATTATTGAATTGTGCGGTTTGAAAGAGTGAAGTGGGGCATGTGGGTTGTATCTCAGTAAAGCTATTAGTTACCCAAGAAAAGCACAGAAAGCGAGATGGTCAGGCCCATCACCCTGCTTCCTCCCAGGGGCCTGTGGGTGAGGCTCAACTCAGGAGCTGGGGAACAAGGACAAGGCCCTGGGCCGGGCGTCTGTGGGGCCACCTTGCACCATGCTGCCAGCCCCAGCCTGCTCCGCTCCTCACCTCTGGGCCTGGCCCTGCACAGACTGGGTCACCCTCTTTTCACAAGGCAGGACAGCACTGTGCTTCCTGTTCAGCCCAGGCTGTCCATTTCCCACCAGAGGGAGGGGAGCAGTGAGCCCCCCCCCAGGGGCTCATCAGATTGGGGGATCCCATGTGCCCAGGGAGGCAATCTCTGAGCCCCGCAGCCCTGGCCTGTGGAAGCAGCCTGATGGCCATGCATTTCAGAAACACCCACTAGGAGCTGGGCCACACCTCTCGTTAAAAGCTGGACAGCCAAGGCCCCAGGGCTGGCCCTGGGCAAGTCTCCTGTCAGCTATGGGATCCACTGGTAGGGTCTACAGGCTGATGGAGCCAGGAGCGGGCAAACATCCCACTTTGGTCCCAGAGGGCACTGTGCAGCTTCTGCCGTCACAGGGGACATTCCCAAGTGACCAGAGGGGACATCCACCCTGAGCAGCTCCACTGTTGGGGGCCTCAGGCTATGTGGCTGGGCTGAGCTGCCAGCTCCCAAACAGGACGTTGGCCTCTTCTGACATCCAAGCTCTGGCAGGGGCATGTGTCCTGCTGGATGGGACTGGACAATCCTCACGGGCTAGGGGAAGTATAGCCCAGGGCAGCCAGGGGAGGCTCCTCTCCATGGAGGGAGGACCCCAAGGCCAGGGTGCTTTCCTGAGCACTCAGGACTGCCATGGGAAAAGCAGGCCCCTGTCAGCCGTGTGCACAGCCCCTCCCACACCTGCCTGGGAAAAGTGAGGCCTTAGAGCCCGGGAGGCAAATCTGCTCCAACCCTGGAGGTGCAGAGACCAAAGCCAGGGGAGGCTTGCTGAGGACACCTGCCGAGGGGCCTTGGGATCTGGGCCAGAACTGCAGCATGGCTGGGAGCCCCTGGGCCCATCTGGAGGAGGCTGAGTGGTAACAGGCGCCCTAGCTTCACACTAGCCACCCACTGCCCCCCACTCAGTCACCTCCTCTGCTGCCCATACTGAGACCCGGTGGCTCAACCAAGACTTTGGAAGGACAAACCGGTGGTCATGGGTCACGTGCCCACCGTTCAAGGCCCCAAGAAGCCCCCTCCATTGCTGCTCTGTCCCGGAGGTTCCTGCAAGGAACACACCTTTTGCTTCCATGGTGACATTTGCGGTGCTGTTTTAGGCTTTTCCGCCTCTTTCCTTCACAGGGTCCTGGGGCACCACACCAGGGAGGCCTGGCCGGGCACACACAGAGGACAGTGGGAAGTAAGCACCAGGGCCCGGCCTCCTGCCTGAGGGGTCAGCCAGCCGCTGACCACGTCCTGTAGCTCCTAACGTAAGCTTTGCACCCAAGAACAAGGGGCCCTTCCAGCCCCTGACTCCCCAGTTAACCCCCAAACACTACAGAGTGTTGGCCACAGTCACACACATCCAGCCCCAGGAGGGCCTCTGCCTCCTCCCTTGACCTCCAAGTCCCCTTCCTGCCATTCCCTGCCCTGGGTGCCCCCACTCCCGCCTTTGACTCACCCCATGGCCATTTGCAGACGTGGAGCCCCTGGCAAGGTTCACCTGCGCCAGGATCCCACCACCTCCTCCGCCTCCAGTGGCCATGCAGGCCCGCTGACCACATCCCTACTGGGCACATGTTGGACCCCAAATTTCCTGTCCACCAGACCCTCAGACTATGAGCTTATCTGGAATAAGGGTCTTTGCAGACATAACGAAGGGAAAGATACTGAAATGAGGCCACCATGCATGAGGGTGGGTCCCAAATCCAGTGAGACAGAGAAGCAGAGATGGACACAAATTCGGAGAAGAACACCACGTGAAGAGGGGAGCCGAGGCTGGAGCGAGGCAGCCACAAGCCAAGGGACGCTTGGGGCCATTGAAAGTTTGAAGAGGCAGGAAGGACATCCCCCACCAACAGAGCTCCTGGAGGAAGCAGGCCCTGTCCACACCTTGATTTCAGATCCTTGATCTCCAGAACATGAGGGAAGAATTTTCTGTTGTTTTCTGGCTCCCTCCACAGCTCTTAGCGCTGTGGGGCTGCAGACTGGTCTCCTGGCTAACCAGAGAGCCCGTGCTGATAGAGCCACTGCTCAGCCCTGCCTGCACCCAGCATCCAGCGTGGGGCCTGGACCGTCATTGTGTCCTGGTAGATATTGGTCAAATATGGAATGAAAGAGCCTTGGAGTCAGACACAGGGCTGAACGAGTCCTTTTCAGGCCATGGTCTAAGCTCCACACGGCACCTGGAGCACCGCCGTGGCACCCGCTGGGGTCCACAAACACCTCCCGGCCTGAAAAGGGGAATCCCAGCCTTTCCATGATCTCTGGAGATTTGGGACACTTGTGAATCATGCATCGGCTTTACAGGACGCTCTGGGGCTTAGGGAGTTGACAGGTCAACAGTCGGATAGACCGTCCAGGGAAGCTCCCAGGAAGTGGAGCAAGCTCGGGCGGGCAGATGCCGGGTGTCTCCTGGGACCTGCTGCAAATGCCCTCCCCACCTGCCCAACCCCACCCCCTACCCCAGACAGAGAGCATAGCCCCTGCCTGCCAGGAAGGGTGAGCGCCCAGCACAAACAGATTCAGGGCCTCCCGCTGCCCCAGAGGACCTCTACATTCATCAACCCTTGACGTGGTTTTCAATTAGCGTGGAGGAACCAGGGTTTATCGCTCTTCTCCGTCACTCCATTTATATTTAATGCATTTATTGCCCACATTCTATATCAGGAACAACTGCCTAGAGGCTGCCCATCCCCAGGGAGCAGGGTTTTATTTTCCTTTCCTCGCAATCGATCAGAGATTAAGTTGCTGTGTAGCTTTTTATTGGAGACACACATTTGCTGTGTTTAACAGGAAACCAGAGAAGGAAGCTCAGCGTGGGCCATAAATGATTTTGCTTCCATTGATCAAAGAAAAGACTGCCCACATCAGTCATCATCACCCAATGCACTCTCTGAGGGCACCCTATATATGCTCAGGCACACACATGCACACGGGCACACACTATCCAAGAGGAGAGAGAGCCTTGAGATGGACTCAATGGCTCCTGGACACTACCCTCGGCTCCCCCACAGCCTCCTAGTGGCTTCACCAGGGGTGGACATCCAGACTTTGTCACAGCTGAAAGCCCCACCTGGCCTGTGAGGGAGCATCTGCAGCCCCGGACAGCTGCCCTGAAGTTGGCCCTGTGCAGAATGGTAGACCCTTTGGACCCACATTGGTCCATGGAATGGCAGAAGCCTGTTGTCCTTCCGCTGGCTGGGGCCTGAGCATCAAAGTCATCTTTGCTTCAGAATCAAGGAACCTGGGAGGGCTGAAAGCCAACCCTCCATCCCACCATGCTGATGGCGGCCACGGCTCCCCAGTGACTCAGGTTTGGGGATCCTGGTTGGTGATAATGAAGTGAGCAGCACAGGATGCCCTGCCAGGGCCAGGGGTCTATGCCCCCATGTCCCCTACCCCTGAGCAGGTGAGCTGGTACCGAGACAGGCAGCAGGTGCACTCCCAAGTCTTTGAGACGCTGCTGGCAGGAAGTGTTCCCTTCCGGATCTGTCCTCTCACGCACATGAGTGCGCACACACACACACAGGCACTTGCCATGGCACAGAGACATGTTCCACCAGAAGCCTGTGGACTACTCGCTTGGGCTTTAGGGGAGGAAAAGGGAAAAGGGAGGAATTGCTAGGCAACCAGCCAGGGGTTGCTATGGCATTTTCAAGAGAGCGGCTGGGCCAATCAAGGCTGACTGCAGGCAGGCGGAGGCGGGAGCCACCATGTCACAGCAGCTCAGACAGAGGGGAGCACACTGCTGCACAGGCCTGGGGAGGGCTGGCGCCTCATGAATATGCATCAGGCTGATTGAGGCAAAGTCAATTAACGACTTGACGGCTTGATTTCCCCTGGATTCTACTCTTCTCCTTTAACCATTTGGCTGACACAGGGCAGGCTCCCCGCTTTCCTGCTGGCCCCGGAGTTTTCTAACAGGTCCAATTTGCTTTCCTAATCCTGACCTGGCCCAGGGGTCCTGGCATTGCTTGGTGCTGTTTCTACTGAAATCTTCTGCCACCTATGCAGGCAGCCAGGTCGCTGGTCCCACAGTGGGTCCCTTGGTGCCCTGGCAAGGCCTGAATTCCTACCTGGGACCAGGCACAGTGCAGCAGCTCCTGCAGGAGATGGTCCAGTTACCCCCCTTGGACAGTTACCAACTAGCGACCACAGGCCTGGCCGACACACATCTGGGCAATGACCTCACAACCCCTGGGAGCATCTAGGCACAACCAGTTTTGTGGGTGGCGGTTGGAGAAAGCTGGGGGCCAGCCCAGGGCAGGATCTCCTTCCTGGGCTCTGCAGCAGTTTCTCATCTACTGCAGTGGGGTTCTGGCCAGAGCAGTCAGAAAGCATGAAGGAGGCACTGCTCGCTTCCTCCACGTGACTCCTGGGGTGCAAGCTGGGGCAGGGACCCCGGCTCTGCCAGAACCCCCAGGGGGCTAGCAGGGTCTTTGCTGGATTATATTTCTCCTTCATTTCATTGTTCTCCCCAGTGAATTCTGGGGATTCTGAGAATTCCATTTTGCCCTGAATCATACGCAGCTCTTTTGACAGCTTCAGAAGTGGACGTCCTGTTGTGTGCAGCGGGGAGAATGTCAACCCTATGATTAACGCCCCACATGGTGGTGGGAAGAGGCTGGGATGCCTCAAGTCCCAGGCCCAGAGGATGGTGGGCCTCACAAAACTTGGGTGCAGGGTGTTGCAGAGGTCCGTGCAAGAAGGGACCCCGAAGCTGGAAGCTAACCGCCACTGGCTTCTCAGGAAGTCCCCTTGACCAGAACCCAGTCCCAGACATATGAATCAGTAGCCAAAGAGGGCCACAAACTCTGGGTGCTGGCCCCGTGCCTGGCTCTGGGGGCAGAGACACACGGGCCCTTAGGGCTGAGAACTCAGGTGGAGGGGTCTGGGGTGGGAGGGTTAGTGGCAAGGAATGCACGGGAAGAACACAGTCAGCGGCCATGGACCTGGATCCTGTTCACGCACCTCAGGCCCACACGGTGGGCAGGACGGGTTAGAGCCGCCACCTGGGTCCAATCGGCCGGGTGGGGGCAGCCCAGGAAGGTGTTCCCAGGAGCAGACCCCAGGTTCCCTGTTGCAGCCCATCCCGTGGCCCGCAGGCTGCCTAATCTCCCTGCTGCAGCTCCCATTTGCTTGGCCTGCAGAAGGTTTTCAACCACAGCCGAGCAAGGTCCTTAGGCACCTTCAAGGCTGAGACATTCGCCCCTGATCCACTGACTGTGGGCTCTCGGGAGAGCGGCCACACCCCTCTCACCATCAACAGTCACCTGGGCCTGGCCCTCATGGGAGACAGACTCGGCCAGCACCTCCCACTGCCCCCTAGTTGGGAGGAACCCCACTCTCACCTGGGGCTCCCGTCTGCAAGCTCCAGGTGGTAGGACCGACCTGGGTCACTCTCGAACCCCACACTCAGCTTGTGGCCCCCACACATGCTCACCCACCCATCGCCGCAACCGTTTAAAGAGCAAGGGCCCACACCGCACACTCAGAGCAGAGGCGGCCTTCCGAAGAGAGGGCGGGCACACATGGAAGCCACTCTCTTCAGCACTGAACTGAAAGACCCGGGCTGCCCTGAGCTTGGGATGCGGGAGGCACCTGGACAAGCAGGGAGGGCAGAGCCACTCACAGAGCTCAGGGCCAAGCTCATGGCCAGGGACAACTTCTCTGGGTCCTGCTGCCCCGAATCCTCCATTAGGCCTACAATGGACAAGGGAGGCATCACCCTTGAACCCAGCTTTTGAGAGAGCCCCACTCAAGGAAGGATGAGAGCGAGCACCTCCTGTCCCTCCCCGGCCCCAAAGCCCTCGAGCTGCCCCTTCTGCCCAACACCTGTGGTGCCCCTGCACTCAGTAGGTGCTTCATGTATGCTCCATGGACAGGGAAGTGAACACCTGGGCATCCGCACAAGGAGGTGGCACGCACTTATATTGGGATGAGGGACGTGTACTTCCACCAGAGGCCGGGGCTGCCCATCGGCCAGCATTTCCCAAAGTGTATCCTGGGTCGCACCTCGAAGTTGCTCTGAAGAAAGACCAGGGCCTCCTCCTGGAAGCCGGTGGCTCCTGGGTCTTCACTGCTATTGTTCCCTCCACATGGGAGGGTGGGGGCTGCCACCATGTCATGCACAGGGTGCACCCTCAGACAGCATGCACCCCAGGGCACACGGCAAACGGCAGAGCTGGCCTCCACCAGGGCTGTGCGGGGCTGCACTAGATCCAGCTTTCCGGGGCTCCAGGGGGTTCCTCACCAGCTCCTCTGAACACGCTACAGGCCCAGTTGACTGTCACTTTCACTGTTAGGGAGCATGAGGCGTTAGAATCAATCCTGTGACACCACTGTGTTGTCAGGAACGGGCCGTGCCAAGGGGCACCACTAGGTCAGGCCTCAAGGTCTCAGCTCCAGGATGCCTCACCCAGAGCAAGACCCAGGCTGTCTGCAGGACAAAGACGTCGGAAGGAAGAAGAGGGAGAAGCCAGGAAGGTGGAGGTCTCTGAGAAGATGTGGTGACACCAGGGCCCAAGGGCTCCCCAGCTTATGGTGGAGGGCACTGCCTGTCTTGGTGTCCATGAAACTTTGGATGAGGAACAGCAGGAGGACAGGACCCAGGCAGGAGCTTCCAGCTCAGGGAACGACACGCCAGGTGGAAAGAACGGAGCCCCGGACGCCGAGGACGGGAACAGGATCACGGGCACCTGGATGCACCAGGAGGGCGAGAGAATCAGGAGGGGAAAGGAGGAAGAAGGCCTTCAGTTCAGGAGGAGAAGGGCCTTGCAATGCAGAGACCTCGCAGACGCGCCGTCGGCCTGTGGCCAAGGTCAACACAAATGTGCACGGCCTGGGCTGTGGCATGGAGGCCTTCATCTCTCTGCTCTTCTCCCAGAGACAAATTCGCTACAGGACATCCAACAGGGCACCCGGCCACTCCCCTGGAGGCCCAGGTCACCATGCACAGGGCCGGTGAGACCACGGGGACAGCCTCCCGGTCTTTCCTGCAGGGGAAGACTGGGAATCGGCTGCTCCTGCAGCCCCAGTCTCATCATCTGTGAAACAAAGACAAGGAAACCCGTTTTATAGCCACAGCTCAGTCTTTGACTAAGTCACATCCTCATTGCTCCTGTTTCCACAGAGCAGACACCGACGTCCAGACATCCAGACTGGCTGCCACCAGCTCACTGGAATGGCCAGCCCGTCCCGCCGAGGCCAGTGGACATGCCAAATCCCTCCCGCAACAAGTTG
Source organism: Homo sapiens (assembly GCF_000001405.40). NCBI lineage: Eukaryota > Metazoa > Chordata > Mammalia > Primates > Hominidae > Homo > Homo sapiens. Next base: position 63,167,347 of record NC_000020.11, read on the forward strand.
CTATCCATCCCCTCGACTAATACTTACCAAATTAATTCCAGATTTGGAGTCACTCATGGTTCCCACCAGCACTCAGCCCCATCTCAGCCCCCATCTCAGCCCCCACCGCAGCCTCACCTCAGTGCCCACCTCAGCCCCCTCCTCAGCCCCCACCTCAGCCCCCACCTCCGCCCCCACCTCAGCCCCTCCTCAGCCCCCACCTCCGCCCCCACCTCAGACCCTCCTCAGCCCCTCCTCATCCCCTCCTCAGCAGCTGCTGGAATGGGCTACCCTCAGGAGTTGGCACCCCACAGGCTCCTTCCCTTCCCACCTCCGCCACACCCTGACGAGGGAAAAATGGGGAGCTGCTGGGAGGGAACTTGCACCCTGTTGGGCGCCTTGTATCCCCAGCCTCCTCTCACACCACAGGCTGCTGGGGCCCCGTCAGCGGAGCACGGCTGCAGCGAATGTTGAAACCACCAGTTCCCATTCCTAGCAGGGCTGAAAGAAGGAGGACACCTGGAACCTGCTTTCTTGCTGCTGCCCTTGGGGGTGGCCCACTCTGGCAGCTGCAGCCTCGAACCTGGCTCACTGAGGGGTGTGTGGGGGAACTGGGGGGTCCCTGGGGTCGGTCCTAGGAGGAAAAGGTGGCAGTTGTCCATGCTTTCTGGGGACGCCCAGGGAAACTCCGCCCTGTGGAGACCGGAGCTTGGCTCAGCCCCTCCCTCCTGCCCTACCTCTGTCCTTTCCAGCCAGTGGCAACAAAGCCCAGGTGTGAGGCGCCCCTGGCAGGCGTCTGGGCCTGGCTCTGAGGGGCCAGCGGGCATGGGAGGGGCTGGCAGGGCGGCCCTTGTGTTCTCTGCTTTGGAAGGAGATAGAACAGTGGTGCCAGCCCACCCGCAGATACGGCGGCACGCAGAGGCCTCATCTGCCCCTTCTGAGGCAAAGCCTCTGGAGGAGCCCCACACCGGGCCCCCCAGGCAGCAGCACCTCCTGGTCCTATCATGTGAGACACACAGCCCGAGAGGACGCCTGAGGTCCGGCGGGGACAGCAGGAAGCATTCAGGGAAGGCGCTCCCCAAGATGGACCATGGTGAGGCTCCCGCCCCGGGTCCTCAGGTGCAGCTGGCTCAGGGAAGGCGCTCCCCAAGATGGACCATGGCGAGGCTCCCGCCCCAGGTCCTCAGGTGCAGCTGGCACCCTCATTTCCTGGGATGTGAGACCCACGCCCTGGATGACGTCCCTCTGTCCTCTTCACGGTGGCTCCTGCCCTGTGAGACCCCAGAATCTTCCAGAGAGACTCCACAGCCTGCAGCGAGCCTGTTTGCTGAGCTCCTGGGGCAGGACAGCCAGACCCCGACCACCCTGATGGTACCACTGCAGCTTTGCGAATGGCATGTCCCCTCCAAAACCTGCTGCCCAGAGGGGAGGAGAAGGGATGCAAGGCAGGTTCCAGGTGCTTCTGTTTTGAATTAAACCAAATTATGAACAAAACAGCCCCATAGGAAGGGCCTTGGGATGGCACCAGCCACCACCCAGGCCTCGGCAGGCCCCAGCCAGGGACCCGGGGACCCCACGTGCCAGCCCTGGGGCAGTAGCATGGCACAGACACAGCAGTGAGCGCCTCCGTGGCTGCCCCACCCAGCCTGGAGCTTGGCGCCCTGCAGGCATGGTTCCAGGTCCCTCTTCAGAGCTGGGAATGATAAGCAGACTGCTGGGACCCCATCCTCACCCACACCTGCGTGGCGGGACTGCTGGCTGCCTTGATCTACCCCTACAGGGGCTGATATCCTGTGGCACCCCAAGCCCCCCGATGACCCTCAGCCAGCCAGCACACAGGAGAGTCCCCAAGGCTCGGTGTAGGGGCCCTGCAGGCAGTGGTGAGATGCAGGGTCTGCGTTTCCCAGGCCGGGCAGTGCAAAGCCAGGAGCAAAGGCACCCCTCACCATGTGGCACCTCCTGCCCCTGCTGGCAGAGCCCACAGATCCCAGGCACAGGATGGGGAGGGCAGTGTGGCTCCCTCCCAGGCCTCAGGGAGTACAGGGACATCTGGGCAGAGGGTGGGCAGGATTTCAGGCATCCTACCCCCTGCTAAGGGAGGCCCCCGGAAATCAGGAATTGGGGCCTAGGGAGCTGAGCAAGCCTGGTCCATTCTCTAGAAGTTTCTCCTCCTGCAGGGCTGGAAAGATAGGTTGCTCTTCTGGTCTGTTCTCTGTAAATGCTCCCCCAACATCCCTGGGTGGGGTTTCCTCTTCCCAAAGCCTGCAGGGCCTGAAGGGTGAGCCCCTCACTTGGTCTCTGCAGCCTCCATCGTCAACCCTCAGGGCTCCTGTCCTCCTCTCCCTGCACCCTCCCTCAGCATTAGGTGGGGGTTCCTGTAAAGCTCTGGGGTCAGGGTCTGGCCCTCAAGATCCCTGTGAATTTGGCGACTGCATCACTCTTACCACTGCCACCTTCCCTGTTCTGCTCAGGGCCAGGTTGCTCCACTCTGCCCTAGTCTCCTGGGGCAGCTCTGAGCTTCTGCACAGTCACCTTCGGAATGCAGGCACCTCCCAGTCCCCGGATCTCCCAGCACTGTTTCACCCCTCGTTGGGTGGAGCTCAGGAAGGGCCTAAGCTCTCCCCATCCCTGCCTCTCGCCCCACCCCTGCCTGGCATCCTCAACAGCCTCACTGGTCCCCCACCAGAAGGCTCTTCCCTTCCATCAACCTGCACAGAGACTGTTGCTGGCGGGGGAACCAGGGTGAAGGTGCCTCTCTGGGCTCCCAGAGTTTCTTGCCCTGGTCTGAGGGGCAGGAAGTCCTGCCATTGATGCCTTCCCTCCCAGTAAAGACAACTGGCAAAGAAACAGATGGTGCCCTTGAGCTGAGGATTGCAGGAGGGTTTAACAAGTGACACGGGCAGTTGTGGGGAAACCCAGGGACAGAACGGCATCCTGGGGCTGGAGAGGTTGAGGCTGCCACCCCTCCAGACCAGAGGGATGTGGTGAGTAGTCCTGCAAGGGGCTTGGGGGCTGACACTCCCTCCCCTCCTTTCCCTCACATCCTCCCCTCCCTCAGCCAAAGCCAGAGGCTCAGAGCCCATGGTGCAGCACAGGTGGCCACCAGAGCCAAGGGGAGGAGGGGATCTCTGTGCACTGGCTGGGATGCAGCACATCTTCACAGTCAGTCATTCACACATTAGTGAGAATTTGTGTCTAAGCCACTTCCAAGGGAAGATATAGGGAGAAAGAAGGCTTGGAAAGACAGTGGGAAACAGAGCTGCACAAAGTGGTCCTGGGGATGGCCAAGGGATGAGACCATGGTGCACCTCCAAGGGCCCAGTTCATCCTTTGCCTCTGCTCCTCCCCAGCAGACACATTCAGCTGCCTCTCCTGAGAATGCAGGCCCACACTCCCTTGTCCAGCCTGAGAAGCCCCCAGTGACAAGGAGAGTGCCCCAGATAGCCCCAGGGTCAGCCCACCCCAATCTGATGCCAACTCCAGGCACAACTCCCATCAGGCGAGCGTGGGAGGAAAATAGCAGATTTTCAAAAGTCACAAATTAGAGCATGAAATCCAATGCTTGACATAAGCCTTCTGTGCAGAAACCGTGAGGCCCTCCAGAAGCATGGAAGCCCCTGTGGCGACTGAGCCCCTTTCCTGACAGAAGATCTCCCTTCTATCCACTCTTTCGTTTAAGTAACTGTGTTTTAAAGACAGCTTTCTATTTCCGCTATTAGTGGAAAATCACTATCACTTGCCCTAAATAAACAATACCCTAAATGAACACAACTGCACTTAAACAGGCTCACCTGCCCCTACCCACGTCGCACAGCCACTGAAGGCTCTGAGCCCAGCGCCTGCCCTCATTGTCAAAACAAGGACATTCTGGAGTGTCTGAGACTCGAAGACAAACCAGCACTAACAGGTCCTTTCTCTGCACCCTACAGGTGCGCCATCCTTAGCCCCCACCCCAGGATACCGCCCTGTTAGGTCCACCCTGCCTGCTTTCCCAGAGCTGCCCCAGGCAGAGGGCCAGCCCCAGGCAGGCAGCTGGGCACAAGGAGCAGGCTGTGTGTCCTTCCCTGCAGCAAGACCCAGGACAGCACAGAGACCCATGCCTCTCTGCGACCCGGGGAAATCCCAGGGCTCTCATGCCCCCTCCCTGGAGGGTCTGCACTGGTCAGACAGGAGGGGTGCATTCTGCCTGGTGGGCTGCTGTTCTGCTCAGCCCCAGGAATCCCTCCCATTTCTTAAGCCCATCCTTCCTTGGGCTTGTCCTCTCCTCCCCTGCCCCTAGATGCCTGGCCCCAGTTACACAGGGAGGTAGGCGGCCCTAGGGCAATGGCCTGGGGTGGACGCTCCAGTTTCTTCCCAGCATGGCACACTCCTGTGGCATTTGACTTAGCGGTGGAGGGGGCATCCCCCAAGAGTGAGGTAAGAGAATACCCATGTCCCTAAAAGCAGACAGCAGCCTGAGAAGTCCCTTTGATGGCCCTCCTTTCTTGCTGGAGTCATTCCTGAGAGGTAAATGGAAAGAGATGGAGATGAGCAAGAGGAAGTTGAGGAGGAAGATGGTGCAGCGATGAGAGAGAACCAAGAAAAGGCGAGATGGCAACACATAGACCTATGGGAGAGACATTCAGAGATGAGGAGAATCATAGAGGCCAGAAGGAGAGATGCAGAGACAGGGGAGACACAGAGACCGGGGAGAGACAGAGACAGAGACCAGGGAAGAGACAGCGACCAGGGGAGAGACAGAGACCAGGGAAGAGACAGTGACCAGGGGAGAGACAGAGACCAGGGGAGAGACAGAGACCGGGGAGAGACACAGAGACCAAGGGAGAGACACAGAGACCAAAGAGAGAGACAGAGACCAGGGGAAAGACACAGAGACAGGGGGAGACAGAGACCAGGGGAGAGACACAGAGACCAGGAAAGAGACAGAGACGGGGGGAGACACAGAGACTGGGAGGACAGAGACCAGGGAGAGAGACACAGAGACACAGGAGAGACACAGAGACATGGGAGAGACTCAGAGACAGGAGAGAGAAAGAGACGAGGGGAGAGACACAGAAACCAGGGGAGACACAGAGACAGGGGAGAGACAGAGACCGGGGAGAGACAGAGACCAGGGGAGAGACAGTGACCAGGGGAGAGACACAGAGACCAGGGGAGAGACACAGAAACCAGGGGGGGGCACAGAGACTGGGGGGGACACAGAGACCAGGGGGAGAGACACAGAGACACGGGAGAGACACAGAGACTGGCAAAAACACAGAGACCAGGGGAGAGACTCAGAGACAGGAAAGAGACAGAGACCAGGGGAGAGACACAGAGACCCAGGGGCAGGTGCTGAGAGAGTGATGGGGACCTGAACCCTGAGAAAGGACTGGCAGATGTGTCCTGGAGGGAGGGACAGAACAAGGGCCGTTCCAGCCCTACCCCGGGACCATGAGCTGCAGGCCATCCAGCAGCTGTCAGCCCAGCCAAGGATGGCCTTGTTCTCTGCACCCCGAGCCAAGCCACTTCTGAGGGAGCTCCACCTTTGGAGGATTGGTGCCTGGGCCAGCTGGGCCCCACAAGCGCCTCTGTGGTGGAGCTCCCTCTGGTGGGGTCCTGAGTGCTGGGGCCGCTGAGAACATAGGGGGAGGGGCATTGAGCCAAGTCCCGCCCTTGTGACCAGGAGGGGGCTCCATGGGGGACACCTGAGGGCCTGAGGAAGGAGAGGGCGCCCTGTCAGATGCCGCCTGCTCCCACTTAGAGGTCAGGCTGTAACTGAGGAGGCCACACAGAGTCCCCACCCCATGTGGACTCAGGGACAAAGAGCCCTCACCCTGTGGCCACGCTGGCCGCATCCAACTTTGCTGGGTCCCATGGAGGGGGACCCAGGGCTGGGAGAGACCCTGCCCCAGCTCTGCGTAGGTCTGTTCTGGGTGGTCCTGAGGCCCAGGTTCAAAAGGAAAGTGCCCTAAATGGGTGTCCTGCTGCATGCCTGGGGTGGCCCCAAAGCCAAGCAGGAGGGGTTCCCGCTGGAGGAGTCGAGGCCACAAGGCCCCAGAGCCTTCTCGAAGCTCCTGCTCTCAAACTCCTCCATCTTTCTAGAGAAGAGAGCAGTGCTGGGGCAAGCTGCTCACCCCTCACTCCTCCAGGGTAATTTGCTGACACCAAGATCCCTAGGTGGGGCCAGCAGGGGCCAGCCTCCCTACCCTCCCCGCAACACACCCTCTAGGACCCTAGGCTAGGCTTGGAGGCAATGGGAAGGAGGCAGCTGCCCAAAGCCAAGAGGCGCCCTGTAGAGGGGGCCAGCCCTGGGCAAGGGGCGGGGGCCGGGGGCTGCTGGCCCAGGCTCCATATCCCCAATTCCCCAGCAACAGTGCATGGCCAGGGAGGCTGGGACTGGCCAGGTTCGCACCTCAGGCTGAAATATTGGCCCCTGGGGAACAAAAGGCCTATTCCCGCCATGGGCCAGGCACCCAGCTCCCCTCGCTCCACACTGGCTCCCGCCTCCCTGCCCGCCCAGGCGCAGTGCTTACCTGGCCTCTATTCTGCCCAGCTCTCAGCCCAGTAGCTCTGGCGGGACCCACAAGGAGTTCCGCCTCTGGGACGGTCAGTCCAAGGTCTATGTATTCCTTCTCACTGGGGCCAGGGAGGAGGGGGCCAGGCCGGGAGCAGAGAGAAAGGGGCCGTGGCCTCATTTCCATGCGGAGGCCCCAGGCCCTGTGCTATCCCCACCCTATTGTGCGCCTGGGCGGGCTGACAATCGAGGTCTTTGTGGTCGGTTGCTGCACTCCCACCCTCAGCGCTCAGGCAGGCGGGGTCCCTGCCACCCGCTACAAAGGGTGAGGAGGAGCAAGACCAGGAGAGGCCCTCCCTCTCCCCACCAGGCACGGGGCCCCACGACTGGCCTCGTCCAGACCCAAGCCCAGGGGACAGGTGTGGAGGGAGCACCTGCAGATGGAGTCTCCCTGCTCCCTGCACCTTGCCTCTGAGTTTGTGCGTGGGGCCAGTTGCCATGTTTGCACTCCCACCCCCTAGTCCTGGGGATCAAGCTGCCTGGCAGTGTCCCTGGAGCTCCTGGGGGTGGAAGAGGGCCCCTGCTAGGTGGGATGGGCCTTCGGGGGCCCCTGCTCCTCATGGCACCAAGCATCTGCCCACCTCTGGAGGTTAAGCCTGGCGTGGGAGGAATGGGAGGCCCCCTTACCCACAGGGGAGATGTTTGGGGTCACAGTCACAGATGCTGGGTGGGAGGGGGACCCAGGCCTTGCTGCAGAGCCAGACAGAAGTCTCCGCCATCCCTGGGTGAGGCACTGGGTGGGGGCCTCTGAGCTCCTTTGACCACCCCAGCTGGAACTGGGAAGCTGTGGGCCACTGGGAGGCAAGGGTCCCCACCCCCTCTGCCACCCACATCTGTACTGTGGGCACCTCCATCTGGCCTTCCACATCCTCCCCACCTCCGCATGCTGCAGGGGCTGGGTGGGGGGTGGTCTGCAGCAGACTCCAAAGGAGGCGAGGGTCAAGGGTCAAGAGGTGGTGAGCCAGCTGTTCCCAGATGTGGGCCGCGGCCTTTCCTCTTTCTGGAGGAATGACAGGCCTCCCGCAGAGGAGGAGCGGGTGGTGACGAGGGAGAAGGAGCGGAAAGGGAGGGGTTCTCCACGGGTTCTGTTGATTTGTTTAATCCCACGCTATTCGGAGGCTTTCACGGATGGCGGACAAGAGGGAGGGGGAGGGGGTGGGGGTCTCGGCCCGTGTTTCCTCCCCTCCTCCCGCTCCCGCCCCCGCCGGAGCCACCTGACCCGTAGCGAAGTTGCCGGCCCCGCTGCGCGCCGGCCTTTGTGCGCACCGAGGCGGCCGCCGGGAACCGGGAGCCCGAGCTGGCCCGGCAGCGCCGCCGCCCCCACCTTCGCGCCCCTTTTCACTCCCCCACTGTCCCCGGAGCTGGCAAATAAACAAATCCACAAACAAATTATCCGTGTGCTCCGGAGAGGCGGCGGCGTGGGCGGCGGCGGAGAGAAGGCGCCGGGCAAGGCGAGACTAGGCCCCCGCGGAGCGGGGGAAGCACAGACCCCAGCCCGGGCCCGGCAGCAGTAAGTTGACTTTTATGAAACCTACGAAGCTCGCGGGGCCACCGAAAAGGTCCCCACCGGAGCGGACTCTGCGGGGCGGGCGGGGCAGAGGCTGCAGGCGGGCTCCCCTTCCCGCGCGGCTCCTACCGGCCGGCTCCGCCCCCAAGCCCTGGACGGCCCTTCCCCCAGCCCGCCTGGCTGGGGGCCGCTGCACACCGGGGGTGGAAGTGGGGAGCCGGGGACCCCGATCGCTACTCAGGACTCCAAGAGGGGCCGGGTTCTTCTAGGGATGTACAAAAATCTAGGGTGACCCAAGGGAAGGGGGCGACCCCCAGCCTTCCACCTTACCCACCCCGGCCTGCCAGAGAGCCCTCCGCCAAAGGTAAAGTGGGAAGGACGAAGGTGCTCCGCCAGGTGAGGGAACAGGTCTGCCAGGGGCGGCGATCCACCCTGCCCCAGGTGGAGCCGGTCCTGTACGGAAAAGAGACCCAAAGAAAGATTTGGGGTCCCCGAAGCCAAGGTACCGATGGGGGGTGCTAAGGAGTCTTTCCCCTTAGAATGGGAACAAGCTCCAAGGAGCTGGAATCCCGAGGCGTCCTGGACCCGTCCAGGAAGCTAAGGGTGGGGGACGGGAGGGGAGGGGGCCGGGAGCCGGCCTCCCTGGCCCCAACCCTTGGTGAGAAGAGGGCTGGGGGTATAAAGTCCGAAAGTGAGGCGGAGGTTTCAGGGTTCCGTTTCAACACCATGGACAGCGGATGCCTCAGACTGGGAGCCTAGGACCGCCCTGGGGACTGCCCCCGTTTCATTAGGGTGAGGGTCCGATTCCGACCACTGGAGGCCAAGGGCAACTGTCTCCAATGAAGCGGGGCTGCTGCAGCCTGGCCTCCCCAGCCCTCCAGCCCCTCCAGCGTCCGGCTTGCACCTGCTGAGGCTGCCGGCACCCGCAGGCTTGGGGCAGCTTCCAGAGCTTTGCGCTTGGAACAGAAGGTTCCCCTTGGGCTGTGGAGGAGTAGAGGGCTTGTGCGTGACCTGTGAGAAAGAAAGATTGTCCCTGACACTTGCGAAGGGCGAGGAATTGCGGCTGGGAAGGGTCAGGTTGAAGCCGCACCAAAGGGGGAGGGGCGTCCTGATGGTTGAGGACCGGCGGAGTCGGTGCGGGCAGAACCAACCCGAGTTCCTGCCGCCCTTCCTAACCGGCTGTCCATGGGCTGGGCAGTGCTGGAGAGGGTGGAAAAGGAAGGAAGCAGGACCTGCTCCCAGGGAGGCCCAGGCTCTGCTCCGAGGGCAGATGGCGCAGGGGCTGGGTTGGCCCTAGGAGGAAGGAGATGGGGACAGAGGCCTGCCGGCCGCGCCGGCCTGCGCTCCTTGCAGTCTAAACAAAGGCCAGCGGGGGAGGCTCCGGACGGTGAGGCTTGGGGAAGCCACTGATCCCTGGCCCTAGAGGGCCAGATCGGGGGCGCCCCAAGGACCCTATCGAGCTGGCAGTGACTGCAGTCGGGCCGTGGAGTGTCGCCTGTGATTCCGTGGTCCCTACGGGCAAGAGCTCCCATCCCGGTCTGAAACTGTGAGAACCGCAAGCTCCGATGGGGGCGGGGAAGGACGACCTTTAATTCCCACCCCACTGTACGGAGCCCAGCAGGGCCATCCGCAGGAGGCCGGCGGGACCCTTGCCTTTCTCAGGACTGAGAGGCTTGGAGGACCGCGGTGTGAGCTGCGCGGCAGAGTGCGTTCTGCAGGCGCCAGACAGGAGACGCGAACCCGCGGTCAGGGCCCGAGTGCGGGTGCGTGTCTGCGGGTGCCGCTGGGCTGCGTGCCGGCGAGGCGTGCGCGTGGCGAGGCGTGCGCGTGGCGGGGTGTGGCTAGAGGTGTCAATGTGCAGCTGGAGGGGCTGCGCGCGTGGGTGCAGGAGGGCCATGTGAGGGGCTGGAGTGTGTGGGAGACAGGCGTTTCCTTGGGTCTCCGTGTGGCCGCCGGGCGCAGGGCACGGTCGAGGGCGCTCGATGGCTGAGTCCGCGTGAGCCGAGGAGCGCGCGGGGCGGGACGCGGTGCGAATGCGCGGGAGGCACGAGGCGCGCAGTGCGTGTGTGCGCGTGTGCGCGGCGCGCGTGCCCCGCAGTTCTCAAGGACACCTCGGGGAGGCAGCGGCGGGGCCGGTGTCCGGGTGACGTCACCGCGCGCCCCAGTGATAATCGGCCGGTGCCGGAGCGGAGCGCGGATACGCGCGGAGGCAACGGCGACGGCGGCGGCGGCGGCGGGCGCGGGGACAGTTGCATCGGGGCCGGGCCGGGCTAGCAGGAGCTGGGCGCCTGCAGCGTGGACCCCGTGGACACTCGGCTCGCAGCCGGCCTGCGGCGCTCGGGGACTTGCCTGGCTCCCTTCTCGGGGTTCCCGCGCCCTTCTCCGCCCAGGGCAGCAGCGCGCGGGGCCCCCGGGAGCCGAAGAGCAGGCGGGAACTGGCGGCGGCGCGGGAGGCGCAGGGAGCGGAGGCGGCAGCAGCGGCTCCCGCCGGGACTGGTAATTACGCTCGGGGCCGGGCCGGGGCGAGCCGGGCAAGCGGCCTCTCTGGGTCTCCCCGTCTTTCTCTCCACGAACAGCTCGAGCGCCTTCTCGCGGGCCCGCTGCGCGCGGAGAGGACGAGCTCGCTGGGTTGTAAAAAGAGACGAGTTTTCATCTTTGAGCATCGAGATTCGTTCTTTTAACCGCATTCGGTGCGCGCTCCTGGGTCGGCACGGGCAGGGCGACGGCAGGGGAAGGCAGCTGCGGAGGAGCTCGCGCCGCCCAGTCGGAGCGGTTCTGCGCCCCTCGGAGCCCCGCGGGAGGCGGCCGGGTGCGCACGCGCTCACCACCCCCACCCCCGGAATCCGTCTTCGCGATTCCCGGGCGCCCCAGCTCCAGGAACGCCCGGAGGGACGCACTTGGGGGCCCACTCTCTGCCGCGGAAAGGGGAGAAGTGTGGGCTCCTCCGAGTCGGGGGCGGACTGGGACAGCACAGTCGGCTGAGCGCAGCGCCCCCGCCCTGCCCGCCACGCGGCGAAGACGCCTGAGCGTTCGCGCCCCTCGGGCGAGGACCCCACGCAAGCCCGAGCCGGTCCCGACCCTGGCCCCGACGCTCGCCGCCCGCCCCAGCCCTGAGGGCCCCTCTGCGTGTTCACAGCGGACCTTGATTTAATGTCTATACAATTAAGGCACGCGGTGAATGCCAAGAGAGGCGCCTCCGCCGCTCCTTTCTCATGGAAATGGCCCGCGAGCCCGTCCGGCCCAGCGCCCCTCCCGCGGGAGGAAGGCGAGCCCGGCCCCCGGCGGCCATTCGCGCCGCGGACAAATCCGGCGAACAATGCGCCCGCCCAGAGTGCGGCCCAGCTGCCGGGCCGGGGATCTGGCCGCGGGACACAAAGGGGCCCGCACGCCTCTGGCGTCGCGGGGCGGGTGGGGGCGGCCGAGGGCGGCCGAGGGGGGAGCCTGCGGCCGGGGCCAGGCTGCGGCCAGCCGGCCCCCGGCCACGTGTGTCCGCAGCGCGGAGCGCCCAGGCGCCCGCAGAGGGCGGCGGGGCCCGGGAGACAAAGGGAGGGTCCACGGGGAGCGGCGGGCGGGTGCGTGGGGCGGCGGGCTAGGGTGCGGCGCTGTCCGCGGTGCTGGCGGCGGGGCGGCCCCCGCGGGACGGGAGGGCGGCCAAGTGCGGCCCTCGCCCCCACAGCGGGCGCCCTGGACAGTTGCCACGGCAACGTGGGAGGAGGTGGGGCAGGGTCTGAGGTCACCGCTAAGTCTGCCCTTCCTCGGGCCGCTGCGCCGCGGGGCGGGGCGGAGGCGGCGCTCGCTGTGGCCCCAGAGCAGCCCCCGCAGCCCAGGACCAGGCTTGCATGGGGACGGGGGTCTGCGTCCGCGTCCAGGGTCCAAACGAGGGCGGTGGACACGCCGGACCGCATCCCGCCCCCAAAGCCGGCTCTGGGCTGTGCAGGACCAGGCACGTGAGACTCCGCAGCCCAGGGAGAAAATGACAAATCCCTCCCCCGCCGCCATCTGCAGCCGCAGTGACACCCACTCGGGTTTGCTGCAGGGGTTTTTTTTCTGTCCCCGGAAGCCAGCGCCACCTGCTGACGCCCGGCACCGCCTCTGCGCCGCCTCCCCCGCGCCCATCCCAGGCCCCGGCTGGGCTGTGATGCCCCGGTAACAGTCAGAGGACGACCCCCTCCCCAAAAGCCCCCTTCCCCTGGGGCGAGTGCCAGACCTGGCTTTGCAGCTTTGCCTCTTTCCTCTTAACCAGGTAGAGGCTGAGCCTCTCCTCCCCGGCTTCAATCCGAGGCAGGAGTCTGAGTCACCTGAAGTTCTCCCAGCTCCAGGCCCAAGGCAGGGAGCAGAAGATCAGGATAAAAGGAACCATTTGAGTTTCAGGCAGTGGCATCTCCACCCCCACCACCGCCGCTGCAGGGCCACAAAGGGAACCTGCCTCTGCGGCTGTCCTCAGCACAGACCTCCAGCCCCTCCACCCAAGTCGCCTGCTGCAGACACAAGCAGGAGCCACTGGTGCCTCCATCTTCCCACCCCCACCCCAGTCAGCCAGGCAGAGTCAGAACACGGTCCACCAGTCTCCTCAGGGGCAGGTTCCCCCTGGAGGGCACAGAAGTGGCATAGGCAGCCCCAGCAAGCCCCGGCCTGACCACAACACTGACCCCGGGGCTTGGCGTCCCCTTCTTCCTTCCTCCCGCTGTGAGGGGACAGGCAGCATCCCCCAGGGGCACTTCTGGTCCTAGAGAAGGGGAAGGGGCCCCAGGATCGTTCCAGGACAACACCAAAGGGACTGGTGGGAGTGGGGTGTTCCTTCGGGGTACAAGATGTGGCCCTAGCCTAGCTGGAGCTTCCTCTTGGAGCTCTGACCTCCAGCCTGGCCCTTCCCTCGGAGGGAAGGTGGCCCCTGGCTGCTCCCTCCTCTGGGGCCAGAGATGGGGGCTGGGGCTTTGTTCTTGTACCACTTTCCTTCCTGGGGAGGGGACTTGGCTCCTAGCCAGAATGGACCTTCCATGTCAGTAGCCTGGGGAGGGGGACACTTGAGAGCTGGTGGGAGCGCATGGGCAAACTGCCCTTGGCACTGTCCCTAGACAGTCAGTCTCTGTGGGGTCTCCTAGGAAGAGCTTCCTGGACTCTGTCACGGTCAGGGAGCTACCTCTCCTGATGCCTGCCCCCAGTGGTGCACCTGGGCCCCAGCCCCCAGGGCAGACTTGTGGCTTCTGGGCTGGAGCTCAGGGGGTCACAGGAAGGTGGGCAGCCCAGTAGGTATGGGGCACACGGGGGGAAGCTCACTGCGAAGGAGCTGCAGAGCTGAGTGCGCACCTTCTTGGGCCAGGCCTTACCATAGCTGTAGCACCGTCTGCCGCAGTGCGGGGAGGGCCCCATGTGCCACAGGGTCCACTCGGACCTGCAGCAGCTGAGCTGCTGGCCTCAGTGAGAGGCCCTTGGGGCAGGGGCCACCATCACCATGCTTTGCAGCCAACATGGACTGCCCTGCATGTCCAGCTCAGCCTCTCCTCCTCCTGCTCACACCCGCAGCCACAGTCACAGACATGCTCACACAGTCTCACCTCCCACGCACACACAGACACTGCCCGCCTCCACTCAGGAAGAGCTGGGCACATACCCCCAACTGAATCCTCAGCACCCAGCCTGCATTGGGTCGGCTGCCAGGCAGTGGTCCTGGTGGACAGCAAACTTGAGCCAAGGGCTTGGGACACCCTCTGACCAGACCATGACACCCAGCAAGGCCAGCTCAGGGCTATCCAGCAGGGCCCTCCCCAGTGTGGGACCAGAGGAAGACATCCCTTCCCTGACCCAAAGATTTTTATTCTGAATAAAACCTAATAAAGCTGCTGAGGCTGAAGCCACAGGCCCCACAGTCCCCTCTGAAATTCCTCCAAATCCCCCGGTCCACGAGCAGCAGAGGTGGGAGGAGCTGCAGGGGCCAGGCCACAATCAGCAGGGGCCAGGGCAGCCAGTCCCTCTATTCTGCAGCCCCTGGTCTCCACCTTGATCTCACCTCCAGGTAGGGCTCCCTGTGTGGCCATTGGCCAGGAGCCCCCACCCTCCTTCCCCTCAAGTCCAAGCCCCCTGGCAGGTCTCTGGCCAGGGCAGAGATTAGGAGCTGGCTCTCAGCCTCCCTGCCCCTGGCTGCCTCCTGGCCGTGCCCATAAGCCGGGCTCCTGGCAGTGATGACCCCAGAGTTCAGACCCTCACAGCCCAGCCTTCACCCCTGGTGCCCAGACCAGCTGCTATTTTGGGGCTGTGGGTGCCAGGAACAGTTGGCAGCTGGGTGGGGTGGGGCATAGGGGATAATGTTTGGGAATGAATTAAAAACTAAAAAATGAAATGATACAGGGTGACTCCCTCCAGCTTATTAGAGGGATGGAGAGGCCTTGCCCGACAGTGAGAGCACAGAGCAGAGAAGTCTGCCTCTGCTTGGTGACCCTGTCCCGAGGTGCCAGGAAGGTAGCAGGGTCTTCTCAAGTCACCGCTAGCCAGGGACATGGGCCAGAGGCAGCCCTGGAATCCAGCAGGCTTGGCATTGGTCCTGGGACCACTCATGACATGCACGTGCACACACAGACACCCTGGAGCCTTATGTCCTGTGGCCCCCAGGGCTGCCACAGAGCCAGAAAGCAGGACCCTCCCTCACGGGCACCGCCAGAAAGCAGGACCCTCCCTCACGGGCACCGCCAGAAAGCAGGACCCTCCCTCACATGCACCGCCAGAAAGCAGGACCCTCCCTCACATGCACCACCAGAAAGCAGGACCCTCCCTCAAATGCATCGCCATAGCCACACTCCTCCACCCTGGACTCTGGCCTGGCCTGACGGAGGCTGCTGGTTATTCACCAGATGGAGGCCCAGGCTCCATGTCTTCAGCCACCGTGCCCTGCCCCAGCATCAAGTTCCCTCCGCACTCTATTTCCTCCTTGGTAGAGGGGAAAAATAAAGCCAGTGTCTCCCACGGTTGCCTCGGGGTAACCGGTGGCAACACCATGAATGAGATCAAGAAGAGGCTCTCCAGGGGAAGCTGAGGCCAGGGTGGGGCCCAGCCCGGGGCTGGGGATGTGTTTCAGGGGGAGCACGGCCAGGCACCCGCCCCCCTCCCCCCGCCCCTCCTTGCCATCCTCATCCCTGCAGGGCTGAGACACGCAGGTCATTCCGGCTCCTTTTCTGGAACTCAGCATCAGCCAAGCCATGATCGCCACAGAGATGGCCACACCCCTCCTCTTCTCAGCTTTGCAACCCCCACCCCAGCTGGCCAGGCCAGATCCCAGAAGGCAGCCCTCACCACCCAGAAGACTCACAGCAGGAATACAGGGATACAGGGGCGGAAATAGGCCCTAGTGCTGGGGAACAGGACTGTTTCAGGGGAGACTCCCCCACCACAAGCCATTTCCACAGATGCTCTGATGGAGCCATGGGGTTGGGGGCCAGCTCAAAGCCGAGGGCAGCTGAGCCCCCTCCTCAGGGCCATGAGTGGTAAAACTGAGCCAGATGGAAACATACAGCCCCTCTGCATCCTCAGCAGATCTCAGCAGACCTGGTCGGGTTGCTCCTGAGATGCTGTGGCCTCTGCAGCTCCTTCATTCCCTGGCTCCCCAGCCCCGAGTCACTGCCAGCTGGGAACATGGGCCAGAGGCGCCCCAGAATCCAGTGGGCCGGGCATTCCAGCCTGGTCCGGGGGCCGCTCTGCCACACAAGTTTATGCCACCACCTCTGAACACTTGGGAGGCATGTGGGCTGGGCTAGGGCACAGCCACTCTGGACCCTCCTGCTGAGAGCCCCAGCTGAGACACAGACCCTTGGCCAACCCCAGGAATGTCCAGCCCTGTGAGCAGGATCTGAGCCCCACACGAACAAACGACCAAGACCAGGCTGGGGACCAGGCTTCCAGGCCCAGGCTGCACCCAGTCCACACACACAGCACATAGGGTCAGTGCTCCATAGTGGGCACGTCTCTGCAGGGACAGGATGGAGATGTCCACGCAGCACACAGACCAAGCTGAGGTAAAGTCTCAAAGTACAACCATGTGGCACACAACCATCCACCTAGGGGCACAGGCAGAACTCCCCAACACACCTCTTGGCTACCTCGGTATGTGTGGCCAGGCCCTCCTGCAGGTGCCTGTACTTACCACGTGAGGGCGCCCTGGAGCTGCCACAGGATCCTGCACCTGGACAGGAATGGGGAGACCCCTGGCAGAATCAGGCCCCAGAAGGACCTGGAGCATTGCACAGACACGAATGCCGTCTGCATGAGCAATGTGTAGAGGCAGGCCCCTCCCCACGGGGAGACTGCCCTTTGCCCCACACACCTCAGACCAGGGGAGGAGGGACACACGGGGGCCCTTGCACATCAGGATGCTCTTTGTTCATTCATTCGTTCATTCAACAGATATTTCTGAGCCCTTCCTAGGAATGGTGCCACAAGCACCACCAAGGTCCAGGTGGGCCTGCAGGGACAGGACCTCCATGGGTAGAGAGGGTAGTCTGGGCTCTGCCTGGAACCCACCTGGAACAGAGTCTGGAACAGAGCGGGAGCATCCTGGTCACAGTGGGTGGGAAGGCGGGGCCCCCTCAGCCATTGGTACAAGGACACAAGGGCATGTCTCAGACTCCTGGAGTCAAGACTTCACCGCTCTGTGCTTCCCTTCTGGAAGCTGGAGGGTAAGTTTAGACATGTTCGTTCAGTAAATGTCAGCGGTCATCATCACCATAATTACTGCCACCATCAGTACCATCACCACCATTATCATCAGTAACATCACCACCATCAACATAACCATTGCCACCATCATCATTGTTATCATCAGTAGCAGCAGTGGCAGGAGCACCATCACCATGGACCCTGCAGAGTGGGGCCATTTAAACTCCCTCTGGCTGGTCCTGTTTTCAGTTCTTTGAAGCAGTGGGGATGTGGGAGAGATGCAGATCCACTGAACTGTGGCCACCCAAAGGTCACTCCATAGACCCATATACTTCTAGGAGGGTGACTGCATGCTGAGGACACAGGAGGGGAAGCTACAGGGCCTCAGTGCCATATCAGCCTGGTGATGCTCAGGTCCCCGACTCCACATAAGGACAGCCCTCCTCTGGCCACAGAGGCCCTGGTCATCACCACCTAAGCAGCCCCTGAACCAGCTAACCTTGGACAGTCTCCAGTGTCCCTTCCCCACAAGTCTTCCCAAATGTCTAGAGAATACCCCTGTCTTGGCCCCCAAAAGGTATTTCCGTGACTTCACACCCAGAGAAGTGCAGAATCTGCTGGGGGCAGGTAGTCCTGCTTAGAAGACATAGTGGCTACCCTGGGAGAGTGGCACCCCCTGTCAGAGCCCACCTGCCAAAAGGCTGGAGATGTCCCAAGAGCCTAAGGACCAAACAGCCCACAGAAAAGCCCATTTCCAGCCAAACCCCACCTTTCCTCATGTGCAGACCCCCCAAGAATTACAGACCTGAGGAGGTGCTGTGGCTTGCACCCAGACAGAGCAGAAGGCGGATCCTTCCCAAGGGGCTCCTGTTTATCTGGGACCATTATCATCTTTACATTAGTTTTACACGGCCCATGTGTGTGCACCTGTGTGTGGCTGTATGCATATGTGCATGTGTGTATTCATTTGTGTGCGTGTGTGCGTGCATGCCTGGGGATGCCTGTGGGCATATGGTCATGCGTGTCAGTGTGTGCCCATGGTAGGGCATATGATCATGTGTGTTTGTGCATTCCTATGGTAAGGCACATGATCGTGTGTGTCGGTGCACGTCCATGGTAGGGCACATGATCACGTGTGTCGGTGTGTGCCCATGTTAGGGCATATGATCGCGTGTGTCAGTGTGTGTCCATGGTAGGGCACATGATCACACATGTTCGGTGCATGCCCATTTTAGGGCATATGACCATGCATGTCTGTGCGTCCCCATGTTAGGGCATATGATCACACGTGTCTATGCCTGCTCATGTTAGGGCATATAATCACGTGTGTCAGTGTGTGCCCATGGTAGGGCATATGATCACGTGTCTGTGTATCCCCATGGAAGGACACATGGTCATACATGTCGGTGCATCCCCATGTTAGGGCACATGATCACGTGTGTCGGTGTGTGCCCATGGTAGGGCATATGATCACGTGTGTCGGTGTGTGCCCGTTATGGCATATGATCATGTGTGTCAGTGTGTGTCCATGGTAGGGCATATGATCATGTGTGTCTGTGCATTCCTATGGTAAGGCACATGATCGTGTGTGTCGGTGCGTGTCCATGGTAGGGCACACGATCACGTGTGTCAGTGTGTGCCCATGTTAGGGCATGTGATCACACGTATCAGTGCGTGCCCATGGTAGGGCATATGATCGCGTGTGTCAGTGTGTGTCCATGGTAGGGCACATGATCACACATGTTCGGCACATGCCCATTTTAGGGCATATGACCATGCATGTCTATGCGTCCCCATGTTAGGGCATATGATCACACGTGTCTATGCCTGCTCATGTTAGGGCATATGATCACGTGTGTCGGTGTGTGCCTATGGTAGGCACATGATCAAGCGTGTCGGCATGTGCCCATGGTAGGGCATATGATCATGTGTCTGTGTATCCCCATGGAAGGACACATGCTCATACATGTCGGTGCATCCCCATGTTAGGGCACATGATCACGTGTGTCGGTGCGTGCCCACGGTAGGGCATATGATCACGCATATCTGTACGTGCCCATGTTAGGGCATATGATCACACGTGTCTATGCCTGCTCATGTTAGGGCATATAATCACATGTGTCGGTGTGTGCCCATGGAAGGACACATGATCATACATGTCGGTGCATCCCCATGTTAGGGCACATGATCACGTGTGTCAGTGCACGCCCATGTTAGGGCATATGATCACACGTGTCTGTGTGCCCATGACAGGCATGTGTGTTGTATGCACGTGTTTGTTGTATGTTCTCTGTACATGTGTGCATGTATGTGCCTGTGTGCACCCAGATGCTCATGCATGTATGTGTGCTTTTGTGTGCACCTGTGCATTTGTGTGTGGGGGAGTGCTGAGGTACAGAGAGCAGCTCCAAGGTAGGAAAGAACCACCCTGGGCCCTCCGGACTCCCAGAATGCTCAGGCCCTCCTGCCTGGCAGTCTTTGCCCATGAGGATGTTCCGGCTGGAAGGCTCTTCTCATGCTCCCACATCCCTTTCCCAACTCATCCTTCAGGTCCCAACTTGGTCTGTCTCAGAGACCACCATGTGCGTCAAAGCTCTGGCACTCCTGGGGCATGGGCTCCCCTTGGCCTCCACTTCCCAAAGCCGCCCCACTCTCAAGTCCCTCACCAGCCACTAGGGGTGGTGACTGGCAAGGAGAGGCCAGACAGGGATTAGTCACCGGGTGCGGCTAGTCCACCTCCTTCTCCAACCAGGATCCACCCTCCCAGGCCAGGCAGGTCCTCCTCCACCCCATTCTGACATCTGCTTGGTGGCATCCCTCCCCAGATAGCAGCCTGAGGACCTGTGGAGGGGGCAAGAGCAGAGCAGAGCAGGCTCTACACTGCCTCATGCAGGGACCCCCGGCTGAGTGTGGCCCAGAGTGGTCAGCCCCCAACATCAGCTGCTCCCCATATGGCCCTGGGGCCAAGACACCCTCAGGGATGTCTTCCATCCCAGGAAGGCCAGGTGGGACAATTTGCCTTCCGGGCAACACACATTCCTGCCTCCCAGTACCCTGTGTCCCCTGGGCCTCCACCCACTGTGTAGCACAAGCATGTGTCAACAGAACCCTGTGGCCAGGCCCCTGAGTGTCAGGAAGTCCCCTAGAAGACTGAGCTGCCTGCCCCTGGCTCACAGAGAGGTGGGGGGCAAATGGGGGTCTGCTTGGAGCAGGGCAGTGGCAGAGAGAAGGACCAGCCCCGAGGGGCTTGGGCATGGCAGGGATTGGGCCTGCCCTCCAGGTCTCTCTGGACACTCTTACCCCAGCCCCTGGCCTCCTCAATGCCACACTTAACCAAGTCCCCCTCAGACCACAACCCCATGCCCTCGCCTGCTCCTGACCCTCAGACACAGGTGCCCAGCTGCCAATGCTGTTCCCGCCTCCTGAACCCCAAAGTCCCCTCACCTCCTGCCCTGCCCTGACTTGATGTGGCCTCACATCCCAGCCTCTGCTCTCTCTCCCGTGCTGTGCCTGCCCCACCCCCACCTCCTGCACCCCAAAGTCCTCTCACCTCCTGCCCTGATGTAGGCTCACATCCCAGCCTCTGCAGTCTCTCCAGTGCTGTGTCTGCCATCACCCTGCCACCTGCCTCCCCGCCTGTTGGACAACAAGCAACTGTGCTTGTTGGGGAGACTGCAGACTTCAGGCCCCACCCCAGGGCTCAGCAGCCTCCAGCCTGGCCCTCACACACCCCCACCTCCTTGGGAAAGGCTCCAGGACACATACGGTCCACACCAGCCTCCTCCTCTGAGCTGCCGTGGCCAGCCGTCCTTGGCCTCAGATCATGTTCTGTCAGTCCTGGTCCCCTGGCCCCACTCCCTTGAAGGCAGCCAGTGACCAGAGCCCCAGAAGGTTCAGTTGCAGGTTCCAAGTGAATTTAGGGATGGGGAGACTGGGGAGGCCCTGCTGGAGCTGCATAAAGGCACTTTCAGTGACTGGGGGCCTCCATGCTGGCCATGGTGCTGCCTGTACTTCATGCAGCCCAGGGTCCTGCACTCTGGGCCCTTTCCTGGGGGAGGAAAGAAACCCAGACATCAGCCCTGGGGAGGTGGAAGGACCCCAAAAGGGGCTGAGCCCCAGCCACTAGCCACTCACCGATCCACCGGTGAGCGGGGCTGGAAATCGGCCTCCGGCGGGATCGTCTCAGGCTCAGGCACGAAGCACAGGGGCCCTGTCGTAAGTGGAACCTCCATCTGCAGCAGGTGCTGGGTGTGGAGAAGCCAGTCTCCCGAGGGTGGGGCAGGGGGTACGGATGGCTGTCACTCAGAAGGACTTCCCACCCGGGATGGTCAGTCTCACAAACGACAAGGAGACTACCCTAGGCTTACACAGACCCCAGGGGGCAGGGCCCCTCAGTGCCTCTCAGGAAGGCAGAAGGGGCTGTGGTCCTGGCCCAGTTCCTGGGACTCCTGCCTCAGGCTGCAGGCACTCCCTTTACTCTGTGCACTTGCAGGGATGAAACCCACCTCCAACTCCACGGACTCTACTGCCCAGGGCTTCCCCAGCCACAAAGGAGAGCTTGTGCCTGGGACAGCGACCACCCCCAGGACAGAAACACCCCCTCCCGGGACTCCTCTAGGACCCACTGTCCCATGTGGGACCGTTCCACAGGTGCTACTCTTCCAGGGCGCAAATCCCAGCGTGCTCCTGGCCACACCCACATCCCAAAGCTCTCCGGCTGTCCCCAGGCCTGCAGTCTGCTGCACCGTGCTCCCACAGTGGGGCCCACTTCCCTGCTCCGCCAGGCTGCTCCACACAGCCCTGGCACCCCTTGCCCCCTGCCCACACCCCTCCAACCTCGTACACAGGCAGAGGCCCCGCCCAGCCTCCACCCAAGCACACCCCCGGCCTGGTCCACCTGCAAAACCAAACCTGCTGGACTCGTCATTTCCCCCAACCAGCCTGGCTTCTCCATGAACAACCCCCCCAAGTTGGGGACTGCTCTCCTTGGTGATGACAAGGGTCCCCCACTGGTGTGGCCCCTCCAGACCTTGCCACGACCTCAGTGACCCCCCCATTGTCTCCCCATCCTGCAACTTGGGATGTTGAGGCTTTTAAGTTGTCAAACTAGAACAACTCGAGATGAGGACCTCGGCAGGGGGGCTGGTGACAGGAGGATGGATCGCCAGGAGGATGATCGCCAGGAGGATGGATGGCCCAGAGCTCAGAAGAGGTGGTTGAGGGCCCAGCCCCAGGGGACCCAGCAGGAAGAAGCCAGACAACTTCTGAGGCTCCCACTGAACCCAGACCCCACCAGGCTGAGGGGCTTGCACCTGCGGAGGAGGAGGGAGGAGTCACCCTCTGCAGTAGGCAGGGGAGAGGGGTGGAGAGCAGTGGCTTTGCATCCTCCTGTTCTTGCCCAGGGCTCCCAAAACAAATGCCACCCCAGCACACAAACCACACAGGCACACAGACACACATGCACACACACCACACAGGCACACACCTGTGCACAACACACCACAGACATACCACACAGGCACACACACAGGCACACACGTGCACACACCACACGGGCACACACAGGCAAACACAATTGCACACACGTTCTCACACAGACACACACGGGCATACATACATGTATCTACACATATACACGCATGCACATAAGCATCACAGTACATGCACAAACATGCAATACACATGCAGACACATACACAGCAACCAAATGATCAAGGAAAGGGATCAAAATATTAACAATAAGTGAATCTGGGTGAAGAGTATTCTCTATACTATGCTTACTCTTGCAATTTTTCTGTATATTTGACTTTATTTCCAAAGTAAGTTTTTTAAAAAAGGAATGCCGTCACCTCACCAGCCACCACCCCATACCACCCCCTCGAATACACCTCAAGCAGCTCTTCTTGATGTTGGGACCAGAGTCCCTCTCTCACCGCTCCTCTGCAGGGATGCAGTGTCCCCAGCTAGTGAAGACAGACACCTGTGCCCCCACCCCAGCCCCAAGCTGCTGCTTGTCCCTGCACCTCCAGGTGCTCACGCCCAGCCCCAGGGTGCAGCAAGCTTCCCAAAATATAAGGGGGAGGGGGAAGGGAGGCCATCCCATCCCTGAGGCCTGGCAGAGCAAGTTGGCCTAGGGACCTGGTATTCTGAGGCCCCGTCAAGGCCACCCTCCTGCACACCTGTACCCAGACTGAGGAATGACCTCACCTGCCACCTGCCACCATCTTTGGAGAAGGCTAGGGCTACGTTAGCCCAGCTTGGACGAGCCCAAGCAGCAAACTGCACCTTGAGGTCTCCTCCCGTGATGAGAACATCACGGCAGAAGCCGGCACTTGGGGGAGGCAGGGGAACCATGACACCAGCTCTGGACGTCCCCTCCTGTCTGGGCTGGACACCGAACCCAGGCACTTCTCACCCCGAAGCACACCATTGCCCACCCCTGTGCCCTGGACCCTCCACAGGGCCAAGCGGGGGACGCTGTCCCAGAGAACCTGGAGCCTCCACAGGGCCAAGCGGGGGACGCTGTCCCAGAGAACCTGGAGCCTCCACAGGGCCAAGCGGGGGACGCTGTCCCAGAGAACCTGGACCCTCCACAGGGCCAAGCGGGGGATGCTGTTCCAGAGAAACAGCTGCTGCCCACCCACAGAAAGTCTCCTCTTCCAAGCCTGACAGTTCCACAGGACTGAGGCAACACTCTTCCTGGTCTCACAAGTGGTGGCCAAAGCCCAAAGCCGCCAAGGGCCTCATCACCTGTGCACCACCTACTCCACTCCCGTCCCCTCGGAAGCTGCCCTGGGGCTGCCCAGCCTGCAGGGGCCCAGCCCTGTCCGTGGCAGCATGTCAAGGCTGCCCTCGGCCCTGAAGGAGACCCTTCCTACCCCACAGCTTCTCCTGGCACCAAGCAGTGGCGCTGCGGTGTCCGAGCTCCCCGTCTGCCCATAGGAGCCCCGCCATCACCCACGGGAAGCAGCACTGCAATCTCCGAGCCTCACCCTCCGCAGGACACCAGGAGCGTCAGCATGCTGCCATCCACAGAGCCCCGTGACGGGCAAGTGCTGGGCTATGGCTTCCCATAGCTTAGGACCGACTTCGGGCGGCTCGCCCTCTCCACGGCCACAGAGCTCGGAGGAGTGCCCAAGAGGCGCCTCTGTCCAGGATACACTGGAGGCCCCTGTGCCCAAGCTCTGCCCAGACATTAGCAGTTGCTGGTCCTTCTTTGACTCTGGGTGGCCAGGACACTTGCGGGAGGGAGGGTGCTGGCCCCAAACAACCCCACAGGCCGTGTGGACTCCCCAAAGGCAAAGGGGCCCTGTGGCAGACCTGTCCTGAGATAGGAGCCTCAGCCCTGGGCCACAGCAGGAAGCCAGCAGGTCTGGTGGGCACCCCTGGAACTCACTGGAGTTGAGGCCTGGTCCTGATGCTCATTCCGACACCTGAAGCCTGATTAGCTTGGCAAGTCTAGCTCCCTCTTGCACGAGCTGAGCGACGCAGCAGGGCGAGGCCTGGCCCGTGCCCAACGCTGACGCTTCCGCCTGGTCCAGCTGGTGACAACGTATGAGACACCTAGGCCTGTGGCCGGCTGCCAGGAAAGGAGGGAACCTAGACTGCTGTTCACCATCTGAATACCCCGTGACTTACCAGCAAGCAGGCCACTCTCTCACACCTCCACCAGGGTCGCCTCCCAGATAATCCTTCTCAGTCATAAGGAGGAACTCTTGAGAAGAGACCTTCCAGGGAGGAGCCTGGTGGCTCGAGGAGCCTCTGAACCGGGCTTTTTTTTGCTGTTTCTTTTTTTTTTGAGACGGAGTTTCACTCTTGTTGCCCAGGCTGGAGTGCCATGGCGCGATCTCAGCTCACTGCAACCTCTGCCTCCCTGGTTCAAGAAATTCTCCTGCCTCAGCCTCCCAAGTAGCTGGGATTACAGGTATGCGTTACCACGCTCGGCTAATTTTTTTGTATTTTAGTAGAGACGGGGTTTCTCCATGTTGGTCAGGCTGGTCTCAAACTTCTGACCTCAGGTGATTCGCCCGCCTCGGCCTCCCAAAGTGCAGGGATTACAGGCGTGAGCCACCGCACACGGCTTTCTCTTCTTATCATTAAGCACTATGAAGGAATAAGCGAGCCTTTTTTTTTTTTTTTTTTTTTTTTGAGACAGAGCCTTGCTCTGTCACCCAGGTTGGAGTGCAGTGGCATGATCTCGGGTCACTGCAACCCCCGCCTCCCGGGTTGATGCCATTCTCCTGCCTCAGCCTCCCGAGTAGCTGGGACTACAGGTGCCTGCCAACACATCCGGCTAATTTTTTGTATTTTTAGTAGAGACGGGGTTTCACCGTGTTAGCCAGGATGGTCTCGATCTCCTGACCTCGTGATCTGCCCACCTTGGCCTCTCAAAGTGCTGGGATTACAGGCGTGACCCACCGCGCCCGGCTGAGGCGCTTCTTTTTTATTTTTTTTTTTGAGACGGAGTCTCGCTCTGTCACCCAGGCTGGAGTGCAGTGGCACGATCTCCGCTCACTGCAAGCTCCGCCTCCCGGGTTCACGCCATTCCCCTGCCTCAGCCTCCCGAGTAGCTGGGACTACAGGCGCCCACCACCACGCCCGGCTAAATTTTTGTATTTTTAGTAGAGAGGGGGTTTCACCATGTTAGCCAGGATGGTCTCAATCTCCTGACCTCGTGATCCGCCTGTCTTGGCCTCCCAAAGTGCTGGGATTACAAGCGTGAGCCACCGCGCCCGGCCCAGGCGCTTCTTTTAACTCCAGATGTGTGCACCCGAAAGTTAGCCACAGTTACGTGATGGAGCAACTCCAGGCTGCAGGGAAACGTGAGCGCCGGCCGTGGGGATGCGCGGGGAGGAGGGCGGGCCACCAATGCCTCGCCCACACTGTGTGGAGTCCACAGGATGGAGACGGATACTGAGGGAAGCCATGAGTTGTGGTCTGGTGACTGAAGTCACAGAGTAACGGGGCTGCCCCAAGCTGGGAGCCAAGGTGCGGACTCCTTTCTCACGGGCCTCCTATGGTGAGATCACAGCAGAAGCCGGCCTGGGCTTACAGCTGGTCTCCGGCCAGAGAGGGCATTTCTGTCCTACCAAAGACTGCAACAATTCTGGACAGCGAGGGGCCTGGAGGGACAGGATTCAGCCCAAAGTACCACAGGCCACACGTTTCCTCCATGTCATCCCCTAGCCTGGCCATTTAAGACCCAATGCAGACAGCAACCTGCAGAGCCAGCCTGTAACCCACCAGAAGCCCAGAGCACACTTGGGCTTGCACCTGAGCTACCACCCAGCCCCTCCAAGGAAACTTCTACAGGCAGAGGCACCTCAAACTGTAAATCCAGCTGAAGGCTTTTCCAATAGCTTGCAATTTATTATGACATTTAAGAATTCTAGCATAGGCCAGGTGCACGGGCTCACGCCTGTAATCCCAGTACTTTGGGAGGCCGAGACGGGTGGGTTACCTGAGGTCAGGAGTTCGAGATCAGCCTGGCCGACATGGTGAAACCCCATCTCTACTAAAAATACAAAAATTAGCCGGGTGTGGTGGCACGTGCCTGTAATCCCAGCTACCTGGGAGGCTAAGGCAGGAGAATCACTTGAAACCGGGAGGCGGAGGTTACACTGAGCTGAGGTTGCACTCCAGCACTCCACCATGGGTGACAAGAGCAAAACTCCATCTCAAAAAAAAAAAGAAAAGAGAATTCTAGCATGGTGGGCTTTGGGGAGGGGAAGAGGGAAAAAGGAATAGGGCTCATGTGGCTGGCTTTTAGGGAGGCAGGTGTGAGAAATACTAACAACTTACAGCTCTTTATAAAGCAAAATGAGATGAAATCCCTCCCCCGCCCCCCCAATTCTCACTCCACAAACCTATGCCTTTCGGTTCTCCCTTCCCCTGGTAGGCCTGGCTCCTTGCCTGGCATTACCATGCACCACGAATGCAGGCAGGAGGCCCCAAACACCCAGACACGGTGTCAGTTCTACAAAACTTTCCAAGTTGGCAGAAGGAGAAGCCACTGCCTCCTCCGGTTTGGAGGCCTCAGGGGAGGTGTTGTCTAGACCGCCCAATCCACTATCCATTCACAAGCCAGTCAGCAACTACCACTTGCCAGAGTCCCTGCCACCACCTCCCACTCTGTGGGGACAACAGCATCCACTTCTTCCACAACAACGAAACAACAAAGATAAAGCATGGCACCTGTCGTCATGCTTGCCACCTTTCAGCACCTCTCGGCTCAGCATTCTGAAAGCCGGGAACTCATCTTTAAAGGAGGCCAGGACTTGAATACAAGCAAGAAAATGGCATAAAATGAAGGAATTAGCCACTCGAGGTTGAAAACACACTTCCCTAAAATGACAGCAGCATTTGGAGCTGCAGGTGGGAGCACACAGCCTACCTCTAACTGGCCTGTCAGAACAGACACGTTTTCCCGTTCTCATTTTGTGTTTCCTTAAACCAACTACTAACTTCTGGCAGAGGTGGTGACTGCCTGGGAAAGATGCCATCCTCATCTGGCCCCCTTATCTATCAAGATGCAAACTAATAAAACCAGCGGGCGGGACACCCATTTAACCTGAAACCTCCTCTTTTGTTAAAAATGGACTGAATGTGTCTTCCGGTTAATAATAAACTTTGCTGGGCACTGGAATAACCACCAGCCTCCTCAACCGTGGCTGCTCTCAAAAGCAGATGTGGTGTTCCCTGTCCCGAGAAGGCTCCAGAGTATTTGGATTAAGGACCTGGATATGCAGATCCTACTCTTAAGAATTAACATTTCCTCCCTACCCCTCAAATGTAAAACTGGAAAAATTAAGAACTCTGTATTTTGCATTGCATTCTCTTAAAAATTCTGTTAAAAAAATCTCTTCACAGACTGGGTGTGGTGGCTCGTGCCTGTAATCCTAGTACTTTGGGAGGCCAAGGCGGGCGGATTGCCTGAGCTCAGGATTTTCTGGGCTGAGGCTAATATTGCATAACTTTATCACATACTTGTCAACTTCTGCAGATGTACACAATGTGCATTTCACTGCTTATAAATTTTACCTCAAAAGGAAAACAAACTAAACAGGTATTAAACTCTTATTGCATAAATAATAAGAGGCATTGGAGGATGAATGGAGAGAGACGGTGAGGAGCCAAGTCCAGAAAGGGGGTAGCGGTGCCCAGGTGCTGCACGCACCGCTGCGTCTGCACATTCATGTGATGAGGGGTGGGTGACGGTGCCATGTAGTTTATAGTCTTAAGGAAATTAACAGCTCCCTCTTCCAAAGCGAGGGAACGAGAATCCCACACCTTGAGAAACACAGGGCTTTCTACGGTGACTCCCCGAATGGCTCTGCAGCTTAAAAAGCTCCAACACATAAACTCATCAAGTAGGGTGAAGAATGAGGTGACACCAAGTTTGCTAAATAGTATTGTTTATTAAGGCTTGTATTCTCCTAGAGGAAAAACCCAATGTCGTCCAGGACTCCATTCAGGCAGTAACAGTTCAGAGGAAGTGACACGCTCTAAATACAAGTCTAATGATACAGCTGAAACGTTAACTCAGAGGGTCTTTTGGAGCAAGTAGTTTTCAGAAAGCGTCTGCTCTCTAGGACGGTAAGGATCCTCTACAAGGGCACGTGCAGATCCAGGCGCTGGAGCGTCAGGCATGGGCACCATTTTCATGCTTCAACTCAAACTCCAGGTGGTAGTGAGCTCAACGGTCCCTCATTCCACAAAACATGACAGCAAATTCATCTTCTAAAAAAAGTTTTGTTTTGTTTTTACCCATTCAACAGGAAAAAAAATTAGACACACACGATGAAATTTACAACCAGCAGCATCATCCATCACACTGTCTGTACTACCAGATCCTACACTTAAAGCTCAGCATTATTGGTATAAAAACTTAAGACGGCATTAGAATTCTTAAGAAAAGGTGTAAAATTTAAAAAGATGTGCAAACAACAAAGAATGCCCGACCCTGAACCAGACCTAAAGCACCTTCCAGTTCCTCCACACATCATGCCCCAACACCATCCAGCCCAATCGGACACCAGGACAGTGAGGGACGGGTGGCTGTTCAGTGGGCAACAGATCTGGAAGGAAAGATTTTCAAAAAAAAAAAAAAAGTGTCTGCCAAATTTGAAAAATTAAAAGTTATCTGTCTAGCAGAAAAATCAAATGGGTAAATTAGCACTTTAGACCGATAACAGATAATAAAATGACAAATCAGAATGAACAAAAAATCATTAACCTTTTGATTTCAGTATTTTCAAGAGATTTTATCAGAATACTCTAAATGACAAAATGACTCATGGTTTCTTATGTTTGCTAAAAAGCAATAAAGGGATGAGAAATATGAAGTCTCACAGAATATCAAATGACTGAATTTAAGAACACAATTTCTGCCAAAATAGATGCTTTGTTTTTAAGGATACTTACATTTCACATTAGATCAGTCTGATTGATAAGCTGACAAAAAAAATACTCCTTTATTAGTGACTTCTACAGGATTATAATACATAGAAAAAGTACAAATAAATGCAGATCCATCTGGGCAAAAATCAACGACAAGAAAGGCAAAGATGCAACACTCAACCCCCGCACGGGACGACACACTGGAGCTGACCAAGCACACGTGTTTTAAACTGTTTTCAAAGTCAAACGTTAGAACATGTAAGAAACTGGTTCGCCCTCATTGTTTGTTTCGACTCTGCCGTTCCTGTAAAAAGAAAAAACAAAAGTTGAACGCAGAGTAACCACACCAATGAATCCCTCCCAAAAGTGAGATCCGAGGCTGCCCCTTAGCAGCACCTGCAAATCTGGAGGCGGGACCCTGAATGGTACCCAAGCCACACCAGCACACAACTCTGAGCTGCACTGGGGCCTGCTCTGTGGGGGACTGGCCACACTGGGCATGGCATTCTCCCCACCCCCTCTACCAGGAGAAAAGCATCAACCACAACGGTCACATGGGCCACCTGTCTGCTGGGAAGCCTCACTTCCCACAGCTGTCTTTCCCTCATGTGCCACTATCATTCCACATGGAAAGACACTTAGCAATGTGAAATTCTCTGCACTCAGAGGGAGGAGCTGGCACGCACCAGGCTCTCAAGGAGGCCAGGGAGACAGAAGCTGTTCTTCTGTATTTTATCTCATTTAAACTTCTCAGTGGCACAAAGGACACCAAAATCCTTCCAACTGGCTAACAAGGTGCTGTGTCATGTGGCTAATGAAGGGCAGGAGGACCGGTGTGGGCCTGTCCAGTTCAGGCCCTTCCCACTCCCCAGCTCACTCCCACGCCAAGGGGAAGAGCATGCCCCTCCCCACTCCCCCACGGCTAGACTGGCTCAAGGCAAAGCTCCTCTGACCAGGTTTGCTGCCCACTCCCGTAAGAGAATCATCTTTTCCAGAGTGTATGTGACACACAAGCTTGAGACTTACACCCGAATCTTTTCCCACACTGGCCTCCCTGAGTAGCAGGGTCTAGAAGCCCCTTCAGTCTCCTTACAAGGCAGCATACAAAGATGAAAATGTGCGATCTAAGGAGCACACGCTGCACCACTCTGCTAGAGAGGTGTCCCAGGCCGAGTGTGGTGGCGCACCCTGTAATCCCAGCTATTCGGGAGGCTGAGGCGAGAGGATCGCTTGAGCCCATGAGTTTTCGGCTGCAGTGAGCTATTATCTGCCCTGCACTCCAGCCTGGGCAACAGAGAGAGACCCTATCTCGAAATAAAAACAAAACAAAAAGATGCATCCCAGGCACATCCACCCTCATCTGGCCATCTATCAAGATGCAAACTAATAAAGAAAACCAGCGGGCAGGACACCCAAACATTTAACCTGAAACCTCCTCTTTTGCTAAAAATGGACTGAATGTGTCTTCCGGTTAATAATAAACTTTGCTGGGCACTGGAATAAACACCAGCCTCCTCAACTGTGGCTGCTCTCAGAAGCAGATGTGGTGTTCCCTGTCCCGAGAAGGCTCCAGAGTATTTGGATTAAGGACCTGGATAGGCAGGTCCTACTCTTAAGAATTAACATTTCCTCCCTACCCTCAAATGTAAAACTGGAAAAATTAAGAACTCTGTATTTTACATTCTCTTAAACATTCTCCGTTAAAAAAAATCTCTTCCCAGGCTGGGTGTGGTGGCTCATGCCTGTAATCCTAGCACTTTGGGAGGCCAAGGTGGGTGGATTGCCTGAGCTCAGGAATTTGAGACCAGCTTGGTCAACATGGTAAAACCCCACCTCTACTAAAAATACAAAAAAAAAAAAAAAATTTGGCAGGGCATGGTGACCGGCGCCTGTAATCCCAGCCACTCTGAAGGCTGAGGCACAAGAATTACTTGAACCTAGGACGCAGAGGTTGCAGTGAGCTGAGATTGTGCCACTTCACTCCAGCCTGGGGGAGACAGCGAAACTCTCAATCAATCAATCTCTTAACAAAAGAGGTACTGCTGTTCCTAAAAAGCAAATACCAATCTCTTGAGTTCAAATAGCTGATGTTAAAGCCACTCACAGGTAAACTCCCCAGATCCCCATCTCCCTTCAGCCCTTATAAACAGCTACAAAGTTTACTATGTGCTCTTTAAAAAATACTATTCCTCATAAAATTTCTCAAAAAAAAAAAAAATGACGAAGCACAGCTCGTTCTTTTGAGGAATGCTCAACAAGCATCCAGGAAATGCTTATGGCCTAAGATTCTCTATGCTCTTTCTTAATTTCCAAAGTCAAAGAGCCACTCTGCTGAGCCGGCCTGGAGGTCGAAGTGGGGTCAGGTCAGGGGCACCTGCCGCCAGGGCAAGGACAGTCAGTCTGAGGAACTAAGCAATGCTCACAGTGTGGGACGCTCACCACTTTCACTGTTTTAAGCTAAGAAGTGGCCGTTTCTAGGTTTTTTTAAAACCAAAAAATGTATCAACCCAGGACTTGGTCTGACTCTGCTGCCATAAAAGCTACTGCCATCCTAAGAAATCAGTATGTTTCTAAATTTATAGCTGGACAGCAATCTTGCAAAATGCTAACTCTACTTCACTTTCTCAACACTCAACTTGTTTATGACCTTTACAGCAATGGGGCCAAACTCTAAATGATAAAGAAAAGGTGGGTCTGTTCTTCGAAGTCCTGAGAGAACCTTGAGAAAACCGCCCGGGGGCTCTACCAGCACAGGCGCACAACCCTCTCCTCGGCACACTACTTTGTTCTTAAAACTGCACTGACTCGGCCGGGCGCAGTGGCTCACGCCTGTAATCCCAGCACTTTGGGAGGCCAAAGCGGGCGGATCACGAGGTCAGGAGATCGAGACCATCCTGGCTAACACGGTGAAACCCCATCTCTACTAAAAGCACAAAAAATTCGCTGGGCGTGGTGGCAAGGGCCTGTAGTCCCAGCTACCCGGGAGGCTGAGGCAGGAGAATTGTGTGAACCCAGGAGGCAGAGCTTGCAGTGAGCCGAGATCACACCACTACACTCCAGACTGGGCAACAGTGCAAGATTCTGTCTTAAAAAAAAAAAAAACAAAACAAAACTGCACTGACTCTTCATGGGAAACCCAGAGGGAGAAAGCATTAGACACCCAGAGTCTCAGCCTCAAGACACCTAAGACTCCAATCCTGGATGAGCCACTAGCCCAGCCCGTTAAGCACAAGGCCTAGAGCACCTTCGCAGGCAGGGAGAGCCAGCAGCGAAGTCCAGTCTGGGGACCTCCTCAAGGACCACTTCCATTTCTCTACACTGCCCAATAAGCTTAAAAGATATTTGACGCCGGGCACAGTGGCTCATTCCTATAATCCCAGCACTTTGTGAAGCCAAGGTGGGAAGACTGTTTGAGCCCAGGAGTTCAAGACCAGCCTGGGCAACATAGCAAGACACTGATTCTACAAAAAAATACAAAAATTAGCCAGGCGTGGTGGTGCACGCCTGTAGCTACTCAGGAGGCTGAGGCAGGAAGACCGCTTGAGCCCAGGAGGTCAAGGCTACAACAAGCTGTGATTAAGTCACTGCACTCCAGCCCGGCAGACGGAGAAAGACCTGTCTCAAAAACAAAAACAAAAAGCTATTTGAGGCGGGGCACGGTGGCTCACACCTGTAATCCCAGCACTTTGGGAGGCTGAGGTGGGCAGATCACTTGAGGTCAAGAGATCGAGACCAGCCTGGCCAACATGGTGAAACCCTATCTCTACTAAAAATACAAAATTTAGCTGGGTGCAGTGGTGGGCGCCTATGATCCCAGCTACTTGGGAGGCTGAGGCAGGAAAATGGCCTGAACCTCGGAGGTTGAGGTTGCAGTGAGCCAAAATTGCACTACTGCACTCCAGCCTGGCTGACGGTGAGATTGGCTCAAAAAAAAAAAAGCTATTTGAAATTCCACCAAACATTAACAAACCAGGTTCTCATTTGTCACTTTCAATAAAATGAATTAATGTTAACACTGACCCATATGGGCCCAGAGTTCTCCAGCTTGGCTAACAGTTTAGGGGAGGGTTACCAAGTTCCTTCCAATGATGCTCCACCAGCGGCTCTGTTGGACTCGCCTTGGAGCACCCAGTGGTTTGAGGAACACTTGGATCTTGCCTGCAGGCAGATGCCCACAGACCCTGCAGGCCGCTTACCAAGATGCTTAACCCATAACCCGACACACAAAAGCAGTTATCTAGATCAAGTTTTTATAATGCAAGTTGTAGGACACTAGAGTTTTAAAAACACCAACCAGGTCAGGAGTCCGCACACTTTATGAAAACCCAAGTATTACGGTATTTAAGAAGAAAAACTGTGCGCGCACACACACACAGCCAGCTTCCAGTTTAGCCAGCTAAGGACCTAAAGCTTCATTAGCAATTATCCCTGCAACTTTAGCAATTCAGTATTCATTTTATACCTAAAAGTCTGTAATCCGAGCTATTGTCTGTAATCCCAGCTACCTGGAAGGCTAAGGCAGGACAATCACTCGAACCCAGGAGGTGGAGGTTGCAGTGAGCCGAGATTGCGCCACTGCACTCCAGCCTGGGCAACAGAGCAAAACTCCATTTAAAAAAAAAAAAAAGACCTAAAACACAGAATTTCAGTAACTAATTCAGAATTCAGTAACTGGAAATAAATGACATCCACTTCTTTTCTCACAAAAGAGAGGGACTGATACTTTTCCAAAGTTCTACAAGCCCCAAGTTGTTCAGGACTTGCATAATGTAAGACTGCAGACAGTGCAGGCGGCTCTACTCTATACATCCCTATATATGCCATGTACACGCCTTTCTGCCCAAAATACATTAGGACACTTGGTGCTCACAGGTGAATAATTCCTTTAACATAGAGAACTGAAAAAAACACTGAAAACCCATCTATTATCAACTGACATTTCAGGAAGGGATATTTTTTAAAAAGCAGGAGAGAATCTCAGGATGAACTCTCTCGAATAAAGGAAGCATTATGAAGTATGTCAGCATCATCATTTTCCCATTGCTGGTGCCAGTTTACGGGCATCTGAGCCCTTCTGAAGAGCAAACACACTCAATCCCGTCAGACATCACATGACAGCACAGACTCAGGAGTTTGGCTACAAGTATCCCAGGAAATCAGGACTGTCTCAAAAAGGCCCAGTCAATGAATTTTTGATATAGGATCCATATTTGTCATTATAAAATGTCTGGATTCCAAACCTACCCCACCACCACCATTTTCTTTACGACCTAGATGGAGTGAGTTTGTTTCCAAAAACTGCAGGATACTGGGTTTTTAAAAGAAAAATAAAGCAACGACCTCCAGATCAAAGACCAGAGATTCCCAACTACTGAGGGACAGTGCCCTGGGAAGCAAGGGCCCTTGGCCAGGTGGGGTCTCGATGCCCTACGTGCCCACCGCAGTGCTTCGTGAATATCACCTAAGTGTTCCTCATGGACGGAGGCTGGGAAGCACTGTTCCAGAAAGTATCACAATTCAAAAAGGAGAGGAGAAAGTTACCCTCAAATTCTTTGTAACAGAAAAACAGAATGTGTACACTGTGGTCCCAATTATTCAATTATAATTGGAAAGTGATCAAAGTCGTTCGGTGACATCTACCCAAATACCATCACTGGTTACTAGCAGTACTCTCCGCAGGGAAAGCCCACGAGGCTGCCAGGACCTGGGCCCGCCCACCTGCGGCCAACTGGGAGCTGCCTGTCACGAGACTCAGCTCGGCGGACCTGCCGCATCTGCTCACCACCGGGCCACCTGGTCTAAGTACGGCACCAAGGACACATCTGCATGGCAGTTGCCTGCAACACCCAGCCTCACCTTGCGCACCACCTCCTCCTCCTCCTGGCGCTTCTCGTAGTGAGCAAAGTCGTCGAAGATGGAGGTTGTGTGCTTGTAGGAACTGATAATTTTCAGCACTTGCTTGGCTTTTTCTAAGGGCACCTCCTGGGTGTCCCGGGAGTTTGTGACCGGTTTGTTGTCGTTATTCTCCAGCCTGATGTGCCGGAGCTGGTTATTGGGTACATCCTTAACAAAAATCCACTGGACATCAAACTTCCCCTTCCACTTGTCCTGAGACCAGACCCCGGCACTGGTGCCGTAGTCCACGGGGGACTTCATCTCGGCCACCCCACAAAAATGCCCACTCCCATTGACGCTGAAGAGCAGGTAGACGGGCCCCTTGCTGCTCATGCAGCGGAAGGCGCTGTCCAGGCGCTTGTTGCCGTGCTCTGTGCTACACCAGATGGAGTACTTAATGGAGCGGTGGATGTCGTCCTCAGAGTAGCTCTTGATGATGAACACACGCCCGCTTTTCAGATTCCACTCAAACTCTTTCGGGTTGTAGCTGTGAGCAGCCTTCAGTTTTTCAAGGACGGGGTGGGATTCGACGCTGGGGGCAGAATTAGGCTGGAC
The DNA here is from genome assembly GCF_000001405.40 of Homo sapiens. Lineage (NCBI taxonomy): Eukaryota > Metazoa > Chordata > Mammalia > Primates > Hominidae > Homo > Homo sapiens. The sequence continues at coordinate 63,202,881 of NC_000020.11, forward strand.
GTTTCCAGGAGAGTTGCTATCGCTGCCAGCCCCTCCGCTCTGCCCAAACGCCGCGTTTCTGTTGCGTGGGGCAACCCAGCGGGTCTGGGGTGGCTGCTGAGGGCTCTGATACTGCGGTTGAGCCAAAGCTGGGGGCTGTGCTGGGAGAGGCTGAGCCACCTGCTGGGGCTGTGGGGCAGCCTGTGGAGAGGGTGCCTGCTGGGGGACTGGGGCCTTCGGCACAGGCCCCTTGTTATCCCAGGTGCCAATGTCCATGTTATGCTTTATGGGTGGAGGGGGCAGCCCACCCCCCATGACAGGCCCGCTCTTTGTTTTCATTTTAGGCTGTGGTTTTGCAGGCTTGCTGGCAATGGCAGCCCACGAGGTCGGCTTTGAAACTGGCATGTTCACATTTGTCCCACCGTTGCCAGAAAGGACACCAGTCAGTGCCACGCTGCTGACGACAGAGCCCACCGTCTTGACGGCGGAGGAGCTGACGTCCCCAATCTTCAGGCCAACCATGCCCTGCTCCAGGCTGTTCATCCCGGGGGCCTTGCTGAGGGTGTCGCTGTGAAAGCCTGGCTGCCCATCAACCACCGTGCCACCCAGGGAGCTCGGGGGGTAGGTGTAGCTGCTCCCATACGCGGAGCTCTGGGTCTGCTGACCTTGAGACCCACTTGTCCCCCATGCTGAGAACGCAGGGTTTTCAGGGAAAAAATTGAACCTGTGCTGATAGATGTTGTTCCCCAGGCCCCCAGGCTGCCCAAAAACAGCATCGTGCATAAAATGATGGTCTCCGTTACTGAGCTGTCCGTAGGTGGTGAGGTATGGAATCGGAGGGTCCCCTGCAGTAGACCACGGAGCCTCATTGAGGGAGTAAGGAAATCCAATGGACGGCGGGTAATAGCTGGACAGGTAGGGGTCGCTCATTGAGGGGTAACTGTTACTCTGCAAAAGCAAACGTGACAAGTTACACCACTTCTACAACACGAGATGCTGAGAATGCCAACCGCCTCTTGCTTAAGCACAGGTGGAGCAAAAACAAAACCTGCACAGCATGGGGCTACTCCTTCCAGAAAGAAAGCTGTAGTCGCCAATGTGAGAACCAAATCAAGACAGAGAAATTAATAACGAACACAAACCAGGGTGCCGTCTCAAAATACGAAGCATCATTGGCAAGGCTCTGAATTCAGGCTAAATGACGAAGCTATGCCTCTCTAGAACTGGCAAGGTAGCAGCCCCCTCTACTCTTACCTGCAAAGGAATCCAGAGGTAGAGGAGTAAACCCCTGCCTGCTGACGACAACGCTTATGACAGACACGGACGGCATCATGGGAACTGAAACAGCTTTGTAAGGCAGAGATATTTCCATTGGCAAACCAGGATGTGCAGGGCCGTGAGGCAGTTTGCTCCAGAGAACAGACCCCAAGCTCGCTGATTACTCAGCAGGCCCTGGGCGCCCACCTCTGGGCCTTGACATTCCTCCTGGGACACTCTCCCATACCTGGACCAAAGCTCTCCCAGAATCCTTCAAGGGTGCTTCAGAGGCTCCTTCCACACACCCTTCCTAGCAGATGGCCCCTGCCTCTAAGTCCAAGGGGGTTCACATTCCCATGATTTCCTGGGCACAGCGTTGGGCTCTTGCAGTAGGCCCCTGCACAGAGGGCCCTGGCTGGCTCCAGCTCCTCAGCCAAGAGAAAGCATCCGAAGTGTGGACTCTGTGCTCCGGGTGCAGAGCAGCCCTCACTCTGGATGCCAACTCACCTGGGCTTCCTTATGAAAACATGTCTGTGTAGTGACTGGAACCTCAGAGAGTGGTTTTAAAGTGACGGAACCATGAGGCAAAAAGGTCTGCTAGAGAAGGTGAGTGCCTGAGTGCCCCATCGTAGGGGTCTCTGAAGAGCTGCCCAGGGCACAAATTTAGACTGAGGGTCAGCAGTTCTGGGACGGCATCTCCTTGGAGAGACTCAACTAAGGGTCTGGTCATGATTGGGTCCCTCCAACACTGCCTTAAAATGACTTTCGTGTGAGGTGTGTCTGTATGTGTGTGCGCACACACACCTGTACACAGGCCGGTGAGACGGGGTCCAGTGTGAGGTAAGAAGGCTCCCACCTAGACGCATCGTCTGAGAGTGCCAAGATGCTATTACAGAAAACAGAGCCGGAAGTAAAACACGGGGCTCTCCAGTCTGTGACGCCCGTTTTTGGATTTTTAGTTTTCCCGCTCCCCGCCCCCCAGTCCCCCAAGTAACCAGAAGGTTCTACATAAAGAGAATATGCTCCAGACCTCATCTCACAACCTCATCCCTGCCACATTGACCTTTCATGTTGGCATCAAAGGCTACACTATGAAGGATAACAGCACCCAGTCGGGGACACCAGGTGGGAAAGTAGCTGAGGCAATGAGGGAGACTGTGGGATCCCAGACAATGAAACAGGCCTGCTTCACTGGAGGGGTGACCACAAGCAGCTCTCCCTGGGGGCAGTGCCCCAACACCAGCCAACACTGGTGGACTAATGAACCAATGACCCGGCCACCACTTCCTGCCTCCTGCTCCCATCCTAGAATACTGAGGGCTTCAGAAATCCAATTTATTTTCTAATTTTCTTCCTGTTGACTTCTCCACTTGTGAGCAGACAATTCCAGAACCCCCCCCTTTTTTTTTTGGGACGAAGTCTCACTTTGTCGCCCAGGCTGCAGTGCAGTGGCACGATCTCAGCTCACTGCAACCTCCGCCTCCCAGGTTCAAGCGATTCTCATGCCTCAGCCTCCCAAGTAGCTGGGATTACAGACACCCACCACCACACCCGGTTAATTTTTGTATTTTTAGTAGAGACAGGATTTCATCATCTTTGCCAGGCTGGTCTCGAACTCCCAACCTCAGGTGATCCACCCGCCTCGGCCTCCCAAAGTGCTGGAATTACAGGCATGAGCCACAGCGCCTGGCCCCAGAATCATCTTTTAAAATGCACTAACTGCTGTTTCCCCGTAATATAAATTTGAGATTCTGGGGGTATAAGAAGACAAGTGGGATGCTATCAGTGTTCCACAAACATGAGATTAATCTGAGCTTATTCTCCCTCAAAACAGTTTCCATGATGCTGGCTCCTTTGCTGCAGCCTTTCCCTCGGGTGCTGCCCTGGCCAACAGGCCCAGACTGGGGGGGTGAGCGAATCAGGGGGGCGGTCTGTGCACAGGACTTGCTCCTCGAGTCACTGGCCGCAGGTGCCTTCAAGGACGGCAGGCAAGGGGACAGTCCCCCCCACAGGGAAGCCAGCCCTCCTCCTCCCATTAGCTGGACACGTGCTCCTCAGCAGCGCTGCAATCACAACACATCTTCCTTCCACGCAAAAAGAGCAGATGGGAAAAAAAGACCTCGATGGCTGTGTGGTATTCTAATCCACTTGGCCCCAACACCAACCAGAGGAGTCAGGCCACAGAAACAGATGCCCAGGGACACTTCTGACTTACACCTAAAGCCTTAACTAAGACAGGACATCACTTACCACATGAAAAAATCCACATTACATGAGGCATGTAACATTCCTGAAAATCCGTTTTAAGTATTAAATGGACACACCTAGCACACACGCTGCACAGACAGAGAGCCCATAAATGACCCATCCAGCTTCCCTCTACCCAAGGTGCAGGGCCTGCAGTTCTAGCCAGTACTCTGCAAATCCTTCAGCTCCAGATCACCACCATTCACATCCTGAGCCACAGAAGACGGTGACGCTAATCAGCTCTGCTGGCAGCCCTAAACCCTCCTGATACTTTCTGTGCTCACCGGGTTCCACGGCCACACAGGCAGGCTGGATACAGTGACCTGGGGTTCTGTGGGCCGGATTTCCATTTTTACCTCAATCTCACTGACAGCCCATTTCCTATTACATCTGCCATCTTTCCTCCAAAACTCTGAAGGTAAAGAAGCAGGTTAATTTGTAAAGCTATGTGAAGTCAGTCATTCTGTACATAAGAAAACCTGGAGATGCTGTCCTCTGCCTTCTTTATGAGCCACATGTCAGGCTGCTGCCCCACACTCCTTCCCTGGTGAGGGAAGCTGTCCCATTCACAGTCCTGGTCACAGTGCGTGGGAGACAACTGGAAACGCACAGTTCGGGCTGCCTGGAAAACACATGCAGCCTCCTTTCAGGGCCTTTGATCTCCCTTTGTCTCCCGCACAGCCAGGCACAGGTTCAGCGCTCACTCGCTGCCAAGTGCTGGAGGCGAGCTGTGCTGCTCCCTCAACATTCCTTAGTGCCACGGCTCCATGGGCACTGAGTTATGAGTGTGAAAGTTTACTTCTCAGGGATACAGCTGCATTAACCCCGGGCACGGTGACTCATGCCTGTAATCCCAGCACTTTGGGAGGCTGAGGTGGACGGATCACAAGGTCAGGAGATCAAGACCATCCTGGCTAACACTGTAAAACCCCCCTCTCTACTAAAAACACAAAAAATTAGCCGGGCGTGGTGGTGGGTGCCTGTAGTCCCAGCTACTCAGGAGGCTGAGGCAGGAGAATGGCGTGAACCCGGGAGGCGGAGCTTGCAGTGAGCCGAGATCGAGCCACTGCACTCCAGCCTGGGTGACAGAGCAAGACTCTGTCCCCCCCACCCCCCTCCAAAAAAAAGAACAAATTCAAAGCTTGTTCTTAACACATTACTACCTCTGAGCAAGCATATTTTGGTCCTCGTAAATGAGTGGCATAAACAGATCTTTTAAGGACAATACAAGCAAAACCATGATCCTGTTACTCTGCAGCCGCCTCCACAGAAGACTGCTGAACACTTCCACATGCTAGGCGCCTCACTGCAGCCCCTGCGGAGAACTGACGACCTCATCGAAGAAAGGCTAACACATTTTTAGCCGGGCACAGTGGCTCTGGCCTGTAATCCCAGCACTTTGGGAGGCCGAGGCAGGTGAATCACAAGGTCAGGAGTTCGAGACTAGTCTGATCAATATGGTTAAACCCCGTCTCTACTAAACCGGGTATGGTGGCAGGCACCTGTAGTCCCAGCTACTCCGGAGCCTGAGGCAGGAGAATCGCTTGAACCTGGGAGGTGAAGGCTGCCATGAGCCAAGATCACGCCACTGCACTCCAGCCTGGGTGACAGAGTGAGACTCCGTCTCAAAAAAAAAAAAACAAAAACAAACAAAAAAGAACTAAGAGCAGTTTTACATATTTACTCAAATTTAACCACATTAAAAAAAAGAAACTTCCATCCGAATGACCAGAACCATTTAAGTTGAAGTTCAATGGTTAAGTTTACTTCCTATATCCATTTTTCTGAGATGGAGTTGGAATGACCAAAAGGAGAGACTAGAGGGAGAAGCAGAAAGGATCCCTTCAGAAGCCCAAGAGGAACAGAGAGAAGCATTTGCTTAATAAAAACAAACAAACAAAACAAAATAATTAATTATGTAAAATGGAAAAGTATTAAGGGTACTGCTGAAAAGTGAGGGAGTGATATGGCTCCTGGGAAGCAGCTCTGACCCAGGACTGGGAACAGGCCTACCAGGATGACCTGTTCTTCAGGAGAAGCCTTAGGGAGCACAGAGAAAATGTTAGAGGAAAATAACCGAAAAACCCTAATTTACTTACTTGGCTGCTCACTTTTCAGATCTGTTTTCAGGACTGGTCCCTCTGAGGCTGCAATTTCAGCCCCTCAGCTGGTGGCATCAATATGCAGAGACAGCAGTTTCTGACAGAATTTCTGCATTTGTTTCAGCAACTTGCCAGTAAGAAGCACGTTAAGATCCCACTATGTCCTTCCAGCTGCGTTTCTGGGAAGCCGTTGTGATGGCAAATGCCTACTTAGCAGGCGCTGCCACTGGGTATTTTAAGGAAGCCCATATTTTTAGATGCAGCCACAAGAAACTGACACTCCCCTGCTGGCCCTCAGGTCACCCCGGGCCCACCAGAGCTGCCCAGGCACAGCAGGAAGCCCTGTGCCAAGCATCTCCAGGCTGTTCTCAAAGAAGTCCTAGATGCTCTGATGAGGCATTGTGTTCAGTGAAAAAAAACCACCCAAAACCTGATGAGCAATTTCGTCACTGTGTGATCAGTGTCCTCACACAAACAGAGACGTGTGAGCATGGAGGCAGTATCCTTACCACACACTGAGGCCGTAACCTGTACAGTGTGTAACTGTACTGAATAATGGAAGTAACTGTACATCAATGATAAGTATCTGTGTGTCTAAACATTATCTAAACACAGAAAAGGTACAGTAAAAATACGGTATAAGAAATCAAGAACGGGACACCTGTACAGAGCACTTACGGTGAATGGAGCAGGTAGGCCTGAGTTGCACTGGGTGAGTCAGGGAGAGAATGTGAAGGCCTGGGCCCTCACTGGACACCACTGTCACCTTTAGAAACACCGTCCACTTAACACTACACTCAATTTTTAAATTTTCCTTTCTTCAATAATAAACCCTAGCCTACTATGGCTTTTTTACTTTACAAACTACTTTTTTAAAAGCTTTAAGGTTTTTGACTCTTTTGTAAACACAAATATATCATATAGCTGTACAAAAATTTTTTTTGTTATATCCTTATTCCATAAGCTTTTTTCTATTAAATTTTTTTTAACTTTTTGAACTTTTTTGTTATAAATGAAGACACGGCCAGGCACAGTGGCTCATGCCTATAATCCCAGCCCTCTGGGAGGCCGAGGCAGGAGGACTGCTTCAGCCCAGGATTTCGAGAACAGCCCAGGCAACACAGTGAGACCCCATCTCTACAAAAAATCAAAAATAAGGCAGGAAGATCACTTGGGCCCAGGAGGTCAAGGCTGCAATGAGTCATGACTGCACTTCCGCCCAGGTGAGGGAGAGACCCTGCCTCAAAACAAAACAAAACAAAAAAACCAAAAACCCAAAAAGACACAAAAAACACATATTAGCCTAGGCCTACACAGGGTCTGGATCTTCCACCTCCACATCTTGCCCCACTGGAAGGTATTCAGGGGCAACAACACACATGGAGCTGTCATCTCCTGTCACACCAATTGCCTTCTTCTGGATTCCTCCTGAAGAACCTGCCTGAGGCTGCTTTACAGTTGACTTTGTTTCTAGTAAGTAGGCAGAATATGCTCTTAAAAGTATAGCAAATACACAAAGTAGTAACAGTCGTTTATCATCAATTATTACGTACTGTATGGTACTGTACGTAACTGTAGGTGTATACTCTGGTATGACTGGGGCAGTAGGTTTGGTCACACCTACTGCAGCACCACAGACACGAGTAATACACTGCCCTCAACATGGTAGCTCCAACGTCACCAGGTGCCAGGAATTTTTCAGCACCATCATAGTCTTATGGGACCACTATCATATTGTGGTCTGTTGCTGACCAAACTGCATCCGGCAGCACAGGTACAGGCATGCCCAGATGGCCTTGGTAATTTCTGTCAGTGGGATCACAGCAAACACACTCAGTCTGTTGGTCAGGGAGTGTGCAGGAAGCCTGGGGGGCCAGCGGCATCTATTCCCAACTCAGGCATCATGCCAAGACAGTGTCTTCTAAACTCTGAGTAGGAACTGTTCTGGGTCATTTCACAGTCTTTCCTTTCAGAAAACAACAGAGAACTGGGAAACCAGAAGTCCCCGAGCAGGAAAAGCCTCAAAAGAGAGAATCGGCGGGGCACTGTGGCTCATGCTTGTAATCCCAGCACTGTGGGAGGCTGAGGCAGGGGGATCACCAGAGGTCGGGAGTTCGAGACCAGCCTGACCAACATGGAGAAACCCCGTCCCTACTAAAAATACCAAAAAAAATTAGCCAGGCGTGGTGGCGCGTGCCTGTAATCCCAGCTACTCGGGAGGCTGAGGCAGGAGAATCACTTGAGCCAGGGAGGTGGAGGCTGCAGTGAGCTGAGATCGCGCCACTGCACTCCATCCTGGGCAACAAGAGCGAAACTCCATCTCAAAAAACAAAAAAAGAGAGAAAATCACAACAATCAAGCCCAACCCAGAGCCCTTCACTCCCAGTTCCTCTGCTCCCCCAACTCCCATTCAAGTCACAGACTAGAAGACAGATACTGAGCGGCTACAGTCGCAAGCGCCTCAGGGGCAACTAGGACTGAAACTCTAGCACCAGAAGCACAGCAAGGCGGGTGAGGCCTCTCTGAGGGAAGGACCCCCACCACACGGCAACAACCCCTCACAGCCCATTACAAGTTAAACCAACCTAACAGGCAGGCATTCTCCTAAGACTTTCTAAACCATTCTAAGTATGACAGTTTCACACAAAACACGGTAGCCTCCAACTGGCTACTACAAACCATATCTAGATTTTTCTCTTTTAAGTACCCAGGGTTAGGTTGGGCACTAGTGGCTCATGCCTATAATCCTAGCACTTTGGGAGGCTGATGCGTGTGGATTGCTTGAGCCCATGAGTTCAAGACCAGCCTGGGCAACACAGCAATATTTCATGTCTACTAAAAATTTAAAAATTAGCTGGGCGTGGTGGCACATGCCTGTAGTCCTAGCTACTTGGGAGGTTGAGGTGGGAGAATCACCTGAGCCTGGGAAGTCGAGGCTGCAGTGAGCCATGATCACATCATGCACTCCAGCCTGGGCAATGGAGTGAGACCCTGTCTCCAACAAAAAAGGACCCAGAGCTATTGATATGCCCACTATCTTAACTGTGGCCATGGCTCCAAAGGTATGTCTGTGTAAATCAAAAGTTATAAAACCATACTGTATACTCTACATATGGAGCTAAGACACCCACTGACATAAAAATAATCGATTTGTAAAGAAATCCTCCCAAACAACACAAAAGCTCCGACTTTATAAAAATATTTTTGGCTGGGCACAGTGGCTCATACCTGTAATCCTAGCACTTTGGGAGGCCAAAGCAGGAAGATCACTTGAGCCCAGAAGTTCAAGACTAGCCTGAGCAACACAAAGAGACCCTGTGTCTACAACCAACCAATCAATCAATCACCAGGTGTAGTGGTGCATGCCTGTAGTCCCAGCTATTCAGGAGGCTGAGGCAGGAGGATTGCTTAAGCCCAGGAATTTGAGGCTACAGTGAGCTATAATCATGCCCCTGAACTCTAGCTTGGGTAACAGCAGGACCCTGTCTCCAAAATACACACACACACACACACACACACACACACACACACACACACACACACTTTTAAGTGTACTGATGCAACCTCCCTCCCCCTTTATTGGCTAAAATTCAGTACATAATACCATTAAAGTACTAAAATAATAAGAACACACTAGAAAACAAGAAATTCAAAAAATTAGTTAACTTCCTGCCATTACCTCTATCCAAAGGCCCATCACTAAAGTCAAGTCAGTTCTGCCCAGAGGAAGGGCAGATTCTCAGAAGGCAACCAAGAGACAAGAAACAGAAGCAGGGTCGGAGCGCGGGGCAGCGCTGCCGAGGCTCCACCTGTACAAGGTTTCTTGGTCTCTAAGCTGCTTGATTCGCCAAGTGCAGTAGGAGGGAGGGGGATGAAGGAACATTCTAAGAAGTTCTAAGACACCTCAGAAAAGGGCAGACTAGTTTTATTCCTTCACAGAGAAGAGGTGAAGCCTGGTTTTACTTTAAAGTAAACATGCCCAGTAGCTGAGGGCTACTTGGAGTGGCGGAGGAAGGAATGTGAATCACAGCACACGAAATGGAGCACTCAGAGCATCTGCTTTGTGCTGCCCCATGAGGCCTGCTCACCAAAGTGAGGAGCTCACAGAGGTGCAGCCCCTCATCCAAGCCAACGGCCTGGAGGTAGGAAAGTGAGGCAGGGGAAGTCTGATTCCCGAGTTGGACTCTTAGACATAAACAGATACCGCTTCTCTTGGGAGTTTTGCTGCAACAGCAGCACAGAGGAGAGAGAGCAGCTCCCAGTAGATTTTAACCAGGGCAACTGTATCCCCCAAAAAACATCCACCAAGACAGTTTTGCTTGCTACAACTGGGGATGGGGAGAAGGAGTTGCTAATGGCATCTAGTGGGTGGGAAGCCAGGGAGGCTGCTAAACATCCAACAATGCACAGGACAGCCCCCAAAACAGAATGTTCCCGTGCAAAATGTCCACAGTGCCAAGGCAGAGAAAGCCTGAATTACCTAAGAAAACAGGGCAGCTATGACTCACTGGGCCCTGCTGTATCAGGTACTGTCTCAGCGCTTTATGTGCACCATCTGATGTCATCCTCCCAACAATTCTACAAACAGTTACTACTCTCTCTCTTCTACAGAAAAGGAAATTGAGGCAAGAGAAGGCAAGCCATGGACACAGGCCAGTCAGTGGTGGAGTTAAAATTGAAACCAGGCTGGGCGCGGTGCCTCACGCCTATAATCCCAGCACTCTGGGAGGCCGAGGCGGGTGGATCACCTGAGGTCAGGAGTTTGAGACCAGCCTGGCCAACATGGTGAAACCCCGTCTCTACTAAAAATACAAAAATTAGCTAGACGTGGTAGTGGGTGCCTGCAATTCCAGCTACTCCCGAGGCTGAGGCAGGAGGAATGCTTGAACCCGGGAGGCAGAGGCTGCAGCAGGCTGAGATCACGCCATTGCGCTCCAGCCTGGGTGGCAAGAGTGAGACGCTGTCTCAAAAAAAGGACTGAAACCCAGGCGGCCTCTGGCTCCACAGTCGCTCCACAGCCCAGCTCTTAGCTGCCTCCCCAGACCACAATTCCAATCATCCAGAGCTAAGAATAACCAGGAAGCTTCAGAAACACACACACACCTCCACTGCGTCAAAGGCAAGACACACCACTGACCCACAAACACTAGAGCCAACTAGACCTGTTTGCATCCCAGCCCCAGTGGGATGCCGCCTCCTCCACAGGGAAAATCATTTTCACCCCACTGATGCCCAAGGTTAACAGGAGTCACATCTTCATGAGCAGTCTATCATTCCTAATACTTTATAGTCTGCTGCTTTGTTGTTTAGGATAATTTAAAAATCAGAAATGACAGTAAAGGTACAAAACAATTAAAACCAACTTAAAAACAAATATATGCTAACAAAATAAACTCACCTGATTTGACTGTCCAGTAAGGTAGGGCTCAAAGTCATTGTCATGAACTGTATCCTTCTGATGTAACGAACCATTTTGTACTAGAACAAAAAGTTGCAAAATATTACCCTCAAATTTTAAAAGATTACTTTTAAGCTTGGAAGGCAAAGTTAGCAAAGTCTATTTCCATCTATTTCTAGCAGAAATTATGCTTTAATTTTAAAAGGAGTACAACCAGTATAGAACTGATGTTTATACAACTAATTAGAAGGGGGACGGGAAACTTTCAATAATTTAGGATAAATTTTAAATAAAGGCTTAATCGTAATTTGGTGAGATTAACCAAATCAAGTGTTAACACATAATGCAAGGAACACATAACCAGGGTGAAAACTGACATGGTCTAAGAAGACTTATGTGTGGCAAAAAGAAGTGGAGCCTCCAAAAGCCCAAATGCAGAATGTATGCCCAAACGTATGGAGAACGGAGGGAAGAAAACTTAGGAGGGAAGGGGCTGCAACTGAAGGACTGTTGGGAGCTATTATCTGACTCTCCACAGTGAACCCCAAATATCTGAGACAGGTCTCAGTTAATTTAGAAAATTTATTTTGCCAAGGTTAAGGACACACCCATGATACAACCTCAGGAGGTCTTGACAACATGTGCCCAAGGTAGTCGGGGGACAGCTTAGTTTTATACATTTTAGGGAGACATGAGAACCATCAATGTAAGATGTACATTGGTTTGGTCCGGAGAGGCGGGACAACTTGAAGCAGGGAGGGGGCTTCCAGGTCATAGGTAGATAAGAGACAAACGGCTGCATTCTTTCGAGTTTCTGATTAGCCTTTCCAAAGGAAGCAATCAGATAAGCATTTATCTCAGTGAGCAGGAATGACTCTGAGTTCTGTCCTTTGTCCACCAGGAATTTCCTTGTGGGCAAACTGTGGGGGAAGTATGTAACTTTTTTTGTCTTAGAAGCTATCTTTTTCAGGAATAGAATGGGAGGCAGGTTTGCCCTCAGCAGTTCTCAGCGTAGCTTTCTCCCTTTGGCTCAGTGATTTGGGTGCCCCAAGACTGGTTTTCCTTTTACACCACTTACCTTCCCACTGTTATTATGCTCAGCCAGAAAAAGCAAGCAAAGGTAAATAAAGTGCTGGGCCTTTTCCAATCTTAAAACACGATGAACCGTATTTGGTTACACCTGAGCTGACACACAAACTGGCTAAAAAAGTGTTCCAAGTAAACGTGAAGTGTCACTTAACAGTTTTCACATGAGTGCGCTCTGAGGGTTTATCCCAAGCCATAATGTCACAGGAGATGCTAACAGACTTGGAAAACGGGCTGCAACTACCGGGGATGTGGAGCTTAGCCTGCAGAACCTTGGACTGCCCCTCTCCTAGAGCAGCCCCTGCTGGGCGGAAAAAGGCAAGTCGCTCAACCCCTGCGGCCATGTCCACCCGGCTCTCCTACCTCCCCTTCCCCAAAGCAAATCCATGATCATGCGGTGGGGAGAGACGGGCCCAAACTACTCTGAGCAATCATTTATTCACTTCTTGAGAAGCCCCTGTCTTCGACCTGTCAAATCTCCCAGAATCGTCGCACAACCTCAAGTTTTATCTCCCTGAAGCTGGCGGAAGAGAGAAAGTTTCCGGTTCCAGACGCAGCTTCCTGGACCGTTCCTTCCCCGTCCTCCTCCACTCCAGCCCGCGCCGGCCGTCCCGGGACTCCGCTCACCTTTATTATCTTGTCCTTTTGTTCTCTGCACCGCCGCAGGCCGGGACGTGGGGTACACACAACCCGGGGGAAGAGGGAAACACAAAGTTATTCACCAGAGAACTGGTCTCCAACGGGCCGCGAGCTCCGCCGGCCCCGACGCGCGGTCACGTGCGACCCCGGCCCCGAGACCCCGGTCCCGCCTGGGCCCGGCCTCCGCGACCCCGGGCTCTGCGTTCCAGCCCCAGGACCTCAACCCAGACCCCGCGCCTCGGCCCCGGCCGCGGCCCCTGTAACCCGGCCCCGCTACCTGGGTGTCCACGCTGGTGGCCGACATGCTTCATGAACAACTAGACGCGGGGCCGGGGCGCCCGCCGGCTCGGGCCTCCCCTAGAGGCCGGGCCTGTCACCCTAGCTCGCGCGGCCCCGGGCCCCGCCGCCAATTCCCCGGGCGCCGGCCGGGCGGCGGCGGCGGCTGCTGGGCGCGCGGGCCCCTGGCGAGGCGGCAGCGGCGGTGAGCCCGGGACGCGGACGCACTGAGGAGGCGTCGACTCCAATGGCGGCGGCGGCGGCGACAGCAGCGGCGACGGCGGCGGCAGGGGACGAGACTGCGCGGCGTCAGCGTGCACGCGGGGCAGGCCGGGAGCGCCGCGCCGGGCCGCCACACTTCGCGCCTGCGCGCTCCCGTCTTACGGGATGGATTTCGCTCTCAGGTCCCAGTCTCGTGCGGCGGGGCGGGGACCGCAGCCGGCTGGGCGGGGAAGCCCTGAGCCGGGGAAGTCACGTGGGGCGTGTCCGGAGGCGCCGCGGGGCCTGGCGGGAAGGGGCTGGCGGGCTGCTGCCAGGTGTACAGCCGCCCACACACACCCCGGCCACAGCCGCACCCCCGACGCGCTACCGGCACTGAGGCCTCTGTAGTTTTCCCCAAGGTCCGAAGACTAAACGCTGTTCTGGTCCGACAGCTGGGCTACGGGTCTGTCCGGGGTCGGTCTGCCCTTCCCCCGCGCGCAAACACCTGCCCGCCCAGAGCTCCGAGCCCCCGCGTGTTCCAGGTCGCGCGCCTCGGCCCTTGCCGCGGGACCTGCGGGCTTTGTTCGCTTTGCGGCCCTGGCCTTCAGCCGCAGCGGAGCCCTGGGCCCGGTCCCGGAGGTCAGCTGTTGTGTGGATGCACCCCTGGACCTGCGAGAGGCTCGCCGGCTTATAACCAAGTTCTCATGTTAGATTCTTGACCCCGATTTCATCACCAGGAGGAAAAGCAGTGCTCTGTGCCCCAGCCTAGGCCGGGCCAGGGGACTTGTCATCTTTGTTCGAGGATGGACAGCCCCTTCTTAGCAGCAACTGTGCAAAGAGAGCCCAGTTCTCAGTTCCTAACCCCTCAGCATCCCCAACCTGGACGCCCTTCTGGTCAAGGTGTTGAATTTCGCTCCCTGCAGCCAGTATCCAATCCTGCCACCCTTGTGGCTAACTCCCTACAGAGGCTTCCAGGTTGATATTTTTCTTTCCAGCTCTGGCAGCTGTAACATCTTCACGTGGCCTGGATCTGGGTCCTGCTAAAGGAGAAAGACCTGGAATGGGGTGTCAGGCAGGTTGACGTCAAATGAGTGTTTTCCACAAAGTGGGCCCGGGCAGATGCGCTAAGCAGGGTGAACAGTGACAGCAGGGACGGCAATGGAGTCCCAAGACGGCTCCAAGCCTGGACATCCGCATCAGTGGGGTAGCAGACAGCCTCTCACACTGCTGCAGGAGGAGGTGGAAACTGCCCCCAGCAGGCCGGTCAGCCACAGAGAGGACTGCTGCTCCAAGTTGCTCCAGGTCTCCCTGGAGCCCTGCCTCGCCTAAAGCTGGGGAAAGCGGGCTGGGCTTGTTTCCCTGGAACAGAGCTGGGGGATGTCTGGTGCCCTGAGGATGAATCTGGATCCCCTGGGACTTTGATGTGTTTGGGCCATGGGCAGACATCTCAGGCCAGGATGAAATCTGTGCATTTGGGGTACATCCGAAAATGAACAGCACGTTTCCAGGATGGTGGCCCACATGGAGAAGATGTGTGGGGATTGTAGGGACAGTGGGGTCCCTGGGGGCACCCTGCCACCTGCTTCTGTGTGATAAGGCCTGCGCATCCTGGGCAGGCCCTGAGTGCCTGCTTCCCAGGACACTGAACTGTTTGGCGGCCAAGACTGCAGCAAGGGGGTGTCTGGGTGGTCAGAGTAGACACTCGGACTCTTGGAGCCCCTGTCTGTCTTCTCACCCAGCTCCCATCCCTGGGCCAGGACGGTGCAGTGGTCACCACTGGAGTTCAGAGCCTCACAGCCAGTTACAGGGCCTTCAGCCTCAGGCCTACTTTCCTCCTCCGTGGTGGGTTAATTACTCCCCTTTCACAGGATGAGTGTGTGGAAGAAACTGGGTATGCAGCCCTTGGCGTCAGGCCAGGGCTCTGTCAACACTGGCTGTTACCTGCTGCCTTCACCCACAAATGCCCAGCCAGTCACAGGAGGCAGCACTGGCCCTGCGGGAAGTGGCCACTCCGAGCTTAGGGGCCTTCTTAGATGGCTGAGTGCCGGCAATGCAGGACCCTGGAGGTGTTTCAGTTTCCTGGAGCTATCTCAACAAAGTACCCGGAACTGGGGGGCTTAAAATAACGGCAATTTATTCTCTCCCAGTTCTGGAGGCCAGAAGTCTCAGATCAGTATTGCTGGGCTGAAGTGGAGACAGAAGCTCCTTCCAGGGCCCTCGGGGAGGATCCTAGCCTCCTCCAGCCTCCGGTGGAGGCCGCAGCCCTTCCTGGTCTTTCCTCCTCGCCTCCGTCACCTCATGGCCTTTTCCTCTGTGCCTGTGTCTCTTCTTATAAGGACACTCATCTGGATTTAGAGCCCACCCTAATCCAGGATAACCTCATCGTCTTGTGATTATATCTGCAAAGAACCTATTTCTAAATAAAGTCACGCAGGTACCAGGTGGACATGAGTTTTGGGGGTACACTCTTCAGCTCACTACAGAGATCACTGGGGAGGCCTCACAGTGATGCCTATGGAGAGATTTTGGAGGGTGACTCCTGGGGCTGAGTAGGTTCTACTCACAAATGTAGATGGAAGGAGAGGCCCCCACAGTGAGGCCTGAGGAGGCACCACCATGCCAGCCTAGCCCCACTGGCCAGGGAAGAGGCTGGCAGGATCCCACAGCCACTGCCCGGACCCACCCAGGCTTTTGCTGTGAACTCCAGAAGGCTCCATGCTGACCCTGACATGGAAGGAGACTGGGGGCTGCCCAGGGGCAGGACAGGTCTGGTTGGCGGGAACAGGGGGCCCTAAAGTGAATTGAATGCAGGGGGTGTGGCACCAGCAGGGGGTGCTGAGGTCCCCAGGCCAGCTCTGGGGGGAAAGCCTTTATCTTGGCCAGGCCTGAGGACCTGGGAGGGTGTCACAGAAAACCAGGAGTTGAGCTGCCTGTAACCTTGGAGGGCCACGTCCACTGCCCAGCCTGCCCAGGTTCACACCCCAGCCCAGCTCTCGGCCAGGAAAAGGGAGGTCACCCAGCACCGAATGTCAGGGGACAACTGTCTCTCCCTCACAGGGAGCAGGCAGCTCCTCATGTCATGGATGGAAACGGATCAGAGGGCTTTGGCCACTCCTCTGGGTGGCCCAGCGGTCTTGAGACAAAGCCTGCCATTTCTAAGCCTGTGCCGTCAATGACAGACAAGAGCCCATCCCCTGTGGGCCGTCTGCCTTCAGACGGGAACCTTCTTGCTCGGGGAACCTGTTGCTCATCCAAGAGCCCTTCCTAGCAGTACCCGCTCCTGGCAGCACCCTCAAGTGGTATGGGATTGTCTAAACATGACTAGCATTAGGAAGGTTTGGGTTTTTATTTATTTGAAAGTCACACAGGCGCATGGTTAAAAAGCTATCTTTGCACTCAAAGGATATAAGGTGGGAAGCAAAAACCACCACCCCCAAACCCCTCAGAGAGGGAGCCCTCCAGATGCCTGCCTGTGCATGCAAGCATGAGTCTCTGTCTCCACTATCTGCCCTTGCATCTCACGTGTTGGGAAACCGCACTTTGGGGATCCACAGTGCTGCTGAGTATCAACACCCGCCGTCCACCCACCTCGTCCCTCTCCAGGGAGGGCATGGGCTCCAGCCTCATCCAGTGAGTGTCCTGGCCCCAACACACATGCACACGTGTGCGAAGACACCTGGCAGGAGGCTCCTGCCCATGGAATCACTGGGCCAAAGGCGCTTACACTGGCCATTGTGCTGATGTTGCCAGATGGCCCCCAAGGAGGCTGTACCAAAACCCCCAGCCAAGAGGAGGTTTCTGAGCTGGGTGCAGGGTCCAAACGCTGTGGGCCCTGAATTCAGATGATCCCTGGCTGAACCAAACCCCTCCTGAGTGCTGGACACAGCTCACCCTGCAGCTGGCCTCTGGGGGCTCTCAGTGAAGATACCCATCTGTCTCGATGGACACCAGCCACTCACGCAGCTGCCCTCTCCACGAATGCTGTCTCAGGTCCTCATCTCCTCCCTCACCTCAACCCCGGGCTCATCCCCAGTCGGCAGGCCTCCTTCCAAAACCGCTCCCCACCGTACTCCCTGGCGGGGCTGCTTTGTCCTTGATGAAACTGGCTCCTGCTCTCTTGGTTCCTCCTGCCTCCCTGTGCCTTGGGAGTGCACTGACATGGAGTGTGCTGACGTGGAGTGTGTGGAGTGCGCTGACGTGGAGTGCGCTGATGAGTGTGTGGAGTGGGCTGACATGGAGTGGGCTGGCATGGAGTGTGTGGAGTGGGCTGACGTGGAGTGCGCTGACGAGTGTGTGGAGTGCGCTGACGTGGAGTGGGCTGGCGTGGAGTGTGTGGAGTGGGCTGGCGTGGAGTGTGTGGAGTGGGCTGACATGGAGGAGTGTGTGGAGTGCGCTGATGTGGAGTGTGGGGAGTGGGCTGACGTGGAGTGTGTGGAGTGCGCTGACGTGGAGTGCGCTGACGTGCCTCCCATGATGCACGGCACTTTACAGTTTTCAAACCTTCTCTCTCTAAGCTTCTCATTGGACCATTCACCCCACAAGTGTGAACTGAGCACATACTTATTATGTGTATGGGGCGTGGGGGCACGAGGTGGCCCCTGCCCAGCAGAGCTCCTGGTGCTGGGACCTTCCATAGCCCTACAAAGGTTCATCTAGCTTCACTGAGCACCTGCTGTTCTCCACACACGGGGACAGAACAGGCCAGGTGCTGCTCCTGCAACCCAGATGGGAGGCAGAGGTAGATGGGTCACTGTAGATCTGAGCTGTGATGGAGGCAGGACAGAGAGGAGCCCAGAGACTCAGGATAGGCAGGCACTCACCAAATGAGGATGCAGGCAGGTGGGCAGGGTGCCCCAGGTGGATGGACAGCAGGAGGCAGGACACAGCAACACCTGCCTGCCCACTGGAAGGTCAGGTCCCTGAGCAGGTCCCCTCGTGTCCACTGCCGAGTGCAGGTACAGGGAAGACGGCTCAGCACGTGGAAGGAAGCTCTGCATTGCATCCAGAGAGCCGAGGGAGTTAGAGCAACTCTGGATTGCTGGAGCAGCTAAGCCTCTGAGAAGTTAATGAAAGTGTCCAGGCCGCATAGTTACTCTGGCAGCTCCCTGAGCTCTCACCTGGTCCTGAGCCCTGGCACCTGCCCTGTCCTTGGCCCTGCTCCATCGGCATGACATCCCCCAGGGGCCAGCAACCCAGCCTGAACAGTAAAGCTCCTAGCCCCGGTCCTGCTGGTCTGCAGGCCTCAGCTCCCTCCCTGCTTTTCCAGGAGTTGAAACAGGGCCTCTCCTAACTCCACTTTGCCAAGAGCCTCTTCTCCCACTGCAGAGAACTGTCATCTGCCTGTAAGTACCAGTGCCAGGTGCTCTGGGGCCGATGTCTCCGTTAGCCCCAAGGTGGAGGCTCAGGGAGCAGATGTGAGCGTGCCTTGCTCATCGCAGTAGCTTCGGACTGCAGGGATTGCAGGGACTGCAGGGATTGCAGGGATTGCAGGGATTGCAGGGACTGCAGGGATTGCAGGGACTGCAGGGACTGCAGGGACTGCAGGGACTGCAGGGACTGCAGGGATTGCAGGGATTGCAGGGATTGCAGGGACTGCAGGGATTGCAGGGACTGCAGGGACTGCAGGGATTGCAGGGACTGCAGGGACTGCAGGGACTGCAGGGATTGCAGGGATTGCAGGGACTGCAGGGACTGCATTGCTCTTGCAGCACCACCCGCCTCCGTGGACACCTTCAGCAGTGAGACAATGCAGGCTCTGCTACAAGAGGTGCTTACTGGGCTCTGCTCTGGTGAGGAGAGGCCTCGCCTGGCAGCCAGACAGAGTCCCAGCAGGGCAAGATGAAAATTCGGGGCCCTCGTTCAAACAGCAAGAGAAGGCTCTTTCCTTCCTTCCAGCGCCCCTCCCTGCACCTGTGATGGTGTTTTTATTTGTTATTTAACGTCATGTGCTCTTGGGCAAGGGGAGGGGAAACTCTCACAGGCACCTGAACCTGTCCCTGTGGCTCCATGCATGGGCCATGCCCCTGATCCCTCTGTGCCCACACCCAGGTCCCTGCTGGGATGAGGGTTGGCAGGGGTCACTGGGTGGCTAAACACCATTCCTGGGGGTGGGGGGAGGAGGGTTGTGCCAAGCCAGGCTCCCAGACCCCAAGTGCAGGCGCATGCCACCATCTCATCAGATGGCACTCACAAAACACAGATTCAGACAAAAGTGTTAATATCAAGATGGTGACGACAGCACCCTCTGGGTGTGGGGCCGCTTGGGTCACATCCTATGAGGCCAGCCCTGGGTCTGAAAGACACCAGAGGAGTCCCTGGATGCCACCAGGACTCTGGGGCTCTACCAGAGGTCTTCAAAGAGGGGGACCATGGGGACGACTCAGGCTAGAAAGTGGGGAGGAAACCATGCCAGGAGGGGGACCAGAGAGTAACCAACATGATCAGATGACACAGATAGGCACCTGCAGGCTCAGGCTTCACAGCTAGAGCTGCAGGTGGCCCAGAAAGGGAGGCCCCACAATGGCTGGATCTACCTGGGCCAGGTGCCTGGGGAGGGCCACAGGTGGGACAGGAATGAGAATGGGCAGGGCTAGCTCTGGAGAACAGGACCTGGGGTTGGGCGGTGCTACAGGGAGGCGTGCCGGGTGCTGAGTACTGTGCTAGCAAAAGACGCTGCTGATTTCATCTGCCCTTGCAAACAGCAGCCTCTCCCCAGGGGAGCACCTGTCCCAGGATGAGGAAGGCCACCTGGACTCTCCCACCCTTCCACGTGGCTTGCTAGCTGTCTTGGGTGACTCTACTGGCCTGCCCGGCATGTAGCTCCCTTCAGTTGAGTGACCACATTCCTGATATTCTTTCAGGGCGTCCCCTCCTCAACCCCTGTGGTTGGGGATGGATGCCTCACCTGGGCCTGATGCCAGTCCAGAGAGGGAGAAGCAAGTGAATGAAGATGCTTGAACACCAGGATCCAGCTGAGTCTGAAATGGTCCACTTCTGTGCTTTTGGTTGGGTGAAGCAATACATTTCATTTTTAGCTTTGAGTTTCTGTCACCTGCAGCTGAGTGTCCTGACCATAGGGACAAGCATAACATACGAACCTCGGGCCTGGCCCACAGTTCCACAGAGGAGGAGTGTGTCTGGACAGTCCAGCCCTGCTCAGATCCCTCCCTTGTTCCCAGCGCCTCTTGGACCAGGGGCTCCAGGTACCCGTGCGCTAGCCCCACACACCTCTGCACCCCTGTCTGCCTACAGTCCCCAGGATGCCAGCCACATGCACATCCCCCAGGGCCACGCTGTTCCCTCTGCCTGAAGCCGCCTGCTTCACCTCCTCTCCAAAGCTTCGTGTGGCTCCTCGAGATCTCATGCTCACCCTGGGGACACCTGGGACCACTGGGTCATCACTTGTCTGTAGGGACAGCTCCAAGGCCCCTGGTGTCACCTCTGTGCTGTCACCTGCTTTATGTCCAGCAGAGGGAGCTCTGAATCAGGAGTTAGGTCCTTGGTGTGCACCTTCCAGCTCCCCAGGGACCTGCCTCAGTTTCCCCAGCTGGGAGGCAGCATGTGGAAGGGAGCGCCAGAGGGGCTCACCCCACCTGGTGGGCATTCTGTAACTTGTGGCCTGCTGTGTCCAGCAGGTGCTGCTATTGAACCTTTGAAATTGAGAAACTGCCCTTTCAATTTTATTTAATTAAATTCCAGCAGACACACGCAGCTAGTGGCTAATGTCTTTGACGGCCAAGCTCAGACTCCAGGCACTGATACTCAACGCTGATCCTTCACACTCCCAGAAAGCTTTAATTAACACACATGTCCACCCCTCTGCCCCCCACCGACCCCCAGCAGAGAAATCAAAGTAGTCTGGGGTGGAGTTGGTGACCTACATGGTCAGGAGGCCTCTGGTTGAGCCTGAAACCTCCAGGTGAGCCTGATGGCTGCACATGTGCCTAGCACTCTGCGAGGTTGGCAAGCTCCTAAGACCTGCTCACCCACCCTGCTCCCTCTGCTGCGTGGAGCTGGGGAGTGTTCAGTGGCCCCTCTCACTCTGCGTGTGGAGCTGGGGAGTGCTCACTGGCCCCTCTCACTCTGCATGTGGAGCTGGGGAGTGCTCACTGGCCCTGCTCACTCTGCGTGTGGAGCTGGAGAGTGCAGTGTCCAGTTTGCCTCTTGCAGCCTCTTGCTTCCCCTTCCCTCTCCAGAGTCCTCCCTGTGGTCCCAGAGCTCCCTGATCTAGCCTTTCCTAAAGCTGACTCAACCACCTCCTGGATTCCCAGGCTGGAATCTGGGGCCAGAGATGGTGCATCTCATGTTTTCAAATGATGCCCAGAAGCTCACAGATAGCAGGGCTGTTCGGTGGATGTCTGGGCTCTGCAGGATTGCGGGAACAGAGGCCTGCTGCTCTCATCCTCCCGCCCTCCCCATTAATACAGGCCTTCTGTCCATCCCTGGCCCTAGGTGGCCTCTCAGCTCAACTTCACAAGCCACAGGGGCTTGGGAAGCTGCAGGAAGGAGCCAGGCACAGCTGTACTAAATAAGCTTCTCCCCACCCCTGCCCCCAACAGGCCTGGGCCAGGCATGCCAGGAAAATAAATCAGACTAACGGACCCAGGTGGGGCCACAGCCACGGGAGGTGTGGTCCAGACAGCTGCCGTGGCACTGAGGAATGCTGACCATCCAGACTGAGACCCATGGTCGGGTCAGCATCCAGCCCAGCCCAGTCCAGCAGGTGGGGAGAAGCCCGTGGTGGGGCCTGCTCTGGGCCCACGCTGGTCTTCTCAGGACGCTCCCTGCTGGCCTCTTGCAACTCTGCCTGTGGCTCTCTAGGCGCTGGCTGGGAGCCAGCGCTCACCGCAGCCAAAGCCCAGAGGGATGGACTTGCGCCAGGATGCTGGCCCCTTGGCAGGATACCTGGGGAGTCCCTGGGCTCTGGGAGGCCCTCAGCGGGGTGCCCAGGGCAGTGACCCCTCGGGAACATACCTACTGCTCATTTTTGTTTTGGGGTCTGCTCTGGAGAGCTCCACCTAAGACTCGGGGAGGAAGCTGTAAACCAAAAAGCATGAGAGGCAGGGCTCAGTCGATCGAGACGTTTATTTTGCCAAGGTTAAGGACATGCCTAGAAGAAAAGCACATGGAGTCACATGTCCTTTTAGTCTGTGGTCTGTGCCTTTCTCCAAAGATGCTTTTGAGGGCTCCACCATTTAAAGGGGGGGAAAGCAGGCTGGAGGGGCAAGAGGGAGGCCTTGGTAATCACATGCTGCAAGAGAAGAGGAGCAGGCAGGGGAATCGTCAGCTGTGTGTTCCTCTCATGCTCGGAAACCTGCACTTGTATGAAATAAGGTGAACGTCTCCTGTAGAGATGCTTCACCTGTTATCTGTAACTACCTGCTTAGGAACAAAAAGAAAGGCAGCTTCTCACATGACTTAGCTTTTAGTTTAATTTTTTTCTTGTGGCAGAGTGAATTGGGGTCCTGAGTTTGTTTTTGTTTTTGTTTTTGTTTTTGTTTTGAAACAGAGTTTCGCTCTTGTTGCCCAGGCTGGAGTGCAATGGCGTGATCTCAGCTCACCACAACCTCCGCCTCCAGGGTTCAAGCGATTCTCCTGCCTCAGCCTCCCAAGTGGCTGGGATTACAGGCATGCGCCACCACGCCTGGCTAATTTTGTATTTTTAGTAGAGATGGGGTTTCTTCATGTTGGCCAGGCTGGTCTCAAACTCCCAACCTCAGGTGATCCGCCCGCCTTGGCCTCCCAAAATGCTGGGATTACAGGCGTGAGCCACTGCACTGGCCTTGTTTTGCGATGGAGTCTTGCTCTTGTTGCCCAGGCTGGAGTGCCGTGGTGCAGTCTCAGCTCACTACAACCTCCGCCTCCTGGGTTCAAGCGATTCTCCCACCTCAGATTCCCGAGTAGCTGGGATTACAGGCGCGCGCCACCCCACCCAGCTAATTTTTTTAGTAGAGACGGGGTTTTGCCATGTTGGCCAGGCTGGTCTCCAACTCCTGGCTTCAAGTGATCCCCACCTGCTTCAGCCTTCCAAAGTGCTGGGATTACAGGTGTGAGTCACCGCGCCCAGCCCCTCCAGACCATCTGAAAACAGGAAACTAGCCAGCCTGCCTGTCTCACTTCGAGCTTCTTAATGCCGTTGCCAGCCTCAGAAGCTGGAAGCCCCTCCTGTGGGCCTCTGATGCACTTGTCCGGAGCCCTGCGGTCCCCTGGAGTCCTTGCTCTGTGGCCACAGGGAGGGTTGCTCCAGTGCTGGCAGGCTCTGGCCCCCCAAGCTGAGGAGGAGGGGACCGGCTCAGCCACTTTTGGTGAGGGCACTTAGGGTTGTTCAGCAGGAGTGGGGCTGGGTGCGGGAGGGTTGCCTGTCACAGGGGTTACCGGCCCACCTTGCCCAGCATACACCTGCTGAGCTTCCTGGGAACCCAGGCCTGAGGCCTGGACAGGAATTGGAGCTTCTCCTCCTCCCTCCCACCTCTTTCCTCCTCTTCCCTCCCACCCCTTTCCTCCTCCTCCCTCCCACCCCTTTCCTCCTCCTCCCTCCCACCCCTTTCCTCCTTCTCCTCAGCTTATGTGGGCTCCAGGTCCAGCCTCATTCCAGCCGGCACGGCCCGGAGGTGAGCAGGACCTGGCCTCATGTGACTGCAACCACAAGCCCAGACTTTCGTTGCAGCCACTGACCCAGAATCCCAGGACTGCCAGGACTGGACGGCCCAGACGCAGTGGTTGTGGGGCCCACAGGTGGAGGCAGGCTGGACCCCGCCCCAAGGTTTTCCCGCCACAAACAGATCTCTAAGCAGGACATGGGCAAGGGTGGGGAAGGGAACCCGAGATCCTGCAGTACCACACCAGGCCCCCAAGGCCCCTCTGTCCCAGGCCCTCGTCAGGCAGATCTGGGTGTGGGGCATGGCCATGCCACAGCAGGCCAGGATGGTGAAGCAGCCCGGCGAATTTCACCCCAAAATACGTGTGACAAAAAGAGCCAAACTCTGTACAATATTTAAAGGGTTTATTCTGAGCCTAATACCGGTGGCCATGGCCTGAGGTACAGTCTTATTATGTCTTGAGCACATGTGTCCCGGTGGTTGGGTGACAGCTTGGTTTTATACCTTTTAGGGAGACATCGGCATCAGTTAGTACATGTGAGGTGTACATTGCTCAGGTTCAGGAAGGCAGAACGACTCAAAGCAGGGGGTGGGGCCTTACGGGTCCTGGGTGGGGGCTTATGGGCCCTAGGTGGGGCTTTACGTGTCCTGAGTGGGGGCTTACGTGTCCTGGGTGGAGCCTTACAGGTCCTAGGTGGGGGCTTACGGGTCCTAGTTGGGGGCTTACAGGTCCTAGGTGGGGGCTTACGGGTCCTGGGTGGATTGTGGATTCAAAGATCTTCTGATTGGCAGTTGGTTGAAAGAGTTAAGTTATTATCTAAAGACCAATAGGAAGGAGCATCTGGGTTAAGATAAGGGGTTGTGGAGACTGAGGTTCTTACTATGAAGATGAAGTCCCATAGGTGTCTGTCCTTAAAGACAGTAGATGGCAAATGTTTCCTATGCAGACCTTTAGAAGGTGCTGGACCCTCAGGTAACCTCTTCAGGATTGGGAGGGCCTGGAAGGGGAAAGAGCTAGTTATGTTAATAGAGATTCCTTACAGACACAAATTTTCCCCCACACAAGATGGCTTTGCAGGGCCTTTTCTTTCTTTCTTTTCTTTCTTTTTTTTTTTTTTTTTTTTCTTTGAGATGGAGTTTTGCTCTTGTTGCCCAGGCTGGAGTGCAATGACGTGATCTGGGCTCACTGCCACCTGTGCCTCCTGGGTTCAAGCGATTCTCCTGCCTCAGCCTCCGAAGTGGCTGGGATTACAGCCATGCACCACCACACCTGGCTAATTTTGTATCTTTGGTAAGGACAGGGTTTCTCCACGTTGGTCAGGCTGGTCTCGAACTCCTGACCTCAGGTGGTCTGCCTCCCTTGGCCTCTCAAAGTGCTGGGATTATAGGTGTGAGCCACCGTGCCCGGTCTTGATTTTTTTTTTTTTTTTTTTTGACGGAGTCTCACTCTGTCGCCCAGGCTGGAGTGCAGTGGTGCGATCTCCGCCCACTGAAACCTCAGCCTCCCAGGTTCTAGCAATTCTCCTGCCTCAGCCTCCCGAGTAGCTGGGACTACAGGCACACGCTGCCACGCCCGGCTACGTTTCTGTATTTTAGTAGAGACAGGGTTTCACCGTGTTGCCCAGGCTGGTCTTGAACTCCCGAGCTCAGGCAATCCACCCGCCTCAGCCTCCCAGAGTACTAGGATTACAGGCGTGAGCCACCACGCCCGGCCAATAGGGCCTTTCCAAACTATGGCAAAGAAATGTATTTGGGGATAAAATATTTTTCTTTCCTTGTTTGTCATGTGATATTATGCCAGAGTCAGGCTGGCATTCGGGATCTTACAGTCTGTTTAGTCAGTTTGGTGTTTTTTTTTTTTTTTTTTTTTTGGAGATAGGATCTCCCTCTGTCATCCTGGCTGGAGTTCAGTGGCCCAGCTCAGTGCAGCTTGGACCTTTCTGGCTCAAGCGATCCTCCTGCCTCTACCTCCTGAGTAGCTGGGAGGACAGGTGCACACCACCACACCTGGCTAATTTGTTCTTTTGTTTGTTTTGAGAGATGAGGTCTCATTATGTTCCCCAGGCTGGTCTTGAACTCCTGAGCTCAGGAGAGCCTCTGGCCTCAGCCTCCGAAAGTGCTGGGATAACAGGCGTGAGCCACTGCGCCTGGCCTGTTTTGTCAGGCTTAAGAGCTCGATTTTAATGTTAACGCTGGTCAGTCGTTCCTGAACTCCAAAAGGAGGAGGGTCTCACGAGGCCTGTCTGGCCCCCACCTTCCTGTCATGGGCTGAACTTGTTTTTCAGATTTCCTTGAGTACCGTTGGCCAAGAGGGGGCTCCATTCAGTCAACTAGGGGCTTGGAATTTTTTTTTGGCTCACATATGGTGCCCGGGCGTACTCACTGCTCTAAGTCAGAGGCCACTGAAGGGCGGCAGATGCTGGAAGAGGCTCTGCTGTGATTTTCCCTTTTCTGCCTTAGGGCCGGCCCCACCATGGGGAAGCGCAGTCACCTTCCACCGCTTCCCTGAAACCCCTTTTCTGCCTTAGGCCGGGCCCCACCATGGAGAAGCGCAGTCACCTTCCACCCCTTCCCTGAAACCTCAGAAAAGAGGGCAGCAGCAATGCAGCCTTACCTGGACGGACCTGTGCCCCAGATAATGTCTCCTCTGGAGGTCATTCGAATTCCAAAGGGAATCACTTACAAGTTAGTTCCTGTCTCTGGAGTCCCTCCCTTCTCCCCGAAGATCACTCATGCCCCATCAAAAGAACCGTCCACACTCCCCGTCTCCCCTCCCTGATGAAGAAGGGTACAGGAGCACTGGCCTCCCGGCAGGTTCTCAGGCCATCGCCCTCCTGCGGCCCCACCCCACGCGTGGGGATCATGTCTCCCCCGGCAGCGGCTGCCGCTGCCTCCCTGGACAGGCTTCCTGGCCCTCCATCTCCGCTCTCAGCCAACTCATTGTGCCCCTCTCTGAGCCTCGGTTTCCTCACCTCTGAAATAAGCTCTGTGCCCATCTCGAAGGGTAACTGAGGAGATCAGTGAGGGAATGTGGGTGATGGCCTTAGCATAGGGCTTGGCACACTGTCCTGGTTGGGACCCTCCCAGTGAATCCCAAAGCAAGCTGACATCTAGCTGTCAGAGAGGAGACCATTCCTTATATTGTCTTATACTTAATTTCTTGTTTGCTGAAAAAGTAGAAGTTAGAATTGGCAGAAGTGAAAAATCACAGACAACTGGGGACCACATTTCAGACCTGGTGTTAAAATTCAACCTCTGACCTCAGGGCTTGTGCTATCTATGGATTCAGACATTGTGTAAAAAAGCATCATGAAACTCCCTGTTCTGTTCTGTTTCGTTCTGATCATTGGTGCATGCAGCCCCCAGTCACATACCCCTTGCTTGCTCAATAGATCACGACCCCCGCCCCCACAGCCCCTTTAGAGTTGTGAGCCCTTAAAAGGGACAGGAATCACTTATTCGGAGAGCTCGGTTTCTAGGACGTGAGTCTGCCGACGATCCCAGCTGAATAAAGCTCTTTCCTTCCACAATCCAGTGTCTGAGGAATTTTGTCTATGACTCCTCCTGCTACAGCTGGAGGGAAACTCTCTTCCTTCCTAGCCCCAGTTGTCTCTTTGTAACTATGATAGTTTGCTGCCGATGGACACGGCAAGTCTGTATGCTGAGATGCTGGGTTGCAGCAAAGAAGGGGTTAATCATAGGGTCACTAAAGAAGTTGCTGGGAGGGAACCTCAAATCCATCTCCCAGAGGAATCTGGGGCTGGGGTTTGTTGTTGTTGTTGTTTGGTGTCTGTTTGGTGTTTGTTTGTTTGTTTTTTGAGACAGTCCCACGCTGGAATTCAAGGGCACAATCATAGTGAAATGGCAAAGATTTCCTTGTCCCCTTGCAGGGCCTGCGATGGGGACTGGCTCGCTTCTTTGGGGCCCCGCTGCTCAAACCCCTAGGGGAGCATATAGATGGGCAGGGAGCCCCACGGCAGCTTCTAGGGGTGAATGTTTACAGCTGAACCTCCAGTGGGCATGTGCTACAGGGCACTCTCTTAGTTTAGCCGTCCGTAGGTGGCTTGTGTTAACCAGCTCAGTTAGGCCTCTGCCTTACCGCAAGGACAGAGGGCTTTCTGTATCCCAGGGTTCTTGCTGTGCCGGAAGAATCAGATCACACATGGGCTTGGAGAATGAGTGCAAAGTTTGATTGAGTGGAAGTAGCTCTCGGCAGATGGGGGAGCCAGAAGGGAGATGGCTTTCCCCTGGAATCAGGCCGCTCAGCAGCCGGGGCTCTCCTCCAACCATCCCAACCAAACTCTGCATCGTTCCACTAGCTGATCGCCTGCCGGAGTCTCAGTGTGCTCTTCTGCCGGCGTGCTCCCCCTGATGGCCTCTCGACGTCCAGCCGCTTGTGTGTTCTGCCAATGGGCTCCTCTCCGTGTCCAGGGCTTAGGTGCCTGCCCGCTAGGTCTCAGGGTTTCTATAGGCACCAGATGGGGGCGTGGCAGGGCAGGGTGGTCTTGGGAAATGCAACATTTGGACATGAAGGCAGGGTGTGTCTATCCTCACCTAGGTCCGTGGGCACAGGCCTGTGCGTGGAGCCCTAGCCAGGGACCATGCCCTCCTCTAGCCAGCACTTCCCTGCCCACCACTCCTGCAGCCTTCAACTCCTGGGCTCGCATAATCCTGCTGCCTCAGCCTCCTGAGTAGCTGGGACCACAGTTGTGCACCACCATGCCCAGCTATGTTTTTAAAATTTTTTTGTGGAGATGGAGCCTCGCTATGTTGTCCAGGCTGGTCTTGCACTCCTGGGTTCAAGCAGTCCTCCTGCCTTGAGGCTGGGGTTTTCCAGAGTTTTGGAGTGGGCCAAATGTGCAGATGGTTGATTAGTAGAAGGTTGCAGGGTGAAGCCACAGGACAGAGTGAAGAAGCTGTTCTCATGTGGATCCCATCCCTCCATGAGGGTCTTCAAACTGGTTGCTGGAATTTGGGGTCTGAAAAACATCTTAAGGAATCAACAAAAGCCTCATGACTGTAATATCAGGGATCGCATCTGTGGGAACACAGTGGTCACGACCGAGGGCAACGTGGTGATGTTTAGCAGCGAGAAAGCGGGCCACCGTGCAGTCTGATTAATGCTTAATTATAATAATATTTCTGTCCAGAACCCGACATGCAATTCTTGTCAGCCCTGTGGAGACAGTTTTGTTACAGGAAAGGGGTCCGGATCCAGACCCCAAGAGAGGGTTCTTGGATCTCCTGCAAGAAAGAATTCAGGGTGAGTCTGTAAAGTGAAAGCAAGTTTCTTAGGAAAGTAAAGGAATCAAGAATGGCTACTCCATAGTCAGAGTAGCCCTGAGGGCTGCTGGTTGCCCACTTTTTTGGTTATCTCTTGATGATACGCTAAACAAGGGGTGGATTATTCATGCCTCCCCTTTTTAGACCATCTAGGGTAACTTCCTGATGTTGCTATGGCATTTGTAAACTGTCCTGGCGCTGGTGGAGAGTGAGGACGTCCAGAGGTCACTCTCGTGACCATCCTGGTTTTGGTGGGTTTTTGTCGGCTTCTTTGCCACGACCTGTTTTATCAGCAAGGTCTTTGTGACCTGTATTTTGTGCTGACCTCCTGTCTCATCCTGCGACTTAAAATGCCTTCACCGTCTGGGAATGCAGCCCGGTGGGTCTCAGCCTCATTTTACCATTTTACCCAGCTCCCGTTCAACACGGAGCTGCTCTGGTTCACATGCCTCTGACGGTTTCACCTTCTGCTCAGAGCATTTGGACCTCCACAGGCTCTGACTCAGCCCTCTTATCCCAGGCTGATCCCATCCCCGTCTAAAAATCCCACTAACTTCCTTCTGAGAAAGTTGAGAGTCTTGTTTATACTAAAGTGTTAATGACTCACAAAGCATTCCCAGAGGAAAAGTTAACAGGAGGAGACTGTGAGGCTCTGGCGGTGAAAGGTCAGGCATGAGCCCTGGGGGAGATGTTTTCTTCTCTGGAGGCCCCTCCTGAGACCCCCCATCTCTGCACAGGAAGACGAACCCTGTGCCCAGCGGGTCCACCTATCTGCCCACGTGGCCCCAACCCCAGGCTTCATGGAGTAGAGCAGGGCTCATTCGTGTGGCACCCACACGCAGTTTCAGGGCGTGGACTTTCCCGGATGGCTGGGTGGCTTTGGGGGAGGTGTGAGCTGTTGGTGGAGAATGCTGAGCCCGGCCCTGACGACGGTCCTCTTTTCCTGCCTTAATAGGCTAGTCCCCATCACTGTGGGGGGCAATTTGGGGATATTCTCCTCCAACTCCTGCTGGTTCTGAATCTTGCAGGGAGCTGCAAATCCCAGTCACTGTGGGGTCTTGGGGCTTCTAGGAGTCCCTGCTGGGCCCAGGGCTTTTTTCTCACTGACCTGGAGGCCTCTCCCCACGGCTCCCCATCTGACATCTTCTCAGCTGGGAGACTTAATTGTAAAGACTCACAGGGATCCAGGGGGCATCACAGGGGGCCCTCCTAGGTACTGACAGATGTTTATTCATTTTGAAAAATGGGCAAATAGCAAATAAAGATGTTTAGGGTATGTTTGGAAGAAAACAGCAAAATAGTAACAGCAGTGCTTACCGCTCAGCGGGGAGAAGGCATATGGGTTTTCCCAGCTTTTATTTGGAAATCATTGTAGATGCAGAATTGCAAAGAAGCCTAGAGGTGTCCATGCACCCTGCCCCACCCCACGGTATCATCCTGCAAAGCTGCAGGGCAACTGCCAAATCCAGACACACACGCCCCGGTGCCCACAGGGATGGCTCAGACATCGAACTTCGCTTTCTTTATACTCCCAGTATTCCCGACACTTCTGGAATAGGCACATGACCATTATTTTTAGCTCCTTATTTCTTTTTATTTAATTAAATAAGCAACATATGGATAGTCCTTGTTTTGAGAATTTTGGGCCGGCCGCACACGGCAAAGCAGCTGAGCGCCCCTCAGCAGCTCCCTGCACAGTTACGCACTGGGATGGCACTGCGATGCGTGTGGAGAAACACCTGCTGGGTTTGGAGGTGCACAGGACCTCGGGGCGATCCCACCGGAGGAGCGGGGCTCGGCTTATGGCCCAGCTAACCCCAACTCCCCAGTGGGCCCCAGGGCCTTTCCTTCCACTTCCAGGAGTGACACCAACCTTGTCTCCTCTCCGAGCCCCAAGCAGTGGGAAGAGAGGGTCCCATAACAGGCCATGGCAGCGGCCTCTGCTGCCTGCCCACCTCAGAGGGTCCCCAGCTTGAGAGTTCAGAGCAAACCTGGGTGCTGCATGTGTCTCTCCCCTGGAAGAAGCAGGCTGGAGACAGTGGCCCCTCTTCCCACCTCCCCGGTGCACTGCGGGCAGACTGGGAACCAGGCAGCAAATCCACCCAGCTTGAGGCCCACGTCCTCCTGAAAGGGCCCCAGGCCCACACCCGGGGTTTTGCTGAAGTGACCAAAGGTAACCGCTGTGCTGAGGGGGCGGTGGAGGACAGGGAGGGGGCGAAGGCGAGGTGGGCGCTGGAGGACGTGGGGGTGAAGGCGAGGTGGTCGCTGGAGGACAGGGAGGGGGCGAAGGTGTGGTGGACGCTGGAGGACAGAGAGGGGGCAAAGGCGAGGTGGGCGCTGGAGGACAGAGAGGGGGTGAAGGCGAGGTGGGCACTGGAGGACAGAGAGGGGGCGAAGGCGAGGTGGGCACTGGAGGACAGAGAGGGGGCGAAGGCGAGGTACCCTGAGATCATCCCAGAAAACACACTGGGAAGTTCTACCTTGTGTCTAGCCTAACTCCTTTGCTGGCCCTCAGGCCCTTTCCCGACAGCCCTCCCCTCCTATGCCCCTGAGCTTCCTGCTGCCTCTCCCTCTGCGCCCTGCAGCCCTGGCTTCTGGGCTCTATCCTCAGCAGGGCCTGCAGACACCCCAGAGGCCTTAAGAGCCTGGGAGGGGTTTCCAGCCACACCCTTCACTTTGATTTCTGCAGGAAACCAGGTGGCTCTGGGCCTTGCATAGGAAAGGGTTGGGGGTCTCGCTGGGGCCTGGCAACACTGGCCTGAGTATGACCAGAACAGTCACCAGAGGCCTCCTGGGAGGGCGGGTGCAGCCCCAGCCCCCGCCGTGAGTGGGGGTCGGGGGGCAGGTGTGAAAGTGTGGTGGGCAGCAGCTGGGTCTATGCGGCTCAGCAGTGGGAAGAGAACGGGCCAGGCTTCCAGGTGAGCTCAGGGACGGTTTTCACTGCAGCTAACCCTCTCCTGCCCACCTGCGCTCCCCGTGGCAACCAGCGGCCCTGCAGCGTGCGACTCCTCTTTATTCTTCCAAACTCTGTGAGCCTGCACGCTCCCATCCAGGACGGAACAGCAGGGGAGAGTGGCTGAAGGATGACAGGGGGCTTTTAGGGCCAGCCGGGTGGATGAGCTGGGTTTGCTGGGGTTGAGGGCTCAGTCGGGGGTTGGGGGGTGTCGAAGTCTGGGCCCCATCCAGCTGTCCTTTTTGTCCCGCCCAGGTGTCCCTGGGGTTCCTGTTCTGCCCCTGGCTTCTCTGGGGTTAAGTCCTCCTCCCTGTTCCCTCACTGTGGGGTTTGGCAGTGTGGCACAGTGTGGAGCTTGGACCGGCAGCCAGGGTCACAGCAGACCTCAGGAACTCCGATTCCAGTGCCAACACTGAGTACTCCTCTTTTGGGGGCATCAGAGCCTCTCCCTTGGCTACCTGGGGAGGCTGGTATGGAGGGAGGTGGAGGGAGATGGGGGAAGGGGGAGCGGGAGGTGAGGGCAGCTCGGGCCCTTCTTTTTGCTCTGATCTTCCTGGCCTGAGGACAAGAGCTGCTCCCAGACCTGCAGAGGCCCCTTGGGGCAGAGGGATGTTTCAGAGAACAGCCGGGTGACCTGCCTCCCTGCTCTGCGTGACGCAGCCCTAGGCCCCTGTGAGGCTAGAGTCACCCCCGCAAGGTGGGAGGTCACGGCCCCTGCCTGCACAGGCAGCACAGCTCACATGTCCTTCCTTGAGCCTTCTCTGCTTCCGGAGGCTGCCCTGGGCGCCTGACCTTGGAGCCATCATCTCCAGCTCCCCAACCCCTCCCCCACAGCCCTGGGGCAGACACCAGCCTGGGGAGGGGTCTCCATGCTCAGTTCCTTCCCGTCTTGTTCAGAGAGACGTGGCCTGCCCACGTGCAGTCAGCGGCATCCGCAACCCTGCCAGGGGCCCCGTGACACGCCCCCGCTGCACAGAGCATGTGACCCCAGAGGCCACCCTGGCCACTTCCAGAAAGCTGTGGGCCCTGGGATACTCCCCTCCCAGGGTGTCTGGTGGCAGGCCTGTGCCTATCCCTGCTGTCCCCAGGGTGGGCCCCGGGGGTCAGGAGCTCCAGAAGGGCCAGCTGGGCATATTCTGAGATTGGCCATCAGCCCCCATTTCTGCTGCAAACCTGGTCAGAGCCAGTGTTCCCTCCATGGGACCTAAAGACAGTGCCAAGTGCCTGCACCGTGGACCACAGCCGAGCCACTGGGCAGCCGGTGATGGTCCCACGCAGGAGCGCTGTGGACCCCGCTCTCTGGGCAGCCCTGTCCTAGGCCTGGACACCTGCAGAGCCTGGGACCACGTGGATGGGCAGATCCTGGGCCAGCTGCGGCCCCTGACAGAGGAGGAAGAGGAGGAGGGCGCCGGGGCCACCTTGTCCAGGGGGCCTGCCTTCCCCGGCATGGGCTCTGAGGAGTTGCGTCTGGCCTCCTTCTATGACTGGCCGCTGACTGCTGAGGTGCCACCCGAGCTGCTGGCTGCTGCCGGCTTCTTCCACACAGGTCAGTCCCGGGCGGGGGGGCCTTCCTGCCGTGGGCCTGGGCACGATTCTGGACCCTTCCAGCCCAGGGCTCTGCCTCCTCCGTAGCATCCATCCCCCAACAGGAAGGGTCTGGCCTGATGACGGAGCAGTGGTCCTGCAAGCCCCTCCAGTGCCCATGGGCTCGTGCCTGACACCCTCCCCCGGAGTCTCTGCTGGCTGAGTGTTTCAGACCGTGGGATGTGAGGAGGGGCTGCCTCTGGCCACAGTCTGAGGGTCTCAGCTGTGGAGGCCGCCAGCTTGGTGCACAAGTACCCCTTTGTGATAGAAGTGGGTGGGGCTGACATTGCCTGGGGCCCTCACCTTCCCCGCTGCTGTTCTGCACAGGGAGAGGAGATGTTTAAAGAACAGGATCAGGGTGACCAAGGCAGGCAGTGGTCAGCCAGAAGGTCCTGGATGCTCAGCCTGTGGGGAATTTCTCCAGGCCCCAACCTGCAGCTACTGTCTGGTCTTCCCCAACTGAATCAAGTCCCCGGAGTACCTATCCTAGTCTTGGCCCGGGCCTGCTCCTCTGCCCTACAGCTGCAGACCATGTGGTCAGACCTGAGTTCAGGTCCCAGCTCTGCCACTTCCTGGCTGAAGGACAGGGCAGCAGGGCCCACCGAGGGCTTTACAAATACTGGCACAGCCATGGTCATTGTCAGCAGTGGGCTCTGGCGGGGCACCATCCTGGTAAGGCTGGACCAACTTAAGACAGCTGGTCGGGGGGACAGTGGCTGGGACAGTCAGAAGCCGTGGCGTGAAGGGGCAGGCCCAGCTCACCCACCTCCCTGGAAGTCCAAGGCTCAGGAGGCAAAGGCCAGGCAAGAGGCATGGCAGGTGCAGAGCCGGGGTCTTTGGGGCTGGTAGAGGTCCAGTGCCCGATGCAGCCCAAACCTGTGATGTCAGTGGCAGGTGACGTATCGCATGGATGCCGATGAGGGGACGGGGTCGCCAGGAGGTAGAGAGATGACGGGTCCCCCACCCCCAAAGGGAGGCATGAGTTCCTAAAAGCAAGCCTGGCCCCAGACTGGCCTTCTAGGGCAGCCTCCCTTCTTCTTCTCACTGGGAATCCATCTTGGGGAAGCAGAGACCTGGGGAGGGGCCCTTCTGGCTCCTGAAGCCCCAGGGCTATAGATGTACCAAGCCCTGGGGGGCCCCCACTGCTCACTCTGGGAACAATGCAAATGCCAGCTCAGTCCTTTCCTGAACATTCTCGCCCATCCTGGCCGGCACCCCAGTCACCCTTGTCCCCTTTTCACCTTTGATGCTAATGAGGTACAAGTGACATCCCCCACCAAGCCCCCTGCCCACCCCCTCCTCCTTCTTGCCACCTGGGAGCTCCCCTCCAGCTGAAGCTCTCATAGCCTTGGAAGGACACACCGGGGGCCCGGGGACTGGGTGGGACTTGGCTGGGGCCAGCATCTCTCCGCACCCCAGGCCATCAGGACAAGGTGAGGTGCTTCTTCTGCTATGGGGGCCTGCAGAGCTGGAAGCGCGGGGACGACCCCTGGACGGAGCATGCCAAGTGGTTCCCCAGGTACCGGCTGCCCCTGCGGGGCCCCGGGTCTGATCATGGGTAGGGGGTGGGCCCCCAACGGCTCTGTCGACCCAACACCAGGCCTGCTTTGCCTCCCTGGCCCCACAGGGCACTGGGGAGGCCCTTCTGTGGGAGGTGCTTCTGGCCGGCAGGTACCCACTTTTCCTGTGAGGGCCCCTTTTCGGAAGGGCTGCTGGGGGCAGAAATGCCTCTCCCATGGGACTACCCTGAAGCCCCATGGAGGCGTCTCCACAGCAGCCCTCCTCGCCCATGCCCACGGGCACTGCAGGGTGGCGGGAGGAGGGGGCCCAACCCTGACCCCCGGGGATCCAAGGGCTTGAAGCAGACAGTGGGGGCCCTGAACCCCAACCTACATCTCTGGGGCATCTGCAGCTGTCAGTTCCTGCTCCGGTCAAAAGGAAGAGACTTTGTCCACAGTGTGCAGGAGACTCACTCCCAGCTGCTGGGCTCCTGGGTGAGCGCCACCTCTCCTCGGGGCTCCGGGTGGCAGTGGGGTCCTGCCCCTCCTATTTCCCCAAGGCCTGATGGTCTCTGGCTCCTTCCAGGACCCGTGGGAAGAACCGGAAGACGCAGCCCCTGTGGCCCCCTCCGGTGAGAGCTGACACCACCCCTGCTGACTCCTTGTGCGCCTGCAGCCTGTGCTTGGCCAAGGCCACTGGGTGTCCCCACCCTCCCAGACAGCAGGGAGAGTGACGGGCACGTGACAGGGTGTGACGCTGCTGCCTGGGTTGGCTTCAGGGGGCTGTGCCATGTGAGGGTGGGGGCGGGGCGGCAGGGGCCTCCCCCAGTGCCAGGCCCCATTCTGCTTCTCTCCCAGCTTACCCCTTGGGCACAGCCCATTGCCTGTCGCCATACCACCCCCAACAGTGCCCAGCACACAGCATCTGCAGCTACTGCCAGATGGGCAGGATGTGCAGAGGGCATTGGACAAGGGACAGGCTCTCTGGTGGCGCCTCCAGGAAGCCTCTGGATCCTGTTATGCTGTGGGAGGGGTGGGAAGAAGTGTCGGGAGCGGGGATACTCTGCAGCCCCTCCACTCCCGGCCAGAACTGGACCCCACAGGCTGCAGACCTGTATCTGGGCCGGCCCAGCTTTCTCCTTGGGAGTTAGGCCTCAAGTCTATCCTAACTGTCCACAGTCCCTGCCTCTGGGTACCCTGAGCTGCCCACACCCAGGAGAGAGGTCCAGTCTGAAAGTGCCCAGGAGCCAGGTGCAGGCCCGGGACCCCCTGGGTGAGGGCTGGGGCAGGGGAGGGCTGAGGGACCCCGACCTTCCATGGCCCATAGAGGGTGGGGGCCAGGGTGTGGGGACATTTCGCAGGCCTGTCCTCCTAGGAGGGGTCAGTCCAGCCGAGGCCCAGAGGGCGTGGTGGGTTCTTGAGCCCCCAGGAGCCAGGGATGTGGAGGCGCAGCTGCGGCGGCTGCAGGAGGAGAGGACGTGCAAGGTGTGCCTGGACCGCGCCGTGTCCATCGTCTTTGTGCCGTGCGGCCACCTGGTCTGTGCTGAGTGTGCCCCCGGCCTGCAGCTGTGCCCCATCTGCAGAGCCCCCGTCCGCAGCCGCGTGCGCACCTTCCTGTCCTAGGCCAGGTGAGCGCCCCAGCACCACGCGCAGCCAGCCCTCCTGCGGAGGGGGCCCTGAGCCGGCTGTGCCCGGCCCTCCTGAACCCATGCAGGCCCTTCCCGGGTGGCAGCGTCAGCTTGTTTTTACCCGGCTCCCAGGTCCCGCTGATAGCGCCCATCAATCTTACTACCTCCCTTGACGCTTAGGTTGGGGCCTGGTCCTTCGGGCACCGTGCCCTGGCGGCCACCATAGCTCTGCCTGCCTGCATTAACTGACGCCTGCTGGCTCCTCTCAGCCTTGATTTTCCTCAGTGGTCAAGGAAAGCCGGCTTTGGAGGCGTTTGGGGAAACAGGGTGGGCCAGGTTGGGCTTACACAAGCGAGACACTGGCCTGGCTTCAACCCGGGGCCAAGGCATGGTGGGAACACCTGCACGGGAAGGGGGTGTGTGAACCTGTTCTTAGAGAAGTGGGTGGGATACCCCATACTGGCCGAGGGACAGGTGCTGTGACCGCCTCGGGGCTCCCCAGAGCCTCTGTAGTTACCCCCGGGATGTGTCTGAAGATCTGGCAGGGGACAAAGTGGTCGGGCAGGGAACTCTGGGATCTGAGGCCCCTGGCTAGGTGGGCCCCGTCGGTTGCCATTGACTCACCCACCCCTCCTCTCCCTCTAGGTGCCATGGCCGGCCAGGTGGGCTGCAGAGTGGGCTCCCTGCCCCTCTCTGCCTGTTCTGGACTGTGTTCTGGGCCTGCTGAGGATGGCAGAGCTGGTGTCCATCCAGCACTGACCAGCCCTGATTCCCCGACCACCGCCCAGGGTGGAGAAGGAGGCCCTTGCTTGGCGTGGGGGATGGCTTAACTGTACCTGTTTGGATGCTTCTGAATAGAAATAAAGTGGGTTTTCCCTGGAGGTACCCAGCAGCCTGTTCCAGACCACGAGCTGCCTCCCCACCCACCCAACCCGACACAGGTCACCACCTCTCCAGGCTGGCAGGGCAGCACCTGCCCAGGTCCAGCTGGCTCCAGGCTGCTCCCCAAACTTCCCCCACTCCCGCAGACACCCCCCTTCCAGGCCCCTCACCTCCTTCCCCTCGCGCTTATCCTCCAGTATTTTAAGGACTGTTGGAACGGGCAGGCCGCAGGCCCCACCTGAGATTGTACCCCTGACTGTCCCCCAAGCTCGGCATCTTCCACAGAGTGGGTGAGGGCCATGTTCCTGTTTATTTACCAACTTGATGATACCTGGGGGAGCCTTTGGGACTGTTTGCCCAAGAGCCCCCTTTACAAGAGTACTGCCTGCTCGTCACCACCATGTGCCCTGCCCTATGCCTTGGGGCCTGGCTCTGCTGTTCCTGGTCAAGCCCAGCCCCCACCCTAGGGCTCCATCAGCCTCAGCTCCTGGGTGGGGTGGGGGTTCTTCTGGCACGAGTTTGGGGTTAGGAACCCTCCATGTTCAACAGGGGCCCTCACCGCTTGAGGGGTCTCGGGCCTCACATTGACTTCCTGGGGAGGCTGCATCCCAGCAGCAGTGCTTGCAGCCCGAGGGTCCAGCAGCCCCAGGTGGGCACCTGAGGGAGGGGCTCCTCGACGAGACGACAGCCTGGGGGCAGAGCTGTGACCCCCATGTTGCCAGAGGAGGTGGGCATGTGGGGTTTTGCCTTTTCTTTTGTATGTTTTCTTTTCTTTTTTTTTTTTAAGAGAAAGGAAATTACAAACTCTCTTGACGCTGCAGCCAGCCGTGGCACTGCCCTGCCGCCCTGGCTGGTGTCCAGTACTTAGAACCCAGGGCAGGTGCTGCCGGCCGCCTGGGGGGTGCTGGGTGGGGGCGCGTCCCAAGGCCTGGGAGCTCCTGTCATTGTCACTGGTCGGTCGCTGAGGCTGGAGGCCACAGGAGCAGGATCAGCTGTTTCCTCACTTACGCAGGCCTGTGGGGACAAGGTCAGAGAGCACCTGGGGGAACAGGGCTGGGGCAGCCACTGGGGGCTGCCACCCCCTCCCCTTGGAGAACCTGAAATGGAACAAAGTCCAAGCAGTGGACGGCTTCAGGCCTTTGGCAGAAAGGAGATGGGTGGGACTGAGGCTCTGGAAAGCCCCCACTGCCTCTCTCTGTGCCGGCAGGTCAGCGTCTTGTGCCTGTTTGCTGACATCTCAGTGGGGTCTGGCCTGTGGGGCTGGGAGTGGAGAGGGGGCTCACCCAGGGGTGTGCCTGGGTCCCTGGCTCAGGGTCTGCGTGTGACCCCACCCCTTCCCAGGTCTTTATTCCCCTGTTCTCTGACATGGGAGCTGGGCTCCTGCTACCTTGAACGGCCCCTGCCGGGACAGCCCTCATTTTTAGGAGAGAAGAGCCAGGGGCTACCCAGGGGCGTGCCATCAGGTGTGTCTGGGGGCCTGGGCAGCCCAGGGGCGGTGCAGCCACCTATTCTGAGCCCCAAACTAGGATTGTGTACGGGGCGGGCTGTGTGGCAAAAGCTGTTTCAGAGGAGGCCAGGTGGGAGCCCTGGCACCCCATGCCAAAGTCTGGGGTTTGCAGAGCTGTGGACACTGCCTTTCAAGAAACAAGTCTGGTTCTGCCAGATAGGAAGCCAGGGCCCCAGCTCCTGCCACAGAGAGACCCCTACAGCACCCCCATGCCGCCTGCTGGGAAGTGGCTCTTCAGGACACCCTTGCGGCCCCCGACTCAGAGCCGACTCCTGGACCCAACCCCCTCCCACAGTCTCCATCTCTGCTGGGCTCTGAGCTTCTGGGCTGGGACTGGGTCCTAGGTCTCTGCAGCCCCAGTACCACCCCAGAGCCTGGCATGAAGCAGATGTTAGAAAAGTGAGAGTGGATGGATGGACGGATGGATGGCAGAACGGACAGGCAGGTGCCTGGTGAGGCCCCCAAGGAAGGCAGCCTCTCGCTGTGAGGGCCAGATTGGCCAGGCTGGCCGCAGAGCAGGTTCTGCCAGCCATACTTACAAGTACACCTGCTTGGACAAGAGACTGGATGGCTTTTCATTGACATGGTAGAGAGGAAATGGATCAAATCCACCAATGAAATCAACTGAAAGAAATCAAGACCCAAATAAAACAAAACCTACACAATGGAAAAGATGTCAGAGTGGAAAACAAGCCCAACCAGACAAAGAAGCCCAAGGGGTCCCTGGGGGCACAGACAGTGCCCAAAGCCCTGACATGACAGCAGAGGGAACATGGCCTGGGGGGACGGGGGGGGTGGGACACCCGGGTCCTCGGCCTGTGCGGGGACGGCATCGGGGGACAGTGGGGGTGGGACAGCCCGGATCTTCAGCCTGTGCGGGGACATGGCCTGGGGGGACGGCAGGGGTAGGACAGCCCGGGTCCTCGGCCTATGTGGGGATGGCCTCGGGGGACAGTGGGGTCAGGACAGCCCGGGTCCTCCAGCCTGTGCAGGGGCTGCACCGTGTTCCGCCCACTCTCCCGCCGCCCTCCGTCATGTTCAGACCGATGGCTTCCTTGACACTGTGTCTGCACAGCCAGCAGGCAGCAGGGGCTTGCGGGGCAAAGTCGAGGCATTTTGAACCCCAGGTTCAAATGGGGTTCCCATCTTAAAATGTTTGAATGGAACCAGTCGTTTGCCTCCTCCCAGGAAGCTGGCTGAGCTCTGAGTGATGGTTTAGGATCAGCAGCAGAGTGGCTGAGGGATGCTGGGCGCTGGGGACCGAGGCTCTGAGGGCATTCCTCGCCTCTGGAATCAGGCCTGGTCTGAGGGTAGGGTGCCCTTTGACACGTGGACTGCTGACCCCATGGCCCCTGGAGTCCTGGGGACAGATGGTTCTGAACTGGATTCTGACCCCAGGGAGAGTTCTGTCCATAGGAACCAGGACCCCTGGGCACACCCAGACCCTGCTTGGCGTCTGCCCTTCCCCACCCGGCTCTATCCTTCTCCACAGGGTCTTCCTGTGAGACCACACCAGGACGAGGGGACCCAGCGAGGGCGCCTGAGTGTGGACCACTCGTGTTGCAAATCACAGGAAAGCTGACGGGCTGGCGAGCAAAGGGAAGATGAAACCCTGCCCAGATGGGTCCAGGCTGCCACCGAGGGCCTGATGTGAGCGTCCTGGCCATGGGCCCGGTTCCGATCTGCCTGGAGGCTGCAGCGGCCTGGACCTGGGCAGTCTGAGCTCAGACCTTCCTCCCGTGGCCACTGCGGGGATCATGAGGGCAGGCCCAGCCCAAAGCACAGGAGTCCTTGGACCGGGGGGCAGCTGACCCCTGGAGCCCCCAGGCTAGGACCTCTGCTAATCTCTTCCCTGGTGTGTGGCGAGTCCTCGCTCAGGCCTACGGCCGTGAGCAAGGCCCTGCTGGGCGTGAGGTCCCTTCCAAGTGGGGAGGTCTCTCGCCTTGCCCCAGACGGGACAGACTCAGAGCTGCCACCTCTGTAGCCGTCTCCCGCCCCACTGCCTGCAGAGGCCCCATACTCACAGCTGTCCTCTTCCTCCGTAAACACGCTGACCACCTGGCAGCCACAGACAAAGCCCAGAAGCTGAAAGACACCACAGGCAGGGGCGTGAGTGCGGCCAGGCGAGCCTGTGGGGTGTCATTGAGGCGATGTGGGCCGAAGCACTGGAGCGCCCCTGACCACCAAGGCCCTGCCTCTCCTGGACCTCAGGTTCCTCCTCTGTGACTTGGAGTGGGAGAGCTGACCCGTGGGTATCCTCAGCTCTCAAGCTCCGGACGCACCCCTGCCTTCCACCCCACCCCACTCAACTGGGTAGGGGGCAGGTGGGTGAGGATAATGGATATTGGGTGGGGAAGATGAGCAGGTCAGCCTGAGTGGCTGCAGGGAGCGGGGTGAGGACACAGAAGCCCAGGCTGGATGAACCCCAGGCCAGCACAGTCCCAGCCCTGCGTCCCCTCGGGCCTCTTGCCTTTGGCCCCAGCCCACTCCAGCCAGCAGCCACCAGGGGTTCCTCCTCCTCTGTGGAGCAAGCCATCTGGGATTCTGGTTTTGAGCCCGGCAAAGTGCAGGAGAGACAGGCTGAGGACTCGGGGTCCAGCGGGCAACTCCGGGCAGAGTTGGGGGCTGGCTGCTGCCTTTGGGGCAGGGGTCAGGCAGGGAGAGGGGAGGGACTGGGAGTCCAGGGCAGAGGGCAGGCCGCTGCAAAGCCCCACACACCTCGCAGACACCTGCATCCAGGGCCACTGAGGGAAAAAGGGCTCTGGCAAAGGGGGGGCAGTGCTGCCGCAGCCAGAAACACCAACAGCATGAGCGAGAGGGCCTGGCCAGGGGCACTCCAGGCCACAGACACCGAGGGAGGCGGCAGTGGGTCTGTGACTGGAGGGACCCCGGAACGAGGCAGGAAACCTTCCTGGTTGCACCTCAGGCCAACCACTCAGCAGCCGGGTGACCCCAAAAATTCACTTCATCTTCTGGTCTTGGTTTCTTCCTCCATAGACTTGGCCCAACAGCCCCCCGTGAAGGCCACCGTGCCCAGGAGAGGAGACAGGACACGCAGGCCAGGCCCCAGGGCTGGACATGCTTGGGCTCCGTCCCCCCGACCCCCGACCCCATCTGGTACAGGCAAGTTGGTGGTTGCTTTCCTGGAAATCCAGCTCCTTTCTAGGGGTCAGTCAGGGGCCAGGAGACCTCTCTTACCACCAAGCAGGCAGACCTATCTCCTTGATATTGAGACAAGCTCAAGAAGCTGTCCCAAATGGCCATTTCTGGTTCCATGCCACGGCCAGGGTGGGAGCAGCGGTGAGGGTGGGCAAC
The DNA here is from genome assembly GCF_000001405.40 of Homo sapiens. Lineage (NCBI taxonomy): Eukaryota > Metazoa > Chordata > Mammalia > Primates > Hominidae > Homo > Homo sapiens. The sequence goes on from NC_000020.11 coordinate 63,245,315, forward strand.
CTCCACGGCTCGTCCCCCTCCTCACCCCAAAGGAGCCCAAGACGCCCCCATCCCGGAGCTGGCCGTGGCGCCGAACAGGCAGCCGAGCTTGGGGAGCCATTGGAAGATGCCCCTTCCAGCCGGTGCCCTCCTGCCTGGGGACCTGCAGGCCACCTCTGTCCCACACCCCCATGCTCCCCGCCCTGCACACCACCGCCTCCTGCCCATCCTCCTGGCTCCAGCCCCAGGTCCACCCCAAAGCTCTCCCCTCTCCCTGCTGCATGGAGGCCTGGGATCTGCAGGCCCCGCACCCCAACCCCCAGAGCCTGGCCTTGTCAGACGACTCTCTTGCCACCACCATTTCCATCCCCAGCACAGCTGGGCAGAGGCCAACCAAGCCGCCAGCCTCTCCCAGACCCTCCAAAGCAAACAGCAGGGGCGAGATCCTAGCGAGGACTAGCTGGCTGGAATTTAGAAACTACATCCTATCAAAGAAATTCCCATCCCTGGGAGTCAGGATAAAAGCCAACAGGAGGCCCCATCTCCCCAACCATGCAGAGTGCCCACTCCTCCAGCCTCGGCTCCCATAGCACGCCAGCCCCCTCCGAGAGACTCTTCATTCATTCCCCTCAAGCTTCCTTTTTTTTTTTTTGAGACAGAGTCTCGCTCTGTCACCCAGGCTGGAGTGCAGTGGCGTGATCTCTGCTCACTGCAAGCTCTGCCTCCCGGGTTCATGCCATTCTCCTGCTTCAGCCTCCCGAGGAGCTGGGACTACAGGCGCCCGCCACCACGCCCGGCTAATTGTTTTGTATTTTTAGTAGAGACAGGGTTTCACCGTGTTAGCCAGGATGGTCTCAGTCTCCTGACCTCGTGATCCGCCTGCCTCGGCCTCCCAAAGTGCTGGGATTACAGGTGTGAGCCACCGCACCCAGCCTAGCTTCTTTTCTGTTGCCTCCTCACAAAGCCTAATCTCAGGAGCTTTGATGTGCACACTTGGGAAATTGGCTCTTTCTCCTCCAGTGGCAGGCACCTGGGTTCCACACATTTTGGGGGCAATTGGGGCCCCCTCTGTGCCTTGCTGACTGGCTTTGGTGGGAGAAACAGGCCCCGACTGGAGCTGGCAGGGTGCGTCTGTGGCCCCTTGCTATGGGGCAGCACCTTCCTGGCCTGATTTCCTGCAGGACCAGAGCAGAGCCCAGGAAGGAGCCCCGGGAGCTCACGAGGCCACCCGCACCGTCACGTGTGCTCAGGCCACGGGCTCCTTAGATTTGGAATTCAGCTCCCACCGCCAGCCGCCGGCCATGGAGCCTCGCTCCTGGAAGCCCCAGGTCCACCTGGTGTGTTGCGTCGACACCACCGTGCGCACCAGGAAAAGCCAGGGAGCCTCGAGATCGGTCAGAAGTTCCTCCAGCGACGGCACCAGCCGTGCTGCAGTCACATTGGCCCTGCCCCCGGAGCTCTTGAGGTGAAACGCTGACCGAGCACCCTCCACACACCCGCCTCAGCTTTTGCCTCTTTCTGAGCACTTCGAGGAAGGCACTGACACCATCTGCATTTTACAGAGGCGGGAGCTGAGGCACACGGAGGTTGTTAGGCTCACAGAGGCGGCACAGCGGGGAAGTGGCCGTGTGGCCATACCAGGAGCAGCATCGTAGCCCCTGTTCTCTACCAACCCGTGCAGGGCCGGAGAGGACGGCAGAGTCCCGTTCCCGCACAAGCAACAGCTGCTCCTCAGCGCCACCCGGGGCCACAGAATCCCTGTCCGGTCAGACCTGGGTCACGTGGCGCCAGCCTTGCCAGATGCATACGCCAGGGTTCCCGACAAGGCTGAGGGGCTTCTTGCCAGCCCAGCCTCAGGCTCTGTCCACTTCCTGTGACCGGCATGGGCTCGGGGCAGCCGAGGGAACAGGCGGGACACGCATGGATGGGTTTGTCAGGAAGATGCATGCCCCTCCTCCTTGGGGCCGTCAAAGCCAGAGGCGGGGTGTCTCGGCCTGATCCGATTCCTTCCCACTCCCCACAGCAAACACCACGCTCAACTTGAGAAAGCGCCTGGGTTGGCCCCGCCTGGGGGAGGTGGTTTGCAGAGGAGGCACTGAGGTGCCAGCCACATGGGACCCACCCGTGATACCTTAACCTCTCCAGCAAGGGTGGGGGATGAGGAAGGCAGAGACACGCCTGAGGCCAGGTCAGCTGGCCCCGCCTCAGGGAGATGAGCCCCCAGCTCCATGTCCCCTCCCCCATCAACCCATCCCCACCCGGGGGCCCCCTTCCCCACGCTCACCGCGATCAGGATCTGCAGGCAACTGTGTAGGGCCTCCACATAGCTGGGCTCCAGGGCACAGCCAGCACCTGACACCAGGGCCTGGCCATGGGGGGCCCCGAGGCCCACTGCTGGCACCTCCTCATGCAGACAGCCTGGCCAGCGCTCACGCCACCAGGAGCGATGCCGGGAGAGGCTGAAGGTCAGTAGCTCGCTGTCCTAGGGGAGAGGTGCAGGAGCAGGGCCGGTTAGCACCAGGAGGTGGGCGGCCTCACCCACTGCAGCCTGCGGGGACGCCACCACACCGAGGCAAGGGGAGGTCCTGTCCTCTCACCTCCCCTGTCCTCCCACTGCACCCCGCCCCCAGGGCTCCAGCCATGGTGGGGAAAGGAATACCAAGGCCCTCCCAGCCGCTCCTGCGCCTGCCCTCGACCCACACACCTCCTCCTCCAGGAAGGCCTCCCTGCCCAGACCCCAGAACTCGCTCTCAGGGGCACCGGGCCCCTTCCTCGTGTCGCTGGCCAAAGCTGCCATGTGACGTGTGTCTGCCTCGGGACAGTCTTCCCGGCTGCAGCCCCAGGTGTGGTTCCAGGAAGCGGGGGCCCGTCTGCCTGGCTGGGCACCTGCCCCAGTGCCCACCTGTGCTACACTGGCCAGAGCAGAGAGCCCCTGGGGGAGACCAAAATCCATCCACCCTGGCTTTAGGACCACCCTCTGAGCTGTAAGCAAAGTGCCTGAAACAGCCTCGGTCAGGGTGGGCTCAGCAATGGCCCCCACCCTGTTTCCCCTGAACAGCCTCGGTCAGGGTCGGCTCAGCGATGGCCTTTTCCCACCCCCTCCCCCCACGTTTCCCCTGGTTCCCTGCATTGCAGGAGGCACGAGGCTTTACCAGCCTGGAGGGTTGGTCGGGCTGGGACAAAGGACCCCACGTGGCCCCAGGAGGGTGGTGTCCATTCACCTGCAGATCTCTGCCAGGGTTTGCCCCTGCTCTGAGGCCCCTCTTCCCCAGCTGGAGCCCCCTCGCCTGCCAATACCCACAGACGCCTTTCTTTCACCAATCAAATCACTGGTCTTTCCCCAAACCTTTACTGAGTTACCAACTACAGACCAGGGCTGTTCTGGGTGCTGGGGACAGAGCCATGCACAGACTGAGCCCCTGCCTCAGACGACAGATGAAAAGCAAACACAGGGGGTGTTACCAGGGGCCCGGCCCAGACCCCAGGGAAGGACCTCGCGCTGCCTCCCAGTCTGCACTCACCTTTAAGAGGCCACCGACTTCCAGGTAGAAGCAGATGATGAAGACGTTCCAGGTGACCCAGACGGCTGCCCACAGCGTGTACTAGGGAGAGGAGAGGATGGGGCGGCAGCTGAACACAGCTCCCGGGCACACCTGCTTGCATCCAGCCCCCGGGGGAAGGGGTCCCATGATCGCATAGGAGGGGCGGCCTCTGCTCCTGAGTCTGGCGGCCCCCAGATGCACAGCATGGAGAAAGGGGTCCCCCAAGCCCACCCTGGGACACGTCTCAGAGCTTTCCCACGTGGGTGCCCCGGGAATGAGGCGGTGGGACAGCCAGCTCAAGGGAGCCCCAGCGCAGGTCGGCGTACGGACACAGCATCCCTGGCTGAGCTGCCGTGACCTGTCCTCGCCTCACCGGGCTGACATTACACGTGGACAGCACAGGCCTCCACTGCAGAGCACCCCAGAAGCCACCCCCAAGAGAGCACCCCAAAGAGCTGCCAGCTGCTTTTGTAAATAAAGTTTTGCGGACACAGCCACACCCATTTGTGCACACACAGCCCAGCTGCTTTTGCGTTGGGACTGCACGGGCCACAGCACCTAAGGTATTTACCATCTGCCCTTTACAGGAAAAGTCAGCTGCAAACTACTGGTCTGGACCGATGATTTGGTTCTGCACTGAATGAAAATGCTGACTGAGCAGAGAGACATTTTTCTGAACATTTTTTCAGCTTCTCCAGAGGATGCAGCAAGGACAGTATGGCCAGGGGTCTGCTGGGGTCCAGGTCCCACCCTGGGCTTCCGACAGTGATTCTGTGCCTGATTTCCCATCTGTAAAGCAGGGATCGTGGCAGCACCCAGATCCCTGGCTACTGAGGGGATGAATTCGTGAAGGCGTTCAGTGCCTGGGGCCCCCCAATATATGCAGCTGCTCCTTCAAGCAGCCTCGGAAAAGCCCCTCCGTCCGAACCAGAATTCTAGATGTCCAGGCAGCAAAGAGGTCTGAACCCAGGGGTCTGGGTTGGCATTTGTGGGGTGTTCAGTGGTGTCCAGGAAAATATGCCAGGATGGTGCCATGGGAGCCGCCATCCTGGTCACCTCAACCCACCTGCCCATAAAGAGGGCCGGGCCCAGGACTCACCACCATGACATAGCGCAGCCGGTACTGGATGGTGCCGAAGAGTCCCAGGATGACGATGATGATGTGGACAAAGTTGGCCAGGATGGGCGCCCACTGGTAGCCCAGGAAGTCAAACACCTGCCTCTCCAGGGCGGCGACCTAGGAGCAGGGCGGGCGCCATGAAGGGTGGACCCGAGGGAGGCCCCAGGCCCGCCAGCCAGGTACTGGGCCAAGGTGACAGGATCTCAGCAGGGACTTCCTCCCCACACCCGCCCACCACACCTTTGTTTGACGAAGGACACCAGGGCTGTAACTCCTGCTCTGTGACCACCACCGAGCAGGCACTGAGCATCTACTGTGTGCTTGGCTCTTCCAAGAAGAATCCCCAAATGAGCCTGACAGGCCCCCTTGTGTCCCCGTGTGTCACCGTCTGTCCCCGGTGAGCGTTCCTCCCTTGAGTAGGCCCCATCCCCTCTGTCCCCAGTTTCCTCATCTGGAGAATGGGAACACCAGGGGCTGCTCTAAATCACGAACTGTGGGGCCAGGTGACAGACACACAGCCCAGAAAACGCCACTCGGGGGGGTCGGATGGCCGGGAGGGACGGACGCGGGTTCACAAGAGTACTGGACGCCGAGGCCCCAGCCTGCTGCCTGCATCTCGGCCTTGGGGACAGGGCTGGTGAGGCTGCTCTCTGGCAGGCAGGCAGCCTCCCCTCCACTTCAGGATATTACAGGACTCTGTTGAACTGCCCTCTACACAGGGCCGAGAGAGAACCAATGAGGGGGGGAGGGAAAGGTGCCTGAGGAATATAAAGTTGGTATTTTATATTTAGGAGACCAAGAAAACCTGAGCAAAGCCATGACCAGGACGCTAACTGCAGGGACTGGCGCACTCGGCACCACCCGTCACCAGCTCCTTCCCACGTGCTGGTGAAGCACAACCCAGAGAAGAGAAGATGCTGTGGAACCCACCCCATCCCCCACCCCAGCCGCCCTATCCCCCACCCCAGCCACTCCATCCCCCATCCCCCATCCCAGCCAAAAGACACCTGGGCCCGGGGGACCACTACCACCAAGACGCAGAGACCAGTAGTGGCCCTGAATGCCAGGCTGTGCTGATATTTATTGGATACAAGACAAAAGGGCAGGGTAAGGAGTGTGAGTCATCTCCAATGACAGGTAAGGTCACGTGGGTCACATGTCCACTGGCCAGGGGGCCCTTGCCTGCCTGGCAGCCGAGGCAGAGAGAGAGGAGAGAGAGAGAGAGAGACAGCTTACGCCATTATTTCTGCTTATCAGAGACTTTCAGTACTTTCACTAATTTGCTGCTGTTATCTAGAAGGCAGAGCCAGGTGCACAGGATGGAACATGAAGGCGGACTAGGAGCGTGACCACTGAAGCACAGCATCACAGGGAGACGGTTAGGCCTCCGGATAACTGCGGGCGGGCCTGACTGATGTCAGGTCCTCCACAAGAGGTGGAGGAGTAGAGTCTTCTCTAAACTCCCCCGGGGAAAGGGAGACTCCCTTTCCCAGTCCGCTAAGTAGCAGGTGTTTTTCCGTGACACTGAGGCTACCGCTAGACCACGGTCCGCTTGGCAACGGGCGTCTTCCCAGACGCTGGTGTCACCGCTAGACCAAGGAGCCCTCTGGTGGCCCTGTCTGGGCGTGACAGAAGGCTCACACTTGTCTTCTGGTCACTTCTCACTATGTCCCCTCAGCTCCTATCTCTGTATGGCCTGGTTTTTCCTAGATTATGATTGTAGAGCAAGGATTATTATAATACGGGAACAAAGAGTAATTGCTACAAACTAATGATGAATGATATTCATATATAATCATGTCTATGACCTATATCTAGTATAACTATTGTTGTATTATATATTTTATTATACTGGAACATCTCGTGCCCTTGGTCTCTTGCCTGGGCACCTGGGTGGCTAGCCGCCCACGAAACTCTTAGTCTCAGGCCTCCCCATCGTGCCCGGAGGACACTAACCTACGAGGAGGGATGTCTGCCCTGCCGGAGCCCCGGGGGGAAGGTAAGCGAGCCCCCCAAGGGGAGCAGTTCTTGCCCTGGCCCACTTTGCCTACGCCGGGCACAGTTCTGTGAGGTCTGGGCTGGCGGCTGGGACAAGCTGCACATCTCGGCTAAGGGGTCTCGGCCTGAGGAGCAGCCTCAGGTCTGGCTCCAGAATGGAGACCCTGCAGCACAGAGGGGCTGGGGGCGTCTTTTTCATCTCGAAGCCAAGGCTCCCAGAGGCTCAGGGCTCCATGACATGTGGCGACATGCATGAGCAGGGAGGCTCATGCCACCATGGAAGCAGGTGACCCTGGTGGCCCTGCCAGGACCCAGCCCCAAACCCCTTCCTGGGCCTTTGGCTCCCAGGGTCTCCTCAATGCAGCAGGGCAGAGCCTGGGAATTGGACGCAGCACAGCCCGGCTCAGAGCCAGCAAAGTTCACACTGTTCTTTGGGGAGAAAGGCGCTCAGAAGAGATGCCTGGGCCCTTTGTCCTGTAGCTTGGTAACACAAAATTCTCACACTTGTCAAAAAAAAAAAGGGGCTATCCAACAACCCCGCCCTTCCTCCCGGGCCCCCTACCCCCATGCAGTGACTAGAGCTGTGGTCAAGGACTCTTCTTCCCCAAGGCAGAGGAGGCACAGTGGGCTGCCAGATTGCCAACCCGGCCAGGACAAAAGGCCTTTGACAGCTCCCTGCTGCGGTTCAGCAGTGACCCAGAGGCTGGCCCTGAGAGGACACGGCTCTGCCCAGTCCCTGGAGAGTCCCCAGGTCTGCTAGTGAAGCCCTGCGGCCCTCAAGCCAGGATGACTCTTTCCCTCTTGGCTGCAACCAAATTTCCAAGGGCCTGCATGTGCGCCCATCTGTCTACTGTCCACCGCAGAGGTGAAACGGGAACATGACCCCACCCGCCCCTCTGCACCCTGAGGTCACATCCGACCAGCACAGTCGTGCCTCACCCTGCACCTGAGACTGAAGCACCCATTTCTCCTGCCCAAACCCCAGCACCATCAACCCCAGCACATCCTCACACCACCTTCAACAGATGGAAACCAATGTCACTAGTGTCCCCCAAAGCAGCCTCACTTCCTGACGCTCATGCATCACCAGCTGCCACTGGCCATGCTCCAAACTGGGGTACCGTCCAGGCTGGTGCCTGTCCTTCATGAGGTCATCCGACGGGCACTGGAGTCTTCGAGTGCCCACCCTTGCTCTCCCCATTCCTGCTTCCAGCCCCTCCCCACCAGTCTCCTAAGGGACTCCTGCCATTGAGGAGCCACTCACTGAAAGATACCAACTGTTCCAAGGCCTGGGATGGTCCTTGGGCCCCCAGCCTGTTGCAGGACCTCAGGTTATCTCCGCGGCCCCAGCGAGCCTCCCAGGAAAGCGCCGGAAGCTCCTTCCTTCCTGCAGGAAGGACACGATGCCTCCGCCGTCCCTAGGTCCGCCCGCAAGCCTGTGCCCCTAAGCCGAGCACAGGACACCCAAGCTGCACAGCCACGGACTCCGAGGGTTTCGCTGCTCAAAACTCTGAAACAGCCCCTTCTGGCCCTTCTAGCTTCAAGAGGAGGAGGGGGGCGCGCGGTCCAGCTGCGCTCCGCAGCCCACAAAGCATCGTTTCCTTTTTAAGACGGGAGACCCAGGGCCAATTAGCATCGAAGCAAAGCAGCTTCCCCAGCCTGGACAGGCGAGGCCTTTGTTTAGCCCCCTCCCCCGAGGGCACCGGGCTCCGGGAAAGAATCCGCCCCCCAGGCGTCCCAGGGAGCTTCGGACTCCGGGGCAGAATGGAAACTTGGCCGAGGGAGCCCCGACCAATCCCGACACCGAAGACGCCCGCGCTGCGCCCCGGGCATCGGCTCCAGCCCCTTCTCGCCTCCGCGTAGCTCCACGCCGGGCGGAATGGGGGGCGGCGGGGGCGGGCGGGGCCGGTTTGCTCGCGGGTGGGCAGGACGTTCTCACCCCCCGCCCCCTACACTCGCAAACTCGCAGGCACAGCCTCCGTCATCGCCCCACCCGAATCTCAGAATCGGAACTTGGCCGCTCACTCGGCGCCCGGGGCCGGCTGCGGGAAACGCTCGCACAGACAGAGACAGGCGCGCACCCGGGGGCGCACCCGGGGCCACACACGCCTCCCCAGGCGATGGGGTCCAGGCGGCCCCGCCCGAAGGCTTCCGTCCGGCCAGCCCATCCAGCCGCTGCCCCGCACCTGTCCCCGCCGCTCCGGACCCGCGGCCGCCCCCCGCGCACGCACACCGGGGACGGGACCCGGCGCCGCGACTCCCCACGCCCCGCAGGCGACGCCACCTTCGGCCGTAGCAGCCCGGGGTCCGAGGCATCCCCCCTCGGAGCTGGCGCGGGACCCAGCGAACGGGCCCCGGGGCGGAGGGACGCTTCGGGACCCCACAGCCGCCGTGGGTCGGGCACCGGGGGCTCCAGGAGGCTCGCGGAGGGGTCGCCACTCACCAGCTGAAAAGCGCAGAGGACGACGAGCGCGCAGCGGCCGGAGCAGGAGCCCATGGTGCCCGCCTATACAGGAGGCCCCCGGGTGCCCCGCGCTCGGCCCCCGCCCCCGCTCCGCCCGCTCCCCACGCGCCGCAGCCTGGACCCCGCCCCCTCCGCATCCCGTTCCCCCCTCCTCCCCGCAACCCCCGGCCCAGCCCCAGCCCCGGGTAACAGCTGCGCTGCGTCTCCCCTCCCACCCCCGCCTGCGGCCCCTGGGGGCTTCGCGCCGGCCGGAGAGGGGGACCGTTCTTAAAGGGGCGATGGCGCGGCCTCTCGGGTAGCGAGGGGCGGCGCCGCGGCCCCAGGACAGACCTGCAGCTGAGGGGAGCCCGCCCTGGACGCGGCAGGGATGACCGGCGTCCGCCCCCTCCTGCAGGATGACCTGCCCAGCACCTGCTCCCGCCGTGCGCCCTCCGGCGTGAGATCCCCATCAACCTTCCCCGTGTGGGGTCTGAGCGACCCGCATCCGCGAGGCGTTTTCTCTGAGAGTCTCAGAGATTCCTTGGCTTGGAGAAGTCCTGGACCCGGGTCCAGAGCTCAGAGGTCCCCTCCACGGGCGGGCGGGCCGAGGACTCAGGAGGAGGGAGTGAGCCGGGCTCGCCCACCTCCCACAGGGAGCTCCTCTGCTGGAAGGCTGAGACCTGAAGGCCAGGTCTGCTCCAACTGCCTGGACCGGCCTCCTGCCTGCGCGGGAGGGGCCTAGGGAGCCTCGGGTTGGGACAGCCTGAGGCCTTGTGCACGGTGGAGGCAGGACCCAGCTGCCCAGGGCAGGTCCTGGGGTCTGGATGGGGCTGAACCCCGTAAAGCCTGCGCTTCCGGAAGAAGCTTGCGCTGGAGGCAGGGAAGGGTCCCAGCCAGGCCCGAGAGGAGCAGGACGTGGATACAGTGAGCCAGAGTGTCAGCCGGTCGGAAAGCCCATGGGGGCAGAACAGCGGGAGATCAGGGCAGGTGGCCGGGCCAGGGCTGCCACTTGGTCTTTACTCAGTGGCAGGGCAGGCTCCCTGACTGCCACCCACCGCCTGAGGAGCCTGAGATGGGTTTCCCATGGCAACCTGAATTCCTGCCCCACTCGAGATTTTATGAATTACTGAGGATTCTTGCCTTCCTAATTTTGGTTGTGTGTCCCACAGTCCCGGGGATCAGGAGGGGTTAACAGAAGACCAAGGGTCAGGTTTTCTGCACTGCGGGGAGCCACCCCAGATCTGTAGTCCAGGCTCATGGGCGGGTGAGGGGGTAGCTTCCAAGCCCCAAAGGTTAGAGAGCAAAGGTGTGGCCAGTTGTGGAGGGAGGGGGAGCGTCAGGTTGTTTGCAGTGCTGGGGAGATAAGAATATTCAGGAATCAGATGGTGGTGATGGTTGCACAGCTCTGTGAATATACTGCAGCCCACTGAGCACTACACTGTAAAGGGGTGACTATTATGGTGTGAGGATTATATCCCGATTTTTAAAAGATGTGAAAAAATTAATGTTTATTTATACGATATATAAGACATTGATTTTTAAATACAGCGGTACCATCCCCGTCCCCCATAACCCTGGTTCCTCCAGGCACTTGGAGCCATTGGTGGAAGGACGTGGACTCCTAGAAGGTGATTCGCAAAGGTGCCACGTAAGCAGAGGAGCCGGGTAAGCAGAGGCCCAGTGCCACGTAAGCAGAGGAAGGCCCGGAGCCGGCTGCTGAGGTCCTGAGGGAGAGGGAGGGGCACCTGCTCAGCCTTGCCTGTGTGTGTGGATCCTTCTCTCTCAGGGGAAGCTGCCTGGACATGCGTGCGCCTTGCAGTTCTGTCCTGCCAGGCTGCCTGCTCTTCCTCTTGAAAGCAAAAGACTTCACTTGCTGAGGATGCAACGATGCTCTAGTGTCCCTTGCAGGAGCCAGTGTCAGAGCCAGGAGCCGTCGTGGGCATCCCCTGCTCCAAAGTTACGAGTTCTGGTGAAGGGGTCAGGACAGCCCCTTTGAGAGTTCAGCAGAGCAGGTCTGCACAGGTCCCACGCCGTGCACAGCCCACACTCCACCTGCCCTGGTGCACACTGACGGCAGCAGCCAGCCGCGGGGACCCCAGGCGCAGTGTTGCCTCGTGAACGTTAGAGCAGCCTCCAGAGGCGGGTTCGGTCTGCACACCTGGTTCGCGGGTGACACAGTTGTGACTTGGCCCAGGTCAGTTGTTGGGGCCTGGCCAGCTGTGGGTGGTGAGGTTTTCTCGGACGCTTCATCTGCTCTCGTTCTTGTTCGAATTCCTTCTGCCTAAGAATGACAGCTTTAAAAGTGAAATGGCAGCACGTCTCCATCATTACACAGAATCCCATGTGGGAAGACCCTAGTCGGAGGCCCCCACCCTTGCCCGGAACTGGACTTTGGGGCAGCAGCAAACTGCAGTGAGTGTGAGTCACACCTGAGGACAGGTGGGCTGTCTTCAGGCTCCCAACAGGTCTGTCGCTTAAGGGGCTGGGGAATGGGGGCTGGAATGCCACGGCCTGCCCACCTGGGGGACTCTGGGCAGAGCTGGAGCAGCCAGGCAGGAAAATATCCCCCAGTTTCCAGAGAGTAAAAGCTGATGGTCCTGCTGAGGTGTGAAGGACAGTGACGGACAGTGATGGAAGGTGATGGACAGAGGAGGACAGTGATGGACAGAGGAGGGCAGTGATGGACAGTGACGGGCAGTGATAGACAGCAACAGAGAGTGGAGGACAGTGATGAACAGCAACAGACAGTGGAGGGCAGTGATGGACAGTGGAGGACAGTGGAGGATAGCAGAGGGCAGTGATGGACAGTAATGGACAGCAAAGGACAGTGAGGGACAGCAGAGGACAGTGATGGACAGCGGAGGACAGTGATGGGCAGCGGAGGACAGTGATGGACAGTGGAGGACAGTGATGGAGAGCAGAGGACAGTGATGGACAATGGAGGACAGTGGAGGACAGTGATGGACAGTGGAGGACAGTGATGGACAGCGGAGGACAGTGATGGCGAGCGGAGGACAGTGATGGAGAGCGGAGGACAGTGATGGACAGCGGAGGACAGTGATGGCGAGCGGAGGACAGTGATGGACAGCGGAGGACAGTGATGGACAGCGGAGGACAGTGATGGACAGCGGAGGACAGTGATGGAGAACGGAGGACAGTGATGGACAGCGGAGGACAGTGATGGACAGAGGAGGACAGTGATGGAGAGTGGAGGACAGTGATGGACAGCGGAGGACAGTGATGGACAGTGGAGGACAGTGATGGAGAACGGAGGACAGCGATGGACAGCGGAGGACAGCGATGGACAGCGGATGACAGTGGAGGACAGCGGATGACAGTGGAGGACAGTGGAGGACAGCGATGGACAGTGGAGGACAGTGATGGACAGCGGAGGACAGTGATGGACAGTAATGGACAGTGATGGACAGCGGAGGACAGTGATGGACAGCGGAGGACAGCGATGGACAGTGGAGGACAGTGATGGACAGTGGAGGACAGTGATGGACAGAGGAGGACAGTGAAAGACAGAGAAGGACAGCAATGGAAGGACAGCCACCCCAGTCAGCACAAACGCAGGCCGAGTGGGGCCCATGCATTCCTGGGAGGACTGGCAAGCTGGGAAAGGCCTCCAGGGCAGGGAAACTCAGGAGAGTGACAGCTTGTTCAGGCCAGGACCTTGTGCATCTTCTCCTTTTTTCTTTCTTAGTAAACCCAGTGTATTCATTTTTAGCGGCTGCCATAACAAATTCCCATAAACTAGCGGCTTGAAGCCACGGAAGTTTATTACGTCACAGTTGTGGAGGCTAGACATCTAACATCCAGGTATGGGCAGGGTTGCACTGCCTTCGAAGCTCTGGGGAGGGTCCTTCCTGCCCCTCCCAGCTCCTGTGGCTCCCAGCGTCCTTAGCCTGTGGGCGTTATCGCTCTGGTCTTTGCCTCCACCTTTGCGTGACCTCCTCCTCTCCTGTGTGTCACTTGCTATGATGCTTGTGATGCCATTTAGGGCCCACCTATGTAATCCAGCATGCTCTCATGTCAAGATCCCTAATCACATCTGCAAAGAACCTTGCCCCAAACTCCTGGCTTCAAGCAATTCTCCTGCCTTGGCCTCCCAACATGCTGGGTTTGCAGGTGTGAGCCACTGTGCCAGGCCTAGATTTGGGGGCCACCATTCAGTCGCTGCTCTCCCACACCTGCAGCAGCCCCAGCCCGCCCGCAGGGCAGACCTTCCTTGTGGCAGAGACAACAGGAAAAGGAAAGGAAGAGGAACCCAGGCCTGGGTTCCCGGCAGAGCTGTCCGCAGAGCCTGTGCGGGGCTGCAAAGGCCCCTCTGTTGTCACAACACCCCTGTCCCCGTTTCAGATGAAACCGGGAGAACTTTCAACTGCAACAAACACTCCTGGAAAAGGAGAGGCCAATCCCCATGGCTCCACAGAGAGCACAGCCAGACCCCTTCATCCAGGCCCACAGGCAATGTTGTCGACTCTGTTCTTCCTTTGAAAAAAAAGGGTGCTGGTTGGTTTCCAGTTTACTGCAGACACACAGAGAGGCCCCTCTCTGGCTCAGAGCCTGGCCCGGGTCTCTCCAGTCCCAGCTTCTCCCTCCCGAAAGGAACGTCCTGCCCAACAATGCAACACGTGTGTGCACTCCCAGTGTGGGAATCAGGCTGAGCTGGACTTCAGGGGCAGCCCAGGATGCTTGCCTCGGGTGGGGCGTTTTCCCAGAGGTTTCTTGGGAGCTGCCTGGGAGTTGCCGCAGCTTCTTCCCAGCTGGCTTCAGCCCAGGCTTCCTGGGTGAGATTCTTGTTCCCTGGCCCCTCACGGTACGCGTGGTCCTGTTCCCCGCAATCCCCCACCCCCTTGAACTCCGTTCCCACACTCAGGACCCACCCAGATGCCAGCTCCCCGCAGAGCAGTGCAGCCCCCCACTTCCAGCCCTGACGGCACACACCCTGCCCCCCACCACCATTTTGGAATTGTTCTTCGCCAGAAATACCGTTTCCCACCCTGTCTTCTTATTCTCGGAGGCAGAGGCACTTCAGCTTCCTGGGCCGTCTGTCACTGAGTCACCCTGGTTTCCATTGGCAGTGCCGCCTCTCCCTCACTCGGATGCTTCTGTGCAGCCACACGGGCTGTGTGTGCAACCTCAGGGGACGCATCAACCACGTCCTCGGGCTGGCCGTAGAGACATGGCCTCCGCCTGAGTGTGGCCGTCAGACTCTCCCTGGTACTATAAGCCCTCGGCTGAGGGGGCAGAGGGGCAGCTAGGATCATGGCCGCAGCTCCCAGAGGGGAGCCCCCATCCTCCAGGCCGTCTTACCGAGCCTGCTCCCCAGCCTGCGCCTTTCCTGACTTCCCTCCAGGCTCCTGTTGCTGGCGACCACAGAACCAGCCTCAGGGCTTTCCTGTCCTTCCTGTCAGGGGTCCTTTCCCAGTGGGAGCTCTGGGCGGGTGGGCCTGTCCCAGGAGAGTCACGTAGCTTGTTTAAGGAGAAGATCCCCATGGCTCTTGTGTGCACATGTGGGGCCTCTCTCCCCAGGGGCTGCTGTGAGCCTGGGAAGTCCCAGGTGGTGTCTCATGCCCCAGAGAGTAGCCCCCTGTGCACCTCGCACACGCCCTCCTGCGGGTCTGCTGACTTTCTCCTCTGCCTCAGCCAAGTCTCCCACGCGGAGCAGGTGGGAACTGAATGAAGGCCTCACAGGATTCTGAGTCCCCGGTCTGACACCCACCTGGCTCAGCACCTGCCTCCTCAGCTTCCAGTTGCACGGGTGGCCGCAGGCGTCAGGGTGTGACGGCGAGCGTGGCCAGTCCGGTCAGAGGTCTCTGCATCCTCCACACCTCTGGCCAGGTGAGACCCAGCCTGTGTCTCTCCCAGCTCTACTGACGGACGGCAGGAAGCTGAGACCCCGAGCCCGTGTGTCCTCGGTTCTTGGTGCTTTGCAATGCCCCTGGCCCTGGCTGCAGCCGCCCCCTGGCTGGGCCCCGAGCCTGTCTGCCCTGCAACACTCACCCTTCATGAAGAGGGAGCCTCAGCCGAGAGGAGAGCAAATAAGTGTAAGGGGAGAGGGTGCTTCCTGAGACACGCGGTGGGCCCAGGGCTCCTGCCTTGGCCATTCCGTCCATCTGTGGGAGGGCCTTGGCCTCTCTGCTTTTGGAGCAGGGCGCTGGGGCTAGGGGATTGCAGCCACAGCCACTCTACTGCACTGGTTGGGAGCTCGGATCACCTGGGTGCAGAGGAAGCTTTGACGGCAAGGGTTGGTGTGGCTCATCTCGCCCACCCCACAGCCATCGCCGCCCCGCAGACACCTCTGGATCCCGGCCTGCCGTCCCTCCTCCCGAGCCTACATTAGGCTCCATCCTTCCCCAGGCCCCATGCCACCAGCAAGAACAGCCCAGCCAATGCAGACTGCACCCCTCGGCCTCGGCCGGGACCGAGCACACTGCCCTGTGTGCTCTCCCTGGCCCCTGAGGCAGGTGGCCTGACCCCTGTCTTCAGAGGGGAAAGCTGAGTCTCGGGAAGGCCACACAGCCGAGGAGTGGGGGCAGAAAGAACCCAGCTCTGCGTCAGGCTGTGTCAAGCCGACATTTAGTGCCTAGCAGCAGCCACGGCCTCTGCAGGGCTTCCTGGAGCAGGTGTGGGCTCTTCCAGCACAGAGCATGGGCTGCACCAGCTTCGGGGTGCACCGCGTACAGGTTAGGGCTGTGGCTGTGGCTGCTGGCTGACACCAGGAGTAAACGTGGACACCAGACCAGCGCAGCCTAGACCCAGCTGGGTGGCAGGTGCTGCCAGTGCGTCTCGAGGGGGCAGCAGGGTCAGCTGCAGATGAGGCTGCCCCAGGACTGGCTGCCAGCCCTCAAAGAGCCCCCTGGGTCCCCCCGGCACAACTCTCTGCATGAAGCCCCCAGCAGGAGAAGGGCTCACTGCCCTGAGCCCGACACAGTACGAGACGGAGGCCTCACTGAGTCCAGGCCCCGCACTGGCCCTCCCCTGGATCCTGAGTCCAGGCCCCAAGCCAGCCCCTCCCCTGGATCTCCCCAGACCCTCTCTGTGGGAACCCAGGGGCTGGAGCCGCTCGACTACATCTTGGTAGCTCTCATTTGGGACCTCATCTTTAATCTCAGCAACTCAGGGATCAAAGAGAAAAGGCCGAGGCAGGCGAGGCCAGGGTTTCTTGCTCAAGCATTCGGATCATTAAACAAACGAAAAAAATCAAAGAGAAGGAAAGCCAGGCTGCTGCCTGTGGATCTGTCTGCCCTCCCCGGAGGCCAGCGCCGCACGCCCCTCCCTCCCTCTCTCTCCCTCTCCTCTCTCTGGCTCTCCTGATGGAGGCCCCACATGGGGTTAGGATTCCCAAATGTCACATGAATCCAGTGTTTGGGGAGCGTCTCGCTCCGTTTGTGTTGCTGTAACAAATGCCTTGGACTGGGTTGTGTTTAAGAACTGGGTTTTTCTGGAGGCTGGAAGTCCAGCACTGAGGCAGGAGCAGGGTCGCTGCTTGGTGAGGGCTGCTCTCTGCTTCCAGAAAGCGCCTGATTGCTGCTTCCTCCAGAGAGGACGAAGGCCGTGGCCTCACATGGTGCAAGGTGGGAGGGTGAGAGGGTGCTCCCTTCCCCTGGATCCCATTCACAAGGTGCTCGTCCCGTTCTCCCAGAGGCCACAGGTCTAAATGCTGTTGCGGGGGGGACTCGCTTTCAACACAAATTTTGGAGGAGATGTCACTCAAACCAGAGCAGGAAGTGTGAGGAAGGACTCAGGAGTGCCCCCCGGCCGCGTCCTGGCTTTGGAAGCACAGGAAGCGCCTGGCAGCCTCGCGTTCTCCTTGCCCTCATTAGTTTGATTTTGCTTGAGGAGGACACACCAGTGCCCCCTCCCCAGTCTCTGCCCCTCCCTCTTCCTGCCAGAGCCCAGGAGGCCCCATCCTGCACTAAGAAGCCCCCACAGCAGCCGTAGCAGGGACGTCCTTCCCCACCGTCCTCCCGTCACCTCGAGGGACTTCCTTCCGTCCCCACCGTCCTCCCGTCACCTCGAGGGACTTCCTTCCGTCCCCACCGTCCTCCCTTCACCTCGAGGGACTTCCTTCCGTCCCCACCGTCCTCCCATCACCTCGAGGGACTTCCTTCCATCCCCACCGTCCTCCCTTCACCTCAAGGGACTTCCTTTCGTCCCCACCGTCCTCCCATCACCTCGTTTACTTTTCAAGAACCCTTGGAGGAAGCGACCATCCATTCTCCTATTCTGCAGATGAGGAGACAGGGGTGGTGACGCGCTGAGTGACTTACAGGAGACGGGGGTGGGGACGCGCTGAGTGACTTACAGGAGACGGGGGTGGGGACGCGCTGAGTGACCCTCAGGAGACGGGGGTGGTGATGCGCTGAGTGACCCTCAGGAGACGGGGGTGGGGACGCGCTGAGTGACCCTCAGGAGACGGGGGTGGGGACGTGCTGAGTGACCCCACAGCTCAGAAGTCGAAGGGCTGAGTTTCATTCCAGGTCCTGGGACCCCCAGTCCCCAGGGTTGGGGCTCTGGCAGCGCCTCCTCACCCCGGCGTGGGAGCGAACAGCATAGGACGCCTGAACTGCAGGTGCAGAGAGGACACCTGGACTGCAGTACAGAGAGGGCGCACCTGCAGACAGGTGGGGGCCCTCAGTAGGAGACACCTGTGTGCAGGCAGTAAGCTGCACCTCGTCACTAGTCACCCACGGGGCCACACACAGACCCTCCTGCTCCCCTGAAACCCCCTCCTGCTGGCCCCCAGTCAGTGCTTCTCCCCCAGAAGGAGTGTCAGAGACAAAACAACACATTTAGTTTCAAGATCTTAGTTGTGTTTTATTTGCTACTCTAGAATCGGGCAACACCTCTTTCCATAAAACAGAACGAACGCTCTCATGAGCCGAGGGGAGGTCAGAGGTCGGTTTCACAGACAGAAGAGGCCCGAGGAAAGTAGACAGAAACCAAAGGCGCGCTGGTCACTTCAGAGTTACTTTTCCTGTAAAGGTTAAAGCAGAGGATTAAAGCCCACTCCTGTAATCCCAGCACTTTGGGACGCCAAGGCGGGCAGATCACCTGAGGTCAGTGGTTCAAGACCAGCCTGGCCAACATGGTGAAACCCAGTTTCTACCAAAAATACAAAAATTAGCCGGGTGTGGTGGTGGGCACCTGTAATCCCAGCTACTCGGGAGACAGGCAGGAGAATTGCCTGAACCCGGGCGGCGGCGGTTGTAGTGAGCTGAGATTGAACCACTGTGCTCTAGCCTGGGTGACAGAGTGAGACTCTATCTCAAAAGAAAAAAAATAAAAAAGGTGGGCGCGGTGGCTCACACCTGTAATGCCAGCACTTTGGGAGGCCGAGATGGGCGGATCATGAGGTCAGGAGATTGAGACCATCCTGGCCAACGTGGTGAAACCCTGTCTCTACTAAAAATACAAAAATTAGCGGGCGTGGTGGTGCACACTTGTAGTCCCAGTTACTCAGGAGGCTGAGGCAGGAGAATCGCTTGAATCCAGGAGGTGGAGGTTGCAGTGAGCCAAGATCACGCCACTGCACTCCAGCCTGGGGACAGAATGAGACTGTCTCAAAAAAAACAAAGGTTAAAGCAGAGGGGACTTCCTTATCATGTTGGCTTCTTGCTGGCTTCTGGTGGCCTGTTTGGGGATTCGGCTGCTATCTCTCCCTGATTTCTGGGAAGGGTGGGGGCGGTCAGATACAGATCTTAGGAACCACAGCATGGGTGACTCCATTTTGGTTTTGTCTGTTGGGCCTCCTGCAGGAGCTCCGTCCAAACCAATGACCTCTGCATTCAGTTTTCTTTGACAAGAGCAGGCATCGGCCCCTGCCCAGCACTGGTGGGTCTCGCCTGTTCTGGGGGATCCATGTAAGTGGATGGCGCAGCCCAGACCATGTCCAGTGTGGCGTGAGACTCATCTGTGTCCTGGTGGCAGTGGTCTGCTTGTTTGTGTGGCTGCGCAGTCCTTAAAGACGTGGACACCTGGCCGTCCACTTGCCATGCCCCTGTGCATTTTCTGGTTGCTTCGGCTGCTGGCTGTAGTGGGGACGGCGGCTGTGAGCCTTCTAGACTGTGCTGCTCGGGAACTCCAGGGCCAGGCACATGCCTAGCTGTCCCTGTGTCTCCAGCACACGAGAGGAGGCATGTGGCTTCTCCAGGCTCAAAAAAACACCGAGTCTTCCTGCTGCCGGGTCTTTGCTTCCCTTGCTTCCTCACTACCCCGCAGCGCCCAGGGCAGGGCCAACGCCTGCACTGGGGCCCACAAGCCTGCTCTTTGTGGCGCTCACTGCCGTCCGTCTGATCATCCCTTGAAGGGGGACACTCCGAGTTGTGCCTGCCCCCCTACATACTCCCAGCGCAGAACCTGGAACCAGCAGACGCTCAAAAATGTCAATGTTGAATGAATCGACACTGGCCGTGTTGGATGACTAATTAGCAAAGTCATCTCAAAACAGAGATGTGAGTTGGGGACCCAGTGAGCATTCCTCAAAGTCTCTAAAGAAACAGATCTCATTTCTGAGACCTGGCCCAGCTAGAGCTGCCTGATATGAACCTGGGATTTCAAGAGCTCCTGTTTCATCCTTAAAATGCACTTGAATTTCACTTTGTAATGTACTTAAGGTTGTTTTAATATTGAAACAATGTTATTTTTAGTTTATTTTTCTAGATGAAGTCTCACTCTGTCGCCCAGGCTGGAGTACATTGGTGCGATCTCGATCTTGGCTCACTGCAACCTCCACCTCCCCGGTTCAAGCAACTCTCCTGCCTCAGCCTCCTGAGTACCTGGGATTATGGGTACCCACCACCATGCCTAGCTAATTTTTGTTTTTTTGGTAGAGACAGTGTCTTATCATGTTGGCCAAGCTGGTCTCGAACTCCTGACCTCAGGTGATCTCCCTGCCTCGGCCTCCCAAAGTGCTGGGATTGCAGGTGTGAGCCACGGCACCCAGCCTGAAACAACATTTTAAACTGCTAATCAGGCCTACAGTTTATATGCCTCTGCACAAGCCCTGCCCCCCTTTCCTGGGCAGGGGTGGGGTGGGGAGATGTCTCAGTGCCCCCATAGCCCAGTCCTTTCTCTCCCCCCACCCTCCCTGCCCCGACCCTCACACTGCCCCGTCCTGCAGGAGAGAGGCATCCCAGTTTGGGAAGCTGGTAATGCCCACCACTCGGTCACCAGTGTTGGTACCGCTCTGGCTGTCGGCAACTGGCTGGGCCTGGGGACACATGGGAACAACTCCGATCACACAGGAAGAGTTTCCCGGTCCCTCGGGACCATGGAAGCCCAGCCACACAGCACCGGTTTGAGGCAAGGCTCTCAATACCTCGCCCTCCGTGCCCAACACCTTGGTCTTCTGCTAGGGGTCCTCACAGTCTGGGGAAACTGAGTCCACATGGGCCTCAGGGCTGGAGCTTGGAGCCCAGGGCACCCAGTCAGCACATTCTATCCTCCTGGCCGGTGATTGTTTGGAAGTGGACACATGACCCCAGCTAGGCCCATCAGGGTGGAGCGTGAGCTTTCAGCTGGGATGCCGGTGCAAGGCTACTTTCTCTTGCTGGAGGCGAATCATGAAGCTTGCAGCCTTAGAAGCTGCCAGAAGCATCCTGGGGTCTCAGGATGAAGACGGAACTGCAAACATACACAGAGAATCCTGGTTCTCAGCAATAGTGCTGAGCTGCTGGATCAAGCCACACCTGAAATTGAACTTTGTTCTAGAATTTTCATCACACAAATCAATACATTCCCTTTGCTAAGCCATTTGGGGTTGAGATTTTTGCCTCTAGCAACTAGAATCTGGAAAGATTCCTGGCTAAGATACGCATGGGAGGGTCCAAAGCAGGAGGACCCTGCGGGTCCAGCTGTCACAGCCCCAGGATCTGAGCTACCAGTTCTGCAATCTGAGAAGCTGGCCTGGTCTCAGCACATTCTTAGCTGTGACTCCTTAGCCGCTGTGGCCACACGTAATTCAGCACAGCTGCAAGTTTCTTGGAGCTCAGGACAGAGCGGCTCAGCATTTTCGAGGAACATTTGTACTTCTGGGTGACTTACACACCCTGACATTCTTCCCATTTCCTTCTGTCCTGGGCCCCAGTTCTTCTGGACGCCACGCACAGGCAGCAGAAGTGGGGGCAGACGGGGCTGGAACCAGCCAGGTGGAGTCCCACCATGCAGCAGGCCAGAAGCCAGGACCAAGGCAGCACCGTCGTGGGCAGCCCCGGGCCAACCCCACGCGCTTCTCTCCAGGACCCAGGCGGCACCGTCGTGGGCAGCCCCGCACTAACCCCACGCGCTTCTCTCCAGGACCCAGGCGGCACCGTCGTGGGCAGCCCCGGGCCAACCCCACGCGCTTCTCTCCAGGACCCAGGCGGCACCGTCGTGGGCAGCCCCGGGCCAACCCCACGCGCTTCTCTCCAGGACCCAGGCGGCACCGTCGTGGGCAGCCCCGGGCCAACCCCACGCGCTTCTCTCCAGGACCCAGGCGGCACCGTCGTGGGCAGCCCCGGGCCAACCCCACGCGCTTCTCTCCAGGACCCAGGCGGCACCGTCGTGGGCAGCCCCGGGCCAACCTCACGTGCTTCTCTCCAGATACAGGACAAAGCTGTTTCAGAAGGACCTGGTGGTGGAAGATGATCAACAGGAGACAAAAATGGGCAGAGAAAAACACAGGCATCCACAGGACACACCATGGCCAGGCCGTGTTTGCTTGGCCTCACCACCATTAAGATGAGAAAATTAAACAGCGATGGCGACGCGTGTGCTTAGAGCCCGGCGGAGACAGCCCCCTTGGTAATGGCAGCCAGGGAGGGGACGCAAGGAACAGGCACACTCCCATCAGCGCATCTGGCACAGGGGTTTGGAGGACAATTTGGTGGAATCTCCCAGAACTTACCTGGCACTTCCACCTCTAGAGGTCTATGTTGTGGAAATACTCGCACAAACAGAGAGAGGTCACCGCACAAAGATGTCCAGTGCAACATCGAAGGTAAAACAAAGTAATGATGATTGTGACAGGAGAGTCCTGTCTTCCAATCAGAGGCCAGTTAGAGAACGTAAGAGACCTCAGTGGTTAAGATGAACAAGCCTCTGCTATAGAGGGGACGCAAGAAAGCCACCAATCAAGGTGTGAGTAGCAGGGAAGCCCAGGCCGTGTGCCTGTTTATGCAGAAGACAAGATCTGGGCAGGTCCACCCCAAACTGCTGGCCGTGCTCCCTCTGGAGGTCCTGCCCAGGACCAAAGGGGCTTTCAAGCCTCCAAGGGGCACCCCCATGGTGCCCTGGGGTTGTAGAATGCCTCCTTCCTGAAAGCCCCACCTGCGAGTCAGCTCCCCTGCCTCACTTCTTCCCCCCGTCACCGCTCAAGCTGGCTGTGACTGTGGTGGCAATGCAGGACCCAGCAGTTGAGCTACAGGAATTTCCCTGGAGCTGCCTCTGTGTGAGCCCTGGCCGGACACACCAAGAGACAGGGAGAGGGCGAGGGGATGAGCCAACCCTCCAGCAACTCCCAGACAACGGGGCAGGGCAGGGCCAGGGGAATGACCAGAATTCTCTCAAGTGGAGGGTGCAGAGGGCGTGGGTGAGTGAGCAGGGGCTGGAGGCCCCCAGCAGCTGCACGAGAGGGCGGGGCAGAGACAAGACCAGAACCCAAGTTCCTAGGAGGCCTGGAATGATGAGTTTATTCCTGGGATTTTATTCCTAGGATGATGGTGCTGAGCGAGGTCTGGGCAGAAAGAAGGAACTTCTGGGCAGGAGAACTTCAGGGGACTCTACCATGAAGTGTGGAGCGCTGAGCAGGGAACAGCCTGAGCATGGAGCAGCCCAGCGAGTGTGGGGCTTTCTGGCTTTGGCTCAAGGTGACCTGACTTGCAGGTTGATGCTGGTGATGGAGAGGGTTGGAGAGAGAGAGGCGACGATCCAGAAGGATTTCCCCTTTGCTATGCTGCTGGCCTCTCCCCTTCACCCAAACTAAGAGGTGCTGGCACCCATCACAGCACATGGCAGCCGGAATGCCAGCTGGGAGGGCTGCTGTCGTAGGTCAGGTTCCCTGGAGGCTGAAGACAGGGATTGCTGTGCCAGTGATTCTTTGGGAGGTGCTTGTCTTAATCTGCTCAGGCTGCTGTAAGAAAATCCACCAGACTGTGTGGCTTGTGAGCAACAGAAATTCATTTCTCACAGTTCTGGAGGCCGGAAGTCCAAGATCAAGGCATGGGGATATTCTGGGCTGGGCGAGGGTCTGTGCCCAAGAGCCGGCACCTCCTCTCTGTGTCCTCACATGGGAAAGGCGTCGGGTCTCTCTGGGGCCCCTTTTATGAGGGCACTCATCCCATTCATGAGGGCTCTGCCTTTGACCCCTCATCACCTCCCAAAGGCCTCACCTCCTGAAACCAGCACACTGGCGGTTAGGATTTCAACGTGGGAATTTACAGGAACGCCGACATTCAGGCGTGCTCCCTGGAGAAAGGTGGGTGGAATGCAGGATGGGAGGAGCTGAGCTGGGAGGGGCTCTCAGCCACATGCATGGCCATGTGTGCTGGGCTGAGCCACAGGAATGAACGGGCTAAGCCTCAGTTTTCAAGGTGAGCTCCGAGTCCGGGGGAGACTAAGGGCTCTGGTGACGCTACGGCCAGATGTGCCTCTCATGGGGGCCTGGAGCCCTGGACAGTTGACGAGACTAAAAGTCATTTCAAGATGCCCATTGGTTCTGCCATGCAGGAGGGTCCAGGCCACTCCTTAGACGAGACAACAGGGCTTCCCAAGAGCTGCACAAATTGCTGGAGTGGGAGGGTGCTTTGACCGCGCAGGGGCCCCGACCCTCTGGCTATGCTGGAGGCATTCCAGCAAGGCTGGCCCGGAGCCTCTGGGGTGGGGGTGGCCTGGAGCCCCATCTGTGTGCTGCTGCCACCCACTGTGGGACTTTGGGCATGTCTCTCCATAGCCTTAGCCCCTGCCCTGACAGTTGTGCAAGGTGTGGATGCAGTGGGACCTGCCTTGCAAGGAAGCCCTAGGAGGGTGGCTGCCCTTGGGGATGCCCCATAACTGACCCAGTATGGTGACCCTAAGCTGATGAGCCTGAAGGCATGTACCCATACATGCAGTACAAATGTACGCATACACACACATGCACATATACACACATTGCACATACATGTGTGTACACACCCCAGCATTGGGTAGCTCTAGCTGTTCCTCAGGCTCTGCCACCCCTGCTGGGAGCTGGCTGGACCCTGTAGACCAGGCTGACTGGCTGTGAGGCCCATACAGGGTCACAGAGGACCTGTGCTCAAGGCCCTGCCCACTTTCTCTGTTCCTTGTGTTTAGAATGAAACCTCTGTGGTTCTCACCCCTGCAACTGACGCTGTATCTCCCCATCCCAGGGCCCACCTGGTCCTGGCCCAGCGGACAGCTGGCTCCACAGACCCTCCCCTTCTATTCCGAAGACTGGGTGCAAACCTTCACACCACCACTTACCATCTTTTTCACTTTGGGCAAATTATTGAATTGTACTGTGCCTCGGTTTCCTCATCTGAACAATGGGTTCACATCGGAGTGCACGGTTGCGCGGTTTAAATATGCTCTTCCTCATCGAGCCCAGGGCTGAAATTCTGGCAAGTGCTCAGCCAGTGTAGGCCTCTGGCTTGAAAGGGAAATTGGAGACCTTGTTCCACAGATGGATGACCTGAGTCTGGGGAAAGGCAGTGCTTTGCTGCAGGTCCCACAACTTCACAGGTGACCTGGACTCCTGCCTGGCTCACAGCAGCTTCGTTCCTGCTCACCTGCCTGTGCCCCAGGCAGCTCTGCACAGCCATTTACTAGGAAGTTCTCATTTCACTGTTTTTGTATTATTCTGTTTGATTTTATTCACATCAAGACCTTCAAGAGCCTCGGGGAGGAAAGCACAGAGACGATCACATTACTATAACTGAAAATTAATGGACTGCTGGCACTTCCAGAAGAAAAACAAATTACCTAAATATTTTAGATGGGAAAATAGAACGTTTTCAATTGGCAGCTGCAGGTTCCGCCCTATTCCCCACTCCATTGCCAGATCCCACCACTGTGAGCGAGCTTTGGCCCCTCTGTGAGTTGGCCTCTGCAAGCCTTGAGATTGCAGAGAGAGGCGAGGCTGCTGTGGATGCTGTGGGGCAGCAGGCTACCCTGTCTTTGGAAGGGCCATGCCTCTAATCTGAGCTTTAGGAACTGGGGCGGCCTTGCTCTGGGGGGTGGAGATAGCCCCAGACCTCCCAGAGTCCGGGTGGGCCTGGTTGATGAGACAGCACTCTGACTTACTTGCTTTACAATCAGAAAACTGCAAGTTCAGCTTCCACTGACTGTTTGGTTACCCAATGCCAGATGTTGGCCCCAACTGTGCCCCTTCCAAGACTGCCTTCCCTTTTCCTCTCCTCCTTTTCAGCTTCTCAACCTTCACAGTCTGCCTCTTCCAGGCAGCCCACTGTGACTAATCCAGCACATGGCTCCCACTCTCTGAACTGATGGTACCCACACAGTCCTGACCACGAGATCGGTGCTGAAATCTACACTGTTCCAACTGCCACTTGTGTAGATGCTGCTGGTGCCTGTGCACGTCACCTTGGCCCTTTCCTTTTTGTGCACACCAGTGGTTTCTTACTGCAAGAACTGGCGACTCCCTCCTGAGGGCAAATAAATGGCACTGAGACACCATTTTGTACCCACAAGGCCTGCTGCCGTCAAAAGACTGACAATACCAAGTGTTGACAGAGATGCAGAGCAGCTGGACCTCACACATCACTGGCGGAAGCGTGAAATGCTTACCATCTTTTTGTTGTTGTTTAGAGATGCAGTCTCACTTTGTCACCCAGGCTGGAGTGCAGTGGAGTGATCTCAGCTCACTGTAACCTTTGCCTCCAGGGTTCAAGCAATTCTCCTGCTTCAGTCTCCCGAGTAGCTGGGATTACAGGCGTGCACCCCCAAGCCCAGCTAATTTTTGTATTTTTAGTAGAGACGGGGTTTCGCCATGTTGGCCCGGCTGGTCTTGAACTCCTGACCTCGGGTGATCCACCTGCCTCAGCCTTCCTAAGTGTTGGGATTACAGGCATGAGCCACTGCGCCCGACCACTTAGCATGTTTTAATAACGTTCCATACACACTTACCCAGGACCCAGAAATTTCACTTCTAGGTAATTACCTAAGAGGAAGAAAAAATATGCCTACAAAAAGACCTTTCAAGACAGCTTTATTCATACTAGCCAAAACTTAGACACCACCCCAGTGTGCAAAGTGTGAATAAATGAAGGAATGTGGCGTGTTTTCCATGGCACACTACTCGGCAGTTACGGATACGCACAACGTGGCTGAATCTCCGAGATATCACGTAAAGGGAAAGAAGCCATCACGAAAGTGTATTTTGCACGACTCTATTTGTGTGATATTCCAGAACAGACAAAACTAAGATATGGGGATACTGGAATCAGAAGAGTGGCTGCCTCTGATGGAAATGTTCTATAATTCACTATGGTAGACGTTACCTGGGGGTATGCATTTGTCAAAACTCATTGAACTGGACGCTTTGCGGTGTGTAGCTTATATCTCAAAAATGTTTATTCTCCATCATTTCGAAAGTCACCCAGATCAAGGAGGAATACGTGGAATGCACAGAAAAGTACAAAGTAAAAACAAAACAAAAAGTGACCTGCAATTAACCTCCCACAGGTGATCGCTTTTTCAGCTTTGTACCTTCCTAGTGCAGACTCAGGTCCCACCAGGGCGCACCTGCGCTCTGGGGCGTCTGCGTGGCAGGGGTGGGGACCCGCAGACGCTCTCAACCCCGCCGCCTCCCACCAGGGCCCAAAGGCTCGGGTGGTGGGAGACAGACCCCAGGGCGGGAGCATGGGCCCCAGGACGCAACCCTCCACCCCCGCGCCGGTCCCCCGGTCCCCTGCTGCCCACTGCCTGTGACCCTCGCCTCCCTGCCTGTCGCCCGCTGCCCCAGTCCTCCTACCCGAGTCCCCCTGCCGGTCCCCGGCTGTCCTGGCCCCTCTGCCCCCGCCCCGTAGACCTCGCTCCCCTGCCGGTCCTCCATGGCCCCCGGTCCTCCTACCTGCGTCCTCCTGCCCGGCTGTCCCAGCCCCGCAGCTCCCGCCCCAGGCCCCCACCCGCCCCGCCCCCGTTGTCGGCCCCCGGTGAACGCGCCGTCCCAGAAGCACCTCAGCTTGGTTCCGCGGATGAACGGACGCTTCTCCCGCCCGGCCCCCAAAAGCTGCCGTCCTCCGCGGCCACTACGACCAGCTGCGGTCCGGGGCCCGGGGTGGGAGTTGGACTGCGTGGCTGCGCGTCCCCATGGCGACCGGGCGGGTGCGCGCGTCAGGGGCTGGGGCCTGAGGCGGAAGTCCCGCCCTTGCCGGCTCCCGTGAGACCTTGCAAAGCGCAACGTAGCCGGAAGCTGGTGGCGGCTGGTGGGCGACCGGGCGCATCCTCATTGCAGTGCGGCGGCCCTACCTCGGCCCTGGCCTGACCCCGGCGGCCCTGCCCGCCCCTCCCTCCAGGTAAGCGCGCGGCTCGGCGGCGCGGGCTCGGCCTGAGGCCCCGGCTGCCGCGGCGTCGTCCCCGGCCTTCGCGGGCGGACCTCCCTGCCGCAGCCTCCTCCACCCGGACCCCGCTCCACCCTGAGGCTGCTGCCCCAGAGCTTGGGGGCGCCCACCCTGACCTCCCCCAGTTCCCTCGGCGCTGGGCGGCGGGGCCCTTCTCGCGCGGACGCCCCGCTGCAGCCGCCCCTCCGCCGTGCCGCCCCCCGCCCCTCGTGCCCCCTTCCGTACGAAGCTGCCCTCCACCCGCACCCCGGATCTGGAATCTCCCACCGGTTACGGGAGTCCAGAGGGTCCCTGCCCACGCACGTCGCCTCCCGGGGCGCGAGCAGGACCCTGCCCCGTCCGCTTCAACACCCTTTTCCCGAGCTCCTTCGGACCCAGGACTCGGCCTGGACACATCCCAGTCAGGTGGCCTCTGAAGCCCGGTGGGGCTTCCACCCCCTAAGAAGTGAGGGTCCTAAGAAGGAGATATATTTTTACATCTTGGTTTCAAGCGTTCAGAGTTTTTGCGTTATTTTTCAAGATAAACTATATTTGTACTTTTGAAGGTTAGGAGGTATTTGCTTTCGTGTTACTAACTTTAACATTTCAGGGAACTAGGGCTCTTGAATATTCAAAATAGTCACGTAGAGGAGTTCCTCTTAAATCCAAGCCAAGTCCTTTCCTTTTTACACACTCTCTCCCTCCGGTAGTTCTGTGAGTATCCTGTATGTTTTACAGTTAGAAATTCCAGCCGTCTCCTCATGGTTCTGACTTTTGTTTGCCTGTGTCTGTTGACCAATACATAAGCCCCGAGGGCAGACGTGGTGCTATGGAAAGAGTACAGGACCGAGTATGGCGACCAGGATTGGTCTCGTCCTGCTTTGGCGGCTCACCTCCTCTCCGTGGGCCGTGGCTTCTGCATGTGCCGTGGTTCTGCACAGGGCCCTCAGTGGCTGCTGTGACAAGAATGTGTCCCGAGGCCCTTGTAAGCTCAGTCCCGCTCCCTGCCCCGCCAGGGCACCTCTCCCCACAGGTTTTCCCTATTCCATCCTCAGTCGGCTGTATAGGTGGATGCTCAGTTTGATGACGGTATCCGCCTGAATGAGTCATGCTGGGGGTCCAAGTCCTGCGGTCAGGAGTGAGCATTCAGATGTCTGCCTCATGATCTGTGGTTCCTGGACACTCTTACAGAAGGCACAGAATTATGGAGCAGAAGGGAGCCCAGGGTGAACTTTTGGTTTTGTTTTGATGAACTGCAGAAAACAGGTGTTTATTTCCTAACTTTGAATAGGTTTAAGGTGGGCACTGGTCAATACTAGGAGTCATGGGCTTCAGAATTTAGAAACTTTGGCCGTGTGGAGTTGGGACCCCCCCCCCCCCCCCCGCCCAGTGAATATCTTATTTCTGGATACTTAAGATTAGAAATGAAATATAAGACAGAGGTTTTTGTTTTTTGTTTTTTAAAAGCTCTGCCTACACTGTGAATAGGAAAGCTGGTCTACACAGTCCTCTTAAACACAGTGAAGGAGGGAAGGGCTGGCACTGGGAAGGTCAGCAGTACACACGTGTGTAGCTTCCCATGGCTTACAGAGTTCAGCGTGTTCTCTGTGTAGTGAGAGGTAGAGGGAACAGCACACGGCTCCATTCATATTGAGAGGTGGATGAGCCTCAGACAACGCACTGAGGCATGGGCTGGCAGGGATCCAGGTCTGCTGCCTCCAGGCTGGACTATCTTCTACAGTTTGCTCGGTGGCGTGGTGTGCAGGGCCACTGGGTCATTCCCCCTTGACGCTGGGGTTGGTACCACCCCTTCCTCCGGCTTTGAATCTTAACTATATCAATTTTCCTGGTCCTGAATTAGATGGGCCACCAGTTGAAGTTGTACTTTGCTGAAGCTAGGAGAGCTGCAGAGACATCCATAGGTTTTCTCTTCACCCTAAACCTTGTTGCTGCTGTCCCAGTAGGGTCCCCGTGAGTCACTGTGGTGGGGGCTGATGGTCTGAAGCCACTCTCCTTGTCCTGCAGCAGCCACACTGTCGCCCCCATGCCTCAGAATGGCCCCAGAAGGACCTACTGCAGGTCCCCCAGCAGGCTGGACTTTCCACACACTCCAGGCAGCGGGGCACAGGCGGGAGCCTCCCTGCACTGCGTTGGGAAGGTGGTGGGGAGGGTGGAGCGCAGAGTCCCTGGGCTCCCTGTCGTTGGCAGTGATCAGCCCAAGTGTGGTGTGTCGCCTTTTAGGTGGAAAATCGAATTTTGCAGCCAATCTGTGTGTATTTTTAAAGACTACCCCTTGCTGTGGATTTCACCATTAGAAGACAGGACTTTTTATAACTGGTGCAGTCTTGGTGATGAATAAGCTTAAGCAAAGCGGCAGCAGTAATGATATGGTCTTCCTGATCATCGCCCTGGCCGCAGCCTGGGAGCCTCCTGGGGGTATGGGGAACAGATCCTTCAGTAAGTGGTCCCTGCGGACCCCTGCTGCGAGTGGTCCTGTGACCGGGGCTTCCAAGCAGCTCAACAGATTGCCCCTCAGGTTTTCTGTTGTGTGGTGTTTTTGGACAGACGTTATTTTCTTTTTTGTAGAGTAGCCTGTTTGTAAGTTTAAAGTGTTTATTTTTCTCCTTTGCAGCATCATGGCCAGCCCAAGAACCAGGAAGGTTCTTAAAGAAGTCAGGGTGCAGGATGAGAACAACGTAAGCCTCTGCCCCCCACCCCCCGCCCTAAGGCTTGGTCAGGGTCAGTGAGTTCCGGGAAGTTGTACTCTGAGCCTGTAGTTCTGGGACCCTCCTGCAGTGGATGGTGGTTGGCGTGGCTCTGGACGTGCATGGCTTGTGCTGGCTGGTGGCCTGGGTGGCCGGCTCTTAGAGTGGTGCCATTTCTGGCGCTCATCAGTGCTGGCTGTCGGGGGTGGGGGCGCCTCCACATTTCTCAGGTCACTCGCTCTAAGGACAGGTCCGCCTCGTCTTCCCATCTGAACATTTTATTACACGGAGGCTCTTTCCCCTCACGCCTTGCCCTGACCCACACCCCCGGCCACCCTGGGCAGCCCTCTGCATTCGCTCCTTGAGGCCACCTGTCGGGTCTTTGGGGTCCCTGGGCTCTGCCCTGAGCCACCTGGTGAGTCACTTGTGGCCCCTTTGCAGGTTTGTTTTGAGTGTGGCGCGTTCAATCCTCAGTGGGTCAGTGTGACCTACGGCATCTGGATCTGCCTGGAGTGCTCGGGGAGACACCGCGGGCTTGGGGTTCACCTCAGGTCAGTGTCCTGCCGCTCTGGCTCTGCGGAGAGCCTGCGGCCACCCCAGCATCTGTTCCTGACACCAGAGGTGCTGACGCCAGGGAAGCTTGGGGGCCACCTCCCATTGCATTGCCAGTGTCCACTCTAGTGACGCCATGGCACAGAGTTCCAGCTGCTGGCCACTCAGCCTCCCTGCGGCTGCTGCTTGCTGTGTCTAATTCTCAGGACGATGCTGGGTGGAGGGTGTCCCTGGGTGTCCCCGGTGCTGGTTGATCTGCTCGATCCTCTGCTTTCCAGCTTTGTGCGCTCTGTTACTATGGACAAGTGGAAGGACATTGAGCTTGAGAAGATGAAAGCTGGTGGGAATGCTAAGTTCCGAGAGTTCCTGGAGTCTCAGGAGGATTACGATCCTTGCTGGTCCTTGCAGGAGAAGTACAACAGCAGAGCCGCGGCCCTCTTTAGGGATAAGGTAGAGATGGGCCCGATTCACTCTTGCCCATGGTGTGGGGCTGCCCTGCCGTTTGTGGCAGCTGGACTGTGGCCTTTAGTGGTTCTGGAGTCGGTTCTTCTGCTGGTTCTGACACACCCACTGGGCCACACACAACTTGCCGCCCTGGAGCAGAGGCTTCCTGCCCAGAGGGGAGGCAAATGGCTTGCGGGGGGAGACAGACCTTCCCCGCCTCCAGGGGAGAAAGCAGCTGTGACCGTTTATTGCCTCTGTGACATGTTGGGCACAGTGTTTCTAAGAAGTCTGGAGGCCAAATAGGTGGGTCCCCCTGTGTTGGAAGTTGGAGCTGCACCAACTAGGAGCTCCCCAGCACTGTTGTTCATTGTAAAGTGAGTCCTGGCCTCGCATCCACACCTGGTCTGTGCACCTGAGCAGGGGCCGTCGAGGGGGCCGGGAGGAGGCTGCGGGTGGTGGGTGCTCCAGGCGGGCCGTGGGGGGTGCGCTGGAGTCGACGGTGCCCGAGGGCATCGCCAGGCGCCTTTATGCTCTCGAATGCCCTGTGTCTCCTTGTCAGGTGGTCGCTCTGGCCGAAGGCAGAGAGTGGTCTCTGGAGTCATCACCTGCCCAGAACTGGACCCCACCTCAGCCCAGGACGCTGCCGTCCATGGTGCACCGGTAGCTGCTCCTCGTGGGGCCTTAGTACAGTTTCCACTGGGTCCTGAACTTAGTAGATTGGGTTTCCCACAGAATTCTCCCCTTCTTTGCTGTTGTGACAGCTCTTTTCCCAGAAGTCAGTGGGAAAAACAGCTTTTTAAAATTGCCAAAACAATACAAGCTTTTAGTAAATTTAGACACCCATAGAGCTGTCTCAGATAGCGCCCCAGGTAAGCTCCGCACGCCTTCCAGGTGTGCACACAGCCGTGTCTGCCGTGGCGCTGTGGGAGTTCACATCTCCATCTGCTCACGGGGGTGTTGTCTGCCCTTCCCCAGAGTTGCCCATCTGCCTGTGGCACTGGCCCTGGCACCCTTGAACTGACCCCGTCATGGATGCGTCCCACATCCCACTGCAGGAACGTCCCGGGTGGGGTGACTGGGTAGCACGAGGCCTCCCCACCTCATCTGGAGCCCTGTAGTCCTGCCACATCCACGTGCTTCTGACGGAAGGCTTTGCACTGCGGGCAACTCCGGCTTGATTCCAGGCCCTCGGCCCTCTTGCCTCACCTCTCCCCGCTGCCTCCTGCCAACAGGGAGAGTGCAGAGCCCACTGTGGAGGCCTCTCGTGTTGCCCATGAGGCTGGCATTGCTGGGGTTTCAGCACCTGAGCCCGAGCAGCCACTCAGAGCTGAAGGCCACCCTGGCCTCAGGTGCTCTCAGGGGTGACGTGAAGGCACTGCCCACGTAGGCCACATGGTTCTGGGGGTGCTTCTGGGGTTACCTCAGACTTCACCCAGTTTTGGCCTTACCAGCCTTCGATTCTCGGTTTCAGAGTCTCTGGCCAGCCGCAGAGTGTGACCGCCTCCTCGGACAAGGCTTTTGAAGACTGGCTGAATGATGACCTCGGCTCCTATCAAGGGTAAGGACTTGAGAGCTGGGGACGCCTGGCGTGGGCCAGGCCCACAGGGTTCAGTCTGGTGGGTAGGGCTGCTTCCCTTGGGGCCTCCCATGTGCAGTGGGTGTGGGACCCAGGCATGCGCGGTGCAGGGTCTGATTGCAGTGAGTCCCAGCCAGCCCAGTGTGAATTGGGGGTCTTGGGTGTATTGCAGTGAGCCCCAGCCAGCCCAGGTGTGAATTGGGGGGTCTTAGATGTATTGCAGTGACCCCCAGCTGCCCAGGTGTGAATTGGGGGTCTTGGGTGTATTGCAGTGACCCCCAGCTGCCCAGGTGTGAATTGGGGGTCTTGGGTGTAGAGAAGCGCTAACACTTAGAAGAAAAGCATAACACATTTTCTGCGTGGAATCTGCTGGACCTATAAATGAATTTTTATCCCCAAAGCTGTCATATTAAGTTGTTTTGATCCTTCTTCTAGTACTTCTGTGGCTGGCTTTGGGGACTTGCTGGGGACCCTGTGGTGATGTGGCAGGAGGGTCTTTTTAAATGATCAGAAAGCACATCTCTCTGCTGCCACAGGAGGCAGCGTGCATGTCCTGTGCGTGGGGACGTTGGCACGTCCCCCAGAGCCCCAGCCTTGCCTGTGTTCAGGGCCCCACGCCCTCGGGAGGAGCAGGGTTCATGCCAGCATCTTCGGCCTCTTGTCCGCTTTGTTTTCAGGGCCCAGGGGAATCGCTACGTGGGGTTTGGGAACACGCCACCGCCTCAGAAGAAAGAAGATGACTTCCTCAACAACGCCATGTCCTCCCTGTACTCGGTGAGGACTTGGCCCTGCAGAGCATCTCCCATGGGCAGACCCCGCCCTGAGGGCACGACGGGCCATAGTGGGCAGTGTGGCAGTCCTGGAACATGTGCTCTTTGCCTTGTTCTGATCTAAGGACCCCTCCCTTACCTTCAGCGACGTTTTCTTTCAAAAATGTGGCTTAAATTTTTCAGATCCCAAATGTATTCAATCACTTCCTTTTTTTTTTTTTTTTTAAGACGGAGTCTTGCTTTGTCGCCCAGGCTGCAGACTGGAGGGCAGTGGTGCGACCTCAGCTCACTGCAACCTCTGCCTCCCAGGTTCAGGTGATTCTCCTGCCTCAGCCTCCTGAGTAGCTGGGATTATAGGCACCTACTATCACGTCAGGCTAATTTTTGTATTTTTAGTAGAGATGGGTTTTCACCAGGTTGGCCAGGTTGGTTTCGAACTCCTGACTTCAGGTGATCTGTCCGCCTCGGCCTCCCAAAGTGCTGGGATTACAGGAGTGAGCCACCGTGCCCGGCCATCACTTACTTCTAACACAAAATGTGTGTATTTCAAATCTAACAACAGCCATTCTTCCAAGGAACCCAAGGACTCTGATGGCAGCCACTTGGCCAGGTTCTCTGCAGAGGGGAGTGCTACATGCATTGGGAAGCTGGCTCTGTGCTTGGGTCTCTGGCAGCGCTGGGAAGTTGCTCGGGTGCTGCCTGAGGTCACTCAGGGCCATTTCTGGTCTGGGGATGCCTGGAAGCTCCAGGTCAGATGTTCAGAGTATGACACCCTGGGCTTGTTGCCATTTTGCTATTAACGGGAATACATTTTGTTCCACTTTCTTTTTCCAAGGAAATTTTTACCATCTTTAAAAAATGATTTTTGTAGGTGTGATGGCTCACGCCTGTAATCCCAGCACTTTGGGAGGCCAAGGCGGGCGGATCACCTGAGGTCAGGAGTTCGAGACCAGCCTGGCCAATGTGGCGAAACCCCGTCTCTACTAAAAAAATATAAAAATTAGCCAGGCGGGGTGGCATGTGCCTTGTAGCCCCAGCTACTGAGGAAGCTGAGGCAGGAGAATTGCTTGAACCCGGGAGGCGGAGGTTGCAGAGAGCCGAGACAGCACCATTGCACTCCGACCTGGGCGACAGAGTCCGACTCCATCTCAGAAAAAAAAAAAGATTTTTATTCATTGCAGCATTGTTGT
Organism: Homo sapiens; assembly: GCF_000001405.40. NCBI lineage: Eukaryota > Metazoa > Chordata > Mammalia > Primates > Hominidae > Homo > Homo sapiens. Next base: position 63,280,182 of record NC_000020.11, read on the forward strand.
CCGTGACACCAGCAACCTGAGCCTTTGGCCACGGGGGCTGCTTAAACGGGAGCTTGCGCTGAGAGCCAAGGAAGGGCTTATTTTGTTTTTTGTTTTTTTGTTTTTGTTTCTTTTGGAGACGGGTCTTGCTCTGTTGCCAGGGCTGGAGTACAGTGGCATAATCATAGCTCACTGTGGCCTGGAACCCTGGGCTCAACCATCCTCCCACCTGGGCCTCTCAAGTTGCTTAGCCTCCCAGAGTTCTGGTATTACAGGCATGAGCCACCATGCCTGGCCAGAAAGGGCTTTTTAATAACTAGCATGACAAGATCTTCAAAGTCTGTTAACTGGAAATAAGCAGGTTTAAAGCGGATGTCTTCATCTGCAAGAGCCCCCAAGTGTGTGGAGCTTCCAGTCGCTCGGGGTGGCCTGGTTGCACCTCTGGCCGCTGACGGCCATGGTTGCTAGCTCTTGCAGTCATTGCTACATCTTTAGGGAAGAAAAGCGCATTTTTCCAGCCTGTGTGTGGGCTTCATTTTTGTGGCCCTTCCTTCTGCTGCCTTTTGCTGGGAAGCTGCTCTCTGGGGAAGGCAGCTCAGCTTGGTGATCTCTCAAGTGAGGGTCCCTTTGCACTTCCTTTAGGAGGAAGAGGGTGAGTTGTGATTGAAATGAGACGTTTATTTTTTTAAATAGCTTTAATTATCTTGAGAGGCTCAGAAGGAAACCCTGAGCATAGATGAAGGAGAGCAGGTTACGCTGGTCGTGACCCCACACGCCTCACCTCTGCCTGTTCCTCTAGGGAGGCAGGAGGGAGCGCCGGCCATGGGGAGGGGTCCTGCCCTGCAGGGTGGGCTTGCTTCTTGAGGGTGGTGGGAGCCACGGGAGGCTGGTTTGCGCTGTGTTGGGAGCACTGCAGTTGGCGAGGTGGGGGTAGAGGGTGCGTTTCTGTTGTGCCCTGGGTCCAGTTGCACTCCTCCAGCAGCCTGGAGAAGCAGGCGCGGTGGGGTCAGGATGGGACGGGGGCCTGGGGCAGCCTCTGCCTTGGTCCTCTTCCTTGCTGAGATACTCTGCTCAGCGCCGGGTTCCTGGGTCCCAGTCCTGATGTGGCTGCTCTTTGTCGCCTCCCTCAGGGCTGGAGCAGCTTCACCACTGGAGCCAGCCGGTTTGCCTCGGCAGCCAAGGAGGGCGTAAGTCACTGCCCCTGCCATGCCACCGTCCCCACCAGGCCCTCGGGACACTGGCTGCTGCTGGCCTGGGGTTCTGGGAGCTGCAGAAGGGATGTGGGACACAGAGGGTTTCTGGGTGCTGTAACCATGGGCTGTGCCAACGCAGTACCAGCCAGGGTGGTCCTGAGACCTTGGAGGTTCTGCAGGAACACAGCAGCCCAGGCTGTCAGGAGCTGCTCCTGTGTCAGACCAGCTGCTGGCAAAGGGGTCCCGCCCTGATGAAAGTGAGGGAGATGTGAGCCCCATTGATTCCTAGACTCCACCCTATCCAAGCAGGGCAGGTCTCCGGCACCCTGTGCCCTGGAGCTTCTTCTGGGGCTCAAGTCGTGTTTTGAGAGCGATTTCTCTCTTTCGCCTGCTCCTCAGCCTGAAATGAGGGGAGGATTTGGGGCTTTCGTCAGGGCAGACAGTGAAGCATGAGGCAGAGACCCAAGAGCAGGCCTGACACCAGGATGGAGCATGGGCCCCCGGGGGCTGGGCTGTGGTGTTACAGGAGAAGGGGAAGCCCAGAGCAGGGCAGCGCGGGGCAGCTGGGTGCCTGCAGCTGCCCGCAGAAGCAGCCAAGGCACCTAGGGTGGGGCTCTTGTGAGTGGAAGTCACGGTGCGCACCTGTCAGATGTCCCCGTGGTCACCCTGGCCCCGTGTCTTCCCCCGTCACAGCGCTCACCTGTCACATGCCCCTGTGGTCACTCTGGCCCCGTGTCTTCCCCCGTCACAGCGCGCACCTGTCACATGCCCCTGTGGTCACTCTGGCCCCGTGTCTTCCCTGGGAGAGGAAGGCCTGGGAGGGCCCTGGAAGGGGCAGCAGGCCAGGTGTCCACGCTCCAGCTCCCACGGCCCCGTGACTTTGCCGAGCGTCAGCTTCTGGTTCCCGCCAGGGCCGCCGTTTTCTCGTCTGCACGGGAGGGCTGCGGCCTGGGGAGGCCCAGGTACCTTCCAGCCAGAGTGTCACGACCGGGCCTTTTCTCCTCCCCCCGAGCTTTAAAGTGACCAAGGTGCCTGGACTGTGCTGGGCATGGAGCCGTCCCCACAGCAGGGTAGATGGGGCTGGGGCGGTGGCACTGTCCATTGAAGATAGCGCTGGTGTGGCTTCCCCAGCCCGTCTTCTGCTCCAGCAGGCCCCGGCCCTGTCCTGAAGTCTGGAGGATGGGGTTGGCCCTGCTGTTCCCTGGCCTTGCACGCTGCTCACGTGTGCCCTCACCCCAATAGCACACCGAGCTGGCCTCCCTCTAGGGAGAGGCCAGCATTTGTGCTAATCCAGTCTCTGCTGCAGCTCTTCTGGGCATCTCAGAGTTATAGGGCCCGCCCAGAGCCGCTGGCAGCCCGGGGGCCATTGAGAGACAGTCCTGGACCTGAGTCTGTGGGCCCTGAGGAAGGATGCCTGGCAGCCCATGTTAAGTCTGTCAAGCCTTGTCTTTGTTTTTCATTTTAGGCTACAAAGTTTGGATCCCAAGCGAGTCAGAAGGTAACAGAGGAGAAGCTTCTGCACCCTGGTGCATCTGAAACTATCCTGAGTCTGACGTCACGTGCAGCACCTGAAGCTGCCTGGTTCCCTCTTCTCAGGCCACATGCTCAGAGCTGAGGGGTCCCAGCGTAGAAGGGGGTGTTCCTGCCATGCTGTTCCCCTCCTCATGCCCGGGTGGCTGCCTCATGGACCCACTCAGGGCCTGCAGGGCCAAACTCGTTTCCTGTTCACTGGTAGCTGGTACCGGTGTGTGGCCACTGCAGCCGGCCACCTTGTTGGGAGCAGGACTGCCCGGCTTGGCAGATGGCCCACGCTGGCGGTGGCCGCTCAGCCAGAAGGGCCGCTGTGGTTGGTGCTGTGCCTGCGGCACACTGGACGCGTCTGCACTTCGAGGCAACGGAGCGTCTCTTTGCTCTGGCCAGGGCTTCCCCCAGTCGGGGCAGTGTGGCCTCAGGCCTTTGCATGTTTTTTATTCTTTAGGATGTGGGTAGGGGCCCCGCGGTTCCCACTTGGTGGTCAGGGCTGTGATCTGGCTGTCCTCGGGTTCAGAATCACACCCAGGAGGCAGTACCCATGTGAGGCTCACCATGAAAGCTCAGGACTGCAGGCGTGGAGCTGTGCATGGCTCTAGGACGCGCCTTTGCCCCCTGGGCGAGGGTGTCCTTTCTCACGAGGTGCCCATCCGTCACCCCCGTGGCCCATATCACCCCTTCCTCTCTGAGGGAGTCTCCCCACGTGCCCACCCCCAGCTGCAGGGACGCCCATCTGGCTTTTTCGTGGGCCTCCCAGGGTCCTGAGGTGCAGTCGCTCGCGCAGTTTCTGAAGGTGGTGGTCAGTTCCAGGGCAGGGAGCGGCTGCTCCAGGGTTGTGTTGCTGAGAGCCTGCCCGGTGCTGCCTTAGTGTTGCGGCACCCCATGGTGGGTTCGAAGGCGCTGCTGGTTACTAATGCCGCCCCTCACCTTGCTCTCTCCTCACCTGTCTTCTTGCTGTCGGGTAAAGTTTTGGGGTCACAAGCAGCAGCCGGAGCCGGTAAAGCCCGTGTCTGCTCGTGCATGCCGCCCGCATCTCCGCCGAGAATGTGCTTGGCTTCCTCTGTCCCTCCTGCGTGCTGCCACTGTCTTGTGTCACCTCACATGTGCGCACGCTCAGACCCTCTCCCTGGCCTCGGTCCGTGGCTCTCCTTTAAGATCCAGGATCTGCATCAGGCTTGGCTGTGTGTGCCTGTCACCCCTGCGCAGTACCACTGCGCTCCCCCCGGGCAAAAAAATGAGACCCCCATCTCCAAAACACACAGACCCCCAACGCAGGCCTGCTGCCGGGGAGGTGCTGGAGGGAGGGCGGGGGCACTGGGCGCAGAGCTGCTGAGCAGGGTTTCCTGGCCACCTGCGCTCCCTTGAACGCAGTGCAAAGGGGAGGATCTTTGCTCTGTGACGAGTTCTTCCCTTTCCGGCCTTTGATCCGTGCTGCTCCCTGCCTTTGGGGGAAGAGGAGGCCTCACACCACATCCCCAGGTGGCCGTGTGGCCTCGACTCCACTGACCCAGGATCAGGAGAGGCTGAGCTCCTTTCTCAGCAGCTTCTTCCTATGGCCCCAGCCTCCGTGCCCTCTTCCCTCCAGGGGGGACTCGGTGCCTGCCTGGGGAGGAAGGAGAGGCGTTGCAGGTCAGCATGGGGTGGCTGCAGCCGGCGTTGGCCTCAGGCACAGGCTCCACAGGGCCTGTTCCCACCAGCCCGGCCCGGCAGGGCCGCATGGTGGCGCGTGAGGGAGGACCCTGGAGGGGGACCTTCCTGCAAGAATTGGTGGGGGCCGCGGTCTCCGCCTTCTAGAGGTGGCGGCCTACTGCCCTTCGGGTGTTGTGTGCAAAGCCCCGTTTCCTGCTCCCTGCGCTTGTATCCTGCTGCCTTCCCTCCTGCTGGTGAAGCTCGTGCTGCCCTTTGCTGGCCTGTGCTGCCACTGCCGACCCGTGTCCCGTGGTGGAGCTGTCGTGGGGCTCACGTGACTTCCCTTCCTACAGGCGTCCGAGCTGGGCCACAGCCTGAACGAGAACGTCCTCAAGCCTGCGCAGGAGAAGGTAACGGGCAGCTCCGGGTGGTTGTGCCTGGAGCCCTTCACTCCAGGGGACGTGGGTGTGTCAGGGGTGTTAGGGGGATTGTTTGTCCAGCAGCTGGGACTCAGCGAGGCCAAGCCTCACACCCCACCTCTCCAGCACAGGCGTCCTCCTCGGGGCCTGGGCTCCTCTTGGACCCCCCAGCTGGTCCCTTCCCCTGGCCTAGGGCCTCCCTTGCAGTGCCCCCAGCCCAGCACCCCCAGCCCACCTCCGTTCCTCTGCCTCACCCCTACAGCTGGCCCCAGAGCCCAGCACCCCCAGCCCACCTCCGTTCCTCTGCCTCACCCCCACAGCTGGCCGCGGAGCTGTGCCCAGAGGAGGCTCTGGTATGGGAATGATGCCTGCCATCCTAGGGGGTCAAGAGCCCCGCCAGCTCCCTGCCTCCTTCGGGGCCTGACTGGGACAAGTGGGGAAGACCCACCTGGGGCAGCGTGGGCTGTCCTTAGGTCACGTTGCTATTTGTCAGCAGTGGCCGGCAGGGGCCACGTTTGCAGACACCAGGCCTCACAGTGACATGGTTTCTTGATGCTGGAATCCCTTTGGGGCCACTGTAGAACTTTCTGGGGCTCAGCCTGATGGGTATCCACATGCCCCTGATATTTCGGATGCCCTCACCCGGGGGATTCCTGCACTCCTGAAGCTTTAAGCTTTCATCTCTCCCGCCCCCATTAATGCCGCTGTCTTCATCCGTGCAGGTGAAGGAGGGAAAGATTTTTGATGATGTCTCCAGTGGGGTCTCTCAGTTGGCGTCCAAGGTAGGGAGCCTGCCAGATACGCGGGCACAGTCGAAGCCAGTCTCCATATTCCACGGCCCTGGGCGTGAGAGCAGGGTGTGCCCCGTGCAGCCCTCAGCCCAGCTTGGCAGTGGCCGCTGTCCTCTGAGACGGGAGGAGAGCTGCCCAGCCTGACAGCCCGAGGGATATGGAAACAACTTGGCCCACTGCGGCCCGGTCAGCCACTAACTGTCACTTCTCCCTCTGCTCTTATCTTGCTGCTGCTGGCCTTTTCCTCGGTAAGTAAGTGCCAGCGCCGTCTTTGCTGCCATCAGTCCCACTGCTCTGCGGGCCATTTGGGGCGTGCATTTTGTCCTGTTTCCTGGCATGAGGCGCTCTGCGGACAGACGGGGAGGGAAGAGCAGGCCTCGCTCCTCCCCCCCAAGCATGTGGTGGGAGCTCTTGAGGTCTGTGCACGAGGCTGTCCTCGCTGCCATGTCCCGCACACACCTGGCACCGCTGCAGAGTGGCCGGGGCGTCTGTGTCTGTACGTGTGTGCGAGGCACCCCTTGTTTCTGGATTTTGCCTGGGTCTTCTCAGCGGGACGGCGCGTGCCGGCTTGCGTGTGGGGGCCTCCTGAAGCTGCCTGTGCCGCGACAGGGCCTGCCTAACCTCTCTTCCCGTCTCCTTCCAGGTCCAGGGAGTCGGTAGTAAGGGATGGCGGGACGTCACCACCTTTTTTTCGGGGAAAGCAGAGGGCCCCTTGGACAGGTATGCTGTGTCCCCTCCTGGGCCTTGCATCCCACTCCCCTGCCTTGGCCACTCCTCCTACAGGCTCTCCAGGAGGTGGCTGGCATCCTTGCTGGGGAGGGAAGGGGCACTGTGGAGGCTCTCCGGGAGGTGGCTGGCATCCTTGCTGGGGAGGGGGCACTGTGGAGCCTCTCCGGGAGGTGGCTGGCATCTTTGCTGGGGAGGGGGCACTGTGGAGGCTTTCCGAGTGCTCTGCAGCTGCAGAGGCCTGTCCTGCCTGTCTCTGCCCTGCTGTGTGCTCTTTGGAACCCTGCAGGAGCTGGGCTCCCCAGGCTAGGGTGGGAGGGAGGGTCTCACCCATATGCCCCCACGTAGGAGGAGCTGGCGCTGCTCTGCTGTTCCTCTGTCTCCCAGACTCTGGGTGGATGGAGCAGGTCGGGGGCCAGGGGACAGGAAGGCTAGGGCCCCAGAGACCTGTCCTGGGCCCCATGTCCAGCTCTGCCCTTAGTGCTTGGCACCCCAGTCGCTTCTGCTGGAAGCTGGCTGCTGTTCTCGGCCTCTGACCCCAACAGGGGAACCACCGGGGATCTCATCGGGCCTGGCCTTGTGCTGTCTACTGAGAGGCCAGCCCTGGTGGGCACAGATGCACTGCCCACTAGGTGGGCCCAAATTTTCCCTGCAGACGCCATGTCCCTTCTCTCCCTCTGTGTATGTGGTTTTTCAGTGGTGTGATTGCAGCTGAGGACAGAGGGCAGGGCCAGATCTGGGGCCAGCGTAGCTGAGGGCGTCGCTCGGGAGGGCCTGTGTCCCGGCTTGAGGCCAAGCGCCCCTGCCCCTCCCCACTTGACTAAACCACTGTTTTATTGCAGCAGTTTGGAGCTGGTAGAAAAGGAAGTTTTCTGTAAAACTGTCCTCCAGTTGGGGTGGTTGATAAAGAGTGGGCCCTGGTTCTCCAGCTCCCCAGCAGTTTCCTCTGCTCTGAAGCGGGAGAAACAGATCCCACCTGGTGGGGCTGCTGTGGACCCTGAGCGCTGGCCTGGGAAGGCGGTCACTGTCCAGGTGCAGAGCTCTCGGGGGCACAGAATTCCCAGTGGTGGACTGAGTAACAGTCATTTAGAGTCCCCCTTCTGTCTCTTTAAAAGCCCCTCGGAGGGCCACAGTTATCAGAACAGCGGTCTGGACCACTTCCAAAACAGCAACATAGACCAGAGCTTCTGGGAGACCTTTGGAAGTGCTGAGCCCACCAAGACCCGCAAGTCCCCGAGCAGCGACAGCTGGACGTGCGCGGACACCTCCACCGAGAGGAGGAGCTCGGACAGCTGGGAGGTGTGGGGCTCGGCCTCCACCAACAGGAACAGCAACAGCGACGGCGGGGAGGGCGGGGAGGGCACCAAGAAGGCAGTGCCGCCGGCCGTGCCCACTGATGATGGCTGGGACAACCAGAACTGGTAGGGCCCACTGCGCCCCCGTCCCCAGCGCCCCCGGGCGACTTCGTGTTTGCACTCTGCCCTCGTCGTTCCTCCTCCTTCCATTTGACCCAAGAATCAGCAACTGCAGTGTGAGGACAGCGTCTCGGGAGGCAGGACCCTAGGGAGACCCGGGTGTGCGCCGCCTGCGCGTGGGGAGTCTTCGGTGCGTGGGGGCGGCTTGCTGTCCAGCCTGTGTGGGGGCCGTCCCGTCCCACACTCCCCTGGGCATTCTTGGACTCAAGGCCGGGGCTCTGCGTGGCTTGCTGGGAGGTGGGCTGCAGCACAGAGGCCTGTGACTGCGTTCCAGCGGCCAGTTCACTACGCAGTATCTCTGGGGCCTGGGACCAGCCACGTGCCGAGCTGTCAGCGACGTGAGGTGTCCCTTCTCGTTGAGATATTTAACTTTGGTTTTGCTCTAGTTCTTTCTTTTTGAAGAGAGTGACTGGAGTGGTAAAGATGGAAATGCTGGAAATGATACTGGCGCTCACGCTGCCATCCGACCACCCTCGGCTCCCGAGTCCACGCCTGCCTGGGCCTGTGCTGTCAGACCCGCGTCGGTCGTAACCCTCTGTGGCTCCCCTGCATCAGCACCGTCCCACCACCAAGTTCACCAGGTTCACCAGACACGGCCTCCACAATAGCCACACCCACACCTGAGCTGTTCTCAGTGCTGGAACTTGACCATCCTGGAACACCCTGGAAGAAAAAGGAGCGCAGGGTGGGCCCTCGGCCCTGATGCAGGAGGGTGCGATAGCGGACGTGGCCAGGCAGGAGGGGCCGGGTTCAGGAGCTGAGCAGGGGATGCCTGTGCGTGGTGCCTGGGTCTAGGGAAGCTCCAGCCCCAGGATGGGGCTGCCCTGCACACCGGTGCCCGCCACATGCCAACCCTCACCTCCCCGAGGACTGGATGATGTGCTGCCACGTGTGACTCGTCTCCCTTGTCTGCCCTGTGTGACCCTCAGTCTTGGCCAGCCATGCATGCGCCCGAAGCTCGTGCAGTTTGTACGTGAGGTGCTCTCCTCCCTGCCACCATGCTCATCACTCTGGCCTTGGCCATGCTCCCTGGTCACCCCACTTCCCGGTCGCCGTCTGCAGCACTCCTGGAGCAGCCTGGGCCCTTCAGCCCCTGTGCTCGTCCCACCCTAGGGACTCAGCCACTTGCAGAACAGGATGGGACCGAGATTTCAGCGAGCCCTCCTGGCGCCCGGTCCTCCCTGTGGGCACCAGCCCTCTTGGTAGCTGGTGTGGAGGGCCGGTGTCCTTGGCTGCCACGGAGGGATTTGATCACCGAAGCAGCCACCTGCTGTAGTTGGACCTGAGGTCAGAGGCGGGGCATCAGAGGCTCAAGGTGCTGAGAAGCCACCGGGAAAGCAGCCAGCACAAAGGGCCCAGGAAGCCAGCCCCCGAGAGCTGAGCGTGGGGGTCTTTGAGTGTCTTTCTCCAAGCTGAGACGTGGGCGGCCGCGTGGTATCTCCCGAGGGCTGCTTGGACCCTGGTGGGCTGAGTGCTCCGAGGAGGGGTGGACTCCACCTTGGACAGTGGGATGTGGTGTTCCACATGTGCCTGTTTCCACGCCAGCACCTTGACTTGGCAGCATGGAGCCAAGGTCTGTCCCCGCCCAGGAGGGTGCCTTCCTCGGGGGTAGGGGGACGGCCCACTCTGCCCCAGGGAGTCCCTTTTGATGGGAAGTGCAGTCAGCAGCGTGGAGGTGTCTGGGCCACCTTCAGAAGGTGGATGTGGTGGCCGAGACCCCGTCCACGGAGGGTGATGGCCTTTCCCTTCTGCAGGTGCGGGCAGGTGGGCCTGGGACCGGTGCTGGGGCCTCTCCTTGCTGTGTGTGAGGGCCCAGGTGGAAGGCGCGGACCTGACAGCATTCCAATAAAGCATACGGGAACATGCAGAATGTCTGGATGCATCCCAAGGGGCCACTTCCAGTGCTGTGCCAGTAGGGTCATGGGACCCCCGGGAAGGCAGGGGTGGGACACTAGGAATCGTGGGCGGGCTCCCTCACTGCTCCTGGCCCCCTCCACCTAGCCCTCCTGGGGAGGCCCTGGCATCACCCCATCTGAGCCAGAGCTTCTGGGGAGTAGGGGAGCAGGCAGCTGGGTGACCCAGCCAGGGAAGAGTTTACGGGGTCCTGGCATGTGCCTCCGGCTGGCCAGCGAGACACTGTGGTGGGGTCCAGTGACCCTTGGCCTGGGGAGGTGGGCAGTGGCTCCTGTAGTAGAGGATGGCACCAGGGCTTGTGTCTAGGAGGGCTCCTGCCCCTCCCAGGGATTCAACACCCCCTATGCTGGGGACGATCCCAGCCCGTATCCAGGAAACTCAAGGTGCCACCTGATGCTGGGGTTGGAGGGCAAGGAGGGTGGCTGTAGCCAGGAGAGGCCCACAGAGGTCCTGGAGTCTCTGTGTCTCAACTGGGTGGCTCCCAAGGGTCATCCTGCTCTGGGGCAGCGCTTTAGGGCAGGTGGGCTGAGGTCAGAACTGCCGGATGGGGAAGACGAAAGTGGCGGGTCCCGGCCAGGCTTTGTGGGCCTGGGGTCCGTTCTTGGCTGAAGCCTGGTCTCGGTCTCTGGCCAGCTTGGTGGGGCATGGGCAGTAACGCTGCACAGCTCCCGGCCTCCAGCATGCAGTTCCACCCCCACCGTGGCTCCAGGAGTCCAGGCTGACCACGCTGGGCACCTTCTGCCACCCGTCTCTTCCCTTGAGCCGGCCTCTGCTGTCTGTCCCCAGATACTGGCGTGACCCAGTGGATGCTCAAGGCCAGCTTCTGCCCTTCCCGAAACTTTTCTAAGTGCACTGGGTTTCCCCTGGCCACCCACTCATCGCGCCTGCTGGCATTGCTGTCCCCCTGTTGAGCCTTCCAGGGACAAGCCCTGCCCCATGAGCCTTCATTGCTGGCCGACAGAGGGGGCTGGGTGAGGCTGACGGCTGTGGGGCCTGGCCCTGCTCTGTTCTGACCCAGCCAACACAGGCGGGGGTTGGGGGTCAGTCCCCAGAGCACTGAGGCTTCTCGGGGGCTGGAGGCTGCACAGGAGGCCACTGGGGCCATGTCCCCAATTCTGGGACCTGTGGGCCTGGGATCCCACCTGGAACCGGGTGATATGTGACTGGCCACAAGCATGCGGGGGGTTCCTGTGGGGTTGGGGCCTCAGGCCACAGTACCCTGGTGAGGAGAGGACAGTGGCCGACCCAGGTTCTGTCCTGTCCCTTTGTCGTTTGTGACCCCGGCAGCTCGCCGGCCCTGCCTGAGCCGGATCACTGCCACGTGGTCTGAGGGGTGCTGCAGAGGTGTCAGGAGTCCAGGAGCAGGGGCGGGGTGAACAGGCAGACGGGTCCGCCCTTGTGGAGCTCACATTTCATGAGCCAGGAGTGCTGGGTGCCTGACTGCCTGGTCTGTGATGACCCTGACGCTGGCTTGCATGTGTGGGATGTGGGTGCACATACCTGTTCCCAGGAGCCTGTGAGCCGGGGCTGCACCCCTGCGCCCGGTGCCTGGTGCCTGGTGCCCGTCTGCCAGCCTGGGCGCCCTCCTCTGGCCATGGCCAGGACTGCAGGCACCACCGGCCCCCTGGGAGCCCGCCACGGCGACGACCTGACACCATCTCTCAGGCTGCTCCTCCGGGACAGCCAGTTGGTGGATGGGCTGTGCAAGAGGTGGCCATGGGTGGGGTGTGGTGGCTCACACCTGTAATCCCAGCACTGTCGGAGGCCGAGGCGGGTGGATCACCTGAGGTCGGGAGTTTGAGACCAGCCTGGCCAACATGGTGAAACCCCATCTCTACTAAAAATACAAAAATTAGCTGGGTGTGGTGGTGGGTGCCTGTAATCTCAGCTACTCATGAGGCCGAGGCAGGAGAATCGCTGGAACCCGGGAGGCTGAGGTTGCCGTGAGCCGAGATTGCGGCATTGTTCTCTAGCCCAGGTGACAACAGCAAGACTCCATCTCGAGAAAAAGGAGGTGCTCATGAAGAGGTGTATCCTGAATCTGAATCGGTGTGGCCCAGGGATCCAGGGAGGTGTGGAGAGGTTGGCCCCTCTCCTCCGCAGCATCCAGCCTGGGCCTTTGCCTCCAGCAGGTGTCACCTCTTCCTCTGTGGCCGCTGTGCCAGCGCTGGCCTCTCACCGAGCACCTCCAGCTCATCTCTTGCCTCTGGAGGCTGAGCCTGGGGCCAGGCCAAGTGGTTTCTCTTCAGCTACCAGAGCAGCAGGCAGGGTCGGGAGAGGCTCATCCTCCCTCAGGCCTCAGGCAACCCAGGGTCGGGAGGCCTCGAGGGGGCTGGCCCTTTCGCACTGTCCTGAGTGCAGAGGAGGCATGGACTTGGGGACTGGGCTCACAAGGCCGACAGCTGCCTCCAGTGGTCCTGAAGCACCCATGCGACGCGTGGTATTAGGCTGGGGTCCTTAAAGACAGAGGTAGGGACACGTATTTGGGTGCACTCGGGTCTATCGGGGAGGCAGATGCCTCGGCCGGATCCACCTTGAGCTGTGGACAGTGAGTGTCTTAGGAGGCTGTGCAGTGAGGCCGGGATGCCCACACTTGCGTCACCACCCAGTCATTGGGCAAGGGCCGCTGGGGTGCATCTGTTATCTCCCAGGCAGTCCCGGGGCAGGGACAGCTGTGAGCGGTGGGCCCTTTATAGCCAGCAGGTGCTACGGGACTCTGCGCTGCCTAGGTGGGGCCTTACGTCACAGCACGGGTGGGACAGGGGCAGGGCCAGGGCAGGGGCAGGGCCAGTGTTGGGCTGGTCCAGTTGGGAGCAGCCCAGGGTCCCGTCGGGTCAGGGGCCTGTTTTCCAGGCCTGGGCACCTGCTGAAGCTCTGGTTACCGGCACCAGTCTGCAAAGTGGGTTGGGTGGTGGCAGCCTTCAGGATGGGCTGGGAGGGCATACTGGGGGAGGGGAAGGGTGACCACATGGGTGGGGGACCAGGTGCCACTGCAGCCTGCTCCCCACAGTGGGCAGCCAGAATCCCTAGTGTCCAGCACCCACACGTGGCGGCCTTGGCATCTGAGTGGCTTTCCCTGTGAGCCCCTCCTTGCAGGATGGACCCTCTGGGAGTGAGGAGTAAAAGTGTTGGGCCGTGCAGCCCCTGCCTCCTCACTGGTGGGACCCTGCCCTGCTGTGCAGTGGGGTCCTTCGTGCTGGGATCTTTGTGGTCCCCGTTCTTGGAGAGATGCCCGGGGCGGCAGACAGGAAGGGTGGAGGGCAAAGGGAGGGGAGGAGAGAGAGGCAGGCCGAGGGGTGGGTCGGGGGGTGGGCTGGGGCAGTGACTTCTGTGGAGGAGAAGCCTTTCATAAGCTCCAGCCTTCCTGTGGCCACAGCAGGACCAGAGTGGACCAGCACACCCCAGGAGAGAGGACTGGGGTCCCAGGAGTAGGAGGAGGTGGGTGACTTCCCTGTGGTCCTGAGGCTGGGTGGATAAGGGGCTGCCAGGAGATCCACTCAGCCTGTGATCTGAGGGTGACTGACTTTCAGAAAAGTCTAGATAGAGGCCAAGTGCCCCTGTGAGCCACAGGACCGGGGTGCCCAGCACGCACAGGGTGTGGCCAGGAGGGGCCGGGGCAGTGGGAGCCCGGGGCTGCCTGAGCTCTCACCAAGGGCTCCCTTCTGGGGGTCTCAGACAACATCCAGGGCTGTGGGGGAACGAGGAGGGTGCACATCGAGCAGAGAGCGGCTTGCACTTCAGGCTGGATGCCTGTGGCCCTGGCAGGGGTCCCACTGAGTCAAGCCAGGTTTCTGGGGTGGGAGGATCCAGGGACTTGGGGGCACTCGGGCTGCCCACTGGTGCCTCTGTGATCAGTTTGGGAGCCCAGCCCTCAGGTGCCTCCTGTTCCAATGCCTGGGTCTTACCTGACTGCCCTTGGCCGGCCGGGCGGGCATGAAATCCCTGATTTAAGCCGGTGGCTTTCCCGCCGGGTGAGGCCTTTCCCTTGCAGAGGAGCAGATTCCCTGGTGGGGATACTGGGGTCACACACTGGGAGGGGGCGTGTATTGGGGGGGTCTCTGTTCGGCTGCAGGGGGTGGGAGGGCCTGGGTCACTCAGGACCCTAGAACCCTACTGTGTGGGAGGCTGGGGCTCACAGAACCAGGGCCTGCACTCAAGCCATGCCCTCAGCTCAGCACAGAGGGGTAGGGGCCCGGCCTGCCGGGAGTGCTCTGTCTGCTTTCTGAAGGCCCGAGTTGGTGCGTGGGGTGAGGGGCTGGCATGAGCAGTCTCGGGGAGCGGGAGTGCAGGGGAGCGGAGTGTGAGGGGAGGGGGAGTGCGGGGGGAGGGGAGTGCGGGGGAGGGGGCGTGCAGGGGACTGGGGGTGCAGGGGACTGGGGGTGCAGGGGAACGGAGTGCAAGTGAACCCCCGGCATTTCTTCTTCAGCCCTGGGCGTGGTGGCAGGTGGAGGACTCGGGCCTGGCAGCTGACATGCTCCCCACCTCTCCGAGTGGCACCTCTGGGCACTGGTCACTGGGTTACCCTGGCCTCTGAGTCCCCCTCAGCTGCTCCTCAGAGCACCCCAAATCCAACCTCCACTCCCAGCCCCTTTGAGTGGGCCGGGCCTGGTTTTTTCTGGTCCTCCTTGTAGCCCACTCAGCTCTCCAGTGGCCCTGGCGGCCTCCCTGTCTCGGCCTCAGAGCCGTGTGCCCGTGGCACACACACCCTGCACCCCCGGCTGGCGTCCCCCAGACCCACCCGCTCCCCACTCCTACTAGGCAGCTCTCACTCTCCTCCACAGGTCTCTGATGACCCTTCCGCCTCCAGGGCGAGGCTGGGGCCACAGGGACTCCACATGTCCAGCAATCAGACATTGCCTGGAGAGCTCGCCCCTTGCCTCAGCCCTCCGTGGCCCTCGGGAGCCCCACAAGCAGGAGGCCCCGTGCCCGTCCCAGCCACCCCTGCACTGGGCGTGGGGACAACTGGGGGCTGGGGGTCCTGTTGTCACTCAGAGCAGCCCCCGGTGGTGTAAATGCCAAGAGTGGGGTGGGAGTGGGAGGCAGCCCCAGCTCTAGCCTTGGGTCCTTGAGTTTTAGGCAGCTGGGAGGTATCCCCTAGACAACAGGTTGCAGGCCTCTGGTCCTCACACATGTGAGGGGTGGAGCCCGGTGTGGGGACAGGCTGCCTGGCCCTCGAGGATTTGGAGAAGCTCTGGCGTTGTGGTCAGGGAGAGGACAGACGGGGGGACGGCTGAAGGGCATGGCCTCTTCCCTGCCACAGCCCGAGCACCATGAGCTCCGGAGACCCTGCACACCTCGGCCTCTGCCTCTGGCTGTGGCTGGGCGCCACCCTGGGAAGAGAGCAAGTTCAAGGTAAGGACACTGGCAGTGGGCCCCTGCTTGCCCCGAGGCCACGCCTGCCCCACCAGTGCCCACGCGGGACGAGCCCTCCGCCCCTGAGCCCCGTCTTCCTCCTAAGTTGAATGCGTGCTGAATTCACAGCAGCTCCCACAACAAAGGCAAGACGGGAGGGAGCGTGTGCTCCCGCCAAACCTTCAGCCTCGCCTTGGGAGCACATCTCTGTGGTTTAGTTCTCTGTTATATTAATGCTTGGCCGAGAGTTATTCCACGAACACCTTTCGGAGCAGTCTCTAGGAAGCAGGAGGCTGGGGTAAAGATGGAGCCGCCTTCCCTTCCCTCCTGCCTGCTTCCCACCGCCGCCTCCCACTGGTGTTTTGGGCACATAGCCCTCTGGCTTCTCTCGGTGCGGCACTCGCATTTCCACGCAGCACCACCCCCTCCGTGCGCATCCCTGGGCGACAGCACCACGTCCTCAGAAGGCCCCTCCAGTCTGGCTGCTACTGGTTGGGGCGTTTGGGTAACGTAGGGCACCGCCCATGGCAGCAAAGGGAAATGGCAGAGGATGCTGTGGGCTCACCTGTCTGAGCAGCTTCTTCCTCCTGTTGAGAAATGTGGGTTTAGATTGACTCTAGGAAGGTGAATTTCCGTGTCTATGGAGAAGGCTCCGGGGCCTCGGCCACGCTGTAAACTTGTCCCTGGGCTGGGCCAACGCGGCGCCTCCCGGCACCTGCAAGCTCCTGGGAGGTTCCGGGCTCCCACTGAGCGATGGTTTTGTTCCGCTGGGGTGAAAGGCAGCTCCCCCTTCTACTGTGCGTTTAAAGCACCCCCACCAGGGCCTGACAGGCCGGGGCGAGGGAGCCTCCAGGTGCCGCTGCCATTGCAGAAGGGCGGGTGAGATGCGGGAGCCCCGGTGTAGCGTGGAGCCGCCTGTTGAGACCCTTCCGGGTTTCACGGCTTGTCTTGCCATGCTGATGTGCCAGGTTTGCCCTGCACACAGGCAACAGACCATTGCATGAGCAGGTGCCTTGGTCCCCTCAGCTCAGACAGGGTAACCCTGCCCTGGGGCCAGTGGGGGCTGAGATTTCAGTTTGAAAGAAGCTTGCACTGTCAATTTGAGCCAAATCAGTAAGTTGCTTCTACAGAAACAACTTGAGTTTAGGCGAAGGCAAATCTAGTTCTATCTAGTTCAGGATTCAGCATGATGGGGCCACCCCTCACAAGGGCCTTTCGGGGGCCATTGAGTCCCTGAGGACAGCCAGGTGGGCTGGGGGCACTGAGTCCAGCCCAGGACGGGTGGGAGCCCACACGCTGGGGCAGCCCTTCCCAGGATGGCCCAGGCTGGGTGCGGCCACAGTCCAGGGAGGGGAGCGTGGTCCTGGGTGGGGCCCTTCCCACCAGCCGCTGTCTGCCCAGTGCCCTGCTCAGGCCCCAACAGTGCTGTCCTCCAGCAGGGAGCTGGGGAAGGGGTCCCTGACGTTCTCAGGCAGAGTGGAGCAACAGAAGGCTCTTCACAAGCAGGGGCTGCGGGAGGGGCCCTGCTCACAGCTGGCCTTCAGAGCCCCCTCCTCATCCCCCACACATTCCTGCCTTTCAGCCCCATCCGGAGACCCGGCCCAGCTGCTGCCTGCTCTGAATGGGTCATTGTGTCTGCCCCAGTGCCCCCCAGCCCCTGCTCTTCCCCCCGAGCCCCAGCTTTCCGGGGGGCAGCCCAAAGAAGCCCATCTCTGTCCCCATTTTCCAAAAATAGCTGCCCCTACTGCAGAGCCCCGGAAGCTTTCAGGGGGCACCAACCCTCTCCAGAGCCCTGGGAGGTTGGCCAGGCCCCTGCCGCCCCCTCTTCCTCTCAGATGGCCTGGACACCCATCCCCCATCGCGGGAGGCAGCCTCGTCTTGGCATGGACGCACACATGTACCAACGTGCACACACGTGCCAATGTGCACACACTTCCAGTGTGGGATTCTGCACCCACACTCCCCACTGAGGCGGCACGTGCACCTGGCAGTGACCTTGGCAGCTAGGGGTCTGCAGCTGCATGGCCACTTGTCCTGGGGACCCAGCCCAGGGGACTCAGCCCAGGGGCCCCAGCCCAGGGGACTTAGCTCAGGGGACCCAGCCTGGGGACTCAGCCCAGGGGCCCCAGCTCAGGGGACTTAGCTCAGGGGACCCAGCCCAGGGGACCCAGCTCAGGGGACTCAGCTCAGGGGACCCAGCCCAGGGGACTCAGCCCAGGGGCCCCAGCCCAGGGGACTTAGCTCAGGGGACCCAGCCCGGGGACTCAGCCCAGGGGCCCCAGCTCAGGGGACTCAGCTCAGGGCCCTGGGCAGGTTGCCAGCTGCTGTGTTGGCTCGGGGCCTCCGATCATCAGTGGGGTGGTTGCTGTCCTCCCAGACATGGGCCTGAGCCTCTTCCTGGTGGGAGGACCCCCGGAGAGCCAGGCTGGGGCCTCCCTGGGTGGGACTGGACTCCCTCTCACCAAAGCTACCAGGGTGGCCCTGTGACTGCGGACCCCGGGGAGGGCCGGGTTCTCCTCAGCGCCCAGGCGAGGCCTCGTATCCCCAAGTGGGGCTGAGTCCGCCTCAGACACCCTGGGTGGGCTTCTGTCTCTTCGGGGTCCCCCGGGATAGGACTGTGTTCCTCCCAAATGCTGAGGGCAGGATGCCTGTACCCCCACAGCTGATTAGGTGGATGGGGAGGCCAGGTCAGTCCTGACCACTATGTCCTGTTTCTGTAGCAAGCGGTCTCCTGAGGCTGGCTGTGCTGCCTGAGGACCGGCTGCAGATGAAGTGGAGAGAGTCGGAGGGGAGCGGCCTCGGCTACCTGGTGCAGGTGAAGCCCATGGCAGGTGAGGACCTGCCCCTCCCAGGCCCCCTTCCCCATTAGCACGTGCCGAGGACAGTCAGTGTGGTGGCCGCAGCCACCACTCAGGCCCACAGCATCCCTCCCACCAGCCCCTTAGTGTCAGCACCTCTCTGGCCTTGGTCTCTGCTGACCCACATTCCTTTCCCCCGTCACATATGACATGGAAGAGGGAATGGGGCTCCTCTGTCCCTGGCACGCAGCCCCTGCAGAAGGCATTCAGTACATACTTTTAATTTTTTTGATTTTTAATTTCAATTTTTAATTTTTTTTAAAGGCAGGGTCTTGCTGTGTTGCCCAGACTGGAGTGCAGTGGTGCGATCACAGCTCCCCGCAGCCTCAATCTCCCGAGCTCAGGAGATCCTCCCACCTCAGCCTCCTGTGTAGCTGGGAGTACAGGTGCGTGCCACCACTCCTGGCTAATTTTTGTATTTTTTGTGGAGAAGAGGTTTCACCATGTTGCCCAGGCTGGTCTTGAACTGGGCTCAGGAGATCCGCCCCCCTCAGCCTCTCACAGTGCTGGGATTACAGGCGTGAACCACCATGCCCGGTCCATATTTTTTAAAGAAACGACTCCCTCCTCAGAACGAGTCTCAATGCGTCAGGGGCATTCAGAACAGCCTGGACTCCGCACAGCGAACCCCAGAAGCACCTGCTCCCCACGCGTTAATCCTTGTTTCCAGGAGCAGGGCCTTGAGGACACCTTTTCAGGGAACCCTGTTCCTAGAGCAGGAACAGTCCTAACCTGACAATGGGTGCTAATTTTAAAGCTTTTCAAAACTCAGATGGAAAAGCACACAGGCATAAATGCTAACTGTATGAATCAGCACTGTGGGGTGGCCAACTCAAACCCCTCCTGGGGTGGAAAACGACCGTCCCGGGTGCCCCGGTGCCCTTGCCAACGTCCACCCTCCCCTGCTCCCTGGACGGCCGCCTCCAACAGCATGGACTAGTTTGCCTGTTTCAGAACATTCTCTAAGTGGAATCACACCATGGCGACTCCCTCATGTCTGTGTCTTTGGTGGGCATTTTGTGAGGTTTGCCCCGTGGTGTGTAACAGCCGTCCATTTTCTTTGCTGTATAGTATTCCCCTGTGTGATCTCTTCTGCTATTGATGGACATGTGGCTTGTGTCCAGGTTGGCTGTTGTGTAGACGCCGTGTGAGGGATCCCGCGTGTGTTTCTGGTGTCCGTGCGCCTGTTCTGGGTGTAAACCCAGGAGTGGAAGTGCCACAGTGTGTGCATAGTTTCAACGTTAGTAGAAAATGTTGAACTATTTTCCAAAGGGGTCGTGCCAGTGTATACTCCCGTCAACACTGTATGATTGCTTCCGTTGCATGACACCCTTGGCAACCAACGCTTGGCAGCCTGACTGGAGCTACTCTGGTGGGTGTTCAGTGGTATCCTGTGTTTCTTTGTGGAGCTGTAATTTACGTGCAGAAATCTTCACCCTTTTGAGAAGAGGTCTGTGATTTGTATTTATCACATGAATTCAATCCTGTAGCCGCTATCACAATTGATGTAGAGAACAGTTCTGTTACCCCAAGGTCAGCCCTTAGCCCAGTGCCCGTAACCACTGAGCTGTTTTCTGTTTTGCCTTTTCCAGATAGATGGACCTTATCAGGTTCAGTCCTGTGCTGTTCCTACGTAAGGCTGAGTTTTTGTCAAGAGAATGCATTATTTTTTCCAAACTTTTTCTTCAGTGAGGTGGTTATTTTCTCCTTTATTTGATTAATGTAGTAAACTACAGTGATTGATTTTTTAAATATTAAACATAATATATACATATATACATATATATGTATATATACGTGTGTGTGTATACATATATACGTTGTGTGTATATATATATGTACGTGTGTGTGTGTGTGTATATATATATGTATACCTTAAGAGACAGGGTCTCACTCTGTCACCCGGGCTGGAGTGCACAGTGCAGTGGCACAGTCATAGCTCACTGCAGCCTCCATCTCCTGGCCTCAAGCAGTCTTCTCACCTTGACCTCCCAAAGCACTGGGATTACAGGGGTGAGCCACTGTACCTGGCCTATCCCCTTTTATATGTTATTAAATCAATTTGCAAATATTTCATTTAAGATTTTTATACTTATATTCATGAGGGAATATTGGCCAATAACTACCCTTTCTTATAAAGTCCTTTTAAAGTTTGGTATCAGCTTTATACCTCATAAGATGAGGTGGGGAAGGATTCCTCTTATTCTGTTTTCTGGAAGAGTTTGTGTAATGTTGGTGGTATTTTTTTCCTTAAATGTTTGCTAGAATTCACTGGTACTGACTTCTGGGCTTGTGGTGTGTGTGTATGTGTGTAAATACTTCACATAATTGATTCAATTTCCTTAACAGACATAGGACTACTCAGATTTTCTAATTTTTTTGGTCAGTTTTGGTAAGTTAGTTTTTTAAACAGGAATTTGTATTTTATATAAATTTCCTGATTAGTTGGCATAATGTTTTTCATATTACCCCATAGACTCTATAGTTATAGCACCCTTTTCATTCCCGTTATTGATTGAATCTTCTCTCTGCTTTCAAAAGGCAGTCTGGAAGTTTATTTACTTTATTAGTCTTTTAATAAAACACATTTTGGCTTGGTTGGTCTGTCGTTGATTTTGTTTATTTTTTATTGTTGTTTCTATTTCTTTTACTCTGTGTTTAATTTTCTGCTCTAACTTAAGATGGATGCTTAAGTTCATTGATTTTCTGCCCTTTTACAAGATATAAAGTTAAAACTATTGAATTTTCTTCTAAGCAGTAGCTATAGCTGCATTTTGATATGTAGAATTTTCATTATCATTCAGGTAAAAATATCTAATTTTTGTTACGATATTTTTATTTGACCCATAGGCTACTTAGAAGTGTGTTTCTCAGTTTTAAAACATGGGGGATTTTCTACTTATTTTTTGTTTTGGATTTCTTCCTTCATTGCATTGTGGCCAGAAATGTACAATATGCTTTCAGTCCTTTGGAAAGTACCTTGCTGGCCGGGCGTGGTGGCTCACGCCTATAATCCCAGCTCTTTGGGAGGCCAAGGTGGGCAGATCACTTGAGGACAGGAGTTTGAGACCACCCTGTCCAACATGGCAAAACCCCGTCTCTACTAAACATACAAAAATTAGCTGGGCGTGGTGGCACACACCTGTAATCCCAGCTACTCGGGAGGCTGAGGCAGGAGAATCGCTTGAACCTGGGAGGTGGAGGTTGCAGTGAGCCGAGATGGCACCACTGCACTCCAGTCTGGGTGACAGAGCAAGACTCCGTCTCAAAAAAAAAGTACCTCGCTTTATGGTCCAGCATATGATCAATTTGGTCAATGTTCCATGTGACTTTGAAAATATATGCAATTTGCAGTTGTTGGGTAGAGTTTTCTAATGTTCTAATTAAGTCATTTACCTTATTTTTCAGATTTTTTATATAGTTACTATGTTTGGGGTCTACTTATGCTGTTACTGAAAAAAGTATTTCAAATCTCCATTCTAATTGTAGATGTGTCTTTCTTGTGGTTGTCTTACTGTTCTTTGCTTTATGCATGAGGCTCTGTTATTGGGTACATACAAACTTAGAATGATTGTATCTTCCTGGTAGGTTGACCCTTTTTCATTTTGAAATGCTCTTCATTATCTCTCTAGTGCTGTTTTTTTCCTTACATCTTACTTGTGATGGTACTATTGCTTCACCAGGTAGTGTTTGCATTAAATCTCCTTTCTCCTTCTTTTACTGTTAATCTTTCTCCAGCCTTTCATTTTAGATGTGTCTTCTAAGCAGCATATAATTGGGTATTGTTTTCACCCAGTGTGACAGTCTTTGTCTTTTTATTAAAAGATTTTTTCCATTTATATTTAATGAAATTAATGATACATTTGAGTTTATATCTATAATCTTCCCTTTTTATTACACTTGTTATAAGTTTTTATTCTCCGCTTTCTTGTCTTTGTTTGAACTGATTTTTCAATGGAAAAATTTAAACACAGGCAAAAGAAGAGACCATAGTATAATGAAACCTCATGTTTTCATGATGCAGCTTTCAGCAATTATCAGCGTGCGGCCAATATTGTTTTATGTCCCTCTCCTCAACCCCCCTCTACATTCTATATTATCTTAAAGCAAATCCCAGGCATTATATAATCCTGTCTATAAATATTTCAATATGTTTCTCTAAAAGACTCAATCATAACCCCAATACCATGAGCAGCTCCCAAATTTAAAATGTTTCAGTACTATCATGGAATATTTAGTTGTGTAGAGTTTTCTAACTTGATGCATGTCTTTTATTAATTAATTAATTATTGAGATGGAATCTCACTCTGTCACTCAGGCTGGAGTGCAGTGGCATGATCTTGGCTCACTGAAGCCTCCTGCTTCCAGGTTCAAGCAGTTCTCCTGCCTCAGCCTCCTGAGTAGCTGGGATTACAGGCACGTGCCACCACGCCCAGCTAATTTTTGTACTTTTAGTAGAGACGGGGTTTCACTGTGTTGGCCAGGCTGGTCTCGAACTCCTGACCTCAGGTGATCCACCTGCCTCGGCCTCCCAAAGTGCTGGGATTCCAGGCGTGAGTCACCGCGCCTGGTCTTGATGCATGTCTTTTACAATTGATTTGTCTGAATTGGGGTGTGAACAGAGTCTACACACTGTGTTTGGTTCCTGTGTCTTAAGCAATTTTTAATCTAAAGCAGTTTCCCCCTCTCCCTTTTCCTTGACATTTATTTGTAGAAGAAGAAACAAGATTGTTCTGTCGAACTTCCCACTTTCTTCTCTTGCCAGTGGCATCTTTGGGGAGCCGTTTAGCTCGCTCCTTCGTCTCTCCACCCTGTCTCCCATAGACTGGCAGTTACATCCTGGAAGTTTGGTCAGACTCAAGTTTGATTATATTTGTTAACAAGAATTCTTTATCAGTGGTGCTGTGTAACTCCTGCGTTACCACAGCTGGCGGTACATAATGTCTGGTGTGTCTTGTGAAGTTAAGATTGTTCAGTAGGTATGGGGTGATTATTCCCTGATGCCATCAACTTGGTGATTCTATATTCTTTTACCCTTCAAGTAACCACACTAGCGACCACAACATACAGCCTTGATTTATCAGCATATGATATACATAATGGTTGTCTCAGCTGTCCCCAGGCAACGCTAGGACCTTAGAACATCACAATAATATTTATCCCATTTTCAAGCACTTGTGTTTATTTATTGATTTTTGAAATGGGGTCTCACTATACTGCCCAGGCTGGACTCAAACTCCTGGGCTCAAGTGATTCTGCCACCTCAGCCTCCCAAGTAGATGGGATTACAGGCATGCCCGGCTTTTAAAATTCTATATTTATATTAAATGTCATAAAACTTTTTCATTATTGTCATTGCTTGTTAATCACGTGTTTGTGCAGGAAGCCTTGGGAATATGACAGACCTGGGCTTCTATCCCACTTCTACTGCGGAGTAGCTGTGTGATTGGTCCTTTGTGCCTCAGTTTTCCTATCTATAAAATGGGTGTAATGGAGTTGTGAAGATTATGAGGCTTGATACCTGTGAAATGCTTAGGATACTGCCAGGCACACAGTGAAAACTCAATAACAGTTAGCTGTTGATGGTAATGACAACACCCCTGCCTCCCATTTGCTCAGCCAAGAACAGAGGGTCCTCCCTGGCTGGTCACTCCCTGGCGCGGGGCTGGGTAGGGCTGTGGGGAGCCACTCACTGCACAGGGAGGATGGTGTCCCTTTTCTTTCCAGGTGTGCAGGTGTGGGTTCCTCCCTCCCTTCCTCCCTCCCTCCCTCCAGGTGTGCAGGTGCTGGCTCCTCCCTCCCTTCCTCCCTCCAGGTGTGCAGGTGTGGGTTCCACCCTCCTCTTCTCCCTGCAGGTGTGCAGGTGTGGGTTCCTCCCTCCTCTTCTCCCTGCAGGTGTGCAGGTGTGGGTTCCTCCCTCCTCTTCTCCCTGCAGGTGCGCAGGTGTGGGTTCCTCCCTCCCTTCCTCCCTCCAGGTGTGCAGGTGTGGGTTCCTCCCTCTCTTCCTCCCTCCCAGTGTGCAGGTGTGGGCTCCTCCCTCCTCTTCTCCCTCCAGGTGTGCAGGTGTGGGTTCCTCCCTCCTCTTCTCCCTCCAGGTGTGCAGGTGTGGGTTCCTCCCTCCCTTCCTCCCTCCAGGTGTGCATGTGTGGGTTCCTCCCTCCCTTCCTCCCTCCAGGTGTGCACGTGTGGGTTCCTCCCTCCCTTCCTCCCTCCAGGTGCGCAGGTGTGGGTTCCTCCCTCCCTTCCTCCCTCCAGGTGTGCAGGTGTGGGTTCCTCCCTCCTCTTCTCCCTGCAGGTGCGCAGGTGTGGGTTCCTCCCTCCCTTCCTCCCTCCAGGTGTGCAGGTGTGGGTTCCTCCCTCCCTTCCTCCCTCCAGGTGTGCAGGTGTGGGTTCCTCCCTCCCTTCCTCCCTCCAGGTGTGCAGGTGTGGGTTCCTCCCTCCTCTTCTCCCTGCAGGTGCGCAGGTGTGGGTTCCTCCCTCCCTTCCTCCCTCCAGGTGTGCAGGTGCTGGCTCCTCCCTCCCTTCCTCCCTCCAGGTGTGCACGTGTGGGTTCCTCCCTCCCTTCCTCCCTCCAGCTGCGCAGATGTGGGTTCCTCCCTCCCTTCCTCCCTCCAGGTGTGCAGGTGTGGGTTCCTCCCTCCTCTTCTCCCTGCAGGTGCGCAGGTGTGGGTTCCTCCCTCCCTCCCTCCCTCGAGGTGTGCAAGTGTGGATTTCTTGCCCTTTTCTCCCTTGCCTTAGCACTTGAGACCCAGAGAATCACCCAGTGCTCACAGTGCCTCTCCAGGTCTGACTGCTGCCTCCTGAGTGCTCTTTCAAGGCCATTTCTTCTTGCTCTTTCCTCTGAGAATATGGCAGTGTCCCCTTTGGAATCATTTGTTTGCTTTTCACACTTGAAATCCAGACCTAACTTTAGAATCATGGAGTCACACAGCAGAAAATACTTGCGGCTGGTCGGTCCGTGCAGCCCATAGGGTAGGAGCCTGTGGGAGTGGGCAGGGCCCTGGCCCCGGACTCTTCCTTCTTGGACCTGGCCCCTCGGGTCGTCATCCCCTCCCTGGGCAGCCCTGTCTTCATACCTTGACAGTATCTCTGAGGGTTGATGGCTTCTCACCTCACCATGCGGCGGATTCCTCTAGGGGGGTTTAGTAAGTGACATCTTCTTTTCACCGCCCCAAGACCCCCATTCTCTGTCACATTATTACCCAGGAGCCCATGTCCCTTCCATCAGACCCTCTCCCTTTCTGTCTCTCTGGCTTCAAGGGGAGCAGCTGGGGTGGGGAGGAGGAGCCAAGAGGGTTTCACTCCCCGCCGTGACAGATGCACACACGTGTGCACCTTGGCCTCTAAAGCTCTCCCCACCCCTACCCAGGGGACTCGGAACAGGAGGTGATACTGACCACCAAGACCCCTAAGGCCACAGTGGGGGGCCTGAGCCCCTCCAAGGGCTACACCTTGCAGATCTTCGAGCTCACTGGCTCTGGGCGCTTCCTGCTAGCTCGGAGGGAGTTTGTGAGTAAGTCCACCGTCTGCCAGCTGGGTACCCACTCCTCCAGGCCGGGTCCCACCCTCCTCTGGGCTGGGGTCCCACCCTCCTCCAGGCTGCGTTCCAGCCCCAGGGGTGGGTATGTGTGAAGCAGTTCTGGGCTGTGCTAGGGGCAGGTTCAAGTCCCGACTCACCAGCAAGGCTGCCTTGCCCCTGACATCTTTGCATGCCTCCCAGGCTCCTGGGCCCTCAGCACCCACAGATGCGCCCTTGAAGGGGTGTATGTGCAGCTGCCCCAGTGGACCAGGCCCTCCACTCCCACCCTGATGGCTCTTTGTGTCTCCCTGCAGTTGAGGATCTGAAGAGTAGCTCCCTGGACAGGAGCAGCCAGAGGCCCCTCGGCTCTGGAGCCCCGGAGCCCACCCCCTCCCACACGGGGAGCCCAGACCCTGAGCAGGCTTCTGAGCCCCAAGTTGCCTTCACACCAAGCCAGGATCCGCGCACTCCTGGTGGGTCAGAGTGGAGAGAGAGTAAGTCTCCGGGGAGGGAGTGACCTTTGGTTTCCCACATTTCCCACCATGAGGCCAGGAAGTTCTTCCTCGTGTCTGACCACACGGTCTCTGACCACGAGGCCAGGAAGTTCTTCCTCGTGTCTGACCACACGGTCTCTGACCACGAGGCCGGGAAGTTCTTCCTCGTGTCTGACCACACGGTCTCTGACCACGAGGCCGGGAAGTTCTTCCTCGTGTCTGACCACACGGTCTCTGACCACGAGGCCGGGAAGTTCTTCCTCGTGTCTGACCACACGGTCTCTGACCACGAGGCCGGGAAGTTCTTCCTCGTGTCTGACCACACGGTCTCTGGCTTTAACTTAAAGTTGCCATGTTCCCAGGTTCACTCAAGCCAGGCCACTGGGAGCAGGTGGTCCCACTACCTCTGACCCCTTTGGGAACCTCCAGCCTGGGTCTAGGGGGTGGTGAGAGGGGTGGGTCATGCTCCCCCAGGAGTGGGATCAGGAGCAGAGCTGGTCCGGGGGCCCTGGAGGGAGGGCCCTGCCCAGCCGGCCCCAGGCGTGGAGAGGTAGAGCCACACCAGGACAGAAGAGAAGCCAGGTAAGGGGTGGGCACAGACGGGGGCAGTGCACTGTGTCTGCCCATAAGGCCCCCGTAGGCAGGGCTGGGCTTCCCCATAGAACTGGGAGGGCCTGGCTTTGTCTCCTCCATCAGACTGGGGTCCTCAGAAGCAGGATTCTACCTCCCCCGTCAGACTTGGAACTGAAGGAAGTGTTCTCCTCAGACTTGGGCATATCCCCTCCAGAGGGTCCTCGGGTCCGCTGCTGTCCTCCCCTCAGGGTGCTGGGCTCTGCTGGGTCCCCTGGACTTGGGCTCCCCCAGGGGAGTGTCCCCACCCATGCAGGCCTCAGGGCAGCTGGGCCTCTTCGGTCGCCCCACGGGGGGCTCCACCGTGATGGCTGCTGGCCTCGTTCAGGCATCTCCCCGGGGGTCTGGCCCTGGCTCTGGGGCCCGCCTCACCAGGCACTGCTCCTGCAAAACCCCGGGGAGCGCCAGACCGGGGATGGCGGCTTTGCCTCCACAGCGCCGCGCTGCGGTGCTCACGGCGGCTCTGCTGGGGCTCTTTGTGGTGCCCACCCTCCCCTCCTTGCCTGGTTTGCACCTGGTGGGCTTCTGGGCCTGATGTCTGGGCGGGCAGCTGCATGCAGCCGTGGAGGGCAGAGGTGCCCGAGCACCAGGCTGCCTCACATTAGCGGTGGCTCGATGTGCAGCCGTGCCGGTGTGGGGCTGTCTAGTCCGGTGAGGCCTGAGGGCCTTGGAGTCCTTTCCCCTGAAACCTGGCCCAGCCTGCCTCACTCTTGTGGCTGGAGCCCCGGGGTAGGTGATCTGGGGGCCTTGGACCAGGGATGGGCCTCACCTAGCACCTGACCCGCTCCCACCGCCCCAGCCGGCCCCCAGTTCCGCTGCCTGCCCCCCGTGCCTGCTGACATGGTCTTCCTGGTGGACGGGTCCTGGAGCATTGGCCACAGTCACTTCCAGCAGGTCAAGGACTTCCTGGCCAGTGTCATCGCACCCTTTGAAATCGGGCCGGATAAGGTCCAAGTAGGTGGGTGCTGGCCCGGCCCGCCTCCTGCCCCACCCGGGTGTGGTCCCCACAGCTCTGCCAGAGGAGGCTGTGACCTGTGGGGGTCCCCGTACCAGCCAGGGCTCTCACCTTGTGGGGTGGGACGCCTGCTCCACATGGGGTGTTCTGGGGACCCCTCCGTGTGGAGGCCCTGGCTCTGCAAGCGTCCTCTCCCTGGGGACTGGCTACTGTGGCCAGGTGACCCCACAGAGGCACGTGCAGCTCTCAGGTGTGGCCTTGTGCCAAGCTCCCTGGGCATCTCAGCATTGGAAACTCAGCCCGTGGCCATGCCCCTGCTCCCCAGGCCTGACTCAGTACAGCGGGGATGCTCAGACTGAGTGGGACCTGAACTCCCTCAGCACCAAGGAACAGGTGCTGGCAGCTGTGCGCCGCCTCCGCTACAAGGGGGGGAACACGTTCACAGGTACGGCCCAGGCCTGCCCCTCCCTCTGTCCTGAGGGCGGACCTCCTTCTGCCGCCCTCCCAGATCCCGAAAGCTTGTGTGTAAATCGAGCTCCAAGTGGTGTGGACCTGAGCCCTGTTCACACCTTTATAGAGGGCAGAGTCACCCCCTTGTTTACCTTTGATGAAAACGAGGGCCTGTGTCCAGCGCGTGGCTCCTCTGTTCCACATTAGCAGCTCTGGCTGGGTCCACACCCGGCCCAGTCTGGGTGCTCACCTTGCAGGTAGGGTCTGGCTGGGGAACTTGGGGCCCTTCAACAGGTAGACCCTCCCTGCTCCCTTGGGCTGCTGCGGGGCCTCCTGATACCCCACAAGGGAAGGAGAGGAGCATCTCTGCTGTCCGGTTGCTGCCAGCCGAGCACCAGGAGGGGATGCTGGCAGCTGCCTGTCACTTTATTCCTGCTGCTCCCAAGGCCTTGCCCTGACCCACGTGCTGGGGCAGAACCTGCAGCCGGCGGCTGGCCTCCGTCCAGAGGCAGCCAAGGTGGTGATTCTGGTGACGGACGGCAAGTCCCAGGACGATGTGCACACTGCTGCCCGTGTCCTCAAGGACCTGGGCGTGAACGTCTTCGCTGTGGGTGAGCACCATGCGGCTCCCCCGGCCCTGGAGTCTCACCGCCGGGTGGGTTTAGGGTCGCAGCAGGGAGCTTGCATTGGGCACCTGGTCCCTGAGCCCCAGCTTCCACATCTGCGGCACGGAGCTGCACGCAGAGCCAGGCACCGCCTGGCACTCAGAGGCGATGGCACAGGCGGGCTGCTCCTTTCCAATCGCCTGGTGTTTGGTGCCCTCCGTGGAACCACCCCAACCCTCCCCCTGTGGCGTGAACTTCCCTGGTGAGATATTCACTGAGCAGCTCCAGCTGCCCCCTCTGGCCACCATCCCTGTGCCTGGTGACTCCCGCCTGCTGTGCCCTGGCAAGGAGCTTCCTGGCATCCTCCAGGGCCTGGGACTCACAGGCGAATCAACTCTGTCCTGTGGGGAGGAAACCCCAGATTTCGAGGCAGGAGTCCCAGGAGCACAGACCCTTCCTTGATGCCCCCAACCCCTCGGGAGCGCCTGGCCCAGCATGTGGGTGGCAGGTGGGCCGAGTACAGCCCATAGGCCTCTTTACTCCTGACCCAGTCTCCATGGAGACCCCCACCGCAGGTGGCCCCGTCGGGTGACCCCAGTGCAGGCCAACCCCACCTCCCTCCTCACGAGCAGGTGTGAAGAACGCCGATGAGGCTGAGCTGAGGCTCCTGGCGTCCCCGCCGAGGGACATCACCGTCCACAGCGTGCT
Organism: Homo sapiens; assembly: GCF_000001405.40. Taxonomy (NCBI): domain Eukaryota; kingdom Metazoa; phylum Chordata; class Mammalia; order Primates; family Hominidae; genus Homo; species Homo sapiens. The sequence continues at coordinate 63,309,409 of NC_000020.11, forward strand.
GGACTTCCTGCAGCTCGGCGCGCTGGCTGGCCTGCTCAGCCGTCTCATCTGCCAGAGGCTCCAGGGTGGGAGCCCGCGGCAGGGCCCAGGTGAGGGGCAGGGTCACCCGCACAGGCTGCAGCCCCCCCGGCTGCTTTGGGCAAAGGGTTGGGGGGACGCTGTGGCTCCCGTGTGGTACCTGAGGCCGGCTCCTGTGGCTCTGAGGGGGTCTGCAGCACCCCCTTACATCTGTCCACAGAAGGGCTGGGGAGCAGCTTTCCTGTCCCTCCTGTGAGTGGCCACCAGGGGGAGCGTGGACACAGCTGCCCGTGCAGTGACCACCTGCCCCCCACTCCCGCTACTCCAGCAGCAGCGGCTCCAGCCCTGGACACCCTCCCTGCCCCCACCAGCCTGGTCCTGAGCCAGGTGACCTCCTCCAGCATCCGCCTGTCCTGGACTCCAGCCCCCCGGCACCCCCTCAAGTATCTGATCGTTTGGCGAGCCTCTAGAGGTGGCACCCCCAGGGAGGTGAGGGGGCCGGTATACAGGGCTCCCCGAGCCGGTCCTCAGCCGTAGTGAGATCTGATAAGCCAAAGGGAGGGCAGGAATAAAGGCCCACAAATAACTGGGTCCAGGCTGAGAAGGGGGTGTCGAGGGGCTGACAGCCCAGGGACTCACTGGGGAGCTGCGTCTGGGAGGCAGCCTGGGATGAGTGCATTTTAGTGGCCGAGGAGGGCAGAGCAGGGGGCGTTCCGAGGGTGCTGGGGTTAGGGTCAGACTCAGAGCGCCTTCTCCCTTTGATTGATCGATCGATGGATAATTGTGGTGGGCCTGGCACTGCTCTGTCGTAGGTACAGGGAGCCCAGGCCTGTGGGAAGTGGGGCACCCTGCGGGCCCCAGCTGAGCTCACACTCCAGCTGACGGAGTTCCTGTCCTGCTCCCCATCCCCCGGCACCCCCCTTCCTGGCTCCGTCCTTGCCCACTCTGTTCCAGGTGGTGGTGGAGGGACCCGCCGCCTCCACGGAGCTGCACAACCTGGCCTCCCGCACAGAGTACCTGGTCTCCGTGTTCCCCATCTATGAGGGCGGGGTTGGCGAAGGCCTGCGGGGCCTGGTGACCACAGGTAGGTGGGGCAGAGGCAGCGGCCAGGTTCTGGGTGGGAGGCCCCACTCACGGCTGTCCCTTGGAGCCTGACACCCCAGGGCAGCATAGCGAGCAGCTCTGGATCTTAACCACCCACAGTTGGCACCATCCCCAGCTTGCTGTGTGACCAAGGCCGAGTCACTGGGCCCCTCTGACCCTGGGTGTTCTCTTCTGAACACCAGCTATACCGTTGGTGTCATCACCTCAACTGTAATCACAGCCCATTATGCTGCTTGTCCACAGTGTTCATGGAGCTCCCCCCTGCTTGGCCTCCAGCACGTGGCTTAGCTCGCTGGGTTCTTGGACCCCCAGGGACTGCCATGAGCCCGTCTGTAATAGCCTTGTTGAGATGTAATTTACACACCATACAACCTGCCCATTTAAAGTGTACAACTCCAGTGGCTTTGGTATATTCAGAGCTGTCACCCATGGCCACAGTTCATGTTAGATCATTTTCATCCCCCCAGAGGAACCCTGCACCCCTAAGCACCCGCCCCCCCAGCCACCCCAAGCCACCTTCTGTCTCTGGATGTGCCTGTCCCAGACGTTTCCTGCAGGTGGAATCACACAGTGCAGACTTTTGTGTCTGGGTGTTTCCCAAAGCCCTTTTCACCCCCCGGAGGCCACATTCCTCCCATGACCTCAAGGCAGATGGCCTTAGACAAAACTGTGGGGTGGCCTTGTGTCCCCAGAGCTGGAGCCACAAACCTTGGCCCAAGGTGAAGCCTGGGAAGTGCCACTTTGAATCCTGTGCACCTGCCAGGCGGTGGCCGTGCCCACCCACTCTGGTGTGAGGGTGCCCCGTGCGTGGGTGTGATCTCTGTGTGGGCTCCTTCCTAAAGTGTCCCTGCATGGCCCCCCAGCACCTCTGCCTCCGCCCCGGGCGCTGACCCTGGCCGCAGTGACGCCCAGAACCGTCCACCTCACCTGGCAGCCCTCGGCCGGGGCCACCCACTACCTGGTGCGATGTTCTCCTGCTTCCCCCAAGGGTGAAGAGGAGGAGCGAGAGGTGAGCTGGGCCGGGGGGTGGCGGGGGAGGCAGAGGAGTGGGGCAGAGCGAGTGGGGGCTGGCCTGGGACGTCATGTCTCTGCAGGTGCAGGTCGGGCGGCCCGAGGTGCTGCTGGATGGCCTGGAACCTGGCAGGGACTATGAGGTCTCGGTGCAGAGCCTGCGAGGCCCTGAGGGCAGCGAGGCCCGGGGCATCCGTGCCAGGACCCGTGAGTGCTCCAACCCCGGCTGCCTGCCCACAGGCGGGTGCCCCATCTTGTTCCTCAGCCTTCCATGGCATGGGAGACCTCAGGCCCCCTCGGTCCCAGCCACTGCCCACCCTTGCCCCTGCCATGGAGGCCGCGTGCTGGCCTTGAGGCTCTGCTGTGCTTTGCAGCCACCCTGGCCCCCCCGAGACACCTGGGCTTCTCAGACGTGAGCCACGACGCGGCACGAGTGTTCTGGGAGGGTGCCCCGAGGCCTGTGCGCCTGGTCAGGGTCACCTATGTGTCCAGCGAGGGTGGACACTCGGGGCAGGTGAGAGCAGAGCCCTCCGGGGGCCCGAGTGTCTTGAGGGACCACAGGGCCCTGTCTGGCAGGCATGGGGTGGAGCCAACCATCAGATAACACATTCAAAACCACAGCGGCCACGAGGCACAGCGGGGGCACCTGGTGTGGGGGCAGATGTGGGTGTGGGGTCTGGGGGGAACCAGGCTGGGGAGGCCCACCCCAGCCGTCCTGCAGTTCTGTTGCCCTCCCATCCCTCAGGACAAGCCCATTTTCCCCGTTTCTGGGGGGTCGTGGGGTAGTCCTGGCTGCAGGTGCTGGGCCTGATTCTCCACCCCAGCAAGGGCTCCAGGCACCAGCTGGGCCTGCCATGTCGCCCTCCCACCTGCTGCAGACAGAGGCTCCTGGGAACGCCACCTCGGCCACGCTGGGGCCTCTCTCTTCCTCCACCACCTACACTGTCCGTGTCACCTGCCTCTACCCTGGGGGTGGCTCCTCTACGCTGACTGGCCGGGTGACCACCAGTGAGTGGGGAGAGGCTGGGGCTGGGGGTCCAGCAGGGTTTCTGTGTCCTTCTGCCCTGCTAGACAGTTCACATCAAGTGTTTTGGGAGCCTGCCCTGGGTCAGTGCTGAGCCAGGTGGGGATGGGCACCCGGACGGGTGTGATGGATGGGGGTATAGGGTGCTCCTGGGTGTGGCTGCCCCTCCTCTGAGGTGCCCAGGCTCAGGGGCTACACCCCCAGCCTGTGTCTCCACTTCCTTCAGAGAAAGCTCCCAGCCCAAGCCAGCTGTCCATGACGGAGCTGCCAGGGGATGCAGTCCAGCTGGCGTGGGTGGCCGCAGCCCCGTCTGGCGTGCTTGTCTACCAGATCACGTGGACGCCCCTGGGAGAGGGGAAGGCTCACGAGGTGGGCAGGGGTGGGTTTGTCCTTCCGAGGGGCCCCCCGTGGGCCCCTAGTCCTGAAGCCAAAGTCTAGGGCTCAGAGCCATATGTGCGCCCACCCTGTCTCCCAGGGATGCCTCACTGCCCGGCCCCCCAACCTGAGGACCCCACTGCACCCGGTGACCCCTGGGGCTCTCCTCTCCCTAGATCTCTGTCCCAGGGAACCTCGGCACGGCCGTCCTGCCTGGCCTAGGGAGGCACACAGAGTACGACGTCACCATCTTGGCCTACTACAGGGACGGGGCCCGCAGTGACCCTGTGTCCCTCCGCTATACCCCCTGTAGGTGCCCCTCCACTTCCCCTCTGCTGGGTGTGGGGCAGGGATGGCCCAGGGGATCCCTGACTCACCCGCTGCACAGGCCCAGGACCCTAGACTCCCAGAACTGCTGGCTCCAGAGCCCTGATCACTGGGCCTGGTCGTTGGAGTCTGCAGCACTTCCTTGAGCTCACACGGGTATAGGTGTTCCCCCAGTGGCCGAGTGCACAAACCACCTAGTGTCCCGCAGGGCAGCCCAGGCAGCAGCCCTGGTTGGGGGTATGGTGAGGGCCCTGGCAGGTGGCGTGGTGTGGGTGTGGTGGGGTGCGGTGTGGGCAGTGGCAGGGGTGTGGTGTGGTTGTGCCAGGGGGGTGATGCGGGCTGTGGTAGGGGTGTGGCATGATGTGGTGGAGGCATTACGCAGAGCAGGGTAGGGGCTGGGCAGCTGGTCCTCTGGCCACCGGGTGCCTCCTTTCTGGAGGGGCCTGAGCCCCACACAACCCATGCTCTCGGCCAGCCACGGTGAGCAGGAGCCCACCCTCCAACCTGGCCCTGGCCTCGGAGACCCCCGACAGCCTGCAGGTCAGCTGGACGCCCCCGCTTGGCCGCGTGCTCCATTACTGGCTCACCTACGCCCCCGCCTCTGGCTTGGGACCCGAGAAATCCGTGAGTCTTGGTAGAGCCTGAGGCTGCCCCACCTCGTGGGGCCTCCTGGAAGGGGTATGGCCACACTGTCTGCGAAGGGTGGCAGCTCTGCCATGGCGGGACGCAGAGGGAGGCAGCTGAGCCGCGTGGACGAGCAAAGTTGCCCAGGAAGTGGGGACCAGGCACCCTCCCTTCTCCTAGGTCTCTGTGCCAGGAGCCAGGAGCCACGTGACACTGCCCGACCTGCAGGCAGCCACGAAGTACAGGGTCCTGGTCTCAGCTATCTATGCAGCAGGCAGGAGTGAGGCTGTGTCTGCCACGGGCCAGACAGGTGAGTGGGCACCAAGACCCCAGACCCAGGTAGACCCAGCCCCAGCCGGGCCCTAGACCCCAGACCCTGCCAGCTCCAGACTCATCCAACCCCAGACCCAGCCAACCCCAGACCTAGTTGACCCCAGGGGTCACAGGCAGGCAGGGGTCCTGGGTGGCTGGAGATGACTGGTTCCAGGCTGGCCCCACCTGGATTCTCCAGGGACAAGGACGTGGTCACACTTGCCTGGGGTCTTCCACGGTGGGAGCTGCTGTTGCTGGTTTTTTGTCTCTTGCTGGTTTTCCTGGAGAACCACAGGTCCAGGGCGAGGGCTCTGAGAGGCATCCATCCCAACCTTCCAGCTTCCCTCTGGGCTTCCCATTGTGGGGTCTTCCAGTCTTGGCTTGCACGCCCTTGGGGACGGGGTCCTCACTGCCTGGACAGCTTCCCCGGCGAGGCAGCCTTCCCATGGGAGGGGAGAGCTGCTCCTCCCATCAGGAGTGCTCCTTCCTGCCTTCTCTGCCCATGAAGGGTTCCGAGCACCTGCCATGGAGCAAACCCAAGTCCCTGGGCCCCCAGGACACGCATGCCCCCAGCCTGCCCGCACACCAGGCATCTCCCTGGCCCCCAGGACACGCGTGCCCCCAGCCTGCCCGCACACCAGGCATCTCCCTGGACCCCAGGACACGCGTGCCCCCAGCCTGCCCGCACACCAGGCATCTCCCTGGCCCCCAGGACATGCGTGTCCCCAGCCTCTCCTCACACCAGGCATCTCCCTGGCCCCAGGACACGTGTGTCCCCAGCCTGCCCGCACACCAGGCATCTCCCTGGCCCCCAGGACACGTGTGCCCCCAGCCTGCCCACACACCAGGCATCTCCCTGGCCCTGCCAGTTCAGGGCACTCCTGGGTGACCAGTACCCTCGAAGGGTATCACACCCAGTGAGATGCCTGGTACGACCCGGGGCCCACTGGGCTGTCTTGGGGGCAGCTGCTTCACTCAGTGAGATCCAGAGGGGCAGGGACCATCCCTGTTCCCTTCCTTTTCTGGGAGGCGTGGGGACCACAGGCCTTGTGGGTGGCAGATGGGACATAGCACAGTCCCACCTATACAGATGGAGCACAGGCTGGGGCATCGTCCATGAAGTGGCCCCTCCCCAGCGGTCTGTCAGGCGTTGGAGGCTGGGCCGCTCCCACTCACACTGACCCTGTCTCCTCTCAGCAGCCTGCCCAGCCCTCCGCCCTGACGGCTCCCTCCCAGGTGGGTCCTGCATGCCCTCCCCTGCCTGCCCACCCACAGTCTCTCGGGCTCTTCCTGGGCGTGGGGGCCAAGGGTGTCGTGACCTGGGACCCAGTGGTGGTGCAGTTGGAGGATGTTTGGGCGGGTTTGTGCCTCCACAGACGTCCCTGTGGCTGGCTGGGCGGTGGTTATTCCTGCTTCTCACTGAGGGAGCCGAAGGTTATGTAAGGTCAGGGCCAGGAACCGGCAGAGCCCAGGCAGCGCTGGGGGCGCTGGGTCCTTTCCAGCCCCATTCCAGGGTCTCTGCTGACTGGAGCTGGGGGTTTCAAGTGCTGAGCCCGGGGTTCTCATTCGAGTTGCCTGAGAGTGAGGCCCTCCCCAGAGAGGGGCTGAGAGGTGGAGATGGTGGGAAGGCAGGGACTGCCTACTTGAAACAGGCCTTGGAAGGGGCTGCGGCCTCTGCCGCCTCCTGCCCGGTGCCTGCTGGCAGCGCTGATAAGCTGCAGTGTGAATGGGATTTCGCCCTTCACTTTGTACCAATTAGTGCTGGAAAGGAGCTGGGGCTTCGAGGGTGGTGGCTGGCACCTGCGGCTCTGCGCGGTGGGGCTCGCCAGGGAATGGGGTCATCGCAGGCCCCCAGGCAGGGTGGATGGAGCGAGCTGGCCACGCTGTGTGCCAGCAAAGGGGAACTCACTGACAGAGTCTTCCTCAGAGGGAAAACGACCCTGGGCGGGCGGGGGACGCGGTGCAGTGGGCTTGCTGGGGGGCAGGGGCGAGAGGTGGGAGTTGGGGCTCATGATCGGGGGCTGGGCGTCCACCTTGTCCATCTCTGGGTCTCCGAAGCTGGGCATTTGGCCCAGTGATTTACCATGGTGGCCTGGGGAGCGGCCCCTCCCAGTGTGTTGGATTCCCCTGGGGAGGGGTGGGGGGCGATGCCCAGCCCAGGGCCTGAAGCAGACCCCTGCCCACCCCCCAGCCCCTGTGCTGACTTCCCACCCACGCCGCTCCGTCACCCCTCCCTCCCACCGCACTGCAGCCCCTGGGTCCCTCTTGAGTCCCCGCTCCTGCCCCTTCCTCCCTCCCCTGCCATCTCTGAGGGTCCCTCGGTGCCCCTTCCCCCACCATCTTCCCCAGGGTTTGACCTGATGGTGGCCTTCAGCCTGGTGGAAAAGGCTTATGCGTCCATCCGGGGCGTGGCCATGGAGCCCTCTGCCTTCGGTGGGACCCCGACCTTCACGCTCTTCAAGGACGCCCAGCTGACAAGACGGGTCAGGTGTGAGGGCAAGGGCTGGGGTGGAGCTGGAAGCCCAGGCTGGGGCCGCTGAAGATTAGGAGGACATGGTGGGGGGGCGGGCATGGGCCGGAGACCTCCTGGAGGCTGTGGGACAGGGCAGCGCTGCTATGTCAGCAAACGGCTGACTCACCCCAGTACTCACACTTCAGAAATTCACATTTTACAAATTAATAAAATCTCCATGGGCAGAGTGAGGCCAGCCCCTTGGCATATTTTGGCAACCAAGTATGGATCTATTTCCCATGTGAGCTGAGGGCTGATCAAACACGCAGGAGCCCCAGACTGACCTGAGGCGATGGGCCAAACTGCCAGTAGCCGGATTTAGAGGAAGCGATCACTCAAATAGCTTTGCATGAGATTTGGGACAATTCCTGATATCTCATGACCACCCTCCCTTATTTACAGAGAACAGTTGTTCATCGTGACCCTGAACTGTGATATAAGCTGCATGACAGTTTAAGTTAAAATGGTTGATGATAAAGGCGGAAGCCAGGTGTGGTGGTGCACACCTGCAGTCCCAGCTACTGGGGAGGCTAAGTCCAGGAGGTTGAAACCAGCCTGGACAATGCAGCAAGACCCCATCTCTACAAATAAACAAACAAACTTAGCTGGGTGCGGTGGCAGGCACCTGTATTCCCAGCTACTCGGGAGGCTGAGGTGGGAGCATGTCTGTCTCAGGAGACGGAGGCTGCAGTGAGCCAGGATTGTGCCACTGTAGTCCAGCCTGGGCACCAGAGCAATACTCCGTCCCTTAAAAAAAAAAAAAAAAAAAAAGAAGTTACAAAGGAGAGTTATATTCTGTAACAGAGATTTTAAAATTATAGAAATATATATATTTAAAAGCTCACCTAGCACTGTTGGGGCTTAGGAATGTCTCTCCCAGCCTGTTTTGTCCCCACACAGCCGCCGGCCCATGTGCTATGCTCGGCCCTGGCCCCCTGGTCACCACGGTGTCTTCGTGGCTGAACTCGATGACTGTTCCCCGGCTTCCCTCACCATCCTCTCCCTCCCCCCAGTCTTGCTGCACATGCCCCCTGTGCTCCGCCCCCATGGCAGTTTCTCTTCAGGGTGGTATAGTTGCCCTCTGCCCTCCTCTCTGGGCAGCAGGCTGCAGAGCCCTCTTCCTCCATGGCCTCAGGTGGTGTAGACGCCCCCCGCCCCCCTCTCCTCTTCCTCGGTGGCCTCAGGTGCACGTACTGAGCTGGGTGTTCTTACGGGTGGGTGAGGTGGGAGCTCTGATCGCCTGCAGCCCGAGGCAGCTTCAAGGCCTCCTGGGTGCCTCCCCAACCTCTCTGCTCTCAAGCAAACCCTCCTGGGACCAGGCAGCCTCCACAGGGTGGCTGTTTCCATGAGTCCCTGTTCTCAAATGAGGGCTCCTCCCAGCCTTGTGGCATGAGCAGGCACTTCCCATGCCTGTTTGCCCTTCCAGAGCTCACAGCCTGAGAAGTGGGGGCAGATGGTTCTCCAGGTGCGGCCACCCAGGGTGGACCCCCGTGAGGGTTGCCACACCAAAAGAGGAGGGCTCCTGCTGTGTGGGGTCGGGAGGCTCCTGAGGTGGCATCACAGGTGCCCAGGCCCCAGACCAGTCTGCTCTCGGGATGGCAGGAAGGTGGCTGGGCATCCTAAGAGTGAATGGAAGACAGATAGGAGGCTACGGCCATTGGGACCCCAATTCTATCAGGGGCCCGAGACCCTGCTCCCTGGACCCCGATTCTATCAGAGGCCCGAGACCCTGCTTCCTGGAACATTAGGGGACCAAGACCCTGGTCCCACCCCTCAGGGTGTCTGGCTGGGCACTGGCCAGGACCCACTGGGCGGTGCCAATGAGTGTGAGTCGGGGGAGCTGCTCCCGAGAGCAGAGCTGCCTTTCAGTAGTGATCCTGAGACTCCCCTGTGGGGTGTCCTGGGCCGGCACCCCTCACCCTCACGGGCCCCGGGAGCACGGGTCTTGGTGAGCCCTTGCTGGGGTCATCTGGGATGTGACCTGGGATGGCCCTGGGCCTGGCGCCTCCAAGTACTTCTGTTGAATCCTCCTCATTCAATGGGAGGGATTCTGTCCTTTATGTACCCCATGTTACTCATGGGGAAACCAAGGCAGGGAGGCCCCAGTGTGGCCTCATAGACCCTCAGCTCTGTGGAACCACCAGTCTGGGCTCCTAGGGAGCCAGCGGCCTCCACGCTCAGTCTACAGCTGGGAAGGGTGTGCGGGTGCAGGGGTCCACCATGACCCTCAGAGCAGCCTCAGGGACTGGCACTGGGGCTGGGGCTGGGCGAGCGGATCGTTCTGCCAGGTTTGGCTGCCCTTGGGTCTGCTCATGTGCCTCTCCCTCCCCCAACCCCCACAGTGACGTCTACCCAGCCCCCCTACCTCCAGAGCACACCATCGTCTTCCTTGTGCGCCTACTTCCCGAGACACCCCGTGAGGCCTTCGCGCTGTGGCAGATGACAGCCGAGGACTTCCAGCCCCTCCTTGGGGTTCTGCTGGATGGTGACGTGGGCCCCGCGTCGCCCCCAGCAGTCAGGAGGAGTAGGGGCAGGGAGGCCCCAGAGCCCTGGGAGGCCTTCAGAGGAAGTCCAGCCTCCAGGCCAGGCCCTCAGCACCCTCTGGGTGGGAGGCAGGTGTCCCGGGCAGGGGGCTGTGGGCCACATTGAGGGTCACCTCCAGCTTGGCACCCTCAGGGCTGCTCCTGTCCTGTCGTGGGGGCCGCCCTGCTCAAGGTATAGGCCCGGCTGGTTGCAGCCCGTTCTCACCTGCTCCACCCCTTCCCTGGCAGCCGGGAAGAAGTCCCTGACCTACTTCCACCGTGACCCCAGGGCTGCCTTGCAGGAGGCCACCTTCGACCCGCAGGAAGTGAGGAAGATTTTCTTCGGGAGCTTCCACAAGGTCCTGGTGCAGCTCGCGCCCCTCTCCCCCGTTCCCCCAGCTCTGGGGCAGCCCAGCCCCACAGGGACCTGCCGGATGCCAACTCCTCTCCCTAGGAGAGCAGGACCTTCCTTGGGAGGGAACATTGACCTGGGGCTCTGTTCCTCTACCCCAGCTCTTCCATCTTAATTGGAGTTGAAGAGCCTCCCAGCCCATCTCTTTGGGACCCACAGACCCCGGGAGGCTCCTGCAGCAGGTGCCATTTGGTCCATTTTACAGAGGGGAAGCCGAGGCCCAGCAAGGGGGGGTTCTCCCAGGGTCCCCCGAAACCTGAGGTGAGGTCAGGTTCCTGACCCCAGGTCCCAGGGATGGGTGTTACTCCCCAGCCCTGGCCTGGCCTTGGGGGCTCAGGTGGGCACCGGCCCCGCCTGGGCTGTGGAGAACCTCCCGTGCCGTCTCACAGGTGCACGTGGCTGTGGGCCGCTCCAAGGTCAGGCTCTATGTGGACTGCCGGAAGGTGGCTGAGCGGCCCCTTGGGGAGATGGGCAGCCCACCCGCTGCGGGCTTCGTCACGCTGGGGAGGCTGGCCAAGGCCAGGGGCCCCCGGAGCAGTTCGGCCGCGGTGAGTTGGGCCCTGCCCACCTGCTGGGCCACGCTGGTGGGGGCTGGCAGCCTCTCTGAGCCCCGGGGCTGAGCCGGCTCCCCTGCGTTGCAGTTTCAGCTCCAGATGCTGCAGATCGTGTGCAGTGACACCTGGGCCGATGAGGACCGGTGCTGTGAGCTCCCTGCCTCGGTGTGCCCCGTCCCTTGCCCCTGTTCCACGAAGCAAGTTAGGGCAAGTGCCCACTGAGGGTCACAGTGCCTGGGGTCAGTTGGCCTGTCCAGATTGTCACCGTGCTGGGAGAGATCAGGGAAGGCTTTCAGAGGAGGCAGCCTCAGGGCCAGTGGATGAGCCCAGAGGGGCTGGACAGAGAGTCCTGGAGGCCCTGGGGCAGGCTGGGAACCCCTGGCTGCACTCAGGGCCATGCCCACCTCTGTGGGCCCAGCCAGGTGCAGATGAGTCAGGAAGGGGCACGTGGCCAGGCCAGAGAGCCCCTCTCATCCTCAGTGACTCCTCTGTATACCCTGTGCTGGGCTTGGCCATACTGGGGGCCCAGACGGGAGAGAGGGAGGGAGAAGGCACCATTCTGTCCTGGGGCTCATGCGGACAGCGTGGCAGGGTGGGAACCCAGGGCCGGCTGGACACACAGGGGCTCAGTGGCCTGAGTCCTGGACCTGCCCACTATGCACTTGGGCCCCTGACCTTCGCCCCTGCCTCCCAGGTGCGGGTCTGGAAGTCTCCCTGGAGCCCAGGTGTCATTGGCTAATCTCAGCTCTAGGGTCAGGCAAGAGCCAGGGAGAGGGTCTCTCTAATGGGCAGGGTCTCTCTTCTTCCAGAGGGATGGAGAGACCTGCCCCGCCTTCGTGTCTGCCTGTTCCTGTTCCTCAGAGACCCCTGGGCCCCCAGGACCTCAAGGACCCCCAGTGAGTCCAGTGGCGTCTCCTTGGGGTGACCAGGGAACACTGGCCAATGTATTGCTGCCACTGGTGGATGTGTAACCCAGGCCCTCCCGCCCCGGTCCATGCCCCCGTCCTGCCGCAGAGTTGGGATGTATTTCATGAGCCTCTTCCCTGCTGTGCCCGCCCTGGGCCAGGAGACAGAGGCCTGGCCCAGCCCCTTCCTTCCCCCAGGCTGGGCCTCCCCTGCGAACCCTCCTCTAGTGCGGAATCCAGTGATTCTCACTGTCAGGGTTGGGAAGGGGGGCCAGGCGCAGCTCCTTCCTTCCCCCAGGCTGGGCCTCCCCCACGAACCCTCCTCTGGCGTGGAATCCAGTGTTTCTGAAGTGTGAGGCTTGGGACGGATCCAGGCGCAACTGGGATCCAGAACTGTGCTGTGGCCACAGGGTGTGACGTGGGCCGGCTGTGAGTCACAGCCACTTGGACGGCCACTGTCCTGGGTGCTGGCAGCCTAGCTCACCTGCAGCAGGAGCTATACGGGCCCTCTACCCAGGCCTCAGGGAGGCGGCCCTCCAGGCCTGGACCCCTGCCATGGGGTGGGTCCTGAGAGGTCCTTGGACCTGCCATGGCTGCAGCTGCCTCTGCTCACCCCAAGGTTCCAGCGCCCCACAGGTGACGGCTGGGGCTTCCAGAGCTGGCTCTGGGACCGGTCAAGCACACTCTCTCTGAGCTCAGTGTCCACAGCCTTGTCTACTCAGGGGGCCGGGGTTTGAACCCAGAACTGCCTGACTATGAGAGGGAAGGATGGGCTAGTGCGTCCTTGCCCTGGAAACCCCTTCTCTTCCCCTTGACAGCAGTGGACAGTCTGGGGCTGGGTGGGGCATGGGGCTCAGGGTGGGCCAGGCATGGGGCTCAGGGGCTGGTCTTTGCTCCTCTACCTTGGTTGGGTAGTTCTGGGGGCTTAGCCCTGTTTGTGCCTCTGCAGGGCCTCCCTGGGAGGAATGGCACCCCAGGAGAGCAGGGCTTCCCAGGGCCCAGGGTAAGTTTTGGGGAGCCCTGGGAGGTGAGGGGCCTGGATCGTACCTACCAGAAGAGAACACCCCTCCCAGTGCATTCCTGAGAGTGCAGGGAGCTGCACGCAGCTTCCCTAGGCAGGGTGGGGTCTCCCCAAGCTGCAGACAGGCAGGGACCCCAGCACCCCAGGAGTCCAGGGGGTTTAGGCTGGCCTCCCCCATGTGCCTGCAGGGCGCCTGGCCCAGGCCTGGTTATGGTGCAAGTCCCCTTTTCACCCAGATAGGGAGGATGAACCCCATGGCCCAGCAGGGGAATCTGAGGCTTGGGGAGGTGAGGCCACCTGTCCTATTGGCCCTGAAGGCCGCCCTTGATTTCCATGGGGCAGGCATGAGCCAGATGCCTTCTGTGTGCCGGGCTGGGCCCAGGAGCTTAGGCCCACAGAGTATTTTCAGATGTCTCTAGGCTCAGCGCATGCGCGGCGTGCAGGGAGGTGTTTCGGGGGCGGAGGTTCTGGTTCTGCGGAGAGGGATGTTGAAGACAGCGCGCCCAGCGATGGCAGCAGCCCCCCACCCCAGGCGCCAAAGGGCCGCCCTCCAGGCTCGATTCTAAACATTTACCTAAACCACGGTACTGCACAAGCGTGACACAGATGCCGAAGGCGTGGTCGGCATGCAGCAAGGCCGCCCTCCTCCCGACCCCGACACCCACCTCTCCCCCGGCAGCCTTCCAGCGAGTTCCACATCCCCGTGAGCAAAGACGTGCGCCTGGCTCTGGCGGGGCTGTCCTTTTGCACCTGCGCTGCCATATTCCCTTTGTCTGCGGTTGTGCTGGAGCCTCAGAGCACATCTCAGGCACAGAGTCCCTAGGACAGTCGCTGGGTGGAAGGGCACACGCCCCTGTGCTTTGGGGTGGATGTCCCCACACTGGCCCGGCAGAGCCGTGCGAGGCGCTCCCCCGCGACGAGCCAGCGGTGACCTCCCACCCCCATCTTGCATTCCTGGCTGCTTTGGGAGCCGCGTCTGATAGATGAAAATGCATTTCTCTTCCAAGCAGCGTGAATGCCCTTTGAAAGTTGCCAATATTTTCTTGCTGGAGATGTCCTCTGACTTCTTCTCCACCGTTCTTTTTTCTTAATAATTTGTGGGCACGCTTTTTACTTGCTGGAACCAGCCCTGTGTCTGTGATGTGAGTTTTGACTGCGTTTGGCATTTTCTTGTCTTTTGACCTTGTTTGCGACGTGCGTTTCCATACAGATTTTAAAATAACTTTTACGTAGTCCATGTTACTGCTCTGTTCTATGGCTTCTGAATTTTGTATCCTGTTTTAAAAGATCTTTCTTATTCCGAGAGTAGAAATCGCGCCTCCTCCTGGTTCCTCCTGGTGCTTCCAGGCACTTTTCGACACTCCCAGGTGGATTCGTCTAGAGCTGATTTTGTTACAGCACTGGGGAGGACAGAGGACGGGGAGGACTCCAGCTTCACCTCTTCACAGACCACCCCTGGTCGCCTGAGTCGTTCATTACACAGCCAGCCCCTTGCAGAAGTTGAACGCCCTGGCTCTCGTGCTGTCCTAAGGCCCCTGTGTATTTTGGGGTTTTTCAGATGCTCCAGTCTGTCCCGTTGATGTGTCTGTTGTTCACAGGCGAGGGCTGTGCTGCTTAAATTATTACAGATTTCTTTAAGATGTCGATGCCAGATGGGCTGGTCCTCTTTTGTATTATTCCCCCAGAATTTTCCTGGCTCTCTTTGCTTATTTCATTGTTCAGTGAACTGTAGAATCGACTTATCCGTTTAACCTAAACAATTCAGTTGGTGTTTTTACTGGAACTGCATTCGCTTTATAGATATACTCGGGAACAGATGATGTCTTCATGATGTTGAATCTTCTCATCCAAAAACACAGCCATCCTGCCTTTTGTTCACAGGGCCTGTTGTGGCCCTCAGTACAGTGTGGGGATGGTCTCTTCCTACAGACCCACTCGGTTCTCCTTCATCCCTACGTATGTCCTCTTTTTTGTTGCTATTATAAGTGAGGTGTTTTCTCTCATTACAGCTTCTACCTCATTATTTTCACACTGGCCGTGACCGCTGTGTATGACTTTTGTACCCAGTTTTCTTTCTCAATTATCTTCTTTGTGGTTTTCTTGGATTTTCCAGGTTTACAGTGACATCACCTGCAAATAAACACTTCACCTTCGGCTTTTCAGTCTTGATCACTCAAATTTCTTTTTCTTGTCTAATGGTGTTGGTGAATACTCCAGAATTTTGTCAGAGAACAGTGGCAGTAGCAGATACTCTCATTTTCTTCTTGGCCTAACAGAAGTGCTTCTAGCATTTGACCATTAAAGTGCTGTCCTGGAAGCGGAGACAGGTGCATTTTGTCATGTGGTAGTGAAGTCCATCCACTCTTCTTTTATTAGATTTAAAACACCAAGAATGCACATTAAACAAGCTCTAGTGCTGTTATGGACATAATGAAATGACTGTGCGTCTTGGAGCTATTAATTGTAGGATATCCCTAAATACTGGATGATTGCTGCATCCGTCGAAAATCTGACGTGGTCGCTGAATTCTCGTTATCCATGCCATGTGCTGCAGAGCTCAGCTTGCTGACATTTTGTTTTGGATTTCGCACTGATGCTTCTAAATAAGACTGTCACAGTTTTCTTTATAGTGTTTGGAACCTCAGTTTGCTTTGTTCAAAAGATAATTTGAGTTTAAATAGCAGCAGTGTCCTCTGCCCCACAGGGTTGGATTTCCCATAAAACCTGAGTCTAGTGTTTTGGGGTCCAGGGCTTAAGAAAGTTTTCTGTCTCTTCCATACAGTTGGCCTGTGGGGGTCTCTGGCTTTTCCTCGGTGATTTCTGCAGCGCCCCCCACACCCCGTTAGAACCCAGAGTTGGGCAGGGGAGGGCTGGGGGTGAGGTTGGTTGGAACTGGCTTCACAGGCTTGGCTCTGCCATTCTCTAGCTCTGCAGACCCCTGCTGTGGGTTCTCCCAGACCCTCCCAGGGTGAGCAGTGAGGGTGCTGGGGCTGCCCCTGCTCCTTTAATGGAGGTGTCTCCATGTCGGTCTGGGTCTGAATGCCCAGAGGGCTGGGAGGGCTGGCTGTGACCCAGAGGGGCCACAGGAGGGGTGGCAAGCGTGACCTTGTCAGGCCCTACCCGCTGCCTGTGTCTCCAGGGAGAGCCCGGGCCACCCGGACAGATGGGACCAGAAGGTCCTGGAGGCCAGCAGGGCTCGCCGGGGACCCAGGGCCGTGCAGTCCAGGGGCCTGTGGTAGGTGTCACTCCTTCCCTGCCCTCCTGCCCTGTGCCCCCTCCGCTTCGCTGTCCAGCCCATCTTCCCCCTCCAGGGTCCACCAGGGGTCAAAGGAGAGAAGGGAGACCATGGGCTTCCAGGCTTGCAGGTAGTGTGGCTGGGGCCAGGGGGCCACAGGGGTTGGTGGGGGTGGGGGAAGGACAGGGATGGAGATGGGGAGTGCCTGGGGGGCACAGGGGTTGGGGGTGAGGCCTCACAGGCAGGGCCACCTCTGGATGTGACCCTGGCCCCTGCCTGGCCGGCCCCTCTGTTCTCTCCCAGGGCCACCCCGGCCACCAGGGCATCCCCGGGAGAGTTGGCCTCCAGGGACCAAAGGTGCCGGCTCTGGGCTTGGAGGGTTCTGTCAGGGTGGTAGAGACTGGCCTGGGGACGGGGGGCCTTGGAGATGGAGGCTGTGGGGTAGGGAGGGGGAGGTGCTTTCTCCTGGGCTCCTGCCTCACCTGCTGCACCACCCCCTTCAGCCTGTGGCCTGGCCAGAAGGCTGGAGAGCTCCAGCCCACCCCAGGCAGGAGCTGTCACTGAGGCAGGGTGGGTGGGGGAGTGGCTGGGTAGGAGCCTGGCAGCCTCAGCTGCCTCACCTTTGCTGCTTGGGTTACAGGGTGTGTTGGGTGCTGCTGGGGGGCTGTCACCATGGGAGGGCTGGGTACAGGTACAAACCCCACCCAGCTTGCGCCTTCCTTTGCCATCAGGGAATGAGAGGCCTGGAGGGAACTGCTGGCCTGCCTGGACCCCCTGGCCCCAGGGTAGGCACCGACCTCCCATGACCCCGACCCCCACCCAGGGTTCCTGTGTTCCAGGGGTCAGGCAGAGGCCAGTCTGAACACCAGCTGCCACCCCTAGGTTACCCCAGGAAGTGCCTGGGAGGGCCTCACTTCTGCTGGAACTTTCTGCAGGGCCCTGTGGGTGGGTGAGCGTCTGCCCAGGAGCACTGCATGCTCCCAAGTGAGGGCTCTGTGCTGAGGACTCAGTTCCTGGGAGACCTTGGAGGGGGGTCTCCTGGCATCGGCCTCGGGCTGAGTGCTGGGCAGGCCAGGTTGCCTCCCTGCAAGCGCCACTTTAGGGGAAGCCCAACTTGCAGTCACACTGGAGCAGCTGGCACAGCTGGGGACGTTTAGAGCAGCGTGCTGACAGTGCTGGAGGAGGGGTGCAGGGCATGGGGAGCCAGGGCCTGGAGGCAGGGGAGGCACCACCTGCCGGAGGAATGGCCTGAAGGAGGCTGGGGCCAGCCAGGCATCCACCGCCCTTGTCAGGTCAGGGGGCCCCTGGGACATCTGGGAACCAGGGCTGAAGTGGGAGCAGATTTGCTGGGGGCCCAAGCCAAACCCTGACTTCTGTGTCTATGCAGGGGTTCCAGGGCATGGCAGGGGCCAGGGGCACTAGTGGAGAGCGAGGACCTCCAGGGACCGTGGGGCCCACAGTAAGTGCATTTCCAACACCCACCAGCCAACCAAAGGTGGGGGAGCGAAGGGTGCAAGCCCCACATGCAACCACTCAGGGACTTCCTACTGACAGCTCAGGGACTTCCTACTGACCACCTAGGGACTTCCTGTTGACAGCCCACAGACTTCCTGTTGACAGCTTCCTGTTTACTGGCCTGGAACTTCCTGTTGACCCCCCTAGGGACTTCCTGGTGACAGCCCATGGACTTCCTGTTGACCACCCAAGGACTTCCTGTCGCTCTCCCAGGGACTTCCTGTTGACTGCCAGGGACTTCCTGTTTACCACTCAGGGACTTTCTGTTGACTGCCCAGGGACTTGTGTTTACCACTCAGGGACTTCCTGTTGACGGCCCGGGGACTTCCTGTTGACCGCTCAGAGACTTCCTGTTGGCCACTCAGGGACTTCCTATTGACCACCCAGGGACTTCCTATTGACCACTCAGGGACTTCCCATTTGTTGTTGGAGGCCTGTTCTGAGCTGGGAGCTTGGTGTTGGTGCTAGTACAAGAGAGTGTAGCTAAGGGCTGGTTCTGCACCTCTCCCAACCCCACCCAGGACAGACGTGGTGGAGGGGAGGTGGTGGGGCGGCAGGCTCCATGGAGGGTAGGGGGACAGACGTGGGAGATGGGGGTGTAGTGTCCCCTGGGGGATGCCTTGGCCTTCAGCAGCTCCATGGGCCCCCCCTTAGGTGGGCTCCAGGTTCACCAAGGAGCTGGGGAGGTGGAAGAAGACAGAAGACGGCAGGGAAGTGCCAGCACAGGCCTGACCCGGGCCCGGGGCCCGGGAGGGGTCTGTTCTCTGGGCAGTGTCCCACACCCGCCATCTCCCCTAGCACAAAATCTACAGCCAGAGGCAAGTCCTTTGTGGCACAAGTTCCAGCCCCACTCAGGACTCTGCTGCAGAACCGAGCCTCTCACATGCCTGCTCTCGGGTGCAGGCGAGGACCACAGGCTCCTAGGATCTGGGAATTTGGGATGGGGCTTTCACACCGCCACTGTGGCTATCAGGCTGCCTGAGTGAGGATCCACCTCAGGGCCATCTCACACTTGTCACGTGTGGTCTCAGGCCATCTCTGCTGACTTCTTTTCTCTTCCCCTCCTCATCAGGGACTGCCAGGGCCCAAAGGGGAACGAGGAGAGAAGGTAAGTGAGGCTGAGATCTTTGGCTCACTTGGGATCTCCTGGGAAGGCACCTGCCACACGGGTCCCAAAGCTGCACCACCTTCCCTTCCAGGGCGAGCCGCAGTCCCTTGCCACCCTCTACCAGCTTGTGAGCCAGGCCTGTGAGTCTGCCATTCAGAGTGAGTGAGGCCAGCAGCCCTGCACCTGTGCCTACCACACCTGTCTGTCCTCACACTGGCCAGGCCGAGGGAGGCCGCCTTCACCCATCGTTAGCACACCTGGGCCAGGTGTCCTGGCGTGGCCTGCACAGGCCTCGCATCCCCGGGTCCCCACTGTGTCCTGCTGACACCCCTCCTCCCCACAGCACACGTGTCAAAGTTCGACTCCTTCCACGAGAACACCAGGCCCCCCATGCCCATCTTGGAGCAGAAGCTGGAGCCGGGCACTGAGCCCCTGGGGTCCCCTGGCACCCGCAGCAAGGCCCTGGTTCCTGGAGAATGGGGGCGTGGTGGCCGCCACCTTGAGGGCAGAGGTACTGGGCTCCTGGCTCTTGGGGAGGGAGTTGTGGCCGGTGGGGGCGCCGGTTGTCCCCTGGTCCTGGGGCTGGGGCTTCAATCTGTGTCAGCACAGCAGCTCCTGCTGGAGATGCCACTGTCCAGCCTCTGGGGTGCTGGGGTGAGGACACGGGGCTTCCCTGAGCCCACACAAAGCCAGTCATGGCAAAGAGGTCAGCCTCGGCCTGGCCTTCCAGGGCCCTCAAGATGACCTCTTCCCCAGTCTTCAGGAAACATGAGCTGCCTGCTTAGGGCCACACAGGAGAGCCCAGCCTACCTCCCATCCTTCCTCCCGCCCTCCCGCCCTCCTGTCCTCCTTGTCCTCCCCACTCCCGCCCTCTTATCCTCCTGGCTGCTGCTTCCTCCGCCTCTCCCCACCCAGCGCACAGTCGCAGGCTCCCGTGACCTTGTTGGTGCTCCTCCTCCTCTGAGGCAGCAGCGGTGGGTCATGACTTGGACGCTGAGATGGAGGAGAGGCTGATTCGGGGAGCTGGAGCTGGAGAGGGGCGTCCACGGGGAGAACAGACGGGGGATGACCCAGCCAGACGAGGACTGAGTTCTGCACTGGCCGGGGCAGCAGCGGGGGCATCTCTGCTCTGTTCGGGCATCGGCTGAATCCCACCCCTCATCCCACAGACGTCTCAGGAAACTGGGGGCAACCTGGGGGGAGCCCCGTGGGCTGTGGGAACCCCTGCCCCCGGCTTGGAAGCTGCCCACAGTGGCCTGGTTGCAGCCTGGCAGATGAGGGGTACATCACTACTCAGAATAAACGGCCCCCTCTGCACCCACCTGTCTAGATGAGGGTGACAGGCACTATCACAGGGCCCCCACCTGACGCCTTCCCACCTGGCCATGCCCCCCCAGAACTGTCATGGAGCCCAGGAGGCGCCTGTGTGGAGCACGGGGACCTGGCACGCTGCTGCCCCTAGATCTCAGACTCCCATCTAAGGACCAGACCTGCTGCCTGTGCCCAGGGAGGGGCCCTGACACCCTCTGTCCCCGTCAGAACAGGGCCCCAAGCCACTGCATTGCTCCGTCCTCACATGCCCTCCCTTTCCTCGCAGGGGAGCCTGGAGCTGTTGGTCAGATGGGCAGCCCTGGGCAGCAGGGGGCTAGCACCCAGGGCCTCTGGGAGTGACAGGTGAGCCCCTGCTGCCTGCATCTATCTGCCAAGGCTGAGGGCATCCAGGAAGGAGGAGCTCCTGAGGGGCCAACGGGTGGGGCCTCATGCTGTCCAGGGTGGGGTGCTGGGAGCACAAGGCCCAGCAGAGGCAGGCGAGGTGGCCCTGGGGAAAGTAGGGTCAACTATGGACCCCGTAGGGGCAACAGGAATGTGGGGTCACAGGGTGTGGGGTCACAGGGCGTGGGGTCACAGGACGTGGGGTTCCGGAGATGGATTGGCGTGCTGGGAGTCTGCTGCACCTCGTGGGATGCAGAGTTGCGTGCTGGGGCGGAGGAGGCCCTGACCAGGGTTAGCGCAGCAGGGAGAGTGGAGCTCAGGTGTTTGCTCAGTGGGCACCTGGTCCAAGTGTGGGAAAGCTCACAGGAGTCCCAGGAGGGGCCTGTGAGGCCCTGGGTATGTCGATGAGAGAGGCAGGGTGGGGGCCATAGTAGCACCAGGTAACCTCTGCCTTCCTCAGGAAGCGCTGGGCAGGCGGACCCTGTGTGCAAACTTAGCTGAGGGGCTGGTCCCAGCAGCAGGTGTGGGGACAGGGTCCCAGGAGCAGGTGGTGGGTACAGCACAACTCCGGCCTCAAGTAGCTTCAGGGGCCAGAGCGTGGCGCAGGGTGTGTGACCTGGGGCCCATGAGGGGCCGGCACCTTTGAGCTAGGGGACTCGGCAGGGGCTAGGAGGGCTGAGGAGCACAGGCAGGAGACCCAGGGGCTCCTGGTAAGGCTGGGGCAAGAGGGCAGCTGCCTGAGATGCCCAAGAATCAGGTCAGAGCCCAGGGCTAAGAACAAGCAGCCTTGCTTCTCCTCCACAGACCCGTCAGAGAATGACCCCACCCACGGCCCTGCCCGCAATCCTGCCCACTTACGGCCCTGCCCATGGCTCTGCCCACTCACGGCCCTGCTGGACGCAGTGTGCAGAGACCCAGGATGCGGGCTCTCAGGGTGGCCACAGTGCCAGGCGCTGGCCCTGAGCCGGTGTCCAGCTGTCTTCGGCCTCTCACATCTGTCCTCCCTTCTCTCCTGCCAGGACATTTTCTGCACTGCCCCGAGGAACGCTGAGCCTTCCTCCCTGGGTTTGTCTGGACACCGAGAGCGACCACATCCTGGAGAAGCCAGGAGAAAAGCTCAGGAAGAGCCTGCAGGTGGAAGGAGAGGGAAGCAGCGGCCTCGGCCAAGGCCCACCCCATACTCTTGGCTCTGTAGCATTTCCAAGTTCAGATAAACCCCTGAGTGCTCACCCAGCCAAGCGAGGCGGGAGTCATTTCCTGGGAGAGTGTCCCCCACCCTGGCTCTGTGCACCCCACCTTGAGGCCCTGCAGCTTCAGCCGCAGTGGGGAAGGGGAGGGGCTGGGCTGATGGCGAATCGGGTTCAGGAGGGCAGCAGTGCCCTGTGGCCGTCTCAGTAGCTCTAAAACAGGCTCAACAACATGCCCCGCCCCTTTCTCTGGGCCTCATCTAAGCCTGGCCAGGGCCCTGTGGGCCCGCCTCTCTCTGCGCCTCACGCAGGCAACAGATGGTTCCACTGCTGGCCCACCAGTCACCTGCACGATGGCTCCTCCCTCAGAACAGCACTCCCACCCCGGCCCCAGCACCTTCACATCTGGGCACAGGCAGGTCCCTGCCTGCCTCATCGTCCCCTCTGTCCCCAGCCCAAGAAGGAGTTCAGATCCTGTGTGTGAATGGCCACCCCTCACCCACCCAGCCCTGTGCTGAGTTCCTTGTGCAGGGACATTGCTTTGAGACTTGGCACCATCAGCCCCTGGTCCTTAGGGTCTCAGAGCAAGGTCATCCCTCAGCAGGCTTCTGGCCTGTGCGCTCCTCAGCACCTCTGCCCAGGTCTCTCCCAACCATCACAGACGCTGTGTGAGCCTGGACTTCCTGCCTTATCCCCACTGTGGCCCAAACAGCATGGGGGCAAGCTCAGAACACACACCTGGGCTTCTGGGCCTTGTGGCCCGTGGGGGTGATGTGGGAACTTCTACTTCCTTTCCAAACAAATATTCAGTAACTAGTCCACTGTTACCACTTAGGCAGCTAAGCAAGAAAGGTGCCAGAAATGAAGAGGGAAGCCATATCATTGAGGAGAGAATGAAAAGTATTAAAAAGGAACAAAGAGAGACCCTTGATATTGACAGAAGGAAAACCCACCAAGATCACCAGTGCAGCATTGCGTGCACCAAAGCATACCCCAAAGAGGTGAGCGCAAAACAGCTTCAGGGCAAACACTTCATCTATGATTCAACTGTTCCAGGAACTGACCAGACCTGGAGACCAAATAGAGAGTCATAGGCAGGGTCAGCAGGATGGGAGAGAGCGCCTGCACCCACAGGAGCCACAGCCCTGACTGAGGCCAGGAAGCAGCCCCAAATGCCAGCTCCCACTGCAGCATGAGAACAGAAACAGACCACTGAAAATTCCCAAAGTCTGTGGACAAATCAGACGTCGAAGAAGTCACGTGGCATCGAGACAGATTTTGCACTGAGGGACAAGGAGAGCATGTGGCCAAAGTAGGTGCAGGTAAAGCAGCATCTGGGGCAGAGTTATAGCCTTCAGTGCAGGTATCAGACACAGTTGTTGAGAGCAGCAGCCCAAGCCAGCCCCTCCGTCCTGCAGGGAGGACACCTAGGTCACTTGGCTTCTGTTGGGGAGCTGAGTTGCTTCAGATTGTGTGACCAGCAAAACAGCTTGGTTGCTCTCACTTGGTTTCTCCAGGGCGGGGAATTACATGTCCCCAGCTGAACTGAGAAGGCTCTTTGAGCAGTGGAGTGAGCAGGCTTTGTCATGAGGCAGGAGTGGGGCTAGAATCAAGCCCAGAGCCCACAGGGCATCCAGAGCCTTCCAAAGGAGCCCCTCTCCTGGGGCTCTCCAATTTGATGAAGGGACTGGGCACTGGGTGGCTGAGACCACATTGGCAGCCAGGAGGAGGCAGCCTGGCCGGGGGGAACCAGGGTGGCTCTAATCCCCACCACCCCCTCAGCTGCCCTACCCCCGCCACGCTGGTGTGACACCAGTGATGCTCAGCCTCAAAAGGGGAGTCCGGCTGTCTTCGGGAAACTGACTTTATGCTGGAGGCCAATTAAAATGGCACAGCAAAGGCAGCGGCCAGCTGGTGCCCAGGCAGCTTAGGGACTGGTCCCTGAGGCCCCACCCGCCCCAGCCTGTGCAGTGGAGCTGAGTACGAATCAAAGGTGAGGATGGCAAGGGAGCTGAGAGCAGCCTCCGGATGCACCAAACCGGCCTGGCTCCTGTTTGCAGGAAGGCAGCCTCCCCGAGACCCAGCCGACCTGCACGTCTCCCATCAGCCCCGACTCCACCGCATCCCTCTGGGTCCTTTTAGGAGCCCCCAGGGACTGAGCCGGGGCTCACGCTCCTGGCCAGAGCGCTGGGTTTCTGGCAATGCCTCCCCTCCTGCCTTTACGGCCACAGCTCTCCCCTCCAGAGGCCCCTCTGTAGTGGGCCTCGGTCCCCTCTCCACCCCCAGAGGCAGCACAGCTTCAGCCCTACGCAGTGTGGGGGCTCCGGGAGGAAATGCAGGGAGGTGCTTGGTCTTGGCCCAGAGCTCATGGCCTTAGGTGCTGCCCCCAGTCACCCCCGTGCCCATGCAGCCGGGGATGTTCAGCTCAGGCCAGCCACCGAGGTGGTGTGACGCAAGGCTGATCTGACGCTCAGCTCAGGCCGCTGGGGTCATGGGGGTTGTGGGAAGGTCATGGAATCACGGGGCTCACGCTGGGGTCACAGGGTGGTGTGGCTGTGTGGACTGTAAGGGGCGTGCAGCCATGCGTATCTGACCTGCCCTCCCTAGGTCTGCAGGCAGTGCCGAGTGGCTCTGCCTGAGGCCCCAAGAGCGACCTTGGAAGCTCCAGGCCTTCACAGCCCCTCTGAGAGCCACCTGCAAGGTGGGGAGCTGGGAAGAACGGCTCAGTGATGAGCTCAGAGGGAGGGGTGGGCACAGCGCCCAGGAAGGCGGGTGCGTGCAGGCCTGGGAGGAATGTGTAGCAGGAGGCAGGGGGTGCTGTGCCCGCAGGACCAGCAGGTGAGGCGTGTCCACCCACAGAGGATGGCTCTGGCCCAGGCAGTGTCAGAAATGGAAGCTGAGGAAACCCAACCCCAGCTGTAGAGGAGCCTGCCCCGATGCCATCTGCACCTGGGGGGCGACGTATGGCTGCCAGCCTCTTCATCTACCAAGGACCAGGGCAGTGGGGACGGGAGAGCTGGGACACGTGGACTCACACCAGGGCAGATGGTGGGGGAAGCCAGTGTCTGTAGATTCAGTGCATTTCTTGGGGAAGGGCGTGGAACATTTGGACTTGAGCCCCAGCACAGAGACGATGTCATAATACAGCCCCCCATCGTGATCTGATGGTAAGTACAGAACTCCTTGCCCAGTGGAGAAACACTCTCCTCTCATGTGTGGAATATCCACACACTAACCATGAACTGGGCCATAAGAAACCTTACATTCCAAAGGATCCTGCTGTTCAGAACTCACTCACTCACTGATGAAACTGGAAAAACAACCAATGATAACAAGCTAAAGAATGCCTCTAGAAGCTAAAAGACACACCCATGACTCCACAGTAATTCATGGGTTAAAGAGAAAAAAGGAAACGTGAAGATACTTGTAACCAAATAATGATGGATGCAGCGCCACGTCAGAATCTCTGTGCTGCAGCTGCAGTGGTACCTAGAGGGCAATTTATAGCTGTAAATACAGTGCTTTGTTTTGTTTTCTTGTTTTTTGAGACAAGGTCTTGCTCTGTCACCCAGGCTGGAGTACAGTGGCATGATCTCGGCTCAATGCAACCTCTGTGCCACCCTGGGCTCAAGTGGTCCTCCTGCTCCGGTCTTCTGAGTAGCAGGAACCACAGGCGTGCGCCACCACGCTTGGCTAATGTTTTTTGTATTTTTTTAAATAGAGACAGGGTGTTGCCGTGTTACCCAGGCTGGTCTTGAACTTCTGAGCTCAAACGATCCACCCTCCTTGGCCTCCCAAAGTGGTGGGATTACAGGTGTGAGTCACCTCACCGGCCCTTAAACACAGTTTTTAGGGAAGATTCCAACTCAAACAATTTTAAATAGTAGAAAATAAACCCTGAAGCAGTGTGCATTCATTAGTACTGTGTTTGCCTGTATTTAATTAAAACCTGATTGCCATTGGCTTCCCTAAATCAGTTTTTGCCATCACACGTAAAGTCCTGTGGGCAGGAATGGACATTGAGGGAATCCTGGGCTGTTTGGCCGTCCTTGGCATGTAGCTGCCCTTCATCAGAAGATGGCAGATCCCAGCCCTTCATCACAAGATAGCGGATCCCTGCCCTTCATCACAAGATGGCGGATCCCAGCCCTTCATCACAAGATGGCAGATCCCAGCCCTTCATCACAAGATGGCAGATCCCAGCCTGTTTGGCCGTCCTTGGCATGTAGCTGCCCTTCATCACAGGATGGCGGATCTCAGCCCTTTATCACAAGATGGCAGACCCCAGGCTGTTTGGCCATCCTTGGCATGTAGCTGCCCTTCATCAGAAGGTGGCAGATCCCAGCCCTTCATCACAAGATAGCGGATCCCCACCCTTCATCACAAGATGGCGGATCCCAGCCCTTCATCACAAGATGGCGGATCCCCACCCTTCACCACAAGATGGCGGATCCCAGCCCTTCACCACAAGATGGCGGATCCCAGCCCTTCACCACAAGATGGCGGATCCCAGCCCTTCACCACAAGATGGCGGATCCCAGCCTGTTTGGCTGTCCTTGGCATGTAGCTGCCCTTCATCACAAGATGACTGCTGCTGCTCCAGGAGCTACACCTCACTTGGCGGAAGGGGCGGGAGTCCTCTGGGTGAAGAGCACCAGTGTTAACAGGAGTCCCACTTGGAGACTTCTGCTTGTACCTAAGGACAAAGACTGCAACTCTCCTTGTCCAGAAAACAGACGTTTTAGCTGAACACGTTACCACCTCCCACAGAGTGACTAAACGCGCCGTGTAGGGCTCGATGTGGCTTCAAGTAACAATAATAACAGGATAAGAGTGGCTCTCGCAGTGTGGAAGTGACATTCTCAGAGGCACGGGGAGGCCTCTTTCCCTCACCTGGCTCTGCATCCTCCACACAGGACACTGCCCTTGTTTCCACTGTTGGGTCATATTCCAACAACAGGAAGAAGAGGAGGGAGGAGAAAGGCTGGCCCGGAATCGGGTCACATTCCAACAACAGGAAGAAGAGGAGGGAGAAGGGCAGGCTCGGAACCTTGAAGGGCACATTCCAAAGGTGTCCTTGCCACTGTCAGCTACATCCCTGTGGCCAGACGTCGGTCTCACGGCCAAGCTGAGCTGCAAGAGTAGAACCTTTTCTGGCTCCTTCCTGAGGCAAGAGGGGAAAGGGAGAGTGGGGCCAGCCCTGGGCCAGCCACGGGGTGGGGAAGGTGGCCCCCACGTCCCGGAGGGCTCAGTGAAGTGCACCTGGCCAGAGAAACGAGAGGGCCACCACAGTGCTGGGGCAGAGAGGACAAAACCATGGATGAAGACAAGGCTGAAAACCAGAGCCCTCTGACCCATTTTACGCCAACAGATCTGCAGGCCCAGGTGAAATGGGCGTTCAGACATCCGCATTTCCAGAAGAGTCCCCACAGACTCCTGGAAACAAGATGGCCACTAACAGAGGCTCCTGCCTGGTGAGACGCCAGGACTGGGGAGGGAGCCCGACAAATCCAGGATCTGAACACAGAAACGGAGAAACCCTGGGGACGACTCAGGCCACCCTGTGTGTGCACGTGTGTGCGTGTGTCTGCGTGCATGTGTGTGCGTGTCTGCATGCATGTGTGTGCGTGTGTGTGCATGCACGTATCTGCGTGTGTGCGTGTCTGCATGCACGTGTGTGCGTGCGTGTGCGTGCACGTTTGTGTGCGTGTCTGCGTGCACTGTGCACGTGTGTGCGTGTGCATGCACGCGTGTGTGACAGTAGCCCACAAGAAACCATTACATGACAATGGACTGTCTCCTCCCCAAATCCGTACACACACACACGAGGCATGCATTTGCAAACACACACCCATACACACACGTACTCACACATTTGTGCATGCACAGCGCTGTTATCCATGTTGAGGGGACGTATTCACAAGGGAAGGTGGGGTATCTGAGATCAAAAGCATTGGGAGAGACAAACCGGAGAATCTGTACCAGGCAGAGAAGAATTCATGTTTGTTCTCTTTGATCTATTAATTTTTTAAAATTGTAATCTCTTAAAGAGGCAAGGAGGGATATCGGTAACATGACGCCAGAATTATAGGTATAAAGGAAAACCAACTAGGAATATGATGTGTATAAAACATAAAAAGAGAAATGTTAAAAGCGGAGCTGTAAGATCAGGTCTGAGACGTCTCCCGGGAGGCTTTGGGAAAAGATAAAAAGGAAACAGAAAATGTAAGTGTTAGCACCCACACCATGGGGGCTCTACGAGGAAAGAAACAGCAAGAGGAGGGGGAAAGGTTGAAATAACTGGGTTTTCTGAAGATTTGTGCATTAGAGAAAGATTTAAGATCTCAGATTAAAAGGGCCTAGAACGTCAAATGGAATAAATTTTTAAATGTACCCTTAGGTTCCTCAATGCCATATATAATGCAGTACATAATGATGACGGTGAAAAACAGTCTTTTAAAAATCTTCAGTACATATCCTAAAATTGGAACGATACAGAGAAGATTAGCATAGCCCCATTTGCTGGGATGACACACAGTTAAAAGAAAAAAAATAGAAATCTTTCCGGGGAAAACCTGCAGCCCAGACTACAGAAGAACCAGGGGCCAGCAGAGGAGACGCTGGGACGGTGGCTCCACAGGGTTCAAGAAAACATGCTCGCGTTTCATATCTACAGAATTATCACTTAAATGAATGAGACAAAAATACATTCTGAATCCCTGAGACTGTCAGAAGGAGTCACACACAAGATCGTCTCTGAAAATACCACTGGAGGAAGTATTCTGCAAAAAAAGGAAAATGATCAGAAATTACACCAGATACCTGGGAAAATCCCACAGTAAGTGTAAAACTTAGTAAAGTTCCCTATGGACCAAATAATCAAACCCTTCACCCCAGACAAATCATGTCTGTGGCAATCCAGAGCTGAAATTCTAGGTTATTCCAGTGTGGCTGGTGTGTGGGAGGCCAGAATTCCTGAAGGCACGCTGGGGTACTTGTTTTCTTTGGAGGTGGGAGGCATTTTTCAGGTCAATATACTAAGCTCTTGAAAAACATAAATGCTTGTTTTGAGTCAGGAGCAGTCACCAGGGAATGTGTAGCTTCCAGAGCAGCTGACTATACCAGTTTTCTCCCACAGAAGGGATGGAACGTATTTCCACAACAACAACAAACCACAGAGTTGGCCTAAATATATCCCGCTGTAGTAGAAACTGCAATACCTTTCACTGATCGAAGGATGAATTCTCCAAATGGCATTTAAAGATGACATGCAGCTTTCTGCTTCCAGCCGTGATGGAGCAGTCCTGGGCCAGTAACAGCCACAGAGCTGGGTAACACGCTCGCGACAGTCTCCAGCCACGTCCACGGGAATGGTGCTCAGACAATGAGCCTCCACCCTTATCTCACACCAGACACAACAGTTAATTCAAAGACTCTCACCTAAACACCAAAACCAGAACTACACTTTCCAAAAGGAAAAAACGGAAGATCACATTTACAGCCTCGGAGTAGGCAAAGGCTTCTCAAACAGGACACACGAAGCACTAACCATTAAAACAAACAGAAGGAAAAAATGACACTTTGTCAAAATTCAAAGCTTTTCTTCAAAAGACACCATTAAGTGAATGAGGGCTGTCAGAGGCAGAGAGGACCTACTCTGACCACAAGTCCTGGATGGAGGTTTTACATCCAGAATGTACACAAAATTCCTACAACTCAGTAAAAGCAGACAATCTGATAAAACAATGGGCAAAATATTTCAACAGATCCTTCACAAAAAGAAGACATACAAGTGGCTCGTAAGCACCTAAAATGGTCAACATCACCATCATCAGGGAGGCACATATGAAAATCACAGTCACTGCAACAGCTAAGACACTGGGTGCTGGTGAGGATGTCGGGGCGTGTGGATGCTCCAGCCACCCTGGAAAACAACGTCGGGGCTCCTTACAAAGAGAAAAGTACAGGCTGGGCACGGTGGATCACGCCTGTAATCCCAGTACCTTGGGAGGCTGAGGCGGGTGGATCACATGAGGTCAAGAGATCGAGACCAGCCTGGCCAACATGGTGAGACTTCGTCTCTACTAAAAATACAAAAATTAGCTGGGCGTGGTGGTGTGTGCCTGTAGTCCCAGCTACTCAGGAGGCTGAGGCAGGAGAAGCACTTGAACTCCGGAGGCGGAGGTTGCAATGAGCCAAGATCGCACCATTGCCCTCCAGCCTGGCATCAGAGCGAGACTCCGTCTAAAAACAAACAAAAACAGAAAAGTACAACTATCCTATGCCCCCAGCAATTCTACCAGGTATTTGCCCCAAAGCAATGAAAGCAGGTGTCTGCACGAAGCCTGCACATGAGTGTTCACAGTCACTTTAATCAGAGCAAGTCCAAACTGGAAACAATCCACATGTGCATTGATTACTCAACAAATTGCAGCAAATCCATAAAGACGAGTGAATTACATCATATCCACACAGATGAATGAATTACGTCATATCCACAAAGATGAGTGAATTAGGTCATATCCACAAAGACGAGTGAATTAGGTCATATCCACAAAGATGAGTGAACTACATCATATCCACACAGATGAATGAATTACATCATATCCACAAAGACGAGTGAATTACGTCATATCCAAACAGATGAATGAATTACATCATATTCACAAAGATGAGTGAATTACATCATATCCACAAAGACAAGTAAATTACGTCCTATCCACAAAGATGAGTGAATTACATCATATCCACACAGAGGAATGAATTGCATCATATCCACAAAGACGAGTGAATTACATCATATCCACACAGATGAATGAATTACATCATATCCACACAGATGAATGAATTACATCATATCCACACAGATGAATGAATTGCATCATATCCACACAGATGAATGAATTATATCATATCCACAAAGATGAGTGAATTATGTCATAGCCACACAGATGAATGAATTACATCATATCCACAAAGATGAGTGAAGTATGTCATATCCATAAAGACGAGTGAATTACATCATATCCACACAGATGAATGAATTACATCATATCCACAAAGACGAGTGAATTACGTCATATCCACACAGATGAATGAATTACATCATATCCACACAGATGAATTACATCATATCCACAAAGACGAGTGAATTACATCATATCCACAAAGACGAGTGAATTACGTCATATCCACAAGATGAGTGAATTACATCATATCCACAAAGACGAGTGAATTACGTCATATCCACAAGATGAGTGAATTACATCATATCCACACAGATGAATGAATTACATCATATCCACACAGATGAATGAATTACATCATATCCACAAAGACGAGTGAATTACGTCATATCCACAAGATGAATGAATTACATCATATCCACAAAGATGAGTGAATTACATCATATCCACACAGATGAATGAATTGCATCATATCCACACAGATGAATGAATTATATCATATCCACAAAGATGAGTGAATTACGTCATATCCACACAGATGAATGAATTACATCATATCCACAAATACGAGTGAATTACGTCATATCCACAAGATGAGTGAATTACATCATATCCACAAAGACGAGTGAATTACATCATATCCATACAGATGAATGAATTGCATCATATCCACACAGATAAATGAATTATATCATATCCACAAAGACGAGTGAATTACGTCATATCCACACAGATGAATGAATTACATCATATCCACAAAGACGAGTGAATTACGTCATATCCACACAGATGAATGAATTACATCATATCCACAAAGATGAGTGAAGTATGTCATATCCATAAAGACGAGTGAATTACATCATATCCACACAGATGAACGAACTACATCATATCCATAAAGAGGAGTGAATTACGTACATTCAACAGCTTGGGTGAATACCACAAGGACTAAGTTCTGATTTCCTATCTTGCCCAAATTCCTATCAAAAGTGTCTGGGGAGTCATGCCCTACAAACTATCCATTCTCACCAGATGTGTTTTATTTGACCCTATATATCGTGACTTACTTCCCAGTCTCACTCTGGTGTAACATTATGAGACAAGGAAAAAAAAAATGTTTTACGCCAAAATATATTTCCTTGCCATACCTTGAAATTGCCCTGCAAAGTTTCTCGCGGGAAAAACCGACATTCTATAGAGAATCCCCTTCCCCTTTGTTTTCCTTCCTTTCCAGATCCAGGAGATAATCAACTAAGAGCCAGGCACCCTTTTAGGTCCAATAAGAAACATTTCACAACCTGCTGTCTCTGAAGTCTGCTATCTGAGAGCTTCCTCTGCACCAATCAAACTTGGTCTCCACAATCCTTTATCTCAACCTGAACATTCCTTTCCATGGATGCCAGGTCTTCAGACAAACTCAACCAATTGTCAACCAGAAAATGTTTGAATTCACTTTGAACTGTCCCACCTTTCTGAACCAAACCGATGTATTTCTTAAACGTATTGATTGATGTCTCACGCCTCCCTAAAATCCATAAAACCAAGCTGCGCCCCACCACCTCGGGCACGTGTCCTCAGGACCTCCTGAGGGCTATGTCATGGGCCATGGTCACTCAGATTTGGCTCAGAATAAATCTCTTCAAATATTTTACAGAGTTTGACTGTTCATCAACAACTCCAAACGCCATGCTGCATGACAGAGGCTATCCACAAACGCACCTGTTCCACCTACATGAAGTTCTAGAACATAACAGAAATGATCCACAGAGCTGGGAATCACATCAGCGGTTTCCTGGAGCGCAGAGGGTTTTAGCTACACAGGACACGAAGGAGCTCTCTGGGTGAGGGAAACGTTCTGTGTCTGACTAGGATGGTGCTTACGTGTTGTCTGCAGGAAACCTTCCTTATATGTAATCAAATGGAGCAGCAAAGTGAAAAGGAGAGACTGGAAAGGGATCTACCAACAACTCTCAAAAGACGGCCGGAGCGTTTACGTGATGATGAGAAAGGAGACTTGAGAGAGTGGCACGGTACGAGGGATAGAGAGGCCGTTACATAGTGAGCAGGTGCCCCCTCGCGAGAACACAGCAACCCTGAATGCAACCTAACAGAGCTTCCAAATACACGAAGCAAATGCCAGCACGCCTGCGAGAAGGGGCAAAGCCACGGTTCTCCTTGGTGACTTCAGCTCCCCTCTGAAACCTCCTACACCGTGTAGACAGAACACTGGCCCGGGTGTAGAAGGCCTGAAGGACACCTCAGTAGGCGGGACCTGGCGGGCATTTCTAGAATGTTCCCTGAAACAGAGCCGAAAGATGTCTTCTTTTCAAGGCTGCGTGGAACCCTGATGAGGACAGACCATATGCTGAACCCGATAACAAGCGTGAAGGATTTGAAAGCACTGAAATTAAATGGAATACTTTGCTGACTCCAGAGGAATTCAGTTAGAAATACAAAACAGAGATTCAAAAACCTGACAAAATAGGCACGTCATAGAAGAAACGTGAACAGCCGATAAACGTGTGAGAAGATGCCCCAACTCAAGTAACTAGAGAAATGCAATTTAAAACACAGAGAGAACTGTATTCCCACCAGACTGGCAAAACTTAAGAACCCTTGGTACAGGGGGGAGAATCGGAGCCCTGAGAGGAGGTAACGTCGATGCAACCACGTTGGCAAACCCTTCGTCAGCAGCTCATTGAGCCGACCACGCACCCTTCCTTCCCACGGCAGAGCGGGAGCTCCTGGGTCAGCCTCCCTGCCAAAGTCTGTTCACAGCAGCCCCGAGCTGGCGACGGGTAAATAAGATGGTGGAGCCACGCGGCGGAGCCCGCAGCACAGTGGCCGCGCAGCGAGCAATGACCCGGGATCGGGAGCCGACAGAAGGGCACGCCTGGCGCGGCCACGCACAGAACCCAGGGCCAGGCAACGCGGGGCAGAGGTGTTGGGTGACCTCGGGCGGGTCGTGGCCGGCCGGGCTGGGCAGGGGATTCCTGGGTGCCGGCTCTATGCGAATATTCTTCAGTCTGTGAAAGAAAATGCCTTGTCATGCCGCTGAGGATTCATACGCACGCTGTGTACCTTACCCCGCGAGGCAGGCAAATGCCAAGAAATGCCAGCTCGGATTAGCGCAGCGGGAGCGCCTGTCTGCAGACAGGGAGTGTAAACGGCACAGTCACGTGGAAGACACGTTGGCATTATCTCCTAAAACCCAGTGCAAACCCCTGACAATCCCACTACCAGGTGTTCCGTCCTAAGCAGCGAGCTTCCAACCGTGGGTCAAGAAATCAGTTTTGTGGGTTGCATCCAGCCTTTCCTACAGACTGAAATAGAAGACACTTGAATAGAAAATGCAAAGCACGGCACACGTGGTGACGGTGCGTTTTATTCATTGAAGTCTGTGCACACACTGGGAGCACATTCCAGGGCTTGGCAGACATTGCCTGCAGAAGCCGGGCGGCCGCACCTGGGCTCGGCGGGCCACACGGTCGGCGGGGCTTGGTCCATGGGGCTGGCCGGGCTTGCATCCCCAGGTGCTGTGTGTGCTGCGCCTGATCCAGCATTTCTGGTGCAAGGTGAAAGGACTCAGCCACTTTAGAAATCCGAAGCCGCCTCTGCTCCAGGGGACACCTAACCCAGCAGTCCCACAGCAGCTGCGTGCCCTAGAGTGTCCTGGGCCCGGCCTTAACTTACAAGGGAGCCTGAGTGACAACTCCGGAGGCCAGCCATTGAGAGATTACCACGCTTCCTGAGAGGAGGGCCACGTCGCCCCAGGCCGGGCCACACGGGAAGCACCCAGGCCGGTCCGGAGGCAGAAGGGGCTGGGAAGCCCTGGCCAGGGCCTTCACTGGGGCCTCCCCTGGGAAGGAGGGGGCAGGATGGCGCAAGCAGCCGCAGAGGGGCCGGCGCCCCGGCAGGCTTCGAGCTGCAGCAGTGTCTCCCGCTGCCTGGTGCCTGGCACAGGGCGGGGAAACGTTGGCTTAGTGTGAGACTTTGATAGGGGGTCGGGGGTCACAGCCCTGGCAAGGTGGGTTCTAGGCAAGCTGTCCACCCCCGGGAACTAACTGGCCCTAGGAGGAGCAGTCCTGGGTCTGAAAGATGTTAAAACATTAACAGATGCAGAAAATAAACATGCATAACGGATAGAGTGCCATGCACACACCGGCACCTCCATTCCTAATCACCGACAGCTGCAAGCAAAGTCCACTAACAGGTGATGGACAAACTGCGTCTTAGTTTATTCAGACAGAAGAACACTGCTCACAATTAAAAACGAAGGAACAGACAGCAAGGAGCTACGGACACACACAACAGCACGGATGAAGCTCTAAGTCATAGGATGAAGAAGCCAGACATCAAAGGCTCCAACTGCAGGATTCTGACTCCTCGAAGGTCGTGAGCCGGAGAGGTCAATCCACGGTGCTTAAGTCAGAGCCACAGATGGGGAGGGACGCCGACAGGAAGGGCTGGAGGGACCTTCTAGGGGCTGGGTCTCCACTGAAGAGCATGCATCTCACCATATGTAAATTTTACCTTAATTAATAAAAACAGCACTGGACGCAAATACGCCAACATTGTTGTCAAGGTTAATTTGGCGTGGTGGGAATATGGTGCTTTATTTGGATTTTTTTTTTGAGCCTCAAAAAAAAAAAGAAAGGGAAAGGGGTCTTCCCCCAGGCAAGCGGCCACCCCCGGCAGGAGGGTCCCCCGGCAGGAGCGTCCCAGCCACTCCGCAGTCACTCCTGACCCAGAAAAGAACAACCACAGCTGGGCCCAGCACCCCGGGCCACTCCCTGCAGCTGCCCACACATCTGGCAGCTGGGTCCACTTATGCAATGTGGATCGGGCTTCTTACATCTGAAATCTGCGTCTCTATCCCTCCTCTGAGACCAGTGTCTCCTGCCAGCTTCCATGGCCCCGGGATGACCTCACTCTCCCAGGGTCTCCCTGCGTCCTGGGAGCTCTGGCCGAGGAGCAGCAGGGGCTGATGGCAGAGCGGGGGCAGGTCAGAGCTCAGCAGATGGGGTCCTGAATACACGGGGGATGTGGGAGGGGCCAGGGGGCTGGGGATGCCCAGGATTTGGCACGGGGGTCTCTGTGTCCCACCCACTCCTGGCACAAAAGCCCCAGCCTCAGGACCCCGGTCACAGGCACCCGGGGGTGGGGGTGACCAGCAGCAGTTCAGAGGCAGGTGTGGGCAATGTGGGCCTGAGTCTCCTCCCCACTCACGTCACTGCCCGCGGGGACACAGCGGCATTTCTGGGGCACTCGGCATGCCGGGTTCCTAACCTCAATTATTCATTCTGCTCTCAGGCACCTCCTGACGAGACCCTGGCCCAGGAGAGCTCGGCTCGGGGACAGAGGAATGAGACTCAGTGGGACGCAGAGCCCAACCCCATCCCCACCCCTGGCTGGATGGGGTCTGGGGGCAGCAGAATGTGGACCACTC
This sequence comes from Homo sapiens, assembly GCF_000001405.40. Classification (NCBI taxonomy): domain Eukaryota; kingdom Metazoa; phylum Chordata; class Mammalia; order Primates; family Hominidae; genus Homo; species Homo sapiens. The sequence goes on from NC_000020.11 coordinate 63,345,303, forward strand.
AGCAGGAGGCTTCCTGACTGTCTCCTCCTGAACCGATGTCACTCACAGGCAGGGGACACGCCATCCTGGCCCCGCCCCTCTGGGCCCTTGGAATCATGGAGGGGTGGGGCAGCCTGTGCCCATCCCAAGGGGAAGTGTGCCCCTGGGGACACTGGGGGGCTGCCGGGTGCGCCATCTTTAGGGGGTGCACTGCCGGGCTCCAGGGTCATGCCTGGAAACATTTCAGGCCTCCCTCACCTCTGGATACCGCCTGCAGGGGTGAGGCTGTGCTGAGCTCTGCCTGCCCTGCCAGGACGGAGGGCATGGGCCTGTGTGGAAACCCCAGGGCTCCCTGACTCCCATGAGGCTTCTCAGGGACTTCCTGCCCCGAGGGTCCCAGCATCTCCCAGGTGGAGGTCCTCAAGGATGCCCCCACCAGCTCCCCACAGCTACTGTAGCAGGAAGTCCTTCTTCCCGAACCCAGAGCCCAGGGCGGATCTCCCGGGCTGCGCGCCAAGGTGGAAACCCTCAGGGTCCTGGGGGAACCAGGGCCCAGGTCTGGACTCCATTCGGGACCTTCCCAGCTCCGGGGAATCACAACACAGAAGTACCCCAGGGGCTGAAGCCACTAGGCCCCCGTGGAGCCCTGGCCACCTGCCAGAGCCCTGGCCCTACGCCTGGAAGGCAGAGTCCTGGTCTCCAGACTCGCTGGGGCTGGGTGTTCCTGTCCCCCGCGGAGGGCCTGCGCAGGGGAGAGCTGGTCCCGCGTGGGCCTCCCGATTCTCCCCACGCGGAACCAGCTCCACAAAACTCTGTTCTCCAAGGCTCCTTAGGCACAAGACTTGAGTTCTCACTAACTTACCCAAAACACAACCAAACACAATCCCTGCCTGGACCCTCTCCTAGCGAAGCAGATTGGAGCGCTGCTGGCTCACCCTCATGGGGCCCGAGAGGCTCAAGGACCCTGGGGGAGAAGTTGAAGCCCACACAGGCGCAGGACACGGTGGGTGGGAGAGGCGGCCGGGCCTCCAGAAGACGGGGCGCTTGGGGCTGAAGGGGCGTGAACTCCCTTCAAGGGCCCCTTGGGGCGGTCGGGACCATCACCAGATCTGCTGAGAGACTGGGAGGAGTGAGTTCCATCTGCAGGGGAGCTCAGGAGACTCTTGAACTGGACTTAGCCCGAGTCCTGCAGGTAGAAGGCGCCGACCCCCACCTCTGCTCCAAGCCACTGCCTCCTGAGGCCACAGTCCAACTGGAAGCAGCTCCACACTCGGTCTCCCCAGAGGCCGTGTCCCCGTCCAAGGCCGTCTTACAGCAGACACAGAACAGGAAGGAAAATTTGGCAAACGTGTGGCCCCACAGAGTCCAGGGAGAAGCCAGCCCGGCCCCAGGCCGGCCGCATGGATGCTGGCCCCGTGCACGGCAGCCCCAGGCCACGCAGGCTCCCGGTCCCTTCCTAGATCATGCCAGCCAGCCAGGGCGGCAGGAAGAGGCCCACCGTCCCCAGCAGGCAGACGATGATGAACATCCAGAGGAAGATGCGGTCGATGACCATGGCCACGTACTTCCAGTCCTCCTTCACCTGCAAGCACAGACGCCGTCACTCCAGCACGGCCCGGCCGCCGCCAGCGGGGACAGCCCTCAGGACCCCGGCGCCGCCGGCAACAGCTTCTCCACCTCCCACCTTCCACCCGAGGCAGCCATTGCTGCTGGTGCACGCGGCACACAGCTGCACCGAGGGGAGGAATTGGGGTGCACGGGACAGCCAGTGCTCTGCGGGGGGCATCATCACCATGGTATGGGGCAGGAGGACCTTGCAACCCTGGGAATTCTGGCTGGGCAGACCCCCTTGTGGAGACAAGCTCTGCACTATGCCCTGTGTGCCCCCACTTCTCAGCAGGCGGCCTGTGCTCCGGGAAGGGGGCACGGGGGAGGGGGGCTCAGGCACCCCGTGAGCGGTCTGCTCTCAGCTCACCAGCGCTGGGAGGGCCCATCCCCCTCCCCGTTTTGCAGATGGGCAAATGTGGCCCGGTGGGCGCACAGAGGGCGGACGAAAGCAGCACACATGGAGCCCGCAGAGCTGCCGCCATCTGCAGTCTCTCACTCGAGCCTCCCCTGGCCTGTCTCGTTTTCACACTGAGGCCTTCAGGGGCGGCTGCGGTTACATATCTGAACGGGGACAGCGGGTTCCGGCTCCAGGTCCGGCTTCTAACCCCACACTCCTGGGGCTGATGCAGGGCGGACCTCCCCCGGGTGACCCCCAGGAGCAGAGGCCTAGGGAGGGCAGAGGCAGTGGCCTGGTCAGGCCTGGAGTCGGGAAGCCACTCTCGAGACAGCCGCTGTGTGCAGCCCAAGGCACTCATGCCGCTGGCCACTGCCCTCGCCCCGGCTCCCCCGTCCCGCGTCTCTGGCTCTGCCGTGTAGGACCTGAGACAACCCCCAAGCTGATGAGCTGCCTCTGGGCCCGGCCGTGAGGGTGTCCTGGGTCCCAGGCCTGTGGATGCTGAGGGATGGGAGGGATGTGCCGCGGGGGCCTGGGCACACTGTGGGGACAGTGCCGCCTCCTGCTCTGATTGTTTATAGCAATCCCGGGTCTCCTGATGGTGTTAAACTGAACCAAAACGGCCGCATTTATCTACGGGAAGCCTGAAGGCAAACGGGGTCACTTATAAATAAAGTCCTGCCCAGGCCTCGGCTCTGGGGGCGGGGACGCGGCCGCCCTCTCGCCCTTTCCTATGTGCCTTTAGTTCCCTGGGTTCTGTGTGCCGCGTTCCATCCACCCTGAAGATGAAACGCAGCCGCAGACCAAAGCCTTCCCTTTGTCCCCGAGGTGGCTGCTGTGAAGTCAGCTCTGCTCCCCACAAGCCCAGAACCAGGTCAGGCAGCGGCAGCAATCGGCCCGAGAAGGCTGCTGGAGGGGCCCAGGGCGCGCGACCGCCGAGCTCAGACCCACTGCCAGCTTCAGGACCGCTTTGATCAAACACCTAAATGCATCTGACCCCACGGTGGCACAGCCCGGGCACAGCTGCCTCTCGCTTCAAGAGCTGGCAGCAAAGCAGGATCCCGATGCTTCTCCAGGCTGCTCTCGTGACCCCAGAATGTTCTGGAACCTGCAGGAGGTTTTGCAGCTTCTTGGGATTCAGTGGGGTGGCTGTGTGGGGCGAGCAACTCCCTCACTTTTCATGGGTATGGAGCACGGGCCCCTCGCTTTGGGGCTCGCTCAGCTAGTGGGGGCAGGCACCAGATGCGTCCGAATAAACCATCGAGGATGGCGCTCTGGGGTCCTGGCAGAGGTGGCCCCTTCAGACGGAGGTGGCCCACTGAGGGCACCAGGCCCTGGCACCGGGACAAGAGCCAGGAGGTGCCGGCGACAGCAGGTGGATGGACAGGACAGATGCCGAATTGCCGCTGTGGACGTCATGGGCTGCACAGCCGAGGCCGAGACCCCCGGCCACCTGTGTGCCCCACCCGTCCCGCCCCATTATCCTGTCCGTGGACCCTGGCCCCTGTGCCTCCCCCCATGTGACAGGCAGTAAATGTCTGCAGAAGGAAACAGGGAAGCTACCTGGTGCTGGGGTCAGGCAAAGCTGGCTCAGCCCCAGCCTCTCCTGCATGGAATGGGTAGGAGACTGCACAGCCACGGGTAACACGGACATGGCTGCCACTTAGCAGAAACTGTGGCTCCTGGGGCCTCTGTGCGGCCAGTGCCTGGCGCTGGAGGGTGAGGGTAGGTGGGCTGGCCCCGGGCCCCGGGGGGCCTTAGCCGTGGGACCAGCGTTCTGCCCCCAGCCCCTGGCTCTCCCACCTGTCCCCAGCTTGGCCGTGTGGGGCTGATGGTCTTGGAGCTGTGTCCCTGTCCCAGCTCCGTCCTCCTGCCACCAGCCCATCCCATCCCATCTTCTCTGAGCCCCCTACATCCAGGCCCCAGATACGGAGGGGCCCCGGGGAGGCCCGCGGGGCAGGCACAGGCGCACTCTGGAGAAAGGGCCTTGGCAGTGCCTCGTTGCGTTCTGGGGACTTGGCCATTGCTGGGCAGGAGTTCCCAGAGCGCCCCCGTTCTGTGCTGGAAGGACGCTGCCTGTGGCCCCTCACCGTGCCGTCCGCCGAGGCCCACTGTGTCCCAAAGCCAGAGACGGCACCGGGATCCACCCTGTGCCAGCCACTCGGGGCCCCCTGCCCCGCTCAGCCTGGGACCTGCGGCCACATAGCAGGCTTGGGAAGAGGCTGCTGCAGCAGGGGCCACGCCCTGCACCCCAAAGCGAAGCAGCCTGAGGCCTGGGCCCGGCTCCTGGATTACACACCAGGAAGAAAGGGCGTCCGCCGGTTCCGTCTGGGTCAGAGGCGCCCAACACAGCCATGGGCGGGACTTACCGAGAAGTCTGTGTCTTCGGCCTTCAGGTGGTCTGCAATGTACTGGACGCCCTCCACCGCCCGGGTCAGGGCCGGCGACAGGGGCAGGTGCGGGGGCGGCGCTTTGGTGCTGCGGGTCTTGACCGTGGCGCTCGGGGACACCGAAGAGGGCTCCTTCTTGCATGTGCATTTGCACGGAGAGGGCTGGTCTGGGGGTGGGAGCTCAGCCGAGTGGGTGTTGCGAGAGGCCAGGGCGCCGGCAGCCTGGCCATCTGCCTCGGGGGCGGCATCGTCTCGGGGAACACAGTACTGGATGCTCCGAGACCGGCACCGGACGCCGCCTTCCACCGCTTCGCCAGGGCTGGACATGTGCTGGACGCTGAGGGACCTGGCTTTGGCCAGCCCTGGTGCCTGGGTGCCGTGGGGCGGGCGGCAGGGTCCAGGCGAGGGGTGGGGGCTGGCTTTCTCAGCTTCCAGGGGCTGCTGAGGAGGGAGCTGGTCGGAGGGTGACTTGCAGGAAGGCCCAGGCTCAGCCGGCACATCCAGGGGGACACAGAAGGACGGTGAGGGCGGGTGCAGGCTCTGGGTGCCGCTCGTGGCAGGGGGCTCCCCTTCTGGCTCGGGCCAGAAGCGCGGGGCACTGGCCATCTTATGCATGGACTCGATGAGCCGCCGGCAATTGTCCTTGACCACGGACGGCCGCTTCATGAGGAGCAGGCGTGGCACGATGTCCAGGAAGACCCTGCGTACCCAGGTGGGCATGGTGTGCGTGCGTGGCGAGCGGTGGTGCACGTTGAGCACGAAGACCGTGATGACGATGGACAGGGTGACGAAGATCATGGTGAACAGCAGGTACTCGCCGATGAGTGGGATGACCAGTGAGGTGGACGGGATGATCTCGGTGATGAGCAGCAGGAAGACGGTGAGCGACAGCAGCACGGAGATGCACAGCGTGATCTTCTCGCCACACTCGGAGGGCAGGTAGAAGACCAGCACGGTGAGGCAGGAGATGAGCAGGCAGGGGATGATGAGGTTGATGGTGTAGAAGAGCGGCAGCCGCCGGATGACGAAGGCATAGGTGATGTCCGGGTAGATCTCGGCACAGCACTCGTACTTCCTGGTGTTGTAGGTGCCCACGGCATCCACGATGACCCACTCGCCACTCTCCCAGAAGTCCAGCTGGTCCACGCGGCTGTGCATGTTCACCAGGTCGATCTTGGCCTTGTCGTAGGTCCAGGAGCCGAATTTCATGGTGCAGTTCTGCTGGTCGAAGGGGAAGAAGGTGACGTCGATGCTGCAGGAGCTCTTGTAAATGGCCGGGGGAGTCCACTGCACCCGCCCGTCATGGAACAGGTGGGCCTTGGTCAGGTGGGTGACCGCGAAGTCCCCGTCAGCACTGGGCAGGAAGAGAGCGAAGGGTGTGAGACCCCCACATCCATGCCCACGTCCACACCCACGCCCACTGCCACACCCATGCCCACGTCCACACCCACACCCACATCCACGCCCACATCCACGTCCACGCCCACATCCACGTCCACGCCCACATCCATGTCCCACGCCCACATCCACACCCACGTCCACGTCCACGCCCACATCCACACCCACGTCCACGTCCACGTCCACGTCCACACACAGAGGCATTCTCACGTCACAGGAGCACAAAAGGGCTGGCGGCCTTGCCCGGGTACACTGTTCGTCTTCTCACCTACTCGTGCACCTCAGTTTATCATCCCTGAGCTGGGCGTAGCACGTGGTTCAGAGAACGGGAAGGGACCTACGAGTGCCTGACACACATAATCACTGCTGCTGGTGATTACCCTTATCCATGAGTGGCGCATGGATGGGGCTAGTCTCCCAGCGTCACCTCCTGGGACACACGGCATCCCTATGTCCCCGCCCCTCCAAGCAGCACCCCGGGCCACCATGGGAATTCCTCACCCAGCTTCTGCCGTTAACCCCAAGGACTTGGAGGCCACCTCCCAGTGTGTGAGCATGAGGACACCAGGGGCCACAGAGGCAAGGACAGGTGTTCTGGCCACCCAGGGCCAATGCAGTGGGGCTGCATACGCACTGCCCAGTTCCAGGGCCACGTCTGAGCCACTGGCTCTGGACTCTCTTTTGCCTTGGGGGACGTGGGTGTTCTGTCCACAGGCCCAGGTGGGCAACAGAGCAATGGAGCGAGGGGCTGATGTCCCTTGAACTCCTCCCGGTAGGCAGAGCTCCCAGCCCCAGCCCCTGGTTCCATAGACAGCGGCTGGCTGGGTGGGACGCACTGCAGGAGCACATTCAGGGCTGAGGCAGCCAGGCTCACGGGGGCAGCAGCCGACCCTCCACCCCCACCCACAGAAGTCCCCACCAATGGGAAGCCTGAGGCCCCATTAAATCCCCAGCGTTGGCAGGCATGGGGCCAGGCTCAGCTCTGTGGAGGGCGCTGGGGCACGACGCGTCGGGGGGAGCGGCTGCCCAGCCACACACCTCCTGCTCCACCTCTGCCAAGCTGCCTGGACCCCTGCCCATCCCTCCTCTGCCTCATTCCCTGAGAGCCTGCTCAAAGGCCAGGGCCTCTCCAGGTACTTGGGCAGAGCTGGCGACTGTTCCCTGAGCTTCCTCTGTGCCTGCCCCCGAGTCCCAGGGCTGGACCTGCACCTCAACCTCCCTCCCAACCCTCAGGGACCCTCCCTTTGTGGAGCCGCCACTGCTGGAGCTCTGCCCTCCAGGTCGTGGAGACCTGGCCCCCCACGGTCTCAGTCGGTGCTGAGCCTCTGCCCCCCTGAACTGGTCCTGAGCCAACACCGCCGGCTGGGCTGCCGCTCAGCTGCAGAGGGAGGGAGACCCAGCAAGAGCCACCAGCTGCATCTCAATGCGGCTCCGGCCCAGCACAGCCTGGCTCCCGAGCGTCCCTCCAGCGGGGGGCGGGGCTTTACCACCAAGTCAGTCTGGGTGGAATCAGGCTCAAGTTTGCTCCCTCTCCCCAGCCCATCTCTCCAAAAACCAACGCCCTCCACCTTCTGAGGCACAAATTAAAAGATTCTCATATGGCAAGCGGGTGACTACTCTGTTCAGCACACACTCTACAGGGAACGCCAGGGCCATGCTCAGGGAACAGTGCAGGTCTGCGCCACTCTGGGCAGGGCCCCCCTCCCCCAGGGTCCTCTGCCCGCGCCACAGGAAACGGGACAAGGTCAGGGCCAGGTCCCCCAGCCCCCAGGTCCCACAGCACCCCTGGGCTGCATCACTGCTGCTCCCTGCCCCGCCCACCCCTGGCTCCAGCCGCCCTCTGGGGAGCCTTTGAGGAGAACCCCGTTTGGGCTGAACCACCCGGCCGTGAGCCGGCTCTGGACTCGCACCATAAAGCTGCACCCTGGGAGCAGACAGGGTCTGAGGAGCCGCCCAGTCCAGCAGGTCCAGGTTCCTGCTCCAGGGCCCACAGGCTGGCGTGAGACCCTCTGTCCCCTCCACCCCGACCCCAGTCCAGGTCAGGGATTTCTGGGCACCTGCCCCAAGTGGACAGCAGGGCCCCCAACTGGGGGTGGCCAAATCCCAGAGAAGGGCCGAGGCCTCCCACCCTGCAGCCTGGCCGGCCACCAGCCACAGCCACCTGCTGCCCCAGAAACAGGCCTCCTCAGCGGGAGCAGACCCAGCACCAGCGGCCACTCCAGGAACCCTGGGTCCTGTCCGGAGAGAGCCTCGGTGACAATCCCAGCCCCAAAGAGAAAACTGGGGTCACCCCACTACATCCCACAGGCCATGGTGAGGAGGAGACACAGGAGAACATGGGGTGGCAGCAATCCCTGCTCTCCTGAGCTGTGGTCCTAGGGGGCTGTGGTCCTAGGGGGGCTGTGGTCCTGGGGGGGCTGTGGTCCTAGGGGGGGCTGCGGTCCTGGGGGGCTGTGGTCCTAGAGGGGGCCATGGTCCTGGAGGGGCTGTGGTCCTGGGGGGGCTGCGGTCCTGGGGGGACTGCAGTCCTAGGGGGCTGTGGTCCTAGAGGGGGCTGTGGTCCTGGAGGGGCTGTAGTCCTAGGGGGCTGTGGTCCTGGGAGGGCTGCAGTCCTAGGAGGCTGTGGTCCTGGGGGGGCTGCGGTCCTGGGGGGGCTGTGGTCCTAGGAGGCTGTGGTCCTGGGGGGCTGTAGTCCTAGGGGGCTGCGGTCCTAGGGGGCTATGGTCCTAGAGGGGGCTGTGGTCCTGGAGGGGCTGTGGTTCTAGGGGGCTGTGACCCTCGGGGGGGCTGTGGTTCTGGGGGGACTGTGGTCCTAGCGGGCTGTGGTCCTGGGGGGCTGTGGTCCTGGGGGGCTGTGGTCCTAGGGGGCTGTGACCCTCGGGGGGGCTGCGGTCCTGGGAGGTCTGTGGTCCTGGGGGGCTGTGGTCCTGGCGGGGGGGCTGCGGTCCTAGGGGTGTTGTAGTCCTAGGGGGCTGTGGTCAGGCAAGAACTGTGATCCTTGTGGGGGCTGCAGTTCTGCAGGAGGCACTGTAGCCCTAGGGTGGGATGAAGTCCTGGGAGGACTGTGGTCCTGGCAGGGAATGTGGTCCTGGGGGCCTGTGGTCCTGGGGGGCTGTGGTCCTGGGGGGGCTGTGGTCCTGGGGGGCTGTGGTCCTAGGGGGCTGTGGTCCTAAATGGGGCTGTGGTCCTGGGGGGCTGTAGTCCTGGGGGGCTGTGGTCCTAGGGGGCTGTGGTCCTGGGGGGGAGCTGCTGTCCTAGGGGTGTTGTAGTCCTAGGGGGCTGTGGTCAGGCAAGAACTGTGATCCTTGTGGGGGCTGCAGTTCTGCAGGAGGCACTGTAGCCCTAGGGTGGGATGAAGTCCTGGGAGGACTGTGGTCCTGGCAGGGAATGTGGTCCTGGGGGCCTGTGGTCCTAGGGGGCTGTGGTCCTAGAGGAACTGTGGTCCTGGGGGAGCTGTGAACCTGGTGGGGGCTGCAGTCTTTGGAGGGCCGTGGTCCTGGTGAGGCTGTGGAAGTGGGGGGGGCTGCAGTACTCGGGGGGCTGTGGTCCTGGGGGTTTGAGGTCACAGTGGGGGCTGTGGTCCTCAGAGGCTTCGTTCCTGGGGGCTGCATTCCTGGAGGGCTGTGCACAGGCACCCAGAGCGGCTTCTCTGCCCGGCCCATCCTGGGCGTTTCCACTTCTCCCTGAAATGTGTCCATGCGAGTCACACAGGCGGATTCGGTGCATGGTCCTGGTGGCGGGGAGCTAGGTGGCTGGGTGGCTTGCAGGGGGCAGGGAGTCTGTCCTAAGGGAAGACCACCCGCTGCCCACTCACCACTGACCACCTCCCCAATGCACTCTGGAAAAGCGTCCGGCCCTCCCACTGCCGGAGGCCCTTCCCGCTGCCATTACTGGAATCAATTGAGTTGGAAGAGGAGCCCAATCGTTCTTAATCATACAGCAGGGTTTGTAGGTCAGGCGGGTGCCCTGGGGCCTGGAAAGGGCTGTGGGCAGATGGCTGGGACGGGAGAGGAGGAAGAGCTTCCATTTGCTTTGTTTGTGGGAGCTGTGACCCTGCCACACCCAGACCCTGAGCCTGTGGCCAGAGATCATCCCTGGAGGACTCAGCTCAGAGAGCGCTGGCTGCCGGGCGCAGGGCCCTCGGCACAGATCTGCAGGAAGGACAAGTTAGAGGACAGCAGCCTCCGGAGGCCACCATCTGCCACGGCCAATCCGTGGCAACGCTGCCCTGGCTTCCAGGCACAGAAAACCCGTTTCCATGACCAGACTTCATCTTGGCCTCCTAGGAGCCTGACATGGGCTTGGCCCAGCCCGAGGCTTTGTTTGTTTGCTGGGGACCTGGCGTGACATGTCCTGGGCAGAGCGTGAGTATGCAGAGAAAGCAGAGGCCCTAGTGGCATGAGAACCATCTGGGGCTTCCTCACCCCTCTCCAGGGCACCCTGCAGTCCACACTATTCTCCCAGAAAGGCCAGGATGGGGTCTGATGGCGAAAAGCACTCCTGCCCAAAAGGGCTCTCCTGCAGCTGTCAAGGGTGGGGGCAAAGACGTCGCGGGTCAGGAGCCAGCCCCCAGGCCTCAGGACTGGTCCAGGCAGGGACACTGTGTCCAGGTGCCATAGCCACTCTCAGGCCCCTCCGGCTCTGACGCTCCAGTGCTGAGACCCAGGGATGCCCTCAGCCTCTTTGCTGGCCTGGGGGGACCCTTCCCTCCTCAACCCACACCAATTTCTCCATTGCTCCTGCTTCTTCCTTCCTGGGCCTGGGCTGGCATGCATGGGGCTGGCATAGGCCCCGCTGGGCCAGGCTGGGCCTTGGTGGAGCTCCCTGTCTGGGCAGGGGCAGGCCCTGGCCACTCCTGCCCACCAAGGCCCTGTAGAGGACTCACTTGTTGTAGAGGACTCACTTGTTGTAGAGGACGATGTCCGGCCGCCAGATGAGCTCGGAGGGGATGCGGATGGAGGTGACATTCTCATAGTCAGCTGGGTCCCAGCGCAGCTTGTAGTCGTGCCACTCCTGGATGAGGTGGGGCGGGGGGAGGCTGCAGGGTGAGGGGTGTGGGGGAGGGCAGGGGCGGGACAGGGCCAGGGTGGGGCAGGGGCAGGGCCAGGGCAGGGCAGCAGGGTGAGGGGTGTGAGGGAGGGCAGGGGCGGGACAGGGCCAGGGTGGGGCAGCAGGGTGAGGGGTGTGAGGGAGGGCAGGGGTGGGGCAGGGCCAGGGTGGGGCAGGGCCAGGACAGGGCAGCAGGGTGAGGGGTGTGGGGGAGGGCAGGGGTGGGGCAGGGCAGTGCCCTCCCACTCACCTGCTTCACCCATACGTTCGTGGTCATCATCTGGTTCTTCTCATCCTAGGGCACCGAGAGAGGAAGGGGGCCAGTGACCCCTTGGTGTCTTTCTCTGGCCCTAGGTTTCCTCATCTACAGCCACTGGCACAAGGACACGGCCAGGGCAAGATATGGTGGACGGGCGACCTGTGGAGGGGGTGAGTGCCCCGTCCCTGGAGGCAGCCGAGCCCAGGATGGGGACTCTGAGGGGACCTAGGGATGTGGGGACAAGGCCACAAACATCTCCAGCAGGAAACTGGAGAGGAGTCGGCGGCCTCACAGGCTTCCCCAGCTAAGGACAGGTGTGGCGGGCATGGGGAGCCTCCTTCTGCCCACCTGCCTTGCTCCCTCCCGGCCCTTGGGGGCAGCCCCTCTGCAGACAAGGCCCCCATGTGGGCACACACAGCCAGCAAAGCTGCCCCTGGCACATAAGTGGGTTCCACTGCTGGCCAGGGTGGCCCCTCCAGGACTGTGCCTCATGACCTGAGCAGGTGGGACCTGTCACTCAAGGTCACTGTGTGCAGCTGGGCCACTCACCCCAGCCCCTTCCGACCCACCCCACCCACCTCCTTCCACATCCCCACAGGACCACGTCCCCACCGACCACATCTCCATGGACCACATCCCCACAGAACCACGTCCCCACAGGACCACAACCCACAGGACCACATCTCCACGGACCACGTCCCCACAGAACCACATCCCCACAGGACCACATTCCCACAGGACCACGTCTCCACGGACCGTGTCCCCACAGGACCACGTCTCCACAGGACCACATTCCCACAGGACCACAACCCACAGGACCACATCTCCACTGACCATGTCCCCACAGGACCACGTCCCACAGACCACGTCCCCACAGACCATGTCTCCGTGCAGGGCCATATCTCCCCACAGGACCTCATCCCCTCAGGACCTCATCCCGTGTGTCTGAGGAAGCTCCAGGGTCCTCAGAACCAGCTTCACGTGGCCAGGCCTGGCCCTCCTGCCCAGTGTCGTGCCCTACCCCCTTGCAGCCGTCATTCTCAGTCGCCCTTGAAGCTGGAGGGCAGGTCAACACTGCACATTTCACCACCACTCAGCACTGGCCTGGGCTGGTTGGAAAAGCACTGGGTCTTCCAGACCCTCCTCTGCAGCCAGTCCTGGGGCCTGAGCTCACACGTGCAGCTCACAAGCCCTCCCCTCCAGGACAGACCCTGGTGATGGCACCTATAACAAGTATCCGAGCCCGCAAAGGGGGCACAGGTGAATCCCCAGCCCCTGGTGGGACGGGCAGAGTGGGCCAGACACAAGGCAGCCCCTTCCACATACACGTGGTCCTCAGCCTTAGGCCAGCACCCAGGAGCATCAGGCAGCCCCTTCCGTGCACACGTGGCCCTCGGCCTTGGGCACCCAGGAGCGTCAGCACCCACGTGTGCATGTTCGTGTAAGTCCTTAGTCGGCTGCAGGGTGGAGAGAGGGGTGGGCAGCTCTGGGAGTCTTGGTTCTGGGTGTGCTCCAGGCCTCAATGTCTCCTGGGCAAACTGGGGACTCTGTGGTGGCGTAGGGAGCCATGGATTGAGCCCTGAGAAGCTCAGGTAGGCAGCCAGGTGGGGGGTGGCAGACCCAGAGCCTTGGGCAGCTGCCAGCGGCCGCCTCTGCCAGCTATCACTTTGCAGCCGTGTTTGCAAACCTCAGCAGGCTTGCCAAGCCTGTGCAACCCGCATTGTCTTCTGGCTGGGCCTCCGCCAGGGACACTCCACAGGAGCCACTCAAGGGCAGCTCCAGGACACTGAGGCTGGAGGTCTGGGTGGCCAACCCTGGACGGGGCTGGCTGACTGGAGTCTCCATGCGCTGCCCTGCATGGGCAACTGCCACCACTGAGCAGCCTGTCCGCGGGAATGTGGCTGCAGCTCCCCACACCTCCCAAAAGCCCCTGGGGTGTGGCCCACTCAGCCTGGGATAGTGAAGCAGCTCTCACCCCGTTTCACAGGCCCCAGGCCCAGGGTTACCCAACACGCACGGCACCAGCCTCCCAAAGAGAGGAAATTCTCCCGCAACCCGGTGGCTCCTCCCTCAGCGGCAGACCCAGGCTTGGCATCCTGGCAAGGTGTGGGCTGGGCCTCTACAGCATACAAATGCCTCCCCATGTGGGGGTGCCCTCCCTGGACCAGCGAGCTGGGATTTGGCAGCAGGGCTGGAGCTGGCGGACTTCAGTGTGGAAGACGAGCCCCTGCAGCTCAGCTGGCCATTGGCTGCCCACTCGCAAGTGGGCCAGCTCCCAGAGACCATGGCCTGCCCAACCTGCCCTCCTCCATGGTGGCAGCCCCCAGGCTATGCACCCCCACCCAGCCAGGTACCCTGAGGGATGGTCTCACCCCATTTGGAGTGGCTGAGCCTGGCTGGGAAACGTGGAAATGTCTCTGCTGCCCCTTACCCGGCCCCTCCAGGGCCGCCGAGACCCCCAGACAGTCTGGCTCAGGCCTGGGTAGGTAACCAAGCATCTCAACCGAGCACAAGGCCGAGCCTCCCGCAGCTCAGTTCTCTCAGCCTCGAAGCCTCCTGGTTCCTATCCTGCCTTGGGGCTCCATGTGCACTGGCCCACGCTGCAGGGGCCTGGCTGGACCAGTAGGCTTCCTCCCAGCAGCCTTCTTGGGCCCCCCACCAGAAAGAACATATCTTCAGACAAACAGACTTCGCCCAAGACTCCCCCAAACCCCACATTCCAGATCTGTGGGTGAGGGGCCTCTGGGGCCAGCTAAGGTTGGGGTGCTGCCGGGACACCACAGTGCCTGCTCCTGCCCCGGCCCCTGCCCCGGCCGGTTGTCCCTGTTGCTCCGAGGTCACAGCGTGCCCCGCCACCCCCAAGCAAGGCCTTTGCTGTTCTTTGCTTCCGAAGGTGCCTGGGCTCTGTACTGAGAACCTGGCCACTTGGAGTGTTCCCACGTCAAGGGGGAGGAAAGGGCAGGGCCTGGCTGGGACGCTCTGAATCAACCCTTGGCTGGGGCTCAGGCGGGGCAGAGCTGGTGGCTGTCGTTCTGACGTACCAGCCCGGGCCGGACACTCACAGCCACGGGGAGTGTTGATGGCTGTGTCCCCTCTGCCCACCCAGACCCCTGTGCTCCTTGCAGGGCGACCTCAGTCACAGTGCACGATGGCCACGCCCTCACCTACCACGTCAATGAGCTGAGCGATGGACAGGCCGAAGCGGACGAGGACCACGTCCGAGATGTTGGCCACGGGTCGGGACCACTTGTTGTAACCGGAGAAGAGTTTCTTCAGGAGCCGCTCCTCGGCGTGGGCCCGGGTCTCCACATGGCTGCTGGCTGCGGGGAGAGGCAGGCCAGTGGCTCAGGTGCAGGCGGGACAGGAGCCGGGAGCTGTCCAGGAGCTCTCCAGGCTGCCCCAGCCCCCTGCCCAGCACGTCCACTTCCTTTCAGCTCCTCACATGAGCCCTTCCCACCCCAGGACCTGTGTGTGTGCCGGGCGTGCGCTCTGTGTGTGTGTGTGTGCCGGGCGTGTGCTGTGTGTGTGTGTGTGTGTGTGTGTGTGTGTGCCGGGCGTGGCGTGCGCTGACCTCTCTTGGCCTCCGGCTCTCTCCCACCCCTGGGTGTAATTGTGATTTCCTCGGGGAAGCTTCCCAGGCCCCTCAGCCCACGGAGGCCTTCCCAGCACCTTGACCGCACCACAAAACCAGGCGGCGGATGGGCCGAGGACTGCTTTGGGTCTCCTGTCACACTGACTTCCAGGGAAGGGCTGTGTCTCTAGCAGCTGGCGAGTCAGAGGACACTCGGGGGTAACAGCAGCAAAGGAGGGAGTACAGGGCAGCGGGGCCAGCCCAGGCAGGAAGAGGGAGGAAGGGGAAGGAGGATCGGGCCCCCACAAGCGCCCGCTTCCTACGGAACCTCCCCTGGTTCATCAATCCCCTGATGCCCGAGGAGTGTTTCAGATGCAGACCCCAACGAGGTGCCAGCCCCCTCCGCACCCCAGCCTGCCCGTGCTGTTGGGCAGACCCAGAACGCCCCTGATGAGTCGCTCTGGAGGAGCACAGCCCTAGGTCCATCTGTGCTCCAGGTCCGGGGCCCCAGGATCTGAGGCATTCCCCGCCTGTCCTGGGCGCTGCCATAAGGGGCGGGTCTGGGCGGAGGGGGAGACCTCCACCTCCCTGGTGGGTCCCGCTGGCCTGAGAGCGCAGACAGGACTCGGGGAGGGGGAGGGGTCAGTTCTACACCCCTGGGAGCCTTGACTCCCAGCCCAGAGTCCCCACCCGCGACCTTGTCCTTCCTGCAGAAAAGGTGGGTGGCGGCCGCCAAGGGCAGAGGCCACCCCTCTGATCCCCTAAACCGGAGGAAGCAGGCATGGGGGTCTTCAGGGAAATTTAGCTGGATGGATGGGGGAAGGGCGAAGGTGGCCCCACCTCTGCTCAAGTTCGAGCTTTTGGGGCCAGCCCTGAAATAGCAGCGGAACCCCCCACACCCCGCGGAAAGCCCCTTTCCCAGCCCTCCGCATTCGCCGGCGGTCAACTCCCTCCTCGCCTGGCTCAGCCCGGGTGCGAGCGCAGCCTGTGCGGCTGGGGATGGGGAGCCTCGCGGTCGCCCAGTCGCGCGCACCCGCGGCTTGGGACCGCAGTCAGGAGCCTGCCTCCCTCTGGCTCTGGGGGTCCCAGGCCATCCGAACGCGGGCGAAAGGGGGCCCATCCCGCGCCCCGTAACTTACCGCGCAGGAGGCCGGTCCCCAGAAGCAGCAGCAGCGGCGGCAGCAGCCGCGGCGCTCCGGGGCCCCCTAGCTCCATGGCGCACGCACCTCGCGGGCTCTAGATGCGGGCGGCTCCCGGCTCCCCGCCGCTTCGAGGCCCGTGCGCGCCCAACTTCATGCCTCCCGCGCCTCGCGGGCCGCTTCGGCCGCCGGGCCCGGTTCGTCTTCTCCTGTGGGGCGCGGTGCGGCGGCGGCGCGGCAGGGAGCGCCGGGCTGTGGGCTCCGTGGCGCGGCCCCGCCCGGCCCTGCCCGCCTCAGCCGGCTGGGAGGGGGAGCAGGGGAGGGGGGAGGAGGGGGAGCAGGGGAGGGGGAGGGAACGGAGAGTGAAAAGGGAGGAGGGAGCAAGGGCCAGGGAGAATGAGCAGGGATGGACCGCGCGCCCAGGGGGACGGGGAGGCTGCGCTGGGCCCCGGGCGGGGGTAAAGTTTCCTTGTTCTCCTGGGGTTCGAGACGTGCCTGAGCCGGGGACGGGGACCCCGGGGTCACTGAGTGCGACTGGGGGGTCCCGGAGTCAGTCTGACCTCCCTCCCCACATCTCCAGCCTGGGCGCCCGCTCCCTGCCTGCAGGGGTGGGGGGCACATCTAGGGGATCCGGCGCAAGGAGGGGCACCCCTAGCACATCTGGGTTACTCCATCGCGCCAGCCGGTGTCTGCAGCCTGAAAATCGCGTCTCTGGTCTTGTTCCCCAGCGAGCCGTTCAGGACTCTCTGTCCGCCTGCAGCCCCCGCCTTCCCTGGTACCTCCGCAGAGACCCAAGAGGCGTCCAGAGGGGAGCCCAGGCGCACGGTCCCCAGGGAGGGGCCCCGCCCTCAGGTGGGTGCCGAGGTGGCCGCCCACAGAGCAGCAGGTGCGTTGGAGGAGGGGCGCCTTGTGCGGCTGAATCTCGTGTGCAGGAGGAGAGGGCGAGGCTCTGCAGAAACATCAGACCCGGCCATCCCTGTAGCCGCGCCCCTGGCCCAGCCTCAGGCTCTGCAGCTGGGACACAGCCCCCGAAAACGGAGATTTCCGTCGTCGGTAATGGAAGGCAGAGCAGAAGGGGCTGGAGAGGTCCGGTGACCCTCCGCATTCACGCCCCTCCCTCCAAGGCTGCAAGGCTGCTGGTCGGGCGAGGGGGCTCCGTCAGGAGTTCCCTGCAGCAACCCCCTCTCCAGCACAGGCCTCTGGAGCCCTACAGCTCCTGCCCCTCCCATCGCTCTCCCATCTCCCCTGTCCCTACCCCCTACCTTCCTTCTCCTCCTCCCCCCAGCTTCCCTGAGCAGCCACTGCTCCTGCCCACCCCTCTCCCCCCTCCCTGCCCACCTCTGGTTCCAGGTTGAGCTCATGGCTCCTCATACACCTGCTTTGGGACGGGCAGGAGCTCTTCCTCACTGGCCAGAGCTGTCTGTCCGCTCTGTGGGCAGTGCCTACAATTAGAGCTTTCAGAACACACAGCCGCTGCACAGTGGCTGGTCCAACGACGACACTGCCCTCCTGAATTGCCTGGTCCAGCGACAACACCTGCCCTGCTTCTGTGGCCTTCCCACATGCTGGTCCAAGCAAGCTGGATGCAGGGACCCCCTGCACTTCCACGGCCCCCTTGAGGTGGCCTCTTCAATTGTCCCTACGTTACCAAAGAGATAACACAGGTGCGGAGAGGCCGAGCGACTTGCCGAAGCTCACAGTCAGTACTGGGATTCCAACCCAGGCCATCTGGCTTTAGGGTCTGCACCCCGGCCTCCTGCTGGCCTCAGATGTAGTTTTGGGCTGACGTGCCCTCACTGGGACAGCCTCCTGGGAGATCCCAGGTCTACTTTCCTGAACTCTTTCCTGGAGCCATGGGTGTCTGCCACCCACCCTGCTGACGGCTCTCCCTCAGACCACCCTGCAGATCCAACCCTCGATGGTTTCAAGGGCCTGTTTCCCTAGGCAGACTGAAGTCCCCCAAGGAAGGATTCCCTCTCCTCCTCCTCCTCTCCTTGCTCTTCCCAAGCCCCTGGGCAGTGCAAGACCCTGGTCCTTCTGGCCTACATGAAGCCCCTCCATGGGCCAGTTCTGTGCCAGGAACTAGAAGGTTCCAAGCTGGATGGATATTTGGGCTGAGCAAGCAGCTGGTAAACACAGGGAGGGGAGAAGAGCAAAGTCCCCCGAGGCCCCGTGAGGGCAGCCTGCTGACCTCTGACCTCTGACCCACTCACAGAACCCCACCCCCGCTCCCTGCGGCACAGCCCATGAGGCTCTCTGCTTAGGAAGGGGACAGAGAGGTGGCAAGGCCAGCGGTTCCCGCATGGTATAGACTGGCCTCTGCCCTTTGGTTCAGGCCCCACCTTGGTGAGAAGCCCCTGCCTGTGGTGTCGCAGAGCAAATGCCATTGGCAGAGCCAAATCCACATTCTTTTGTGAGTGGAGAGGCCAGCCGTGCTGCGGTCCCTGCTGGAGCCCCTGTGACACGGGGTTATCGTTTCTCTGACTTGGCAGCTGGCCGAAACGGGGCTCTTCTGCTGATAAAGTGATGTCCACTCGTGGGTTCCACACCCTCGTGGGTGCCTCACCCTCCCGTGGCAAACCAAAGACCTCTTTGGGAAGAGGACACCCCTGCTCCTGCACTTGGGCTCATGGTTTCCCCCTGGACTTGTTAAAATCGAGGCCTCCTGTGGAGATTATCTGGGGTCACAGCAGAGCGGGGGGCGTGTGGTGAGCTGGGTGAATCCCTGAAGGGCCACGGGTGTCCACTCAGCCGTGCGTGGGGGCGTTTGTTTAACTCCAGATTCTGGAGCTCCACCCTCAGAGACTGTTCAGTCTGGGGTGAGGCCTCCAAATCTGTGGCTTCCACCAGCCATTGCTGGCAGCTCTGATGCAGGCGGCCCCAGAGTGCCCGGAGAAATGTCAGCTTAGAGCCACTTGGCCCAGGGCTGATGTGGAGGGTCAGGGTTCCCCACCGCAGCCAGGGCTCAGCCCGAACCTGGTGTCCTGGCCTGGGGCAGGGGCTGGAATTTGTCCCCCGTTGGTGCAGGGGAAGAGGCCGTGGGCCTCGGCAGGAGCCTAGCAGAGGCTCTGAGACTAAGCCAGCTTTGCCTTTTCTGTCTCCTCCTCACTTTTCTAACAAAACAGGCCCAGGCTTCCACAGGGTCAAGCGGTCTCAAGCCGGCGGCTCTCCCTGGTGGATTCCTGCAGGTGAGTTCACTCTGAGAGCTCAGCCAGGGCCAGCAGGCCTGTCTCTCCCGGAGCCAGGGGCCAGGCCGGGTCAGCTGGACGCCCGGGGCTCTGGTGACACAGCCCTGCGGCCGAGTGCACACGCTCACACACATCTGTCCAACCTCACTGGCTTTCCCTTTGGATTTGCTAATGCAGCAAGATTAATCAGGTCTAACTCATTAATTTGCACAGCCCCTCCCTCCCACCTGCGCCCGCTGGAGAGCGCTGGTTGTGGGAACCCAGTAATCACCGAGGCTGAATTAGATTCCTACTCCACATCCTGGCCCTTGCCTCTGCTGCTCCTGAAATTGCTGCTTCAAAGGAAACAAAAACTCTGGATTCAAAGTCCAGTGAGACCAGATTTGGGGGCACAGCTTTTCTGTGGCCTGAGCCGCCCTAGGGGGCTTGCGGGTAGGTTGGGGGACACTACCAGGCCCTTGCAGACACCAGCCCCCGCCCCCCACCCTGGGGGACACAACCAGGCCCTTGCAGACACCAGCCCCTGCCCCCCACCCTCCCCATGTCACCACCAACTCCAGGCTGCCACTGGCTACGGTGCAAAGCAGCTCCCCTGGGAGCACGGCTCTGGGGGTGATTTTTCTCTCTCCCTCACTGCTGTCTACCTGCCCATGGTAACCGAGGGTTTGTAGTAAAGGTGAGCATTGCGGGGCACCAGCTGAGCCTGAGCCGCACCCAAGGAGATGGCTGTGGGAGGCAGGAGGCATCCAGCCCCAGGTCCCAGTGCTGGGACGCGCTGTGGGCTCAGCCCATGGACAGGGGGCCCTGCCTGTGCTCCCATCCCCCCCAAGGGCCTCCCCCTCCTGCAGCTGGGCCTCGCCCATCCCTACCGTGCTCTGTGGAAACTCTGTCCCACCCAGCACCCCTGAGAGAAAGGGGAAGCCCGGGGAAGGGCAGCACTCCCCCACCTGCTCTGCCCGACTGTCTTCCTGGCACTCTTCACACCAAACGTCATGCGTCTGCTCTCTGCTGGCCTCCCCTGTCCCCCACCTGCCAACAGTGCCAGTCCTTGAGGGCAGGTCTGGGCTTGGCAGGCGAAGCCTGGCTCTTGGGCCACAGTGACCACGTGGACAGATGGACGGATGCCTGTCCAAGGGCTAAGGGAGGGTTGGCCCAGAGCAGGCCTGTCACCAGCGGCCACCTCACCCCTCCCTGGAGTGAGGACCCATGTCTGCAAGGAGTCACGGGGCCCAGGAGAGGACTGAGGAGGGTTCAGGACAGGTGGGAGCAGAAACGCTGGGGCCCCGGAGACTCAATGCTGTCAGTTCTCACCACATTGACTTCCCTGTCATCCACCAGGACGGGCGGAGAGTAACTCTGTCCTGTAGCCTCCGTGAGTCTGGGAAGGCCTCCTCGCCCTCCCGTGGACCCGGGGGTCATGCTCACCGCCTGGTGGCCCCCAAGCACCCCTCCCTGCCAGCCCTGCCATGGGGCCCCCCCTGGAGACAGAGTGCACCCGGCCCTGCGGGAGTCCCGGCTGCTGTTCCTTCTGGGGCTATCAGGAGAGTCGGGCCTGGGCTCAGCCCCTCTGTGGGGCCAAGTCACTCGCACCCCTTCTGTGGGGCCTGAGCCCCATGCTTTGCTGCTCACCTGAGTCTGGCCTGCGTCCCTCCGACCCCGTTCCTCTGAGGCGGGAAAACGAAGAGGCCACACAAGTGAGCAGTGTCACCTGCCCCTTCACAGACATGAGCACCCCATGGATGAGAGTGGCCTCCTGGAGCCTCACCAGAGCCCAGGTGCTCCCCACTGCATCCCCAGGCCTGGCTCCCTGCCCCCGGCTGTGCTCTCAACTCCCTGCCCTCGGCTGCGCTCCCAGCTCCCTGCCCTCTCCTGGTGCTCCCTGCCCTCTCCTAGTGCTCCCTGCCCTCTCCTGGTGCTCCCTGCCCTCTCCTAGTGCTCCCTGCCCTCTCCTAGTGCTCCCTGCCCTCTCCTGGTGCTCCCTGCCCTCTCCTGGTGCTCCCTGCCCTCTCCTGGTGCTCTGCCTTGCAGGGAACAGAGAGTGCTTTCCCTCGGGCTGAGAGAAGAGATCTTTGAGCCCCTGTCTTTGTCCGTTTTGTTCAGCACAGGTTTTGAAGACCGTTAAGTGTAAGAGAAACATGGGAATCGGGCCCGGATTGCCAAAGGGGCAACATGTTCTCCTCACACCCCCTCTTTCCCCACCTGCAGCTGCTTCCATCCCGGGCCCTGCTGAAGCTGCCTTTGCTGAAAAGATGTAGGGCACAGCCGCTGGGGTGATAGTGGGAGACGGAAAGGTTGGCTGAGAGGCCTGATTCCTTCCACGCATCACAACCTGAAAATCGCCAAAGGTCTTCCTTGTTGGGGAGGAGTGAATGGCAGCACCGGAAGCCAAGGCCCCTCACCACCAAGAAGCCAGCAGCTCATCCCCACCTTCTGGACCAAAGACACGAAGCAGAGACCAAGCCGAGCCAAGGTCAGGACCTGGGGCCACAGTCAAGGTCGGGGCCTGGGGTCGCGGTCAAGGTCGGGGCCTGGGGTCCCGGTCAAGGTCGGGGCCTGGGGTCACGGTCAAGGTCAGAGCCTGGGGCCACAGTGGATTTCCTCCTGTGGGGATGTCCTTGACGTCCACAGCTCAGGCCTGAGGGTCTGCCACCGGCTCCAGCAGCTGCCACAGGTGTCCTGGCTCACAGGGTGTCTCTGGCTCAGGGCCGGGGCTGTCTGCAACTCCCCTCTCCCCTGAGCCCTCTGAGTGGGGCTCCTCAAGCTCTCAGGGGCTCCGCCACACCTGGGCTTCCTGGGGGCTGGGTCCTGCCCTGTGACGCCTGCCAGGCTCTTTGTAGACAGTTACTGATCTCCCATTGGCTCCGGTTTTGTGGCTCTAAGTGCTTCTGGCCCTCCCTCCACACTCCCTGCCTCTCTGCTGAGTAGTTAATTCACTATAAGCACGCTCCAGAGGAAGTCTCCAGCCTCTTAGTGAAACTGCAGCGATGAATGAGAATGATCGGGCACCCAGGTCTGCCTCCAAGTCTCGCGGATGGCCCAGAGACCGTGCAGTGGGAAGGTTGGCAGCAAGCTGAAGGTTTGAACTCTGGCTGTGCCCCTGCTGCCAGGGGACCTCAGGCAAATCATCTTTTTCTCTGGGCCTTGGTTTCCTCAGCTGTGGGGACAGTGCTGGCCCCGAGTCACTGGGCCGTTGTGAGGATGGAGAGGGGGTCGTGCAGGCTCCTGGGTCCTCGCTGAAGCCACCCAGGAGTTCTCCTGCACTCTCAGGGGAGCCCTTGTGCTGACATCTGAGGGTCACGGTTCAGTGGCTTCAGGGTCCAGACAGGCCCGGAGGCCAGGCCAGATGTGGTGCAGCCAGGGGAGGGGGCAAGCCCCGGGGGCCGTGGGCCATCGGTTCACACCACATCAGGGGCCGGGAATCCCACTCAGGGTTTAGCCCTAGGCTCCCCCCAGCACCCCCCTCCCAATCCAGAGGACACTCCCAGCCCTGAGCAGCGAGCTCTGGGCAGGCATCGGGAGAGGGAGCGCATCTCGGCTCTTTGTGAGGAATTACGTCCCGACAGGTCACTGACACAGAAAAGCCCTTTGTCCCAGCCAGCTGGCCGCCTGCTAATGACATCCAGCCTGCACCTTCCAAGGCCACCTCTGCATCCAGAAAGGACAGTGGCGGCTCCAGCCGGGGAGGAACAAGGGCCACAGCTTCCCTGGGGTCAGGGGTGGGGAGGGTGGGTGAAGGCTCCGGACGCTTCTGCACGTTGCCCCAGAGCTGCGGACGGACCTCAGGTGACCGTCAAGACCTGCTGCGGATCCAGTGACCCCTCCAAGGAGAGTGCCGAGTCCTGGGAATTCTCTTCCTCCTCCTGCACCTCCAGGTCACCTTGCCCTCTCCCGTGTTCCCCAGCCAGACCCCCAGTAGAGAGGAGACCCCTGCAGTTGTGGATGTGGCTTTCCCCAGTGTCCACGAGACCCCTGGAGCCTGGCCCCTCTGGGCCCGTAGAAGCTCCCATGAGATTCTGATGCACAGCGAGGGCCTGAGCCCTGGGCCAGCTCTTGGGGGCAGCCCTGGGCTCCCATGTAGGTTTCATCACACCACACTGTGGCCCTCACACCCTGCCCTCTGGCTGCCCCTCCTCCCTAGGGCATGTACCCCGAGCCCACCTCAGCCTCCCCGGGCATATCAGGGCCCCACTTTCTGGGGTATGTGTGAGCCACGGGACCTCGAGTCAGGAGATCCAGGCCTAGGCCTGATTCTGCCCCCTCCAGGTTCAGGACCCTGGGCAAGTCCTCCCACCCATCTTAGCCCAGCCTCCCCACCCATAAAATTTGGGTTGCTTGTCCCGGCTCTGAGGCTTTGAGAGCAGGGCTGTCTCTAACCGAGGGAGGGTGCTGCAAACTCCAGAAGGCCCCCGTCCCAGGGAACAGCGGGGGGAACTGTCAGAGAAGCGACCCCTGGACCAGCACCCTGAGTGGGCTTTCTTCTCCTCCCCACCCTGCTGAGACCACCCAAACCTTGTTAAGATCAAAGATTCCCTGGGGAGCCACACGGGCCATGCTGGACACTCCCTGCCAGACTTTCCGGAACAATTCCTGGGGACCCGTGTCCCACAAACACCAGCTGGAAAAGGCAGCAACGTGGGGTCTCCCTCCCCCTCAGCCAAAGTGAACTGTGTCAGCAGGTGTCTCCCAGCTGCTGAGAATGAGCCAAGGGACCAAGATGGCCGCCTGGCTCCTGCAAGTGGAGAGGGTCTTGCTGGGGCCTGAACTGGCTGAGGTCTTGCAGCAGGTGAGGAAGCCCTGGACAGTCCTGGCCTCTCCACCAAAGCAGAATGGCTGCAGGCCTGGAGGCACAAAGCAGGGATCATTTTCCTGTGTGTACACGGGATGTGTGTACATGGGATGTGTGTGTGTGGGATGCGTGTACGTGGGATATGTGTCTGTGGGATGTGTGTACGTGGGATGTGTGTGTGCAGGATGTGTGTGTGTGTGAGATGTATGTGTGCAGGGTGTGGGTGCACCAGGCTTGTAGATGCATGCACAGGGTACGTGTGCACAGACGTGTGTGTGTGCATGGACTGTTTCATGAGATGTATATGTATACAGGGTGTGTGTGTGCAGGTGGTACATGCTTCATGAGATGTGCCGTGTGTATGTGCGCACAGGATGTGTGTGCAGTGTGTATGTGTGCATGGGGCGTGTGTACACAGGGCTTGTATATGCACAAACAGGGTGTGTGCACGTGTGCATGGGGCATGTGTGTGCACAGGAGCATGTTTTCACAAGCATGAGTGTGACAGTCACCTGCTGACAGGCGGCCTCACCCTCTGCTCACCCTGCCCACCCGGACCCAGGGCCTCTCTCATTTACCCCAACATCCCCTGCCCAGCTCTTCTGCCTGGGAGGGTCCTGTGCAGAGGGGGGTGGCCCACACGTCCGCAGCCTCAGCCTCTCCATGTTGTTATCCCTGGATCTGGGGGTGGGACCCCCACAGCACTGCCTTTTTCAGCCTGTGGTTATGGGGACTCAGGTCCCCAGGCCCAGGGGCTAATTTCAGAGGGAGAGGTTTCCTTTGCCAGGCAATTGGATTTTCACATCAGCACATTCCTCTGAAAGTGGGGGCAGAGGGTGGGCTTCATCCCCACAGCCGCTAGGGGTCCTTGGGCATCCTCAGGCTCTGCCTCCCAGCACCGGGTACCCCAGGCTTCTGAGGCCGGGTGGGGAACTTGCAGCCTGCAACTCGGGCACCTCTTGTAATGTCGGGAAACCGGGGCACCGCTCAGTCACACGTGGCCGAGTGCAGGACACCTGAACGCCTGCTGCCAGGCCTGCCCTCCCGGGGCAGTGTCAATGCCGAGTCTGGGACCCTGCCCGCCTGCTGAGCGGTGCACCCAGTTCTCCAGGAGCTCAGTTCTTCCTCCACGCAGTGCCTCCTCCCACCTGTCCCTCCTCAGCCCTGCCCTCCCCAGCACTCAAGTCAAGACCAAGACCACACCTCAGCCAACCCCTCCTCATTCCCAGCCCCACCCACCCTCCTGGACTCGTGTGGGGCCAGCACCGCCACAAGTGTGCCCCACGCCAGAGTCCCCTCATGCCCTGGCCCCAGCTGGGGGCCCACAGCGAGCCTCCCGGCAGCCTGGTCTCCTTCCTTACAGGAAGGGGACGCTGGACACTTAGCCCCCTACAGGGAGCCCAGAGCCAGGCCTGGGTGAAGGTGCCTTTGGGAGGAGGTGGAGGAGTGTAACGATTGGGACCCAGCTGGACAGGTCCCTGTGAGCCGGCCTGGGTCCTTGGTGGGTGGGTGAGTGCCAGCTTGCCCTCACGGGACTTTGCCCCCTGAGCAGGAGGGACAGCTCAGGCCCCACCTGCCTTGGGCTTCTGAGCATAGCTTTGGGGGGCAGGGGTCGTTTGCAGCACGAAGCCCTTGTCAGCTTCCAGCGTGTTCTAACATTTGTCATACCAGATGGATTGTCACGAGCATATGGGGTGACATTATTATTCTGTTACTCCCATGATGACAGAGCCAAGGGCTGGGGAGACGGACCCATTTCAGCCTGACCCAGCCCAGGGCCCTTCTCTACCCTCACAGCTTCTTGATGCCCCATTCCCCAAACCCGGGCCCCCAATGCCCCCGCCCCACCCCCGGGAGAAGAGCCCAGCCGCGCCGGAGGGTGGAGAGTTCTGTCAACCAGTGCCGTTTCCTTATCAACAAGGACATGTCTACAAATAGCTCATCACGTCTCCAATCCAGAAGTGCTGTGTCGTTTCAAAAATGAGCGGAGCCAACGCAGCCACCAGCCAGGCCTCGGCTACCTGGGCAAGGCTGCCGGCTCATGAATATTCACGGCTCCGATGGTGTCTCTGAGCCTCCTAACCATCTGGAATTAAACCAACGAGCTTCCCCTCATGGGCTGCACTCACTTGACTTTCAGCTCCTCTCCAAATCGTTCTCTTCCTCGCAGCAGATGGGGGTGTGGGGCGGCCTCGACCCTCCTCTGTGTCTGGGCTGTTGTGGCACCAGCACCTTTGCCCCAGTTCCCCGTCTCTTAAGCGCTCAACATGCGTCTGCCCCGTTCTCAGGGAGGCCTGGACCCTGTCCCAGCCCTGGTGGGGATAATTACCCTGACGCTCGTTTGCAGCGTTTAATTTGCTTCCTCCGCGCTGGAAGCCCACGTTTGGTGATGTATGTGTTATGATGGCCACGTGTCCTTCCCCCATCAGCGACGGGGTCTGGGGAGGCCGGGGAGGCTCCTCATTACGCTCCCAGCACAAAGCCCAATCACAGACATCGCACACGGATACACTAGACCCTGCCTGCGGGGAGAGTGGCTGCCAGCCGGGGCACCCAGACGTCCCTGCGTGCCCTGTGCTGGCGCAAGGCAGCTCTTCCGTGCCTCCGTGGTGCCTGCGGTGAGGCTGCCTGGGACCCCCCTGTAGATGCTGCCACCAGGGTCTGCTCCAAGGAACGGGGAGAATGGGCTTGTGGTGCTGGGGCCTTGTGTGGGGTGAGACGCTTCAGACCGGAAGGGTGGGTGGCCTGGAGCTGCTCTGTCTCCAGGCACTGACCACAGCATGCACCTCTGATAGGTCCAGGAGAAGTGTGGCAGGGTTGGGCGCAGCCACCTATGAGCCCCTGAACCTCCCCAGGCCGTCGGATCTCACTTCAGAGTGGCCTGGGCATGGCCTCAGGTTAGGTCAGGTGAAGACTCTATTCCTGGCTCAGGAAAACCACCAGGACAGGTGAGCCCAGCAGCATCTCGTGGAGGGAGGCTCTGAGTCCCGTGAGGACAAGGACGGAACACCGGGGCTGCCACAGGTCGCAGAGACCCTGTGTCAACACCCTTGTTTTGAGGTGCAGAGACCAAAGTTGAGACCTGGCCATGCAGCAGGTCTGCAGGGACCTCAGAGCCCAGGGCCACTGTCCTGTCCCCAGCCCCATTAAACGCCCAGGGCCACTGTCCTGTCCCCAGCCCCATTAAACGCCCAGGGCCACTGTCCTGTCCCCAGCCCCATTAAACGCCCAGGGCCACTGTCCTGTCCCCAGCCCCATTAAACGCCCAGGGCCACTGTCCTGTCCCCAGCCCCATTAAACGCCCAGGGCCACTGTCCTGTCCCCAGCCCCATTAAATGCCCAGGGCCACTGTCCTGTCCCCAGCCCCATTAAACGCCCAGGGCCACTGTCCTGTCCCCAGCCCCATTAAACGCCCAGGGCCACTGTCCTGTCCCCAGCCCCATTAAACGCCCAGGGCCACTGTCCTGTCCCCAGCCCCATTAAACGCCCAGGGCCACTGTCCTGTCCCCAGCCCCATTAAACGCCCAGGGCCACTGGCCTGTCCCCAGCCCCATTAAATGCCCAGGGCCACTGTCCTGTCCCCAGTCTCATTAAACGCAGCAAACGTCTTCTGGACGTGCCGCCAGTCCCACAGAAAACCAAAGCAAGGCAGACTCACCGCTCCTGCATCCCGGAGCTCAGGTCCAGGAGGGTCTCGGGAAAGGATGGGGGCAACTGGAGTACCATCCTAAAGCCGTCTCAGCCCCAGGGGGCCGCAGGGGTCTACCCTGTCTTCTCTCTTGCAGGTGTGTGGTTGGTTCTAGAAGATGCTGAGCCCCCCCCCGCGCACTCGTCCCCACCTGCCTGGCCCCAGCACATCTGGCTGATTCTCATTCAGGCCTTGAATGAAAGGCCATCTTCCCAAGAGTCCTCCCTGACTCCCCTCTCACGGGACAGGTCCCTCCTGTTCCCCGCCATGGAGACTGTTGGTTAACTCTCGCCCCAGCCGACTGAAGGGCCCAGGAGGGCCGCACCTGCCTTGGCCACTCCAGACCCGCCACCCAGTGCAGACCCACCACCTAGGGCAGCGCCTCCACCCAGGGCAGACCTATTACCCAGGGCAGAGCCTCGGGCATGGCTGAAGGCAGGAAGGGCTGAGGATGAGCGTGGGTGGTGAGAAAAGGCCTCTGGACGGCAAGGACTTAGACGTGGTTCCAGGTGTGCACACGGGCAACAGCTGGGGGCCTTGGGCCCCCGCAGGCCTGATGGAGGAACCCCGCTTTGGTTAAGGCTTAAAGGAGGCGCACGGGACTGACTCTTCCTATGGAAAATCCTGCACAGGGAGATCAAATCCCAGCCTCCCAGAGGGAAGCCCCGTGCCGGCTGTGAGCTGCCCGCAGCTGCCTGACCCTAATCTTCTCCAATGAAGTGGCTCTGAGAGGTTTTGTGGTCAGTATCAGTTCTGTCTTTGATTTCAGCGCCTGGTCTGGACAGCAGGAGGAAGAGCTCAGAGACAGCTTCCTCCAGTGTCTCGGGGTGCAGCCGGGAGGAGCTGCCTCGCCCCTGCCTCTGCCTCTGACTCCCTGCCCCGCCGCCTGGCTCTCACCTGCAGCCCAAGAGTCCAGGCCTGGGCCCTAGAGTCGCTCTGGCCCACGGGAGGGGCACACCCGGGTCCCGCCCAGCACCACTAAAAGAGCCTGTTCAGAGACGTGGGCCGTCGCCCCTGCTCCTGCTGGAACGTGCAGCCCAGAGCCCCCACAAGCACCTCGTGCTGCCTCCCTCTTTGTGATCCCCCAGCCCAGCCCTCAGTTGTACCCCAGGGGAAACTGAGTCCCTGCCTGGTAAATGTGCAGCAACACAGCCACAGCAGGCTCAGCTCGGCACAGGCACAGCCAGGGTGGGCTCGGTCCAGCCTCGGCGCCTCCCCGGGTTCTGGTGCTCAGGCAGTTTCCTCCACCTACATGAGCCCCGACTTTCTCATCCGTAGAGTGGGACGAACAACGCCCAGTGCTCAGTGTGATATTAGAAGAGCCCAAGACAGTGGAGGGCTCAGCACAGATGCCGCCATCCGTCCGCAGAATCGCGCTGAGAGCAGCTCCTTCAAGGGAGCCCGGGACGTCCCGGGGAAGCCACCCTCAGTGACTGGCCCCAGACAAAGGCTGAACGGGCCGGGCTGGGCTGAGGGACACTGCCGGGGACTCGGGTAGGAAGAAGCCCAGGGCTGAAGGTCAAGGCCACTGCAACGCCCCGGGCTCAGGGGAGAGTGGGGACACAGGACCCATCCTCCTCACCTCAGGCTGGTCCTTTTCGCTCCCATGTGAAGGCACCATTGCCAGGCCAATGCTGGTCACTCTGTGATGACCAGGTTGGAGAAAAGCTGAGAACCCCAAGTATTGGGCAAATGCAGACTCTTGTGTCTTCAAACCAGAGGACATTTAACCCTAAGTCAAGAGGCCGGCTTCTTCCAGGAGTCCCCTCCCTGGGCATTGCCTGGAAATGAGGGGCCGATGGATTGTCAGGCCACACACCTGAGGGGAAGGGAGCAGTCGGGGCAACACCCTGGCAGGACACTGGCTCGGGATGGAGGGAGGAGGGTCTCAGAGTAGCAGGCTCAGGCAGACAGCTCACTCATCCCTGCCTCCAGCGCCCTCGCCCCTTACGCATCAAACTTCCGGTTAATGAACAACCTCCACACTGGGGAAACTGCTAATTAAGGTGGCTGCACTTTGGCTTCTGGCTTAGTTAGCTGCAACACCCCCAGTGCCCGCAGGAACTCTTTTCTCTCTCCCACAGAGACGCCTGGGAGGCTGAGCCCAGGCAGTCACCATGGTCGGGTCCTGTATCTCCTTCGGACTCCGGAGGCATGGGCGGCGTTCCACCTCCCACCAGGCTGATGGGGCAGAGATACTTCCCCTCAAAGAGATGCACGATTTTAACAGGCTCTCTGTGCAAGCCATACTGGCTGGATGCAACCTCTAGGGAGGAGGTGGGCAGGTGGGGGGCAGTCAGGGCCCCACCACCTCCCTGCGCCCCTGGAGACAGCTCCCAGGCTCCCCCACTCCCTGCACCCCTAGAGACAGTGCCCAGCGTCTCACCAGAGGTGCCATCTCAGCAGCACATGACAAGGGCATAAGGTCACGGCTTCCCTAGCCCCCAGGATGCGTCCCAGGGTTGGACAGGGCTCACCCTCACCTAAGGTTTGGGACTCACCTGGTGTCCACTCTGGAGTCAGCTGACCCGGCCCAGCCCTGAGGTCTCTCCTCCACCTGTCTGGCTCCAGGACAGTGATGGGCATTGCAGGCCGCTCTGTCAGGTGGCGTTTCTAACCTTGTTCTATCCACAGAACTCGTCTTCAAAAAAAGTTTACATGACAGAACCATTTAGAAGAAAAAAAGCAGAGAGGCCTTGGTTGAGGTTTTGGTGGCTCTGAGTCAGATCCACCGGCCTGAACTCCACCAGCCCTGCACCCCAGCAGCCCTGTACCCCATCAGCCCTGCACCCCACCAGCCCTGCACCCCATCAGCCCTGTACCCCATCAGCCCTGCACCCCACTTCCCACCAGCATTGCACCCCACCGGCCACCAGCTCTGCACCCCACCCCTACCATCCCTGCATCCCAGCAGCCCTGCACCCCATCAGTCGTGCACCCCATCAACCCTGCACCCCACCAGCCCTATACCCCATCAGCCCTGTACCCCATCAGCCCTCTACCCCATCAGCCTTGTACCCCATCAGCCCTATACCCCAGCAGCCCTGCACCCCACCCCCCATGAGCCCTGCACCCCACACCCCACCAGCTCTGCACCCCACACCCCACCAGCTCTGCACCCCACAATCCCTGAACCCCACCATCCCTGCACCCCAGCAGCCCTGTATCCCACCAGCACTGTACCCCACCGCCTACCACCTCTGCACCCCCAACCCGCCCTATGCCCCACCACCCTTGCACCCCCACCAACCCTGCAACCCCATCACCCCTGTATCCTCCAGTCAGCCCTGTATCCCACCCCACCACCCCCACACCCCCACCAGCCCTGTACCCCCACCAGTCCCACACCCCCCACCAGCCCTGCACTCCAGCCCCAGCCCCCTGCGCAGACTCCGAGGCATTTCCCAGGAACCCCAGATTCCAGGAAGCACCGTTCAGAAACTGCCCGCTCTGCTCATGTCCGTAACTCAGATCTTTTGTTAATTTTCTCAGCAACAAGTGATAACTCAACCATTTTTGGGGAGAAGATACTCCCAGGTTCACTGATTTTTCTCTTCGTACACTTTTCTTTTAATGATTTTTTAATTCCGTGGGTAAAACACGAATAGGTTTTCCTTGGAAAAGAGTTCAAAGCAGCCAGACAAAGGGAACTTCCCATGACGGCTGCCCAGTCCCTGCTGCAGAGGAAGCCGGGGGTGCCCGGGGATGCCCCTCCCTCCTCACTGCTTTCCCACACCAGAGTGGGGGTGTTGAGGTCGGGGGGAGCCCAGGAGCGGAGGTATGAGGTGCGGTTCCCCACCCTGAAA
This sequence comes from Homo sapiens, assembly GCF_000001405.40. NCBI lineage: Eukaryota > Metazoa > Chordata > Mammalia > Primates > Hominidae > Homo > Homo sapiens. The sequence goes on from NC_000020.11 coordinate 63,376,558, forward strand.
GTACACAAGGGCCTGCATGGGAGCTGCTGGCCTTTGCAGGCTCGTCGGCACCAGCTTGGGTCAGCAGTCTGGGCAGAGGCCACACAGCCTGGACCCCTCAGGACAGTTTCCCTGGAAGAGAGGTTCCTGTTTTCACCCTTGACTCACAGTTCAGAGGCCAAGCAAACAAAGTGCCTGTGGCAGGTGCATCAGCAGCTCACATCCAGGGTGCCCCTGCCTGGGCTCGGTGCCAAGGCCTCTGGGAGACCCCTCTCCGTGCAGCCCCCAGGGTCACGGTCTACAGGCTGTCAGGCGCCTGCTCTGAGGACACCTCAACCTGGGGATGCCAGGGGCACAGCTCTGCCCCCAGCCACTCTGGTAGAAGGGCCGCTGAGGAGCTCCACCAGGGGAAAGCCCCTCGCCGTGGACCTCCCCGACCTGGGTGGGCTGGCGAGTGGCTTTGCCTGGGAGAAATAAAGGCTCTGGGTGTAGACACAGCAGGGGAGCTGGTGGACCCACCGCAGAGCCCCCGGGCGACCACCGGGGCCGAGGACCTGGGTTCCCCCGCCATCCCTCCTTGGGGGGTGGGGACAGAGGGAGCCCCCATTTGGCTCATCTGGGGAGCTCAGTTCTTTGGCCCTTGGTCTGGGGTGACAGCCGGGGGCACCCAGGCCCCTCCAGCTCGGAGCTGCACCAGGGACGGGTGCGTCCGGAGGGAGCATCAGCAGCCAGTCACGGTAGTGGCTTCGCCTCTGCACATCCAGATCAGGGAGAAGAGGGAAAGGCTTCCATCCCACGGTTGGCTTTGCCGAGACGTTTCTAAATAAACGAGCTTTGCGGGGCGGCAGGTTGATGCATCTGGAGTGTGGGGTCTCCTCCAGCTTCCGGAGCACACGCCTCCCACCGCACCGCCACCTCCCCGGCTCTGAGAGGAAAACTCATTCATCTTTCAACACTTCATCCCCGGCGAGACCCTCCGGGCCCATCCCCCACCCCGAATAGCCTGTGTGTGTTTCCATAGCAACCTGCACGTGCCTCTGTGGGTCACATTTCATGAGGCCGTGAGCTCTTTGAAGGCACGGCCTTGACTTGAATCATTCACAGGGTGCAGAGTGGACGGGTGAACCATGACCCTAAGCCAGCCTGGGGGGCAGGTGAGCCAGCTCCCTCCCATGCCATTCTCTGGACCATAGCTCATGCACCCCGATTGCGTCTTACCGTCATTTGACAGACAGAGGCCAAGGCCCACAGAAAGGGGGCCCTCCCCTTCAGCAGCAGGGAGACGGCGGTCATGCTGGCCCGAGACAGGACGCCCCTCCTGGGGAGACGGAGCTCTGCAGACGGGAAAAGCCAGCTGCCCCCCTGCACACCGGGGTGCGGGGCAGCCCTGCTTCCTTGGAACAAAGGCTGCACTTGCAGAAGTAGCTCAGACTTTCACCTGCTTCAAACCCTGGGCCGTCTTCTGGTCTCAAGGCCAGGAGGCAGGGCCCACCGTCTGCTCCCTCCTGCTGGATGGAGCCTGGGGAAGCTGAGGATAATGGGGGCGTGGGGAGGGCTTCTGAGCCCCCGTGCTGAGCAGCAACACCAACCCTCCCAGTGCTGGTGAGAATTCCGGAGCAGCTGGTTTACTCCGTCTGGCAGGCGTTTCCCTCCCAACAGCAAAGCATCCCGGGCTTCTAGCATCTACCTTGTAAATATCAAGGGCATTGCAGGGAAGCTGAGCTGGCACTGGTGAGCTGACGTCAGCAAAGGGTCAGCCCCGGGGCCGGGGGTGTGATGGCACAGCTGTGGCCCAGCCCTGGGGGCTTCATCGCTGCTGAGTACCTCGCAGTGCGGGAATCGAAAAAGCCTCCTCCCTCGGCATCGAGCTGTTCTTGCCCCAGAGACATCTGAACAACGAGTATTGTTTCAGATACACACAGGCACTATGTTTCAATTTTTGATAGTAAAACCATTATTTCTGATGCCCATTTCTCACCCCACAGAAATTACTGGAATTTATCTGCATTAGGAAATAAGGAACGGGGACCGGGCCTGGCCAGCCTCTATTACCCTGTGCCTTAATTAATTAATTCATTCATTCTTCATCAAACTGTCACTCCTCTCCCACCACCTTCCAGCCAACACTTGGCAAAGTGCAATGGGACAGCCGTGCCACGAGGACGTCTTCTGGGTGGGCTGTGGGGTCGCGGGGCTCTGACCCGAAGCTGCACGCTTGTAGGAGTGGAAGCTGTTAGGAGCTGAAGCCAGGGGGCCTTGCTCAAGGCCTGGCCTCCTCTGTGTGACAGAGCTATCCAAGGTGCTGACTTTACCTGCTCCCCAGGATGAGCAGCTCTGAGGGTCACCCAGGGAAGGGAGTGGGGGACAGTCTGAGGTGGAAGACACAGGGAGTGGGGGAAGGGGGTGCGTGCACACAAAACAGCAACTCCAGCCTCCCAAAACCACCCTCCGCTTTGTGCTCCGGGGCCCCCCATTCACCCCCGCTGCGTGGTACCCTCCTTTAGGGCTGTGCCTGCACTGTGCTGTGTCCACACTGAAATTTGCTCACAGCTGGCCCTCCACACGGATCTGCTGTTGGATACTCTGTGTTATTCCAGCTTCAATTTTCAAAGAAAAGGAGGGGCCTTTCTTCATCTGCTCAAAAATTAGACTCAAACCCACACGTCCAGTGTCCACTCAGGCTCCTTCTGCATTTTTTCCATGATCTGTTCCCTTGATTGTGTCGAAGGCAGGGGGAGGGAGAGGCCAGCATGTAACCAGACTGGATCACCCAACGGTGAAGGTGATAGCAGCGGCGGCCTGTCTGGAATGGGCTGCCATGATGCTGGCTGCCGTCGGGGAGGTGTAGCCGGGGCTGTGCGCTCTGTGGAGCTGGTGGGAGCTGGGAACAGGTGGAAGCTCCACCCACTTCTGAGTTGACAGGGTGGGGGCCCAGCTGTGGCTGCAGACCCAGGCATCTCTGCACTCTCGGAGGTCCAGGAAGCCCCTGCCCCCGCTGCCTGGCCTCTCCCTGCTCCCAGTGCCTGCTCTGATTTCAGGGCAAAGTTGAGGCTGAGCCCAGGCACTGTCACAGCCCGCCTGGGTGTACTCACCCTTGGGGCAGCACTGACACACCAGCCTCTGCTGCCCTGGCCCCCCTTCAGACTTTGGGCGCTGACAAGCATGGGAGGGAGGCTGAGGGACACTAAGGGCAGGTCAGTGTGGGCCTGCAGGCAGCCTTCAGCACAAACAGTCTGGGCACCGTGGGCACCGTGGAGAGCAGGTTAATGGTGGCAGGGGGCAGATGGGCTCCTGGGTGGAAAGCGGGGGGTCCCAGTGAAGCCTCATCTTCAGGCCAGGGCTGCCAGTTCTGTGGACCACAGTGAGAACTTGTGATACTTTTTCTGGGCCCACCCATGACCACCCATGGACCAATCGGCATGCATGACCACCCACGGACCAATCAGCATGCATGACCACCCATGGACCAATCAGCATGCATGACCACCCACGGACCAATCAGCATGCATGACCACCCATGGACCAATCAGCATGCATGACCACCCACGGACCAATCAGCATGCACTTCCTCCCCTCTGAAGCCCATAAAAACCCAGACTCAGCCAGACTCCAGATGACAATGGGTCACCTGCTTGCTTAGAGGAGTGACCCACTGCGGGTCGCCTCTGAGCTGTTCAGTGAAGCTCCCCTTCACCCGGTCACCCCCCCACGTGTCCACGTACCTCATTCTTCCTGGTGTGGAACAAGAATGTGGGGCCCAAATGGCAGGGCTGAAAGAGCCATGACAGACAGGGTTGAGACACCCCCCTTGCTCGCCATGCTGTGGGTGATGAGAGGGAGAGAAGAGAGGAGAGAAGAGCTGCGGCCCTTCGGGGAGCCCAGACCAAGGAGCTCCTAGAGCCAGGGCTGTGACGCCATCTTTGGGGCTCTGCAGTTCCTGGTACCTCCAAGCTTCCAGGCACCACCACGTTCCCTGGTGCCAGCTGTGGAAGCCACTTGTGGTCTGCCTGGTCCAGCGCCAGCCTCACAGGGAGCCGGCATGTGGAGCTGTCCTCCCTGCCGCAGCCGGCATGCCTGGCTGTGCATAGTGCCTGGACCCCACGCTCACTCGCTCACACACCGCTCTGCGCCTGGCTAGCCCTCGGCAGGTGTGGGGTCCACGCGGGTAGCATGAGCCAAGCCCAACCTCCTGGGCCGAGTGGGCGGAATGAGCCCAGAGGGCCCCAGCAAACCTTGGCAAAGGTGCCACCGGCCACAGAGGCTTCCAGCAGGAAAAGCAACAGCCCAAGGGTCCCGTGACAAAGGGAGAAGCCTTCCAGCAGAGGCGGGAGGGAGGCGCCCAAAGGCGGAGGGATCCCACCCTCCCACCCAAAGGCCGAGGCCTGGGTGCTGCCCCCTGTGGCACCCTAAAAGCCCCTATGATGTTGCCTTCTCCCAAGACGAGATCATTCAACTGCCAAGATGAGCTTTCTCAGCCTCCCCCAGCCCCCTCAGCCTCCTACACTAGCCCCCTCAGCCTCCAGAACCTGCTCATTCCAACTCCAGGGCCGGCTCCCCAGCCTCACAGGCACCTGGCCTCTGCGGTGTGCCCAGCCCTGCACCAGAGGTAGCTCTGCCTGTGCTGAAGACCTCTGCCTTCTGGGAGAAGGAGGTTAAAATAGGAGCTCATGGGAACCGAAGCCTGGTGGCCGCTTGGGTGTGAAATGCCATTCTCACGGGTTCCCCAGAGCTAGGGGCAACATCATGTGAGTCTGGGGGTCCCCCTCATTCCCCTGGTGTCCCGACTTCCATCAGAGGAGAAAGAAAAGTAGGGAGGCACAGATGTGAACTCAGGATCCAAGGTCTGCCACTGCCCTCACGCAGAGGGCCGCTTTGGCTCGGAGAAAGAGAAGGGTATGACAGGCACCGTCCCTCACCTCCTGTGTGGCTCGGGGGCCCTTGTGGCCTGCAGGCCCTTCCTCCTGCTCTCAGGCTGTGCTGGTAACCGCGCTCCTGCCTGTGTATATTTTTGGCTGGGGAGTTGGCGAAGGGGCTGTTTGTCTCCGAGGCCACTCCTGCCTCCTCTTGAGTCAGGGCGGAGACGGAGCCTTCCCAGGCAGAGGGGAGCGTGGAGGGGGCTTCAGGAGTGTGGGGCCGACCGCTTTCCCTACAGGGCGCTTGACCTGTCCAGAGGGACCAGGGAAGACGGCGGCTCCGGGGGAGGGAACTGGGAACCCGAGACCCAGAAGGTGCAGTGACTGCTCTGCTGGGCCCGGACTCAACACTGTTTACCTGAAATCCGTTTCCAGTTCAGGAGGAAACAGACTCCGTGGCAAGATGGTTTTTCCACTGGCCTCTGGATGCTCGGCCTTCCCTGATACCGCAGCTGCAGTCGCCGTTAACCGCAGGCTGGAGGGAGACCCTGACCCCAGCTCCAAGCCCCCAGTGCAGAGCCGGAGAGCCGGGCCCCAGAAGCTGTCCCTGCAGCACCACCTGCTGGGCGGTGCTGGAAGTGTCGCAGCACCAGCGGGGGCTGGGGGCGCTGCCGCTGGGTGGTGAGGACCCCGGGGTCACGCATCAGGTTATGAACTCTGACTCTGCCATTTGGTCCTGACCATAGTCTCGTCATCTGTAAAATGGGGTCACCAGCACCCCCAGGTGTAAGGACCCCATCTAGGTCCATGCTGGGGACGGTGTCGATGGAGAGAGCTGGGGGCGGGGAGGTGGAAAGAGAGGATGATAAACCAGAAAAGGGGGGACTTTCTGTCCTTATCAAGATGGGGGTGGTCCATCTGGGGACCTAGACTCTTTCATGGCTGGCTCAAGTCCCCAGTGGTCCTGGCCCTACAGCCTCTGGAGTAGGGTGAACTCCTTCGGGTGGCATCAGGGCAGAGGGCCTGGGCAGGACCAGGAATCTCCCCACCCATTTTACCCCCAGGGAGGTCTTGGCCAACCCGCTGAAGGGGTTGGTAATCTCCCCAACCCGTGTCCATGAGGGGTTCTGAGGACCCCCTAGACCCATGTGTGGGTAAACCCTTCTGCACCTGGTGCCAGCTGGACCCCAGCCCCCGCCCCACCATCCCTGTGTGGACTGTCACCAGCCCCACCCCTCCCACAAGCAGGTCTCACCCTCCCTGGCCCAGTCTCCCTCCTTCCCTTAGGGCTGGGGCTGTACCCCATTGGGTTTCTCCTGGCCAATGGCAGACCTGGTCCTCAGCTGCCCAGAATAGCGCTGGGAACCCTTCCTCCTGGCGCTGGCAGCAAGCAGGCGAGAGGCAGGACTCAGCCCGGGGCTCTCCCCACCTGACTGGCCAGCGGGTTTCCACAGCACTACCTGTCCGTCCACACAGGGCATCTGACTTGGAAAGGCTTCTCTCGGCTGATTTTTTTTTTTTTTTTATTTTGAGATCAAGTTCACTCTGTAGCCCAGGATGGAGGGCAATGGTGCAATCTCAGCTCACTGCAGCCTCCATCTCCCAGGTTCAAGTGATTCTCCTGCCTCAGCCTCCCAAGTAGCTGGGACTGCAGGCACCCGCCACCGCGCCTGGCTAATTTTTTGCATGTTTAGTCAAAACAGGGTTTCACCACGTTGGCCAGGCTGGTCTGAAACTCCTGACCTCAAGTGATCCGCCCGCCTCGGTCTCCCAAAGTGCTGGGATGACAGGTGTGAGCCACCACGCCCAGCCTGAATATTTTTTTTAAAGGCACAAAAAATATTTACCAGGCCATTTCTTGCCTCCGGAACCTGAAGAAAATAAAATTCACTTTCACATCCTCAGCAGCCAAGTGGCCCCTTCAGATCCACCTGCTGAGGTCATGGCCAGCCCTGCCCCCAGCAGTTTCCCAGGATGCGTGGCTGGGGGGTGTCCGATCACAAACCGCGGGAACTTTATTTTCAAGGCTGCTGCCTGGCCCGGGGGCTTCGGTTCCACCACATGGGCCAGTTTATCACCAGCCAGCTCTGCCTCGCTTCTTTTTATTGTGTTTTGTTTCCTTAGCAGTAAAATCATTGACTTACTTGTCTGGGTTTTTTTAATTGCAAAACGAATGCATGATGCCTGTAACCATGTCAAATAAAGAGTTATGCACAGAATTAGAATGAGAAAGTCTCTGTCTCACACCTCCCCTCGCACCACCTGCTGGGGTTGGAGGTGGGAAAGGTGCTCCCACCGACTCCGGCAGCCAGGATCACTCAGGGGACTGGGATGCGGAGAGAGCTCGGGGATAGGGCCTAGGAGTCACTGGGCCCCACCAACCACCCAGGCACCTGTCCGAGCCTCAGCGTCCTTGCAGTGCTGGGCCTGAGTCGGCCTCCTGGCGGCTGGGAGCTGGGGAGCCTGGCTCCCCAGGATGGTCAGGACTTTTTGGGAGCAGGAAGACAATAGCCCAGGAAAGCTCACTGGGCCTTCATCCTCACGGACCACTACAGGCAGGGCCCACAGCCGAGAGGTGCAGAGAAGAGCAAGCCAGTGCCGCCCAGGCTGCAACCCTGACCCCACTCCATGCACCGTCCTCCCCCAGTGTCCAAACCCCCCAAAACTCACAGAGGCTACATCGTAGGCACCACCATGGAAAGGAGGCCTGTTTCCAGGGAACCCTCTACCGCCACCCCCCCAACCCCAACCCCAACCTCACCCCCACTCCTTTCGTCACCTCCACCCCCCACCACCCATCCCTACACTCTCGGTGGCTCTCAGTGGCAGCCACATCAAGAACAAACCCACTGGGTCTCCGGGATACCCCGTAACAGGTGGAATTCTGAGAGGTGGGTGGGGTGGGCATTCTGGGGCTGAACTTGGATGAGCGAAGGCCCGGGGCAGGGAGATAGAGGCGGCCATGTGCGGGACAAGGATGTCACCGTGATTCAGAAAGGCTTTGGGGCCGACATGCAGTAATAGGGCCAGGGTCACCTCCTGCCTGGACAACAACAGACGGAATATCTGCAGCCACAGTGTTAGAGGCCTGGGACGTCGGCAGCAGAGCTCCACAGCCCCCAAGAGGACGAGCCCTCCAGCTGCTGCAGCTTCTTCCTGGTGCAGTCCTGGGTTGACGGGACCGACCTCGGAGTCTGAGGAAGCCAAGGTGCCTGGTAGAGAGGGAGAGAAGGGAGCTGCTCCGACACGGAGCCTCTGGGATCTCCTCTGCACACCCTGGGCGGACGCGGCCCAGGCCAGGAAAAGGCCCATCTAGAGGAGTCCGAGGAGCAACCCCGTGTTCCCACAGGGCCGGGAGAGGGCCTCTTTCCCAGCCAGCCTGGAAAACCTCGAAATCCATGGGATTGTTGGGGGAGAACTCAGAAGGGAGACGCTGGGCAGTCTCAGCTGGGGAATAATTAGGATGAACAAACCTGAAACACAAAAACCCCTAAAATCAAATTATTGTGAGTAACACATCACCCCATAACAAATGTCAAAAACCAGGACTAACCAAATTATTGTGAATTAAAATTCACAACTTATGGCATTAAATCAAAGATTACCAGGCATGCACAGAAATAGAAAAACGTGGCCCCCAAATCAATTGATTGAAACTGACCCCAAACTGATGTAGATGTAGAGGTAATAGACAAGGATATTTCAAATGTTATCAGAGGTTGGGTGTGGTGGCTCATCCCTGTAATCCCAGCACTTTGGGAGGCCAAGGTGGGTGGATCACTTGAGGTCACAAGTTAGAGACTAGCCTGCCCAACATCGCAAAACCCTGTCTCTACTAAAAATACAAAAAATTAGCCAGGTATGGTGGCAGGCGCCTGTGATCCCAGCTACTCAGGAGGCTGAGGCAGGAGAATCGCTTGAACCCGGGAGGCAAAGGTTGGAGTGAGCCAACATCACACCACTGCACTCCAGCCTGGGCAACAAAGTGAGACTCCGTCTCAAAACAACAAAAAAAAGTTATCAGAACTGTGTTTAATTTATGCAAAAAGTTAAGTAGAGACATGGAAAATATAGAAAAGATCCAAATATAAAGTATAACTTCCAGAGACGAAAACCAAGGTACCTGAGACACGAACACACTGTGCAGGATCGATGGCAGATGGAAGCTGCAGAAGAAAAGAGGAGGGAAGTTCCAGCAATAGAAAAGGTCCACAGTGAAACACGGGGACAAAAGAATTTTTAAGAAATTAAAAGACCATCAATGATCAGTGAGACAACATAAAGTGGGCAAATATATATGTAATTGCTGTGCCCAAAGGAGGAGAGACAGAAAAAATATTTGAAAAAACATGTCCCCAAATATTCCAAATTTTATGAAAACAACAAGCCCACAAAGCCAAGTTCAATCACCCCAAGTACAAGACACAGATGATGAAAACCACGCAGAGATGCATCATCATTAAATTGTTCAAAATTAGTGGAAAAGGGAAATCTGGCAAAGTCAGGAAAGGTAATCAATAAAGCAGCCAGGAAAAAAAAATAGACACTTTAGACAGAGGAGAATAAAGGACAACAGCAGGTTCATCCTCAGAAACAACGTGAGCAGAAAGGTTTTGGAGCAATAGCCTTAAAAGTCGACCTAGAATTCTATACCCAGCAAAACTATCCTTCACAAACGAAGACAAGCCTTCCAGCCTGGGCTCAATGAAGAGAGTTGAAAAGACCATCACGCCCATGCTTACAATGAAGGAAACATGGGAAAGCCTGGAAATGCGCACCTTCTGGAACTTATCAGAAAGCTCAGCTCTCAGCCAACCACTCATTCCAAATCTGTGGAGATACAGTGACCAGGCTCTGGATGCAAGACACAGGACCCGAGCCTTTGGTTGCCTGGCACACACTGCTGGATGCTGAATAAGCCAGGAAGAAGATCCGGCTAAATGTTGGCACATTCTAAAGTCTACGTGAGGCCAGTCTGACCCTGGGAACCTCCATGAAGACATGGGCGTGGAGGGTCTGCCTTTTGCAGGGCCCACCAGGGGCTCACAGGAAAGGTCGTGGAAAATTACAAGAAATCTTCCCTCTGGCACTAGCGGGTGAGGGGAATGGAAGCCACCGCCAGACAGCACCATCTCCTCACCCTCCTGTGAAGCACAAGACTCACTTGCAGAGGGAAGAGCGCAGAAACCGTCACCCCAGGACGCTGCGGTTGAACGAGAGGAAGCGAGAATGGAGAAGCCCTGGCCCTGGGGAACAGGATGGAAAACGCTTGGCTCAGCTCCGTGGCTGCGAAGGAACCGGCGCGCTCGCGGAGGCCACACCCCGAGACCCGAGGACACAGTGCCTGCCTGAGATGGAGCCAGAAACATTCTCCACCCTTTCACGCAAGACTAACAAGGGCTCCATGAAAATAAAACTGGAAGAGCTGAAAGAGAAGCATTCTCCCTGGGTGTGAAACCAAGAAAAGACACAAAGCCAAGGAAAAGCCATTGAGAAAACACCTGGCACACGGCCTATCCCCTAAACACAGAAGATAACCATAGAAACAACCTCAAACCAAGTCCAAGTCCTGACTTCATTGATAAAACCTCCACACCAAAGACCTAGAGAAGGAAGGGCAGGTCATCACCAAGCATAAAGCCGCTCATGGCAATATCTACTTTCCTCCACAAAATGCCTGCCTTCCTGTAAAAAATTATAAGACATGTGAAAAGCAGGAACAAACACACTCCCAAGAGGCAAAATAATCATCTAAACCAGAATTGGGCATGACACTGATGTTGGGACTATCAGGCAGGGAACTTAAATAACCTTGAGTAGTATGTTAAGGGCTCTAACGGAAAACGTAGACGATGTACAAGATGAGATGAGTAATTTCCTCAGGGAGATGGAAACGATAAGAAAGAACCAGATGGAAAGACGTCAAACCAGGCTACAGAGATGAAAAATGCTTTTGATGGGGCAGTAGACGCAACACAGTGGAGGAAAGGGTCAGTGAACATGAGAATAGATCAATACCTAATAACCAACACACACACATGCACGCACGTGCACGCCCACACACGCACACCCACACATGCACAAACATGCACTCACATGCACACCACACATGCACAAACTTGTGCACACACATGCACACGCACATGCACACCCGCACACGCACGTGCATGCCCACACACGCACACACATATGCACACACAGGCACACACATGCACACCCACACACGCACATATATGCACATGCATGTGCACGCCCACACACATGCATACACACATGCACGCCCACACACGCATATATGCACATGCATGTGCATGCCCACACATGCACATGCACACATATCCACACACCCACATATATGTGCATGTCCACACACAAATACATATGTGCATGCACACACAAGTACACACCATGCACGTGCACGCCCACACATGCACACACGTACGTACGCACACACATGCACGCACATGTACAAACGTGCACAAACATACATATGCATGCATATGCACAGTCACAGGTGCACGTGCAAGACCCGATGCGCATACATGCACACGTGCACAAACAGGCACACACACGCACGTGCACACACCCACCCACACATGTATGCACATACAAGCACAAACACGTGCATGCCCACACACACATGCACACACACGTACACACACACACGCGCACACACACGCCCCCACACACACATATGCACATGCACGTGCATGCCCACACACGCAAACACGCTAATCACACACATGCACAAGCACATACGTGCCCACACACATACACAGGCGCATGCACACACACACACATACACGTGCACACACGTGCATGCCCACACACACACACACACGCACATGTACACACAGCAGGGAGGGGAAGGCAGAGCATCCAAGAACAGAAGGAAAAGAGAAAATAGGGAAGAGCCATTTGGAGAATAATGGCTGTATCTTTTTCAAAATTAATGACAAGCACTAAGCCACACATCTAAAAAACTTAACACTAAGTAGGGCAAATACCAAAAATAACTGCCCCTAGGCATATCAAATTCAAACTTTTGAAAACTAAAGGCAAAGGTAGCCCTGGCGCAGTGGCTCACACCTGTAATCCCAGCACTTTGGGAGGCCGAGGAGGGTGGATCACTTGAGGTCAGGAGTTCGAGACCAGCCTGCCCAACATGGCAAAACCCCATCTACTAAAAAGACAAAAATTAGCCTGATGTGGTGGTGCACGCCTGTAATCCCAGCTACTCAGGAGGCTGAGGCACGAGAATTGCTTGAACCCAGGAGGCAGAGGCTGCAGTGAGCTGAGATTTCACCACTGCACTCCAGCCTGGGTGACAGAGCCAGACTCCATCTCAAAAAAAGAAAAAAAGAAAGCCAAAGGCAAAGTAGAACTCCTGGAGGCATCCATTGGCCTGGGAGTGCGGGTGTGGTGGGGACACAATATCTATAGAGGAACAGGATCTAAGAATCACAGCTGACTTCTTGTCATAAATCACTCAAGGAAGCAGACAATGGAGTAACACCTTTAAATTACTGAGAAACAAAACAAAACTGTCAACCCAGAATTCATTCGCCAGTAAAACTATCCACCAAATCTGAAGGATTCAGTCTTTCTCTGGCAAACAAAACCCGAGGGAACGCGTGGCCCTCAGATCTACTCGACAAGAAATGCTGAAGGAATTCTTCGGGCAGAGGCAGCAGCTTGGCTCTACACAAAGCAATGAAGAGTGTTGGAAATTGAGTAAAATAATTCAAAATAAAGTTTACTTTTTCTTACTTTTACTTGCTCTAAAATATAATTAACTGTCTAAAGCAAAAAACAGAAGCAAAGTATTTTGTGTTTATAGCACCTATAAATGTAAAATATGCAATAATTCCCAATATTGCAAAGGATGTGAAGGAGGACCTGAGACTGTTCAATTACTCCAAGAGAAGATTAAAAAAAAAAAAAGAGGCAAGAAGAAACCGAGCCAAATGGAACAAATACAAAATAGCTAGCAAGATGGTGGATTTTAATCCAACCATATCAATAATCACTATAAATGTGAGTGAACTAAAAGCACCAGTTAAAAATAGATTGTCGGATTGGATTTTAGGAAACAATATCTAACTATGGTGTGTGAAAAAAAGTCACCTTCAGTATAAAGACAAAGATAGGTAAAAAGCTGAAAGATGGAAAAAGATACACTATATAAACACTAAGCCAAAGAAACCTGGAGTAACTCTGTTAACATCAGAATAAGTAGCTTCAGAACAAAGGATATTATCAGGGATAAAGAGGAACACTTACCTCATGATAAAAAGGTCAGTTCTCCAAGAAGACATAACCATCCTAAATGTGTAGTCAGCTCATAACAGAGTCTCAAAATACATGAAGTAAACACTGAGAGAATTAAAAGGAGAACCTGGGAAATCCACAGTTATAGCTGGAAACGTCAGCACTCCCCCAGCAGTCACTGATGGAACACTTAGGTAGAAAATCAGTAACATCTTGGCCAACATGGTGAAACCCCATCTCTATTAAATACAAAAAATTAGCCAGGTGTGGTGGTGGGCACCTGTGATCCCAGCTACTCGGGAGGCTGAGGCAGGGGAATCGCTTGAACCCAGGAGGCAGAGGTTGCAGTGAGCTCAGATGGTGCCACTGCACTCCAGCCTGGAAGACAGAGCGAGACTCAAAAAAAAAAAAAGAAGAAGAAGAAGAAGAAAAGAATATCAGTCACAATACACATGACCTTAACAACCTCAACTAATTGGAACTAACTGACATGTATAAAACAAAATAACACACAGAGACCCAGCAGCACCTTCCTCTCAGATGCACATGGAGATTCACCAAGATAGCCTATATTCTGACCATAAAACAAACTTTAAAATTTAAAAGAATAGAAATCATACAAAGTATGGTCTTAGAACATAAAGAAATTAAACTAGAATTAAATAACGATATGTGTGAAGTCTCACAAATATTTGGAAATTGAATAGCACACTCTAAAATAATCCATGAAAGAGCAAGTCTCAAGAAAAATTTGAAAATATTTTGAACTGAAATGAAAATGTAAAGAATAACATCAAAATTTGTGGTAGGTAGGTAAAGCTGTGCTTAGAGGAAAATTTATAGTATTAAATTATTAGAAAAAGAAGAAATATTTCAAATAAGTAACCCAAACTTCTACCTAAAGAAACTAAAGATGAAGAGAAAATTAAACGTAAAGAAAGCAGAAGGAAGGAAGTAATAAAGATTACAGAAAAAATCAATGAAATTGAAAACAAAGTCAACCAAACCAAAATCTGGTTCTTTGAAAAAATAAAATTGATAAACCTTAGACAGACTGAGCAATAAAAAAAAAAAGAAAGAAGAAGGCTGGACAAGGTGGCTCACGCCTGTAATCCCAGCACTGAGGGAGGCCAAGACAGGGGGATCACTTGAGGCCAGGAGTTCAAGACCAGCCTGACCAACATGGTGTAACCTCGTCTCTACTAAAAATACAAAAATTAGCCGGACGTGGTGGCAGGCACCTGTGACCGCAGCTACTCGGGAGGCTGAGGCAGGAGAATCGCTTGGACCCGGGAGACAGAGGTTGCAGTGAGCTGAGATCACACCATTGCACTCCAGCCTGGGCAACAGAGTGAGACGGTTGCAAAAAGAAGATGCAAATTATATCAGGAACAAAAGAGGGGGACCTCACTCTCAATACTAGTTATTAAAGGAACAATAAAAAAATACTAGGGACAACTCTACACCCAGGTTCAACAACTTAAGTGGACTAATTCCTTGAAAGACACAAACTACCAAAACTCTTCCGAGGTAGTCCTATGCCTATTAAATAAATTGAATTTGTAGTTAAAAGCCTTTCAAAAAAGAAAATTTTAGGCTCCTATGGTTCCACTGGTAAATTCTAACAAACGTGTAAGGAAAGAGTAACCCACTGGGAAGTTCGAACAGACATATAAGGAAGGGGTAATGCCAGTGTTACACAATCAGGTTCAGGAAAGAGGAGTCGTTGTGTATCTGTTGCTGAGTAACAAATTGTGCTAAAACATAGTGGCTTAAAAATAATGATAACCATTTATCGTCTCAGTTTCTGCAGCTCAGGAGTCGGACGGCACGCAGCCGATCTCCACTCCCAACGTGCAGGGCCTCTGCCATAAGCCTTGAAGGCACTCATTCACTCACGCATCGGGGGCTAGTACAGGCTGTGACAGAGGCCTGAGCTGGAACTGTTGACCAGGACACACACATGGCCATGTGGCCTCTGGGCTTCCTCACAGCATGGTGTCTGGATTCCAGGAGTTGGCATCCTGAGAAACAACCATGCAGAAGCAGCCCTATGGATCCTGGCCTGGCCTTGGAGTCAGGCAGTGTCACTCCTGTGCCTTCTAACCTGGGCCCCCGGGCCCAAGGGGAGGAAATGGAGACCCCACCTCCCAGTGGAGGGAAGGCAAGGTCCCACTGTGGGGGTAGCACATGGGATACACCCATGTGGCTGCCGCTGGAGACGTTAGTTTGCCACACCCGTTTCTTCTACGTGAACATTTGCCTGCATCTCACCTTCTAACTCCTGGGTGCTGTTTGTCCATTTTCACTACACCAGGGGCCCCCACAGTATATGCAGACCAGGTTTCCTGGCCTCAGAGTCCTGGCAGGACCCGTCTGAGGGGAAGGTCCAGGTTGGTCCCCGGGCAGACAGACAGTCCTCTGAGCAGCGCCCACATCCCCACGGAGGCCACAGCACCCAGCCTGCCACTTAAAGAGGCCCCTCAGGTTCCCTCTGGCCTAGCCTGCACTGTGGAGGGTGGGGGTCTCACAAGCACAGAAGGAAGAACACAGGTGTGGCCCACAGACCTCCACCTCCTGGCTACATCTTGAGGGCTGAGCAGGGGCTGGGGGGCACTGGGGCCTGTGGCTCCTCCCAAACCCCTACAGGGGCTCCTCCATGCTCCCCTCACTCTGCCCTCCTCAGATTCAGCGCTCCTCAGGGCAGCCCAGGCAAAGCCCGCCACCCCTGAGAAGGCACAGGGTTGCGGAAGCACCTGCCTCCACACACACACTCTCCAGCCACGCTGGCCTGTGCTGGATCCTGGGACCTCACCCATTCACCTATGGCAGGAAGTGACCCCATCTTGGGTAGTGACCATCTGGGGCTGGTGTTGTGTGGGCCATAAAAAGAATTTACCAAAACAGTTGTAGGTAAAGAAAGGCAGATTTATTAGAGAAAGTAGAAAATGTGCATAGCACAGAAGCAACGGGCAGGTCAGCAAGGGAGGAGCCGAAGCAAGGGGCAGGTCAGCAAGGGAGGAGCCGAAGCAAGGGGCAGGTCAGCAAGGGAGGAGCCGAAGCAAGGGGCAGGTCAGCAAGGGAGGAGCCGAAGCAAGGGGCAGGTCAGCAAGGGAGGAGCCACTGCAAAGAAATGAGGGCTTGCTGGGGATGTTATAGGACGGCGCCTGTGCTGTGTGCTGGAGAGGGCCACAGGCAGTACTGATAACGCCAAGGTTGCAGTCAGCTAACATCCATTCTCCTATCAGCCAAGGGTCTGGCAATAGCCGGGCACAGGAAGATTGTGAGTTATTTCTTCAGGAGGGCTGTGTGTCCTGGACAGTGAAGAAGGGCAGACTTAAAGCTTCTTTGCTTCTTCTTTTTGCCTTCCCTCTGTCCTGCCAGCCCGACTCCTTTTCCCTCATTAGGATTCCACACCCCCCACCCCCACATGTCAGGGCACAGCCGGGCTGACCAGCTCCACCCGCTCTGCTGGGCCCTCACTGAGTCTCAGTCTTCTCATGTGTGACACAGGCAAGGTGAACATGGTGGACATGTGTCAGGCGGGCGCCTGGGCCTAGAGGAGGAAGGAGCAGGGCCATTGTGGGGGCGCAGGCTGGGCCTGGCTCCTGGGGCCTGGGCCCAGCTCCTGGGGCCTGGGCCCAGAGGAGGAAGGAGCAGGGCCGGTGTGGGGGCGCAGGCTGGGCCTGGCTCCTGGGGCCTGGACCTAGAGGAGGAAGGAGCAGGGCCGGTGTGGGGGCGCAGGCTGGGCCTGGCTCCTGGGGCCTGGGCCCAGAGGAGGAAGGAGCAGGGCCGGTGTGGGGGCGCAGGCTGGGCCTGGCTCCTGGGGCCTGGACCTAGAGGAGGAAGGAGCAGGGCCGGTGTGGAGGTGCAGGCTGGGCCTGGCTCCTGGGGCAATAATTGCTGTGGGCGGGGAGTGCCAGGGCTGGGCCATGGCCCCCTAGGCTCTCTGTGCACAGCCCCCCAGTAGGCCCGTGGGACTTGCAGGCTCTCAGCAAATCTCCCGTCAGAAGCTGGTGGCTGCAGGTTTGACACCCCGTCGTCCCATGGAGTTAGCGAGCACCCATTCTGCACCTGCTGTGTACGCGGCAGGATCCGGGAGGCAGTGCCAGCCCTCAGGGAGGACGGAAGGGTGGATGGATGCGTGGTGGCTGCTCCCGGCTGCAGGGAGCATACAGCACAGGCGGACTGGACACCAGCTGAATAGCCTGTCCTGCGCTGTGCTGGGGTGCAAGGGAATGAGCCACGTCAGCCCCGACCCAAGTGGAGCTGACCAGGGCTGCGTCCATGAAATGATGGAGGAGCCAGGTGTGGTCAGAATTTGCCAGGGAACAGTGACCCTCCAAGAGGGCCGCTCAGGGAAGCTTCATAGAGGAAGCAGCGCTTGGGCGAGGACTTGGGGTTGGGGGAGGGCCAGGAAGGGGAGCTGCGTCCTTCCAAGACAAGGGGGCTGGAGGGCTCGGTGGGAGCAGAGGCGGGGCCGCTCCATGAGCTACACAGCACCAAGTCTGCGCCTGGGTGGTCTCAGGTCCCAGAGCCTCCCTCTGGCAGGGCAGGCAATGAGGCAGGTGGCCCATCCGGGGATCACTGCCTGAGCAACCAGCAGGATTTGGTCTCCGGCCAGCAGCAGGGAGGAAGTTAACATAAATCCATTCCAATGCAAATGTCAAACCAACCGTGCGCAGGAAAACTTAGCAGCTCTGAATGTCAAGGAGGGAGTCCCGGCTCTAGCTGGTGGCGCGGCTTGGCTGAGCTGTTTCCTCCAGCTCCTGGGCTGTGGGAGGAGGCTGCTGGCGTGCGGCCACTGCCTGGCGCAGAGGGGCTGCCAGGACCTTTGAGAACTGAGGCACACCCGGGAGATGATCTGGGGACTCGTCGCTGGAGGGAAGGAGCCCCAGCAAACACAGCCCAGTCCAGGGACTCTTGTCTGCATAGCCTCTGAGACACGCGGGAGCTGGTGCGCCCAGGGGGCCTCCCCTTGAGACCAGGGCTGCTGATGACAGAGCCAGGATGCAGAGCAGAAGGCAAATCCTGCAGCGGCAGGATGGCATCTGAGCCAAGGCTGAGGAAGCAGCACCAGAATTCGCCATCAGGCCGGGAAAAGGCGGAGGCGCTGGTGGGCCTCAGTCCCCCGGACACCACCTGGCTGCATTATGAGAGATCTCCTGTTTGGACAGGGGAGGGTCTGGGGCCACCGCCTGGGTGTGGTGCCCGGGGTCCTGAGTCCAGGCGGGGGCTCCACCCTGAGGCGTGCGTGGGTGACGGGCTCCCAAGACATGACCACGCTGGGTGTGAAGACAAGGCCACGTGAGGCCGGAGGACAGTGCAGGCCAAACCGAGGCCAAGCGACCACTCCTCATGAGGCTGCAGGGACCAACCCGGCACGCAGAGAGGCACGAGGTGACATCCGAGGCAGGGAGCACATCCAGGGCCACGAAGGATGGCATTGCGGAGAGACCGGGCGCCGTGTGCTCTCCACCCTCAGAGCCACCCCCAGACCCTGCTCGCCCTTCAGTCCCCCTCCAGCAGGTGCGGCCTCACCTCTTTCCCTGCCCCCACTGCATGCAGCAGGTGCTCCATAGGTGCTCCTGCTCATGTGAGAGGCTGGTGCAGCTCCCTCTCTCTGCTGGCTGACGGCAGACCCAGGGGTCCCCGCCCAGGGTCACTCCAGGCAGGAGGCGACACTCGGCACAGTCCTTGTCTCCTGAGATGAACTCTTGAGATGAACCATTTTCCTTTTAAATTGAAAAAGAAATGAAGTGTTTTGCATTTTATTAAAGCAGACACGGCTGCAGCCGGGTAGGGCTCCCAAGGACTCAGCCAAGCTTGGGTGCTGGGACTTTCCGGTGGTCACTGTCAGAGAATCCCCAAGCCTGGGGACATGGCCCCGGCTGGAGGGAAGGAGGGGGAGCGGATGGAAACAGAACCAACACCCGCAGGACGCAGCTCCAGGCAGGGGACGGGGGGCGGTGTAGGGGGCACTGGTTCAGGGTAACTGGGGGGCTCCAAGGAGGAGGCGGGGCTGGAGGTGGACTGGGAGGGGCCAGGAAGTTCAGGAAGGTTCTAGAAGAGAGTAGAGAGGGAAGAAGGCAGGTATGGGGATGGCATAGAGAGCCGCCCTCGGAGGGTCCCAGTGCTGCTGGGATTTTCCCGTGGGCCATGCAGACTTCAGGGCAAGGAGCACCACAGTTGGGGGGTCCGCGGGCAGCAGCCATGAGGGAGGAGGCGGCCGGGGCTGCAGGAGGAGGTGCGGGCCCAGTGGAGGGGAGGGGCTGCAGGAGGAGGTGCGGGCCTGGCCGGGTGGAGGGGCTGCAGGAGGTCCTGGACAGACAAGCTCACAGGAGCAAGTGCGGAAGCCCAGCTCTGTACACACGGAAGAAGCTTCCGGTTAGAATCCTTAAACCGGCAGCTTGTGGGTTGGTCTGAGAAGATCCAGGTGCTTACAACTGGTGTGTGTCTTAGGGGCTCCTCCTCAGTGAACTCCTGTTCCGCCTTTGAGAGCACCTGGGTCTCTCAGTGGTGTGGACATCTGAGGTTGGTGGTTGGGGCAGGTGGGTGCTGGAAGGTGAGAGGTGCCTGTTGTCTGCCCCTCAGGGACCCCTGGTGACCTGGTGGTTCTGAGTCCTGCCAGGAGTGGGGACCGCGGGCGGCCAGACTCCGGGTTCTGCCCACAGACTGGCTATTTCCCTGGGCCCCCTTGTTCTACTTTTGGGCCTCAGTTTCCAATTCTTCAAACCAGCAGGTTGATGCTGTGGGCCCTTCCTACAGCACAGTGGTACCGCCCCAGAGCCAGGGGAAGGAGGCGAGGAGGGTGTGGACCAGGCGCAGGGCTGTGTGGGGTCAGCTCCCGGGTGTGGAAGGTGATGGAGGGGCAGAGAGTGAGGAGCAGGAGCTGACCGGGACAGGGGCTGGAGCGGGGCTGTGCTGGCATGTCCACACTGGACACAGGATGAGGCCATCTGGGAAGTGCCAGAAGGTGATTCCAAGACCTCCAGGCCATGAAGGATGAGGGAGCCCTGGAATCCCCGGCCCAGCGCCCAGGCCTCAGTATGCTCAAAACTGACAAAGTTCTTATAGCTGCTAAGCCCAGTTTTGGGCCCCAAGGAGATGACCATGGGCTTGTCAAGGTCCCCTCTGCTGGCCAAGACCCAGCCCAGGAGGAAGAGGGCTCTGCCCTTGTCGTTTGTTTAAATTGTGAAATACACAGCATAAAATGTACCATCATCACCATTTAAAGCATGAAGTTCAGTGGTTTAAGTACAGCACATTCCCACTGTTGTGTGAACTTTGCCACCGTCCATCTCCAGGACTTTCATCTTCCCAAACTGAGACTCTGCCCCCATTAAACACTCACCCCCATTTCTCCTTCCCAGCCCCTGGCACCCACCTCCTACCATCCGTCTCTGAACCCGGCTACTCTAACACCTCCTAGAGGTGGAATCGTCCTACCATCCGTCTCTCTGAATCTGAATCCGGCTACTCTAATACATCCTACAGGTAGAATTGTACAGTGTTTGCCCTTTTGCGACCGGCTTATTTCACTTTGTAAAATGTCCTCAAGGTTGTCAGTGTTGTGGCCTGTGTCAGGATTTCTCTCCTCCTGAGGCTGAGTAAATTCCATGGCACAGATGGACCACGCTGGCTCATCCTCCTGGGCTGCCTCTGCCTCTCGTGAATGACGCTGCTGCCTACCTGGGTGTGCACGTCTCGGCCAGACCCCGCGTTCAGGTGTTGGGGGCCTGTGCCCCGACGTGGGGTTGCTGGGTCGTCTGGTAATTTTATGCGGAATGTTTGGAGGAGCCGCTGCCTGTGTGTTCTCTGCAGCGGCTGCGCCATGTCACCTCCCCATCAGCAGCGCTGGGCTCCCGCGTCTGCACGCGCTCACCACGCTTGTTCCTGCCTTTCTTTCCACAGCTGTCCCATGGCCAGGTGTGTTTGTTAAGTAGGACTCAGCCCTGCACCCAGAGCACCCTCCCTCAAGTGCTCATCCTGCCCCCCACCCTGTCTGGCGGCGGGCCCCCAGCTCCAGCCACGGTCTCCTCCCAGGCATCGGAACTTCCCGGAAGCCAGTTTGCCCTCCCAGTCCAAGTTAACGTGCCCTGGGAAGCCCATTCAGACCCAGAGCCAAAACTGGGTCACCATGGGATGCTGGGTGTGCATGGCGAGCTCCGGGTCCTCCCACAGCTCCAGTTCTGAGGGGCCCACACCAGCTGCCCTCTGCTCCTCCGTCAGGAATGGGCCCCGAAGCTAGCCAGGATGGTCAAGAGAGGTCTTCCAGAGCACCCTGCTGAGCAGTGCCAGGCTGGAGGGACGCTGGCTGAAGGGCGCCAGCCGGGCACCCACCCGCCACCTCGGGCTGATGGAGAGATGACCCGCCCTGGCCCTGTCCTCGTTGGCGATGGATGCCCCTAGGGACAGCGGCGTGAAGCTCTGCCCCACTGTGCCCTCCCCCAGTCACCATCCGTGCACAGCCCAGCAATGGCCCGGGGCAGCTGCCCTGGGGGGCCCCGCACGTCCCTAGCGCCCTCCTCCCAGCACAAGTGCCCCGAGTCTTGAGCAGGCGTTTCTGTTCGCCTGTCCCTCTCCGGAGCAGCAGGCGGTGACCTGTTGAATTCTGTAATTCCTGCGCTGGGTCTGGGCTTCAGGCTCCGTGAGCCCAGGCTCCTGTTGGACTCAGTCTGTGGGAGGTCTTGGGGCGAGCGCCTGTTTGGTGAATGATGAATGAGTGAATGAATGAGTGAATGAGTGAATTCGTGCAGCCACCTGCTGCAATGTCTCTGGGCCTGTTTTCAGGCCTGTCATAATCAGGGGCAGAGCCAATTCTGAGAATTTAGGTCACAATTCTAATCCCACGTGTCCTTGGGCCTCCAGGTGCTGGCCAACCCCTGCATACCAGGGGTGCTGGTGTCCAGGTGGCTGCTGTGGCCTCAGCAGAGGGCAGGCAAGGAGCGGGCCAGGGGGACTGGACAGCCCGAGGCCACCAGGCCAGGACAGAGTCCAGGCTACAGCCGACTGAAGCCATGGAACGGCCCCTCCCGGTTCGGCCCCACAGGAGCCCCCACCCAGGAGCCAGGAGCCAGGCCTAGAGAGCCTGGGATCTGTGTGCCTGTCCAGCTTCACCCGCCTTGCTCGCGGAAGGGCACACACAGAGGGACGGGGACTAACGCATGCACCTCCGTGGTGTGCCCAGAGCTGCGGCCGTGGCCTCCCTGTGGGGCAAAGCCAGGTTGTCTCAACTCAGCTGTAGGTTTAGCCGAGCAGTTCCCGCCCAGGGTGCAGGTCGGGTGGGCCTTTCAGGGCCTCGGCTGCCAGGTGTAGTGGGTGCCCACGGGGAGGAGTGGGTGCCCACAGGGAGGAGCGGGTGCCCACGGGGAGGAGCGGGTGCCCATGGGGTTCTCCTCTGGGTGAGCCCTGCAACCAGGCAGGCTTCCTAGGCTTGGCCACCAGCTGGGGGGTGTGGGGTCTGTCCCTGGAGGGGGCCGTGGGGTCCATCCCTGGAGGGGTGTGGGGTCCATCCTTGGAGGGGGCCGTGGGGTCTGTCCCTGGAGGGGGCTGTGGGGTCCGTCCCGAGAGGGGAGCGTGGGGTCCATCCCCAGTGAGACCCCTGCAGGCCCAGCTCATGGTGGGGCTCCGCACTCTCTGGCTGGCCCTGGACAGGGGACTCTTGAGTTCCCCTGGAGACCCTTTGGGCAGATGGGCCCCCCACCATGCTTCCCATCACCACGTTGACCATGGCCCCCTCTAGCCCTTCTCAGACCCTCACACGTGCCTCTGTCCCCGTGTCCCCTTCAGACTGGAGCATTCGGGGGCTCCTGCAAATGCCCCTTTGTGAGTGAACCCGCAGGTGTGGGGAAGCGCCCAGCAGCCCTCATGGAACTCGGGATCACGGCAGGAAGGGGGCAACGTGGATGGACACCTGCACCCTGTGTGGGGGTATAAATCACCCTACAGGGCGCTCGTCACCTGGCCAGCCAGGTAGGATGTCAAGATCGCCACGGAGCCCCCCAGCTGAGGGCCTCAGCGAGCGTGGGGAACAGGAGGGCTTGTCCAGAGGCCAGAGATGAGCAGAGGAAGATTTGGGCAGGGAGTGGGGGCAGGGAGACAGACAAGCAGACGGGGGCCAGGCCAACAACAGGAGGTACCCAAGTGGACACATGGTGACCGGCGATCCTGCCCGGGCGAGCTGATGGACCACAGGTGCCCCAGCGGCAGGCCCAGGCCCCAGCATCTTTCTGGGTGGCTGCAGGCCTCAGAGGGGAGGGAGAGCTCGGCGCCCCAAGAGAGAGCCCAGGGACCACAGCAGCCCCACAGCGGCCCCTCCTCTGGCCAGAGCCCTAGGACCCAGCCGCCCCTGCTCCTCACTCACTGTGGCCCCCAGCCCCACTGTTTCACAACACCCCAGCTCGTTCGTGCCCTGAGGAGAGGGACCATCCGTCCCCACACCCGGTCCACAGCACCGCACCCGACTCAGCCCCAGCATCGACCAGAAGTCCCCGGCCCTCAGACCGGCCGCCCAGAGACAGTGGGAGTGAGGAGGCCACACACCGTCCAGGTTGAATCACTGCGTTTTACTGAGTGCACAGGTCCACCTGGCGTCCGAACTCGTCCCCGTGGCAGCAGGGATCCCCAGAACCTTCCACGGCCATCGCGGCCGCAGGACCCCACACCCGAAGTCCCCCGCAAACCCGCACTGGCGCATTCTTACGGCTCTGGCATCAACCTGTCCGTGTGAGTAAGTTAATATCTCAGCTAATCTGTTAGAAAACTAGAGTTCATTCCCTGGGCGTCTATCCCTAGAAAATGGACGGTGCACAAAGTTGAGATTGAAGTGTGCGGGGTAACACATCCACCAAAAAAAGGCCTGGTCACTACGGCACAAGGACACATACAAAATGGTCAGAAGTGTACGTCGGTACTGAAGGCATTATGAAATGTTCTTTGGAGCATGAACAAAAGTGCAGACAGCCAGAGGCAACGGCGCAAATGGGGAAGCTGCAGCCACCGTCACGGCCAGAGGATGGCAGACTGCAATGGCGTGGGGCGCGGGCATGGCGGGCACACGTGGGCCGTGTGGATCCCGGGCAGAGGGATGGCGTCCAGCGGGACCACCAGCTCTGGGCGCCTCAGTGCGAGACCCCTCCGTGAGACCCCTCCTGCCCTGCGCGTGTCTCTGGAGCCCGTCCCTTGGGCCCCTCGCCCGCCCCACCTGTTCGCAGGGTCCAGGGCGTCCGTACCTGGCACAGCCAGGGGGCATGGGGCGACCTCAGGGAGTTCCTGTCCACATGCATTAAGGCAACGACTTTGTAAAACCCAGGCGGAGTTGGCGTGTGGCGATGGCGATGTGCACGTGCCTGCCTGGTAGCCCCGGGGACCGGCCCCTCCTTGCTGGCGCCTGGCCGAGAGTCAGACGCTGAGGACCTCTCAGGACGGGGCCCCTGGCCAGAGCCAGTCTCCTCGGCCAGCCAGGGGCACCACGGCAAGTGTCCAAGCCCAGAGCACACTCAACTCCACCCCACAAACGCCTTTTAAAACTCTGAAGAGGCCCCTCCATCCCAAATGGTCCCCTCCCGTCTCTCCTCCTCCACCGTTGCCCACAACCTCCCCCGGCGATGTCACCTCCTCCCAGGGTCGGCCGTCAGCCCCCACCCTTACAAGACGGCAAAGTTCAGCAAACTGGAACCCCCATTCACTCATGCTCCCGGGTCATGGAAAGCTCCTGGGTGTGCAGCTTCTCTAGGTCTCCCGGAGGGACAGGAACCTGCGTATTCCCTCGACCCCGGAGTCCACCATCCCACATCCTTCAGGAAGCCGCCCTGGCTGTCTCTCCGGCTGCTTAGCGCTTTGCTGGGGCCGAGGTGGAGACTGCGCGCTGGGTGGGAATGCAGGATGGCTGCCCGGCACAGCCACACAGGCTCCCCAGGCGGCCATTCCGTCCTGCAGCCCCTAAAGGCCCTGACCAGGCCTCTTCACGCCACCCCCATGCCCTGGACATACGTGCATGTGACCTGGGAGTTCTGCATGGGTGTGGGGGTTGGGGGAGGCACCGGACAGGATCAGAGGACACTGGGGGCACCCGTGCACTGAGCACCCACCCCTCAGAGCTCAGCCCCCTGCTGGGCACCCTCCACAGCAGGTCCAAGCCTCGTGAGCTGTCCCTCTCACACCACGTCTGCTGGGCACCCTCCATGGCAGGTCCAAGCCTTGTGAACCGTCCCTCTCACACGTCTGCCGGGCACCCTCCACCAGGTCCAAGCCTCGTGAGCCATCCCTCTCATACCACGTCTGCTGGGCACCCTCCACGGCAGGTCCAAGCCTCATGAGCCATCTCTCTCCCACCACATCTGCCGGGCACCCTCCATGGCAGGTCCAAGCCCTGTGAACCATCCCTCTCACACCACGTCTGCCGGGCACCCTCCATGGCAGGTCCAAGCCCTGTGAGCCGTCCCTCTCACACCACGTCTGCTGGGCACCCTCCACCAGGTCCAAGTCTCGTGAGCCGTTCCTCTCACACCACGTCTGCTGGGCACCCTCCACAGCAGGTCCAAGCCTCGTGAGCCGTCCCTCTCACGCCACGTCTGCCGGGCACCCTCCACGGCAGGTCCGAGCTTTGTGAACCGTCCCTCTCACGTCTGCTTTGAGGGTTTGTGTCAATGGGGCTGTGCAGCATCAACCTGTGATCTTGCCAATGCCCCAGCCTCTGCTCTGTACGGCATTCATAGCTCAGGAGGGCGGGGACAAGGGCGTTTCTGCAAAGCTCTCACAGCTCCTTCTGCTCCTCGGCTTCTGGGAAGCAACTAGAAATAGCTGAGAGCCCAGCTCTTTCTAGAGAGAAGGGGGTGTCCTTTATGGGGGTCCCTGACTGTGGGGGACCGAGCCCAGCTGGAGTCCTCCTCCCCTTCTCTCCGGCAGCAGGTCTCTCTGGCAGCAGGGTCTGGAATCTAGAAACACTGAGACCTCCAGCCCCGAAGGGGGCAAACATTAAACCACACGCCCTGGCTGTGCCTCTCCTCCGGGCGGGACTTGGGGTGATCAGACCCACAGCTCAAAGGGTGCCCCCTGGAGAAGCCCTCACAGTGCCTGGGGTGATTTCAGCCTCCAAGGGGGGGCTTGAGACGAGGCCCCCCAAAAGGTAGGGGCATCGCTGAGGGGCAGCGTGTCCTCCGGTGGGGGGTGTTGGGCACCTGCCCTGCTCAGACGGCTGTGTGCAGGAGGCATGGGAGGAGCCCTCCCCCAGCGTGTCCCAGCCGTGGTGGCAGCTGGAAGACTCACGGACTGTGATTTTATGCAGAGGGAGAAGGAGAAGCTGGGCCAGGAAACCACAACAGGCAGCAGCACCTGCCTGGGCTGGGGCCTGGGATTCGAGGCTGAGCCACCCATCCCAGGAGGGCCCAGCACCTCCAGGGCAGACCAAACACAGGACCCAACCGGACACCCATACAGACACCGGGGCACCTTGGCATCTGGTAGAGCCCCTCCTCTGGATGGCTGCCAGGCTGTGGGAGGGAAGGGCAGCACGAGACCCTGATTGGGCTCTGCCTGGCGCTCTGCCACTGCGGACCAGGAGCCCGGACAGTCGGATACCCCACGACGGCGCTTGACATTCCAGCATCACCACGACCCCTAAAGCCACAATTACTCCTTGTAGCCCCTCCCCAGGCAGCTTACACTCAGCAGGGTCAAAGAGAAAGACCAGAGACAGAAGGGCTCCAAGGCTGGAAGTGCGAGGAGTGTGCATGCACGCGTGTGTGTGTGCATGTGTGCAGTGTGCTCTGTGCACTTGTGTGTGCTGTGTGGTCTGTGCACCTGTGTGCATGTGCTGTGTGGCCTATGCACTTTGTGTGTGCATGTGTTAGTGCTGTGTGTGGTCTGTGCACTTGTGTATGTGTATACTGTGTGTGAGCTACACGTGTGTGCATGTGTGTGATCTGTGCACGTGTACATGTAAGCGTGCATGTGTATGCCTGTATGCAGGCATGTGTATGCACGTATGTGTACTGTGCATGGTCTATACAGGTGTGGTCAGTGCACATGTGTGCTATGTGGTCTGTGTGCATGTGTGCAAGCGTGCATGTGTACGCCTGTATGCGGACATGTATGTGAGCACGTGTGTGTGCCAGTGGGCACGTAGGGATGTGCACTCTAACAAACACTGCGGGAGCTCTTTGCCATGAGGTGGCACTGGTCCTTGGCCACGCTCATTCACGCAGACACCCGAGGCAGCGCCGCACCACCTCCAGCCTCCTTCCCGCTGCACTTCTCTGAGGTGGGGCAGTAGGTGGCTGCACTGCTCAGGCTAGAGTCTGGGGGGGCCCAAGACAGACCCTCTACCCCTTTGTCTCCCAAAACAGGGCCCCGCAACCATCCCAGGACGTGCACCTTCCCTCTTCCCAGGGCCCAGAGACTTCCCAGGGGACACACCACACGTTCCTTGCTGGACATGAGTCTGGCCTCAGTCCCTCCTGCTGGGCGGCCAGCTTCTGGGAGGGAAGGGATTGGCCTGTCTTCCTCATCCTGCAGAGCCCCAACCTGTGCCCAGGTGCTCATGCCTCAGCGGCCCCATGGGAGGAAAGAGCAGGCGGGGCCTCACCTCGGGGGAGGAAAGAGCAGGTGGGGCCATACTGGGAGGGAGGAAAGAGCAGGTGGGGTCACACCTCGGCAGGGGAGGAAAGAACAGGTGGGGCCACACCTTGGGGGGGGAGGAAAGAGCAGGTGGGGCCATACTGGTGGGGGAGGAAAGAGCAGGCGGGGCCACACCTGGCGGGGGAGGAAAGAGCAGGCGGGGTCACACCTGCAGGGGGACACACAGCACAGCCTCCCTCCACTGCCAGGTCTCCCTTCTCCAGGGTCCTGGAGTCCAGGTAGCTGAGACGGAACTGGGGACACGGGGAGCGGTGGCCGGGGCTGGTGCTGCGTTGGGTGGGACGCACTCATACCCCTGCCTGTGGGCCCCGCTATGGATTCCCTGCCCCATGACGGGACGGCAAAGGGACATGGACCCCAGGCTCGAGCCAGCCCAAGGGAGACAGCAAGGGCACCGCCGTGAAACGCTGCCCCCAAAACACGTAGCGATGCCCACACCAGAAGGGATGCTTCATGCCACCGCAGGGCCCGAGGCCACACACGCTGCCTTTGGGAACAGAGCAGACAGGCAGTGGGAGCCTGGACAGTGGCTTCCGAGGCCTCCCAGTTGGCACCTTTTTGGGACAGGCTCCAGCACAGGGAGGGGTGAGGAGACAGCCCAGCGGAGGCACCTCAATGGCGACAGGGCCTGGGAGTGCCCTGGCCGGGCTGGGGGTAGGCAGAGAGGCCAGGGCAGCAGCTCCCCACAATGGACGCCAGACATGGCTCCCCGAACACCCTGAGCGCCAGGACCCCCACCAGCCAGGGGCGTACGACCCTCAAATGCTGCTTTCAAAGTCCTCTCCCTCAGGACTGGTTCCCCTGCTGGCCTCAGGGCCTCAGGACCTCCCAGCCAAGCCAAGTGCACTGAAAACGCAGGTGGAGGAGAAACGGGCCCAGGACTCCCCTGCACTTGCTCTGCAGGAGTATTTGCGCCCACGACCCCAGCCCTGCTCACTCCCAGGGAGGCCACTCTCCAGGGAGCCCAGGCCCGCCTGCGACGCCGTCACGCCAAATGCCAGATGCTCCCGGGGTCTGGTTCTTAAGTCTGGAGCTAGGGACTCGCTCCCGCATTAGAGCCGCCTGCCCCAAGGGCCACGGTGCCCACAACAGGACGGGCATGGGACGGTGCACCCGAGGCCCGAGACCCCAAGAGGCCCCGCTAAGGAATCGGTCAGTGGAGAAGGGGCCATCAGCTCCAGGGGGCAGGAGAGCTAGGGAGGGCGCACAGCTGGGCTGAGGTGGGAGTGGTTTCCTCCGGAAAGGCGGGGAGGGCGGCCCTGTGCTGACGGTGGAGGCTATCCTGGCCCGCTGCATCATGGCCCAGCCCTGCCCCAGGTCTGTCGGGGCACTGGTGGGACACAGGCGAGGTGGGGCCCTGGCTAAGAACTGTGAGGCCTGCTCACCAGGTGGGTCTCGCAGTGCCGGCACCCGGCCAGGGCAGTCAGGAGAGAGGGGAGGACTTGGGGTCCTGCCCCCCCGGTCTCCAAGGCTGGGGTGCTGCTGGCTCTCACGCACCCACAGAAAGGCCAGGGCGAGGCAGCTGGAGCCCCCAAGGACCCCCTTTTTGAAGACCCTTTGGAGCCGGCTCCCTGGCCCCACCGTGAGCCAGGCCCTCCCTCTGGAGGCCAAGACCAGAGGGCTGGACGTCCACTCTGGCTCCAGTTTGGTTCCCAGGCCCCACCCGCTCCTCGGCTGCAGGCGAAGGTCTCCACCTCGGGGCTGGCTTCCATGGAAAGAGCCCTCAGATCCCAGAAGGTACAGGGAGAAGACGCCAACCAATAGCTCTGTATTTGGGCGCCCCTGAGGTGGGGAACAGGAAAGCCCGCCGGGCAGGTCAGGTGTGAAGGCAGAGGCCACGCACAGCGGCCGGCCACACCCGCCTGTAGCTGCCCGGAAACCCCACCGGGACCCAAGGCCGCAGGTCCTCACCAAACAGGCCCGCCCTTTGCGCAGGTCCTCAGGGAACAGGCCTGCCCTTTGTGCCTCCCCTGGGCTCGGCTGAGACAACCCCCCGCCTGTTGCCACGCTGGCAACACCCCGTCATCACTCCCGCCCCTCCTCACACCGGGCTGATGTCGGCCGCGGCCCTGAGCAGAGTGGACAGGGCAGCCTTGCTCCTGCACGCTGC
This sequence comes from Homo sapiens, assembly GCF_000001405.40. Taxonomy (NCBI): domain Eukaryota; kingdom Metazoa; phylum Chordata; class Mammalia; order Primates; family Hominidae; genus Homo; species Homo sapiens. The sequence goes on from NC_000020.11 coordinate 63,406,411, forward strand.
TCCTGGAGCCACAGGGCCCTGCCCAGCCCTCCAGCCCCTGTTGGAAAATAACTTTTGTAAAAGGTCACTGCCAGGAGCCCCCATCCTTCAGCCCACATGGGCCCCTCCAGGGCCCACCCTTCCCGCCACACTCAGTTACTGTAAGAAAAGGGCCCCAGAGGGTTCCCGCCTCAAAACCTCGGAGGCACCGTGCTGAGGAGGGCCGCGGGCGGGTCCACTGGCCCAGCGCCGCCTCACTTCCTGGGCCCGGCCCAGCCCACGTCACCAAAGGGACCCTCGCCGGTGGCCGAGCGTGGCGGGGGCCCGCACGGGGTACAGAGGTCGGAGTCGGTGTCTGACTCTCCCTCCGCAATGTAGGGCCTGACTTTGGCACAAGGCGCCACGGCCGCGTAGCAGCTGTTGAGAGCATCCAGGTTCTCCTTGGACTGGGAGATGCTGAAGCCGCTGAAGGAACGCTCCAGCTCCTCGTGGTCCACGGACGGGATGGAGATGGACGTGTCGCTGTCCCGCAGGTTCCCCTCGGGGGGCCTGCAGCCCGGGGTGTCCTCCTGCCGCAGGAACTCCATGCTGGCGCGGTTGCCCCCGCCGTAGGCGGACAGCGACCGCTCGTGGGCAGGCGGCGGCGGGATGCGCACCAGGGAGCCGTGGTCCCCCACGGGGGAGGTGCCGTGGCCCTGGCGCGGGTGGCTCTGTGGCTGCCAGGAGGTGGAGGGCGGACACTGGACAGGGGGCGCGGCCGGGGGCGCCGAGAAGTTCTTCTGGCCCGTGGAGCTGCTGGAGCGCACGATCTTGACAATGCAGCCGTGCCTGTCGACATGCTCCCGGCTGTCTTCCGGGCTGTGGTACGGCGGCGCCGGCTCCGGCTCTTTGGCCCCAAAGTAGGCCTCGGTCTCTGTCGGGGGGATGCCCATCCGCTGCATGTAGATATTCACCAGGAAGTCCAGCTTCTTCTCCATGGACAAGACCTGCAAAAGGGGCTGCTGGGCTGGGGTGCGAGGGCCCGTCCCAGGAGATGTGGGGACCCAGGCTGCTCCCAGGAAATGGGGGGGCCCAGGCTGGTTCCAGGAAACAGGAGAGACCCAGGCTAGTCCCAGGAAACGGGGGACCCAGGCTAGTCCCAGGAGATGTGGGGACCCGGGCTGCTCCCAGGAAATGGGGGGGCCCAGGCTGGTTCCAGGAAACAGGAGAGACCCAGGCTAGTCCCAGGAAATGGGGGACCCAGGCTAGTCCCAGGAAATGGGGGGGACCCAGGCTGGTCCTAGGAGATGGGGGGACCTGGACCACTCCCAGGAAGTCGGTCGACTTGGGCTGGTCCCAGGAGGTGGGGGGACCTGGGTTGCTCCCTGGAGAGGTACAGGGAGGGGGGATCCCTGCTCCCTGGAAGCTGGAGGAGCGGGAAGAGGAGGCCCAGGAGCAGCTCTTCCTCCTTCCCAGACCCCTAGGGGCAAAGCCTCCAGCTCCACGGTTGGGGCGTGTGTTCAGAGCCAGGCCCTCCTGCTGCCCACCGTGGAACCCCCTTCAGGAAAGCCCCACAGGGCAGGACCTGGCAGTTCCTTACTCACTGCTCAGGCCCGGCTCTCAGAAGCAGGCCCCAAAACAAGGGTCCTCTGCGGTGGTTCCTGAGAATGCACCCCCAGAAGACAGCGGCCAGGGTGTCGGGCAAGGAGGACAGAGAGGAGGAAGGCCAGGCAGGTACAACTTCCGGCACGTTCCACAAGGAACCCCTGAGGGATCCACCTCTCAGCAGCCCCCACCCAGGACTCCTGGGGACTTTGGCCCTTGGGTACTGTCAGGAGGGAAGGCACCCAGGCCGGGGGTGGGAGGCTCACGGTGGGGTGTGAGGGGTCTGCACAGAGCAGCTGTCAGTGGTGACAGGGCCATGTAAACCCTAGACTTGAGGAGCCCTCCGTGGCACCCAGCCCCTGAAGCCCACACTGCCACAGGTTGACGGCAGGCACCACAGCCCTCCAGCCCCGCACCCCTCCCGCCCAGCCTCTCGCACCTGCTTCTCCACCTTCCCGAGCCGTCCCATCATGCTGGGGTCCTCGGGCAGCTCCGCCTCGGCCGGGCCCTTGGTGCGGTCCTTGTCCGTGATCGCTGGGCCCCGCCCCACGATCTGGTCCACTCTACCGGGAACAGAGACCCCAAAGCATGAGTTCGGGTGGGTGCAGCAGGGCCCCTGCCCTCTCCTCCTGGACCAGGCCACAGTGCCCCTGGGTCTAGGCTGCAGGCTCAGCCCAGAGCCGACCAGGGGGCAGTGGGTGCCAGGACAGATGGACGGGGTGCGCCCCGTTCTCAGCCCGTCTTCTGGCACCGTGAGGTTCTGCTCCTGCCCGCTCTGTCCCCAAGGGGCCTGGCACATTAGCGAGGAGTAAAGTAAGGACGCTCCCACCAGGGCCGAGTCGCCCGGCTCCTCTCCGTGGGCTCCCGGCTCCATACCGCCCCCTCCAGCCAGCCCCACCTGCTCACCCTCTTCCCTGCCCAAGGCCTATTGGCCCCACAGCCCACGGAGGGTCTCCCACTGCAGGGCCTGGAGCCCACTCCAGAGGATGCCCCTCCCCCTACCCGTGCCCACCCCGGAGCTTTACTCCTACGTAATGTGCCACTGAAGCCGTCGGCCCCACCGGGTCTGATGGGGACGGAGTTAAATGTCTGCGGCGGGGACAACAGAAGCAGAAAAGGCGTGAGAGCTGCGGCTCCATGCACCAGGACAAGGAGAGAAGGCCCAGAGCAGCACAGGAACCAACGCACAAACCAGAAGAGGGGAGACAAAGCTGCGAGGGTCTGTGTGTGCACGTGTGTGTGCACTCGATGTGCATGTGTGTGCCCTCATGTGCATTGCACAAGTTTCTGTGTGCACGCGTGTGCATGTGTTCATGTGTGCAAGAGTGTGCACGTTTGCGTGTGTGCATGTGTGTGTGTAGGATGCAGAATTCAGCTGAGCTGATCTCCAATGAGGCCACAGGTCACTCATGACAATAAGAAGGGAGGGAGGCTCCTTTGCCCTCAGGGACGGGGGCTTCTGACCAGTCTGGTATCCACAGAGTCACGGCCACTGCTGGGCTGGCAGGGGCCACCACGGTGGGTGTGCGCTGAGGCCTGCAGCTACGTGGGAACTCACTTGGAAACAAAGACCCTGCAGTAAGTCTACAAAAGCCCAGCTGGACAAGGGCAGCTCAAGACGGGGTGTGGCTGAGCAGGACCCACCCAGGAGAGGCCACAAGCTCCCAAGTCTCCCCTGGACTGGGGCCTGGTACATGAAGACTGCCCCACACCAGCCGACGGGGCCAAGTCCTCACTTCCTGCCACTGGGCTGCCCTACCTGCCTCTGATGGTGGGGGAGGGACTTCCTGCCACTGGGCTGCCCTACCTGCCTCTGATGGGGGCGGGACTTCCTGCCACTGGGCTGCCCTACCTGCCTCTGATGGGGGCGGGACTTCCTGCCACTGGGCTGCCCTACCTGCCTCTGATGGGGGCGGGACTTCCTGCCACTGGGCTGCCCTACCTGCCTCTGATGGGGGCGGGACTTCCTGCCACTGGGCTGCCCTACCTGCCTCTGATGGGAGGGGGGAGGGTGGGCCAGGGGTGTTATCTTCTTTCTGTTGCGAGAAACAGAGAGGGTTTCAGGCTCGCGTCGGCCACAGTGCAGCTCCTCATGCTCCGCGGGGCTTCATGCTGGACTCATGCAATAGGGCCAGGAGGGCGGGAGGGGACGGCGGGAGGGGACCCTCTGGCTCCGAGCAGACGCCAGTGGCGATGGAGGAGATGGGAGTCCCTGGTGTTCGGGGCATCCACACAGTCCAGGCAGATGCTCAGCACCTTCGCCCCTGCCACATGACGGGCCGCCCGCCTGCTCAGTCCCAATAGGAGCCCTGGCCACGGGCTCAGCCTGGAGCTGCTGCTGGGGGCTCCTCCAAGGACCCTGTGCCCCTCCTGCCCTGGGCCCCTGGCTGGAGGAGACTTGATCCCTGAGTGCTCAGTGCCCCGTGAGGTGGGGCAAGCGCTCCAACTGTCTCCCTGGCCCCCTGTGTGAACCTGCACGTCTCCTAGCCACAAGACCGTCCGAGCTCACAGCTGTGGATGCCCAGCTGCTGTCTCTTGCGGCAAGGCACAGGAGGACGGAGGACCAGCCCCAGGGCACAGCACTCTTGGGCATGGGGGACACCACAGAGCAGGGAACCCGGCAAACTCCGTCCGGGGCTACCCTGGGTTGGGCAGTAACAGACACGGCCCTGCCTGCTCCCAGAAACTCCGTTCTCACGGGAGGAGCACGGGGCTGACATGTCCAGTGCACAGACACTTGGCCTCACAGGCAGAAACCCCACCACAGAGGGAGGAGGGGTCAGACTCACCCCAGACGCCGTCCCCACCAGCTCAGGCCTGGGCTTCATTTGCCCAGACACTGGCATTGGCTGTACCCAGAAACTGTCTGCCCTGAGCTGTCAGGGAAGGCCAGGGGTCTATGCTCAGCCTCCAGGCCTCCGCCCCAGGGGCTCTACCCTCCCTCAGCCAATCAGACTTGCCAGAAGACAGGGAACCACCGTCATCTGAATAGTCCCTGGGAGGCAAGAAGGCCTTGGAAAGTCTGAGTTAATCACTAAAGAACTGGCTTCTGCCAGCTCACGTGGAGCTGGGCCGCACCTCTGTTCTGCCCATCAGCCGGGGCTCTCGCCAGCTCCCTTATCAAAAACACTAATTAGGATGCTGGCAGCTTGAAAGCCAGCACCGGAGCTGCTGGAGCGCACGCCTGTGCCGGGCACCTGGCAGGCCTCTTCTCACGCTTCTTCCCGGTGGCTTAAGGGGTAGATGCTGTGACCGTCTGTATCTTCCACGAGAGGGAAGAGACACAGAGATGCGGCTCCACCTGCTCGGAGCCACCCAGGGCCCAGGTCTGGGCCGTGCACGTGGCCAGGCCCACCCCCACAGTGGGCAGGTGCTGAGGGGCAGGTCAGTGCCTGGGGAGGCTGGAGAGCCCTCAGCCAGGAGGGGCCTGTCCAGGGGGCACGGGCAGGGCCAGAGGGATGTCTGTGCAGGTCTGATGGCATCTGATCCTGGAGGTGCTGCCCGGGGGCCTCCCAACCCCAGAGGGAAATCTCACAGGGCATCCACAGAGCCCCCGGCTTCCCCAGGGCACTTGTCGAGAGGAGCAGTGGGGCCCCTGGCAGTCCTGATAGGGGCACAGCCTGCCTGGGGCCCTGGTGGAGGAAGGGCCTTCTCCCTCTTGTGGCTTTTTCAGGAACAGAGAAAACCCGAGTGTCCCCTCTGTCCCGGGGAAAGGGTGGTACAAGGTGCTGCCGTCATGTGGCCTGGAGCGAAGGGGCCGGCCATTCCACAGACACGTCGGAGAGGCGCTGGCATCCTAACCTAGGTGAGTACTGGGGTGACTCTCTCGGAGGGGCCGTGGGTCCTTTGGTGGGGTACTTCTTGTGCCGGGGAGTTGAAGGGGGCGGGGGACCCACAATCATATCTATCCTGGCAGAGTAAACAAGAAAAGAGACACCGGCGAAACGCATCGTAAAGCCACAGGAAATGAGGAGCTGGCCAGGAACTGGCGGAAACGGAAGCAACAGGGAGGCTCCGTCGAAACAGGTGCTCTCCCACAGAGGGTGTGGACGCCGCCTCGCTGGACCTTGGATTTGCCAAGTCCTTCCCGTGTTTCAAGCAAAGCTTTTGACTCGGGAGCGGGTGGCGGGCGGCCCCACTGCGGAGACCCGGGTGCCACGTCCCAGAGCGTGGAGTGCAGGGGAGGTGCCCGCAGCAGGAGCCGGTACCAGACAGGCCGCGGCGGGGCAACGGGAAACGCATTGTCAGGAGCCGGCCGAGGACTCCTGGGGTCCTTGGGGTGTTTGCTTTGTTTTGTTTGTTTTTCCAGAGAGAGAGGGAAGGAAAGGGAAAATTTAGGACAAGAGATCCTGGTGAACAAAAACAGCTGAAGTGAGAGAGATGTGGAGACAAAGCACAGAAGTCAAGACAGGAGGGCGTTCCGCACACACACGCACACGCACACGCAGCCAGGGTTGGCCGCTGCTCCAGAGAGGACGCTGGGAAAGAGGCCTCACAGCTGGAGCCCAGCGGGGTGAAGGGGATGGCTCAGTGGCCCCTGCACAGCAGGAGTGGGCTAAGGCCTGGAGGCGCCCCTTCCCTGGCCCCCTGAAGCAGGACTGGGCAGGAGCCCCAGGGTGGGGCTCTCGACTTCCTCAGATGAGAGCTTCACTCCCACTGGAGGGCCCGGAGTTGGGCTGTGACCCCCAGGCTGTCCCTGACCATCCCAGCCTTCTCCCTGTAACAGGGGCCCAGCCTCGCTTCCAGGGCTGAGAAACTGGTACAGCCTTGGTTGGGGGGCCTGGGAGAGGGAGGGGACCCTGATAGGCAGGAGCATGTCCCCTACTGCAGGAGAGACTCTCAACAGCCGTGTGTCCCCATTACAGGCAACATAAACACCCACTCGTGTGTATATCCTTGTTTGTATGTGCCTGAGGCTGCACATGTGTGGGCACGTGTGTGGACTTAGGGGACACCTATGCCAAGGAGGGCAGGTAGAAGAAAAGGTGCCAAGTAGCATAACTGATGCCTGGTGGGGCCCACGGGAACCCTGCAGCTTCATGTCTGAACAGAATTATTCCATCCCCAACACACATGCACACATGTGTACACACATGTATGCACCCCACACACGTGCATACATGGCAGAGCAGAGCCACACGTGCATACAACCACACACATACACCTGTGCAGAAGCATACATGTGTGCATGCGTGACTTACACACACACACATGCACACACACATTTTCAGGGACCCACACACACAGGTGCACGCACTTGCCCACCGCGGTGTGGATGGGGGAGAGATGGGAGAGACAGCAGAAATATTAAAACAGACTTTGTGAAGACACAACAGAAGCTGACAGAGGCCGACGTGGGTGGGGAGGAGGCCCCGCCCACACACCCCCTGCACTCCCACCATGGGCCACAGTGGGCTTTGTCCCAGAAGCCCACCCCGTTCTTGTCCCCTGCTGGACAGGCAGGCGGGGCTCTTGCCTGGACTGCAGGCTCTTAATTCGGGACAGCATGTCCAGGTGGCCGGCTGAGTACTGCTCGATGACGTCCATCACGTCGTAGGGCCGCAGGCTCTCCTTGAACTTCCGCTTGGACACCAGGAACCGCATGACACTGCAGGGGGGTGGGTGGGGCTGTGAGCCCTGGGCCAGAGACCCCCGGCCACAGGCACCAGGACCTTCCTAGCACCTCTGAGACCTCGGCGCCTGGAGATGGCTGGACTTGCCCCTCTTGTCTGCCGCCCACCAGCTCCACACACAGAAGGGCCTTTATGTGGCCCTGCTCTGCCCGGGACAGGTGGGGCTTGCAGGCCTGGCCATGCCCCCTTGGACTCCATGCCACAGCAGGCAGAAGGTGGCTGAGTTGCTTCCTAAGCCAGGTGGAGCCCGGCCTCAGGCCTCTTGCTGAACCGGCATCCCACCCGAAACCCGCCTGAGTCCCAGAGGAGTGCACTCCAGGACATTCAGCCAGGTCCACCCGTGTCTTAGCCCTTTCTTTTCCCAGTAGACTCTGTCTCTGGGCGGCTCTGTCCAGCACCATGAGCACCGGCAGCAGGCAGGACCACCGAGCGGGAGGCCCCTCCTCACTCCCCCAGGCTCCCGGCTGGGCAGGGGCCTCACCACACGGCTCTGATGCTGACTTTGAGGCCCGGGGTCAGGTCCTCGGTCACAAACTCGCAGGGGCAGCTCTTGTCATCCACAATGTCCTCTCCGGGGAGGCTTGCTTCTGGGGGGAAGGAGACAGGCCGTGAGGGGCCGAGGGGGCCGGGAGACCTATTCCCGGGGTCCTGCAGGGCACACCGGCTAGACAGAGCGCCAGGGAGCCCCTCGAGGCTCCCTGTGGTGCCCCTCGGGTGCACCTGCTTTTCTGGAAACCCACCCATCTGCACCCAGCTGCTCTCGAGTCAGGACCTTCCCCGGCAGGCTGTGGCCACAGGGAGTGGCCGATATGGGGCGTCAAAGGACATTCTGGCCAATGGATGAACAGAACATGGCGCATCCACGCACAGATGTTAACGGCGGAAGGTGCAGGCCTGACATCTGAGGCTCAGTGAAGGAAGCCAGACCCAACGGCCCCACGTGGGAGCCGCAGACACGCACGGCCCAAGAGCAGCGGGTGCTGGGGCTGAGGCGGGGAATGGGGTGACTACTGATGGGGTCATGGTTTCCTTCTGTGGTGATGAGAATGTTCTGGAACTAGGCTGAGGTGGTGGTGACAACTCCACCGTGAGCGTGCTACATGCCACTGAATTCCTACACTTTTAAATAGTTAATTTTAGGTTGCACAAGTCTCACCTCAATTTTAGAAAGGATAGGGGGTTCCCACTCCAAGAGCAAGCAAAAGCAGCTGCGACGCCACAGGGTGGCCACAGTAGCGTGGCCACCACATCCATCCCCGGAGAGGATGGACCAGGAGAGGATGCGGCCACACCCACCTTCTGAGTTCTGCCGTGACGCGGCACCCTTGATGCGGAAAGCCTGGCGTGCCCGGCTGCGGTCCCCGAAGCTCCAGCTCTTGGGCACCTTGCTGGGGCTGTCCTCGAGGCTCTGGTCGGCGCTGGGTGACCGCCTCACAGTCTGGGCCTGCGGGGACCCCTTCCCCTTGGCAGCCACGCCTCGGGGGCTGGAGAAGACACGATCTTTCAAACTGACCTTCTGGCTGCTCCCACGGGAACCGACAGACAGACAGAAAAACAGGGAGAGAAGTCACTCTGCAAAGAACACAGGCCGTGTCTGCTCATGGCCGACGCCGCCCATGCGCCGGAGGGAGACACAGGTCTGAAGAACAGCCAGCCACACGGGTGGCTCAGAGCAGGTGCCACGGGGACCGAGCACCCGGCGGGAGGGAGGGAGGGGAGGCCACGGGGACCGAGCACCCGGTGGGAGGGAGGGAGGGGAGGCCACGGGGACCGAGCACCCGGCGGGAGGGAGGGGGGGAGGCTACCGGGGCCGAGCACCCGGCGGGAGGGAGGGAGGGGAGGCCACGGGGACCGAGCACCCGGCGGGAGGGAGGGAGGGGAGGCCACGGGGACCGAGCACCCGGCGGGAGGGAGGGAGGGGAGGCCACAGACACTGAGCACCCGGCGGGAGGGAGGGAGGGGAGGCTGGGTGGGCAGCAAGCTCCCCCGGCTGGCTCAGGCGTGGCCAGAGGTTGGCCATGTGGGGAGAGTTGATGTCTGTGGACTCTTAAATCACTTTCCGCTACCACCACGAGGTGCCGGAGCCTTCCTCACACTGTCCTGCCAGCCCCTCACCCAGTGACACTCAGGGCAACGGGCATCCCAAACACCGGGGCTGTGGCTCTTCCTCGGGCACCTCTGTCTGCCCCGGCCCCGCCCGTGGTTTCCCCTGTGGCCTTTTCACACCCGTAACTGCTCCCAGGAAGCAGCCTCCCTCCTCCCCTCCCACGGCCTGTCCCTCTCCTTCTGCCCCAGAGTCGAGGGGCCAGGGGACAACAAGGACATTGGGGGCCAAGTCTGCGGTGGACCCTTGTTCAGCCACACTCCGGCCTTTCCACCCACCCCGGGGGCCTGCCTGGTGGGATGGGCTTCAGGAGGGCTCAGGCCTCCCCTGTCAGGCTCCCCTCCCACCAGGTCCGTGTCAGAGAACTGCTCCTTCCGGCTTCTGGAAGGAAGGAATGGATAACGGGGCTCCTCCGCCAGCTGGGCCTCACTATCCAAGTCCTGCCCCAGGGCAGGGGGAGGCAGCCTCCAAAGCCACAGCGCTGTGGCCCGGCCCCCTCGGCCTGCGAGGCGTGAAGCAGGATTTGCAGCTGTGTCTGGCTGGGTCTCCAGCTCCATACTCTCGGGGGGTCCTTGGGCCTGCCTTGCCCCCGAGTTTTTTGGTGACCGTGGAGATGGGTTTGCACCCGAGTTCTTCAACTCCAGCGTCCGCCGGGCGACAGTGAGGGGAGGGGAGGGTTCACTGTGGTTGGTGGTTGGGAGACGCCAGGCAGATGTGGCCTCCTGAGGTCTGGAAAGCATCAGAACCCCCTGGCTCCCTTGAGGACAGTGGGGCTCTCACGAACTGGGGACCCGCTCATGCCCAGCCATGCTTAGCAGCCACGGAACTTCTCAGGGTGGTTCTGGGCAGGGCCCAGAGCACTGTTGCTGGAGCCTGAAACAAGCCTTCGGGTGGGGAGGCCCCGCAGATCCCTGACACACTTCAGAGAGGAAGCCCAGTGCCTCACGGGCTCCCTGATCCCACGGCGGCTCCCCAGCCAACAGCGAGGGACTGAGGCCCCGGTCAGCAGCCACCATCAGCCCCGACTCCAGACCCACAGCCAGAGAGACACGCCCACCAGACGGCACAGAGATAACCAGCCACAGACATGAGAGCCCACCGCGCCCGTCTGCCTGGCCTGGACACGCGGATCGCTTGGCTGCCCCTCCCCACCCCATCCCCCAGGCAGCAGGTGACCGCCCAGACCATCTGTGCCCACTCAGCAGACCATCTGTCCCCACTCAGGCGTCTCTGAGAGAAAGAAAGAAGCCCCTGGGTGTTGTGCCCGCTCGGGGAAGCAGAGACGGAGTGGCCGAGATCCCCCGAGTCCCGAGGCGTCGCGTGCTTGGGGACGTCAGGAGCCGATGGTACAGGCTCGCTCAGGACCCCAGTCCTGAGTCCACACCCCTGCACTGCCTGAGGCCAACACACCGTGCCCATGGGGGCCAGGGGTGCTCAGAGTCCTGGTGCTGTGGGTGCCTCTGTCCCAACGGCCTCTGGTCCCCATCCCAACAACAAAAGCACAGGTGGTCGGGGAGAACCGGACGGGGGCCAGGGGAGCACATGGGCACAGGCTCAGCGGGACTCCTGGAATGTTCTCTCTTTCTCCACCGCACGAGCCATTTCAAAGGCAAGAATAGGCCCCTCCTGACCCCGCTCAGGCAGGCCTCAGGGCAAGTGGGAGTCACTGGAAGACTCAATTCCTCTCTCTGCGTTTCCACCCGAGGCAGGTCCAGTCACCAGAGAGAGAAGCAGCCACCTCCTTTCTCACGGCAGCTGGCAAAGCACCGGGTGGAGGACAGAGCCGGTCGGCCCAACTGTAGCTTCGGGGCTGCCCTTGGCTGGTCTCTGGGCAGAGCCCGGTGCTGAGGGCTTGCAGTGGGAAAGGCACAGCTTGAGGAATGGGCATCAGATTCCCACCTGCGGCCCCGGAGGGGAACGGGTCAAATACCCAGGCGGCCACACAGACGTGCGGGCCAGGAAGGGTCAGGCCCCACAGTCCGCAGGGAGTTGCAGGAAGGGAGTGGCGTGGATTCCACAGGCCCCAGGAGAGAAGACCCAGCCCCGACGTCTGCTTCCCATTTTTCAGGGGGGACCCCCCGCTGACCACGACAAGGAGCCACAGCCCCGCCAGCGGCAGACACACCCTGCTGGACCCGATGCCCAGCACAGCCCCAGGGGCCGCCGGGACGCAGCCCACGTGTACTGCCCCAGACAGAGCCGGCGGGAAGGAGCCTGCCCTGGCCTCGGCGCGGCCCTGCTGTCCCGGGTCTCGGGCTCCGCTCCCACCTCAGATCTGCGAGGGAGGCTCTGCCAGGAAGAGGAGGGTGGCGCGACCTGGACATGTCCTTCCCTCCCCTGGACCTCCACCATGACCCAAACTCTGCACCCTCCAAGCACAGCTGGTGAGGCTCCATGCTGCAGACACCCGACCCCGCCAGCCTGCCTCAGCTGCCAGGAGCACGCGTGGTCTCGCAGGCCCTCCCTCGGCCACAAGCCAAGAACAAGCGCACGCGAAAAGCTGCCGCCACCCACCTGGGAGGAGCCCTCGGCCAGAGCTGCCCTCTGTGTGCGAGGGGCGTCCGTGGCACCTACGCTTGGGGCTTACGGGGCCGGGGCAGGCTCAAGAAGCACCTGAGAGCGCGCCATCCCCACCCGGCCTGCCACCCTCCCTCCCAATGGTGAAATTCAGATGTGCGGTGCCCGCAGGAAACAGGAGGCTGAGGAGCATCCAGACCCCTGCCCAGCTGGTGTCCGGACCAACGACGCCCAGGAAGCGTGAGGATGAAGGGGCCTCCCGTGGGGGCTGCTCGCAGCAGGACAGGGCCTGCCCTGGGTTGTTCTCTGGCCTGGGCTCCCACCCCCACTTTCAAACCCCTCTGGTCCCCAAGCAGCCTGACCTCAGCCCCTGCCCTGAGGGACCAGCCTGCGGCCAGAAGCACCCTGAATAGATGCTCCGGACACGCAGGACAGCTGCTAGCGCCCCAGCAGGCCATGCCCCAGGCAGCCCACACGCCCGTCTCCCTCTCTGGAGCTGCCAACAGTCTCCCCGCAAGCACCAACGCCCCCAGAAGCACACAAGCAGCAAAGTCACAGGGAGAGGGTGGCATGGAGTCGCGGGCCCCCCATGGAGCAGGGTCCGAAGCATGCACGGATGCAGATAGGCAGCATGCAGCCCCACCAGCCCTCCAAGGCCAGCACCACCGGCGGCATGCACATGCCAAGGAGAGCCCCACAGGAGCACGACACAGCCACCTCCACCTTGCTGGGCTGTGCTGGCCAGGAGGGAGGGGCCCCCAGCGCAGGCCTGCACACACCCAACAGCAGACAGGGGACGCGGGGACAGGGGAGGTGCGGGTCACGGTGCAGGCCAGGAGCCCACGGTGCAAAGGGGGCGGCTCCTCCCCCGTCCTATTTCCACCTGCCCTAAACCAGGCCTGTTGTTGGGAGAGGGAGCCGCGGGCCTCTGGCTTTCTGGGGCTTCTGATGCATCAGGACCCTGAGGAGCCCGGCACACACAGACGGAGCTGCCTCCCGCGGTCGAGGCAGCCAGGAAGGCTCAGTCATCCTCAGGTACGCAGCAGAGGTGCTAGAGTGACAGCCCCAGGGGAAACGCTCCCTGAAGAGCAGTCGGGGACCCCAGGAGGCACGGACGCCTTGCTGGGTTCAGAGCCCCTGGCTGGCCCCTCTGGCTGTGCGCAGGACATCGCCTGGCGTGGGGAGCAAGAAGAAGCACCTTCCCCCAGCTCCGCCCTGCACGCAGCTGTCGGCTAGAATAGAGGGAGCTGAGCCCGCACCGCCAGGGCGGTGGGTCAGAATTGGGGTTGGGGCGCCAGCCTCCCCCTGGCTCCTCCAGAACCTCTAGTAAGCAGGGAGGGGCAGAGGAGCCGTGCAGCAGCCGTCAGTCCGTGCGGCGTGTTCCGCGGTACCTAGAGCGTCCGGGGCAGCATCCACACAGGGGCCCTCTGCACGGGCTGCCTTTACTGGAAATGAGGAGAGCACAGTTAGTCCTGGGCGCCGGCAACAGCACACGGCCGGGAGCAGGGAAACTGAGGCACTGCAACCACCCAGGGTGTTGTGTGCAGTCCCCAGCGGCAGAGCTTGCGCCCAAGCAAGGCCAGCGAGGAAGGTGCACCATCGTCTCCACCGTCCGGAGAAGAAAACACTTCCCTATTTCTGAAGGAAAAAAATCCCTGTTTTTTTTTTCCTCCAAAAATACCTTTTCCTTCCAAAGCCACAGTTTGGGTTCATGTCTTAAAAGATGTATTATTTTTTGCAGTATTCATGCTGACAAAACAATAATACATGTGGCCTCAGACGCCGCAGAAGCCCTGCTTGGGAAGGACGTGACCCCGGGAAAGGGCGTGGGTGTGAAGCACACACATTTGAGAGAGGAAAACGTGCAGTTGTCCCGCTTTGCAAACCAATCGGCGACGTTTGGCCATGCCAGCCAGTCCCCCAGTTGGAGGTGGGTCTCGGTTTACCCAGGAGGCGTGGCTGCCACTGCAGGCATGGCTATCTGGGGGTTCAAGGGCTCCCCTGAGGACAGTCACGTTGGGGCTCAGTGGATCCCCTCATTGTGAAGCCCTTCAGGAGCGCAGCTCCCCGCCGGGGCGTTCCTTAGAAAAGGCTCAGAAAACACGGAACGTTTTCCCAAGAATCTCCCCAAAAACCCTGGCGATTTAGCTCTGCATCACAATGTGCAAATGATTAAGCAAAAAATGAAACCAATCACCAAGAACTCAAGAACTCTTCCTTTTCCCCACCCCAGCCACCCCCAACCTCCTTGCCACTGCTTCCTGAGACAGCACTTCTCAAACTCGGTGCCCCAGGAACCCCAGCGTGGCGACGGCATCCACTCAGAACACACAGGCTCTAGGAAGAAAGCACCCAGCCTCCCGTCTTCCTGCGCACACGTGTGTTTAGACACCGATGTCCCTGCACGCACCCGCAGGCAGCTCTCCGAGCGGCGTCACAGACACGGCTAGCTCCAGTCACGGCAGCACTCAGCCGCCCGGGTAGGCTGAGGGCTCTGGACCCTTCCCCAAGCCCCACCAGCCTGCAAGACTCCAAGGGCGGGTGGCCGGCTTCCACCCCAGCCCCCGTGCCGGTCCGGCTTTTTAGTACACAAGCGACTTTGGGGTCCCCAGGCACGAAGGGATGTAGTGCAAAGGCTGGACTCTGTTTGCTGGTTAACCACGAACGCGACGGTGGGACGAGGCAGGAGGGAGCCGGCTCCCTGCGCCTGGCTTGAGGTTCTGGCTGCTCAGAGTCTCTCCCGCTGTGACCACCCCAGCTACGATGACACCCAGGCCTTCCTGGCAGGCAAAGACCTCAGACTCCCACCAGCACCACCCAGGCCCAAGCACAGAGCCCCTGCCTGGAGGGCCCCAGGAGACCTTCCCCACCCCAGGGAAAGAGCATGAAGGAGGCAGGGTCCCGCTTCCCCAAACCTCCCAAGGTCTCCTGTTTTGACCCCAGCATGATCGCCTTGACCAAGAGGCCCCTCCCGGGCCGGCCCTGCCGCCCGATTCTGCAATGGGATCGTCCTGTAGCCACACTGAAGCTCCGGCTGTCGCCACCAGGCACCTGAGACTCGAGAGTGAATCTCTAACCGTGCCCGTTATAATCCATGTTATTTTAACAGCCACATGTGGCTGGCAGCTCCTGTATGGGGCAACGTGGTCTGAGAGCCGGGGAGAGCTGGCAGGGAGGCGCTGCAGGCACAGCCCCCCAAGACCCCCAAAGCTTTGTGGGGGACCCGTGCAGCTGCACCTCCCCCTGGGGTCCGCAGCTGGCACTGGGCTTCCTTCCTGCCCCATCAGCCACAGGGAGCTCCACACTGCGTGAGAAGGCCCTGTGACCCGAGGTCGGACAGGCGGACAGGCCCACAGTGAGCTCGAGACCCACAGACACTGACCGAGACCCGACAGGACAGACATGCACCAAAAACACGCGGACACGTGTGCTTGAGAAGAGGAGGGGGAGCCCGAACAGGCACGGGGGAGCCCGCACAGGCATGAGGGGGCAGCCGGTGTTGGGGGCTCCTCCTCCAGCACGGGGGCAGGAGGCAGTGAGATGGGGTGTCGGACAAGACAGCACAAGTCAGAACCGCCGTGGCCAAAGAGACCCCCCGGGACCCCCCTGGGGCAGCACGGCCCGAGCCCCGCAGCCTGCCTGGCTCCCCACCCGACCCCAACGTAGACGCTTCCTCTGACTCCAGCACAGCCCCAGTGGTCCCTACGGGAACCGAGCCCCCGCCAGCCGGGTCGCCTGCCACCACGTGCCTGTGTTCTGAGCCAGGATGGGGGTGGGGGTCTCAGCAGTGAGTGAGGGTCCCTGTGTCCACACCATCCACCTGCCAAGACCAGCTGACACCAGCGGGGTCCTGCCATGCGGGGTGCGGGCTCCACCTCCAAAGGGCAGGCGGAGGCACAGGTCCCACCAGACTCACAGAGCCCAGGTCAGGCAGCAGAGGGGCGCCAGGAGCCGAGCTCCCCATCAAGCTTCGCAGAGCAGGCCCCTCACCCAGCAGCCCAGGGACGTGGCAGGCAATGATTGCGGAACAACTTCCTAAGCACGACCCTACACTGGACAGGCTGCGGCTGCCCCAGGCCAGGGAACAGAGATGCCACCCCGTGACCTGCCAGGTGAGCACCCCAGGATGGGCGGGGAGGGTCTTCAAGGGCAGAGACTGCTCCTCACTCCCACCGCACCCCAGGCACCTTCCAGAAGCCCCAGACCCAGCAGCCCCACGTCCCCCACCACAGGCGTCCCAGGAGGAGGGCCGGGGCGGGTGGGTGCTCGCCCGTGGGGGAGGGCGTGGGAGGCACAGGCAAGGACCCCCCGGACACATGGGGAAGAGACGGGGGAGGGGTGGGGAGCCACAGAGCTTACCGGAGAGCCCGGAGGCTCCCGCGTGTCCTCACCTGGAGTTCGCCTTCAGGGCCAGCACCTCATCCCCAAAGAGAGGGCAGACGAGAGAGGGGCCCGAGAAGGGCAGTAACAGGGATTAAAGCACTTGGGGGCAGCGGGTGTCCAGATGGGTGGAGTGGAGGGTGGGAGGGAGAGAGAGAAAGAGAGAGGCTGAGACGAGAACGTGGAGCGGGCCGGGCTGGGGCAGCGAGCACGAGGGGCCGTGAGGCACGGGGCGGGTTCCGGCGTCGCTCCCAGCAAGGGCGTGGGGCCCTGCCACGCGGAAGCCGTCGGGAAGCCTCGCGTCCACCTGGGACAGCACCGAGGTTCCGCCCAAATCACAGCCAAGGGTGCCCATTGTGGGGGGCACAGTGCTCATCCCCACAGCCACTCCCAGCCTCAGGGCCAGCAGCAGGGGCGGGGGAGGCAGTGGCAGCACTGGGGGCTGGCACCAGCAGAGGCTACGCTGCCGACCCAGCTCTTTCTGGGCCCTCGTCCGTTTTCTTAGCCTCTTTGAGAGGATGAATGAGCCCCTGGTGGTTTTCTTGGTTGGTGTGGGCCGGAAGCATTGCCCGTCTTTCCAGCTCAAGGCACTGACCATGACTCCCCTTCTGTGGGATGTGGGGTGGCTGGAAAAATGCAGCTCAGCCCCACTCCATCTCCCCGCACCCAAGCCCCGCAGTGTCTCGCCAGCTGTCACCCGCAGTCCAGGAGGGGCAGCCAGGCGTCCATCTCGGACCCCAGGTCCAAGGGGCCAGATTTACTCTGCAACATGTGGATGGGGCACAGGGGGCCCAGAGAAGCCTAGCACCTCCTCAGGGTGATGTGTCGGGGGCTGGGGCTCAGCAGACGTAGAATTAACTTGTGAAAGGATCTTGATTTTCTCTGTCTCCATCCTTCACCCCAGCAGAGCCCTTACACGAGTCCTGTCTCCAATCTGCCCGACCCACAGAACCTCGGGGCCCGGGAGAGGGAACCAGGCTAAGCACCTGCACCCTTGGCCCACTTTGACCTTGGCAAACAGGGAGAGGAGGCCAGCCAGAATCTCCACCCAGGGGCGTGAGACAGAGAGGATGTCCCACCCTCCTCGGAGGACGAGGGGCCCTGGTCTGTGCCACATGCTCCAGACACTCTGGACCCAGAGCAGCGGGAAGGCCAGAGGCCCACTTGGAGCTTTCACCCCAGCCGGCGTCGACTCAGGCCAGCTGTGAGCTCGGGCTATGTGCCTGCAGCTGGAGGGAGCGCACTAACAGAGACCCCCTGCCTCCGAGAACCCTGGGGCCAGACTTGTGGGCGGGGTGGGGGATCCCCCACCCCCGAGAAGCCGCCCAGCTGCCCGGATCCACAGTGCTGCAAAGTAAAACCGAATCACTGGGGAGGGGGTGAGCAGGAAGAGTGATTTAAGGGCCCACATCACCGCCAGGCGGGGGTCTGGACCCGCAGTCACACAGTCACACACGGAAGCACACACAAGGCCCTCACATCTCCATGACAGGTTGCGCACACGTGTGGGAGAGAGACCAGACGGCCGTGCACACGGCAGACACCAGGGTAGCAGCAGGGGGCACTGACCTTGGAGACGGCTCCGGCGGGGGGTCCTTCCTTCAAACAGAAGCAACAGAGAGTTAGTGGCCGCCCACTCAGCACCCATGAGGGTCCCCCAACCAGTCCAGCCCCCCACAGTCCCATGGGTCAGGGGCTGCAGGGGAGGGGGGTCTCAGAAAAGGCTGGGCAGGGGTGGAGCTGGCCCACCCACCCCAGAGAGCCCACGGCCCCAGGAACGGGCACCCCAGGGCCCACGGAGGCAGCTCCGAGAGGGAAGAGGGACTCCATGGGGCGGGGGCCTCTGCTCTTCTGACCTGGGGGTCTCTACCCCTCCACATTTACAGACACTCATTTTAATCAGAACCACACCAATATTAATAAAGTTCCAAAAAGCACGTGTTTGCTGAAGGAAGCTCTGGAAGGGAGTTTAATTTACAATCAATTTTCGAGACAGAGTGAGCTGCTCCGACTCTTTTTTCCACGCTCATCCTAATGGAATGATTCTCTTCCGCGTGACTTTCCAGGGGTGGCTCCACTGCGCCACAGTCAGTGAGCCCAGGGTTTGCACCGCTGACCAACTGTCCCGGCCTCGTCCTGCAGGCAAAGCTGTCTGGGCCTTCCGGCGTCTCATCTGGGGCTGTTTCCGCGGGTAAAGGCGTTATGGATTGAGTGAGAGATCGGCGGATCGTGATTTGGCTCATCCATGGGGAGGCCCCAGCGATCTCATTCGAACACCTGGGCTGGTGCCCCGGCTGGTACGCCGTGTTACAAGCAGGCTCTTTGGTGCACTTCCAAATACTTCATGTGACAGGGACCGTGTTGCCGTGGAACATGGTCCACGCTCTCGGGGAGGGTCCCTCATCACCTCCTGCAGCTCCCGGTGGCCCAGGTGTCCTTGGCTTGTGGCTGCACCGCCCCGTCTCTGCCTCCGTCTCTACACGACATTCTCTGTGTCTCTGTGTCTTCTCCTCCTCTACCTCTGTAAGGACAGCTGTCACCGGGCTAGGGCTCAAGCTGTCACCAGGCTCATCAGGATGTTCCAGGATGACCTCATCTCAAGATCCCAAGCTCAGTTACAGCTGCAAGGACCCTTTCTCCAAATCAGGTCACATTTGCAAATTCTGGGACATTTTGGAGACCAGCATTCAACCACTGCATTCCCCCGACCCCCCAAAATTCATGTCCATCTTACATCGAGAATACACTCACCCCTGCCAAGATCCCCCAAAATCTCCACCCTCTGCAGCATGGACTGTGTGTCCAAAACCTCATCGAAATCCCATCCGTTGGCCAGGCACAGTGGCTCACACCTGTAATCCCAGCACTTTGGGAGGCCGAGGCGGGTGGATCACCTGAGGTCAGGAGTTCGAGACCAGCCTGACCAACATGGTGAAACCCCGTCTCTACTAAAAATACAAAAATTAGCCGGGTGTGGTGGCAGGTGCCTGTAATCCCAGGTACTCGGGAGGTTGAGGGAGGAGAATCACTTGAACCCAGGAGGCAGAGGTTGCAGTAAGCTGTGATTGCGCCACTGCACTCCAGCCTGAGTGACGCAGGGAGACTCCGTCTCAGAGAAAAAAAAAAGAAATCCCACCCATTCAAAACGTCCCAAATCCCATCCTCTGAAGTCATGACAATCACTTAAATCAGGTATGTGTGAGACCGTGGGTGTGCGCCAACCTGGGGCTAAAGTCCTCCATGCATGGGCTTGTGAACTAGAAAACAAGCCATCTGCTTAAAGTATCAACAGCAGGACAGCTCTTCCCACTCAAAAAGGGAGAATGACAGAGGGGCCGCCGGCCACCACGTTTCCAATCCGGCGGGGCAAACTCCACGTGGCACAGCTCTGGGGACGCTCCTCGGGGGCTCTCAGCCCCGCCGGCCTCTGCGGGAGCCTCGGGATCGTTCCCCGTTTCCTAAAGGGCAGCTCGTGTTCACAGCTGAGGAGCGCCACCGGCCTGTTTCCTGCCTGCAGACTCCCGAAGTTCGATGCCCTCTTACCTTCGTCCAACGCTGTCTCTGCCAATCTAGTTTCTGCTGGTATGAAACTCCCCAAAACCTCTAGGGCCTCCTGAATATGCCACAGGCCGCAACGCCGTTAGACAAGAGGCCCCTCTGCACATCCTTCCCGATAGCTCCATCTTCAGGCCTCTGTGGAGACGGTGGAGGCTGCAGCCGCACACCTGGTGCCTTCAGCATGAGGCTGTCTGGCCACACCTGTGGGCTTCTCTCCAAAGCAGGCTTTGCCAACAGTGAATCTCCTAATTTAAGACCCTTTGCAAGCTGGACAGGCTGAGCACCTCCCAAACCTTCAAGTTCTGGTTTCTTACAGCAGTTCTGCCCTGAATGCCTTTTTTTTTTTTTTTAATAGTCTTTTGGCGGATCGGCCAGGTGCTGCTCTGAATCTCCCTGTTTCCTCTCATACTTTACTATGAGCAGCAGAAATAAATTAGGCTGCACCTTCCACACTTTGCTTGGAAATCTTCTTGGCTAAATATCCCAGTTCATCACTTAAAAATTCTGCCTCTGCCCAACAGTAGCGCACAGCCCAGTGGAGTCTCTGCCACCAACAACACAAGGACAGCCTTCCCTCCAGCTTCCAACACCTGCATCCTCACTTCCTCCTGAGCCCGCACCAGAAGCACCTTCAACATCCGTGTCCCCACCCACCATCTCTTCAGGACACCTCAGTTTCTTCCAGCCTGCACCTCAAAATACTCACGTCCAAAATCTCATCCAAATCCCATCAGTTCAAAAAGTCCCAAATTTCATCATCTGAAGTCATCAGAGGCCGGGCACAGTGGCTCACGCCTGTAATCCCAGCACTTTGGGAGGCCGAGACGGGCAGAGCCCTTGAGGTCAGGAGCTTCAGACCAGCCTGGCCAACATGGTGAAACCCCATCTCTACCAAAAATAACAAAACTTAGCCGGGCGTAGTAGCAGGTGTCTGTAATCCCAGCTACTCAGGAGGCTGAGGCAGGAGAATCACTTGTACCCGGGAAGTGGAGGTTGCAGTGAGCCAAGATCGCACCACTGCATTCCAGCCTGGGCGAAAGAGCAAGACTCCATCTCAAAATAATAATAATAAATAAAATAATAAAGTCATCAGAATCATTTAAATCAGGTGTGTGTGATTGCAGGTGTGCATCAGCCTGGGGCTGGAGTCCTCCACGCATGAACCTGTGATTCTAGGAAACGAGCCCTTGGCTCACCCGGTTCTGATGTCACACCCGCGCTTGTAGGCGTTTGCCACAGCCGCACGCGGCTCCCGGTATTAAAGTCTGGATTCATGTGCAACGGCTCCTGTAACTAAGTGCCGCTGGAGTGTGTAACAACAGATGTTTGTTCTTTCACAGTCCTAGACGCCAGAGTCCAAAATCAAGGTGCGGGCGGGGCCTGCTCCCTCCGAAAGCTCCAGGGAAGGGTCCTTTCTGCCTCTTCCAGCTTCTGTGGCTCCAGGCAGCCCTTGGCTTGTGGCCGCATCACTTCAGTCTCTCTCTCCATCCTAGCTGGCTATCACCTCTGTGTGCTTCCAAATCTCCCTCTCCTTGTAAGGACACTCGTTGTTGGACTCAGGGCCCGCCCGGAAAATCCAGGATGATCTGAGATCGTCCTGATAGGTTCCAGAGCAGAAGAGTGTCTCTAGGAGGCAGAAACCAGCATCCAACCCACTGGAAGCCCCTGCCCCACCAAGGGCTTTCAGACATGGAACTGCTTGGGGACGGCTCTGGGCCTGGGCAGGCCTGGCAGGTGCATTCGCCTTCCACCTCTCCTGCTCAGCAGGCCCTTCTGCAACCTACCTCGACAGCCGGCACTCTGACAGCCGTGGGCTTTGGGCCTGAAGGAGAGGCAGCAGGCGCCATCAGCACCTGAGTTACCACCAGGCACTCGAGAGGACGACGGGCTGGGACACTTTGTCGTACGACCCACGCGCCTGGGCCCCATTAGGAGCCATGCAGAGCCCCCGGCCCCATATCAACCTTCGCCCCTCCCTCTCTGCCCGTCCCCCGAACCAGCTGCCCCTCTGGGGGTGGGAGCCCAGACCAGGTCAGCAGACGCGAAAAGAGAAAGCACCACCATCACCAAGTCCAGCGTCCCCGCGCGTCCCAGCTCCCTGGAGTCCCTGGGGCACTGTCCTGGCGTGTCTTCTGTGGGCAGCTGGGGCCCCCAGGAGGACTGAGACGCCCACCCGCCCCACCTGGAGCTCCCCAGCTGACCTGAAAGCGAGTCCAGATTTACTCTTGAGGTTCCTCAGCAGCTCCAGCTGGTTCAGCGGGGGGATAAGTCTGGGGCAAGAGAAGGAGAGGGGAGTGAGCGTCTCACCCTCCCGAGTCCTGGGACACCTCCCTCTGCTTGCACAGCTCCATGGGCAGGCGCCTGCAGTGTCAGACACCCGGCGGCATGTGACGTGGCCAGGCTTTCAGGCAGCTGCCCACTGGGCCCTGGGCTCAGGCCCACCTCTCTTGGGCAGGCCTGGGAGCCATCTTCATTCTCTGGCTGTGCCTGGGGCCTTGTCAACCAGCAGGGACAGCAGGGAGGAGGGAAGAGGGCGCCTGGCCACCCATGCAGCCCCGACCCTGCAGCCTGGAGCAGGTGGAGGAGGGCGCGCAGGTAGGGGGAGGCGCTACTCCCCCTTCTAATCCCTGAACATCCTAGAGGGACAGCACGCGAATATATTTAGGGCCCCGGCCCCTCTCTACACAGCCACTTTCTCTGCCAAAGCTGGAGGAGTTGGGAGGTGGGGATACAGAAAAGGATTCTGCTTGGCAAAGAGCAGCTCATTCTGGAGTCTATAGGATGAGCCCAGCCTCATCAGGCCCAGATGCCTTGGGAATCCTCCGCAGGTGGCCCAGCTCTGCTCCGAGCCCCCTTCCCAGTCCTGGTCATACCCACCCCTGTCTTCCTGCCCTGCCGCCCACAGCCACCAGCAGGACCAAGTCCGGGCCCGCCGAAGCCCCCCAGGCAGGTATGCAGGCACCTCCTCACGTCTGGGTGGGACGTCCCCCTCTTCACCCCTCCCCACTCCCACCCACCTCACTCTGCCCACTCCTCCTCACCACCCATGCCCTCACAGCATTCCAGCTCGCTTCAGGAAGAGACACCCTCCTCTGGGGCCTCCCCCACCCGGCTCCCTGACCCACCTGAACCCCCTCCACTCCGCCTCCTCAGCCTCTGCTCCCAGGCCCTGCCATCCCATCCACGGCCTCCACCCCTCCCCACACCCACCTGTGGAGCACTCCCCACTGGGGCCACGTCCTGGTCTCTCCTCTGCGTTGGAGGCAGGACGGCCACCTCCCAGCCCAGCCCTCACCCAGCTGACTCCCTACGCGGCTATGGCCACGGCCACCCCCTGGAGATGCCCCTGCCCGTGTCCTCCCTCTGCCCCAGGCTGGGCCGTGGCCCACATCCTCCAGACTCTTCACCTGCCCTGCCTCTGCCCACCCAGGCTTACTTGGTCCTCCAGATGGGCATCCTTGCCACTCTCCTGACCAAACACTCAATGGCTCCCCACTGCCTCCAAAGCAAAAGGATGGCTGACTCCATTGTCCCTCAGGGCTTGGTGATCACCCTACTGCCGACTCCCACTTCGTCCAGCCACACTCCTCCCTCCAGAGCTGTCCAGAAGCCCCTCCCTGCACCCCACCAGCCTCTGGTGCCCCCCCACAGGCTAGGCAGGTGTGAGCTGGTAAAGCCGTGCCTGGCCCCTCTTTGTTCCCTCTGCAGCCCCAGAGGTGCCCCCAAAATGCTGGCAGGAGTGGGGCTCCTGTGAGCCCCCTCCCTGCAGAGGACAGTCCGCTGTCCAAGTCGGGATGGAGCAGGAACCAGGCAGCTGGTGAGCTGGTGTTGTGGGCGCAGCAGAGCCCAGCCTGGCCGGAGTCTGTCTGGGGGCCACAGGTGGCTCCCCACCCCTCCTTGATGGGACCCACACGCACGCAGGCCCAGGTGAGAGACACACACGTCAGCCCTCAGAGCCACATAGGAGGCCATGCCTCGAACACACAGAGCAGCAGCGCCAGGGCAGACAGGCGGGCGGCAGGGCCAGGGCAGGACGGAGCTGTGGGACGAGGGTGCAACAAGGGGAGGGGGCGGCCCTGGGAGAGAGCAGAGGCTGGGGAGGAGGCAGCCGGCTTCAGCGCCAGCCTCCTGGCCCCAGGGGCAGCAGGGCCTCTGCAGACATTGGAGATGTCTTATGGCTGAGCATGTCGGGGGCAGAGGAGCCCTGGACCCACCACTGCCCAGCACTGCACCCACTTCCTTTCTGGGAATGGAGAGTCAACATTCTAACAGTTCCCAGGAAGGGCAGCCAGGTCTCTCCTCCAGGACGGGTGACTGGCCCCTGGAGGAGTCATCAAGGGCTTCTGTGCAGGAAGCCCTTCTGGTCTATGTGGGGAGTGGCTGGCCCCAGGCTCTGCAGGGCAGTGTCATCACAGAGCACAAGCCTGCCCACCCGACAGGTAAAGGCCCTTTGTGCTGTATGGGGGTGAGGCTTCCCATAGCAGCTCAGCGCTCTCCAGTCTGAACAAACAGCCTTGTTTCCTGCTCTCAGCAGTGGGGACAGGGGTGGGACGGCCTGGAGCCCTGGGGTTCCCCTGTGATGCCAGGGCAAGACTCAGGAGAAACTTGAGTCCAGGGCAGGAGACCCTGAGGCAGACCCCTGAGGCTAGCTGGCCCGCAGAGGCTGCCCTGTGAGCCACGGTGGGACAAGGACTGTGGCTGGTCTGGGGGTCCTGGCCTGGGAGCACCCTTGGCCCCAGATGGGTGCCCAGCGCCAGGGCAGGGGAAGCCCCCCATCCATCATTCCTGCTCTGCTCACAGATGGGGCCTGTGGGGTGGGGATGGAGGCACGAGGGGAGCCAGGCCAGAAGCAGGACAGAACGAGACCACGGGGGACACAGGCGGGCTGGCAACAGGAAGCAGCGGCTGGGGGGAGGCAGGACGAGAAGGGTGGATGGGCCCTGGGAGGGCAGGGTTGGCACGTGGGCTCCAGGCAGGGGAGGGCCCAGGGTGATCTGGCCGCCCAGCATGGGGCCACGCAGGGCAGGGGGCATAGGGATGCTCGGTGGGCAGGGACAGTGGTCACTCTGCAGACCGGGTGGGCCACGGGGCTCCAGGGGCTTGCCCGGTCACAGTTCCAGACACAGAACTAGAACCACACACACACACAGGGCTTCTGTCCATGCATTTCCTACCTGGAGGCCCCGTAGGTTTGAGTTTGCGAACTTTCAAGTGTTTCCACACACACAAAGGGAAAAGAACGGAAAATTTCAAAAAGAACGGGATAAGAAAAAGAAAATGAAACAAATAGTTGAGGAAAGTAGGGGAAACAACAGAACAAAGAAAATTAGCACAAGGGCTGGTTCTGTCCCTGCCCTGGGCTGAGAGAGGTCACTTTGCAGAAACAAGGGCATGGCCGACATTCCCAGGAAAGACAAGCAGGGCCAGGCTCCTAAGGTCGGGCTTCCAGGAGGTGCAGGGGGGATGGTGCTGAGGGAGGGGTTGGGGCAGACCCCAGAGGGCGACTGCAAACATCGAGGACCGCCAAGGGCTCTGGCATCCTCCTCCCAAGTGACACCCTGAAAAGGCAGGTAGCAACTGAGGACTGCCGCGGGTCTGTCCACCCTGGCCAACTCAGGATCCTCAAGAAGAATCCTGGGCCCCACCCCAGCTTAGAATTCCCAGCCACACTGTGCACCTGCCCCACCCTCAGGGAAGGCCCCACCCTCAGGGAAAGCCCCGCCCACAGGGAAGGCCCCACCCTCAGGGAAGGCCCCACCCTCAGGGAAGGCTCCACCCTCAGGGTAGGATCCACCCACAGGGAAGGCCCCACCCGCAGGGAAGGCCCCACCCTCAGGGAAGGCCCCATCCACAGGGAAGGCTCCACCCTCAGGGAAGGATCCACCCACAGGGAAGACTCCACCCACAGGGAAGGCCCCACCCACAGGGAAGGCCCCACCCTCAGGGAAGGCCCCACCCTCAGGGAAGGATCCACCCACAGGGAAGGCCCCACCCTCAGGGAAGGCCACACCCACAGGGAAGGCTCCACCCTCTGGGAAGGATCCACCCACAGGGAAGGCTCCACCCACAGGGAAGGATCCACCCACAGGGAAGGCCCCAGCCTCTGGGAAGTCCCCACCCTCAGGGAAGGCTCCACCCACAGAGAAGGCTCCACCCTCTGGGAAGGCTCCACCCTCAGGGAAGGATCCACCCACAGGGAAGGCTCCACCCTCTGGGAAGGCCCCACCCACAGGGAAGGCCCCACCCTCAGGGAAGGCCCCACCCTCAGGGAAGGATCCACCCACAGGGAAGGCTCCACCCACAGGGAAGGCTCCACCCTCTGGGAAGGCTCCACCCTCAGGGAAGGATCCACCCACAGGGAAGGCTCCACCCTCTGGGAAGGCCCCACCCTCAGGGAAGGCTCCACCCTCAGGGAAGGATCCACCCACAGGGAAGGCTCCACCCACAGGGAAGGCTCCACCCTCTGGGAAGGCCCCACCCTCAGGGAAGGATCCACCCACAGAGAAGGCCCCACCCTCAGGGAAGGCCCCACCCTCTGGGAAGGCCCCACCCTCAGGGAAGGCTCCACCCTCAGGGAAGGCTCCACCCACAGGGAAGGCTCCACCCTCAGGGAAGGCCCCACCCTCAGGGAAGGCCCCACCCTCAGGGAAGGCTCCACCCTCTGGGAAGGCCCCACCCCCAGGGAAGGATCCACCCTCAGGGAAGGCTCCACCCACAGGGAAGGCCCCACCCTTAGGGAAGGCTCCAGGGGACAGAAACCCCCTAGGAGCAGGTGACGGGGGGCGCGGGAGCTGGGAAGTCCCGGGGCTCAGTTCCCCACCTCAGAGCAGAGGGCGGGCGGGCAAGGTGGTGCCCACACAGACGGACTCGAGGGGTCAGGCCCGCGTGGACCAGGAGAAAGGCCCTCAGAACCCCTCATCTCAGACCTTAATTTAAGCAAGAGCCAGGCAACGAAAATCCCAGCTGGCTGCCACCTGCCCTTTTGTAAAACAAAAAAACACGGGAAAGCCGCCCTCCGACCACACAGGCTCACAGGACCTGCTAGCACTGCCTCGACAGGCACTTTCTAGGCCCCCTTCTCTGCTGCCCGAGGGGCTCCAAGGTTGTCTGTGTGCTCTGTCCTGTTGGGGAACACCTGGGACCCCCAGGATAATTTGAGTTTCCTGGTCTGAAAGTCTCACTGTGATCCGGGGTTACTTTCCTGCCCCCCACGCCGGAGCCCTAGGTCCTTGATGGGGGACGGGGTCATGGTACTGGTTCCACTCTTGAAGCTTGGGCACCTCGAGCTGCCGGTCCAGAGCAGCCCGGGGAGCAGCTGTCGGTCCAGAGCAGCCCGGGGCGGGGGGCATTTACCTTGAGCTCCCTGGGGAGCGTCCTTGCAACGCACAAAACACAGCACGACCCACGGCCAGGACGATAAAGCAAAGGGGTGAGGAAATGAAAGTGAAGAGAAAGCCGCAGCTCTAACACAAAGGGCAGAAGCAACGCCTCGAAATAAACCACACACAGAACTCCTTTGTGAAAAATACATTTTAAAGAAAAAAAATCAATCAAAATAATGAACAACAAAAAGTGGGGTTTAAGAACAAATGGAAAATAAAAAATGAAACAGTTGCTTGGTGGCAGGTGCCCGGCGGCGGTACCTGTACATGGGCACGGTGACCGTTCGCTCGTAGTACTGCCACGTGGAGTGCAGGTCTGTGCGCGAGAGGTTGGTGGCGTAGAATCTCCAGGCCGACTGCGGAGGGAAAGACAAGGCAGTTGGCGAGGGGCAGGCGGCGAGGGGCGCGCCCAGGAGGGCCGGGCGTGGAGGGAACGGGGCAGAGGGGACCCCCATGCTGTAGGCCAGGCACTCAGGACTCTGGGCCAGCAGGCCAGGCCCCAGTGCTGCATCAGCCCCACAGCCTCAGTTTACCCTCTGTAGGACAGACAGGCAAGCCCGCTTGTCAGACGGTGGGGCCTGAAGGAGGGGAGCGGTTGGGGCTTGACTCGGGGCCCTGAGCGAGCTCGCAGGGAGGCTGTGTTCTTTCCTTTTCATGACTCTTACCTGGCCCCTGGCGGGTATCACCTGTCCTGGGGGTTACCTTCCTGACCTCCTGGTTGGGCCCTGGGCAACCTGAGGCGCTGGGAGTATGGGTAGGGCCAGGGACCTCAGCCTCCAACCTCCCAGGGCGGGGACTCAGCCCGGCTCGGGGCATGAGCCTGTACGTCAGACTGAACCTCGCCTGGCTGGATTTCCGTTCTCTATGCCTTTGTTTTGTTTTGCGGTGCTGAAATAGACATATCCTGAAGTTCACCATGTTAGCCATGTTAAAGCGTGCACTTCAGTAGCGCCTGCACACACAGTGCTGTGCGACCACTGCCCCTATCTAACTCCACACCTCTTCGTCGCCCCCAAATAAACCCCCTCCTACCCCCGACGTTCAGCAGGCGCTCCTGGTTCCTGGTCCCCCAGGCCCTGGCCACCGCCAGGGTGTACGGGGCTCCACGGACTTCCCCGCCCCGGGCATTTCCTGCCAAGGGCATCGCAAGCTGCACGGCCTTCCCCGTCTGGCTCCCTCCACTGAGCGTGACGTCCCCGCGGCCCATCCGCGTCGTAGCAAGGGGCAGCGCCCGCTCCTCCTGATAGGAGGATCGTATGGATAAATCACATTCCGTTCATCCATTAATAGACATTTCAGCTGTTTCCACTTTTTGGTTCCTATGAGTGGTGCTGCTGTGAAATTTGTGTGCACGTTTTTGGTTGAAGGTCTGTTTTCAATTCTTTTGTGTCTGTCTATACCTAGAGGTAGAATGGCCGGGTCACGTGACAACTCCACGTTTACGAACTTTCTGAGAAACAACCGAACTGCTTTCCAGGGTGACTGCATCGCTACATTCCTACCAGCAGGGGGGGCGGTGTCCACACATCCTCACTACGCTGATTTGCCATTTGCTAACATGTCAGCCGCCCTGGCCTGGCGCAGAGGCTCACAACACCTTGGAGGCTGAAGCAGGTGGATCGCCTGAGCCCAGGAGTTCAAGCCCAGCCTGGGAAACATGGCAAAACCCTGCCTTTACTTAAAACAAAAAATTAGCCAGATATGGTGGTGCACACCTGTAGTCCCAGTTACTCAGGAGGCTAAGGTGGGAGGATCGCTTGAACCTGGCAGGTCGAGGCTGCAGTGAGCCAAGATCACACAACTGCACTCCAGCCTGGGCAAGAGAGCAAGTCCCTATCTCAACAACAACAAAAAAAAAAAGTTGGCCATCCTAACGTGGAGCCTGAAGACGGGACTGAACTGCTGCCATCTCAGGATAAAACTCTAACAGGTGAGGAGCAGCATTTATGGATGAGCAAAGTAAGTGGTTTCTTGGGATGGACGGTGAACACTGCAGACAGCAGGGTAAGGTCACTTCTGTCAGGTCCAAACCAACCGAGGCCAGAGAGTACACGGCGGCAGGGCTCACGCCTGCATGGCTGAGATGAGGACAGTGTCAAAGACATTCTAAAATAACCCCACAAGGAATTCCTTATCAGGAATGCAGCAATTCAGACAAGATGCTCTAGGAAGAACACTGGCCCAGCAGCGGCATCTCAACCAGTGAACGGCTGCCAACTCTGGTTTTCAGCCTCAGAGCCAGTGAACTCTGTTTCCAAGCAGCTTATGTGAACTTCTCAGCCAGGGAGAGCTTCCCTGCCCCTCCCTCTCCGGCACATGGGTGGCTCGCCACACTGGCTCATCTCTCGAGAGTCCCCCACCCTCTGGCCACAGTGGTTCATCTCTGGTTATAATCCTTTCTTCTAATTCCCAAATACATTTGACATGTGTGTGGTTTCTTTTTTTTTTTTTTTGGTCGACAGAATCTACTCCAGGCAAAGATGTTGTGAACTGTGTTGAAATGACAAGGAATGAGAACATTATATAAACTTAGTTGATACAGCAGTGGCAGCATTTGAGAGGACTGACTGCGATGCTGAAAGGAGGTCCACTGGGTAAAACGCTATCCAACAGAATCGCATGCTGCAGAGAAATCTTTCGTGAAAGGAAGAGTGAATCGATGCGGCAAACCTCATTCTTGCCTTATTTTAAGAAATCACCACAGCCGGGCGCAGTGGCTCACGCCTGTAATCCCAGCACTTTGGGAGGCCAAGGCGGGAGGATCACGAAGTCAGGAGATCGAGACCATCCTGGCTAACACGGTGAAACCCCGTCTCTACTAAAAATACAAAAAATTAGCCAGGCGTGGTGGTGGGTGCCTGTAGTCCCAGCTACCTGGGAGGCTGAGGCAGGAGAATGGCAGGAACCAGGGAGGTGGAGCTTGCAGTGAGCTGAGATCGCACCACTGCACTCCAGCCTGGGCAACAGAGCGAGACTCCGTCTCAAAAAAAAAAAAAAAATCGCCACAGCCCCAGCCTTCAGCAGCCCCACCTCATCAGCAGTGGCCACCAGCATCGAGGTGAGACCCCCTACCAGCACAAAGATTGCAACTCGCAGAAGGCTCAGGTGATTGTTAGTATTTTTTTAGCAATTAAGTATTTGTAAGTGAAAGTACGTGCAGTGTTTTACTGTTTTTTAGACATAATGCTACTGCACACTTAGTAAGCTATGGCATGGTATAAACATAACTTTTTTTTTTTTTTTTTTTGAGACGGAGTCTCGGGCTGTTTCCCAGGCTGGAATGCAGTGGCGCAATCTCGGCTCACTGCAACCTCCGTCTCCCGGGTTCAAGTGATTCTCCTGCCTCAGCCTCCTGAGTAGCTGGGATTACAGGCGTGTGCCACCACGCCCAGCTAATTTTTTTGTATTTTTAGTAGAGATGGGGTTTCACCATGTTGGCTAAGCTGGTCTCGAACTCCTGACCTCAAGAGATCTGCCTGCCTCAGCCTCCTAAAGTGCTGGGATTACAGGTGGGAGCCACGGTGCCCAGCCTGTAAACATAACTTCCATATGCACTGGGAAACCACGAAATTTGTGTGACTCGCTTTATTGCCGTATCTCTACCGTAGTGGTCTGGAACCACGGCTGCAGGTCCTCTGAGGTGCGCCTGTGGAGAGGCCCAGCTGTGCTCTGGAAATGTGCACCAGCTGCTAAGAGTGACCTTCGAGGGAAGCAGGGCGCATGGGACCCTGGGTGCTCAGACGCTGCTTTTTCTGGCACTATTGTAACCTTTTCACCACACGTACGTGGTCACTTTTTAAACCGTCAATAGTGGAGTGAGATTTGGGGGCATTTTGGTTCTTCTTAAAACTCTTGCCTGGAAATAAATAGCTGTTTGTAGTTTTTATAGTGGAAGATAAATACACACCTTAAGGTAGGCTGGACCCAGAGCCAAGACCACAAGAGGCACATCCCCTGCAGTGGCCACTGACACTCCGCGGCTTGTGGCCACGTCTCCAGTCTCCGCCTTTGTGGTCACACTGCTTTCCCCTCCTCTGTGTCAAATCTCCTTCTTATAAGGATGCATGTGATTGCATTTAGGGCCCACCTGGGGTAACCCAGGATTATCTCCATCTCAAGATTTGCTGTCTAAGACAGGAGAGAGCCTATAGCCACATTCCGCTGGCAGGGATCCTGGTCAGCTCTGCGGGTCCAGTGGATGGAAGACTTTGGGGAGGAGCTGCAAGAATGGCTGGTCCCAAGGGGGTCCTGCTGTCTGTCCATATTTTCTCTTTTTTTTTGAGACGGAGTCTCGCTCTGTCACCCAGGCTGGAGTGCTGTGGCGTGATCTCGGCTCACTGCAACCTCCGCCTCCCTGGTTCAAGCGATTCTCCTGCTTCAGCCTCCCGAGTAGCTGGGATTACAGACGCACGCCACCACGCCCAGCTAATTTTTGTATTTTTAGGAGAGACAGGGTTTCACCATGTTGGCCAGGCTGGTCTTGATTTCCTGACCTCGTGATCCTCCCACCTCGGCCTCCCAAAGTGCTGGGATTGCAGGCGTGAGCCACTGTGCCCGGCCATTGTCTGTCCGTATTTTCAAGGTGGCTCAGGAATTACTTGTGGATGCCACAGTGGTCACTGCACGCTACCCACCCCCAAATGGTGGGACGGCACTGGGTGGGGTCCGGGCGGGCATCATGGGGGCCCACAGCCAGCATCAGGGGTCAGACGAGGTCAGGCACTGACTCACTGCAGTGTGTGGGCTCTAGGAGCCTTGGCCCTGCAGCTGCAGAACGGGTGTGCTCACCTCCCAGGGTGCGGTAGAGAGGACCTGATGGCCGGGCCCCAGCACCCACACAAGGCAAGGGCCACCCCAGCGTCCTCACACGAGCCACCCCTGTGCAGCCTCAGGGGTTGGAGCCATTTCTCAACACACACACTTCACATCCTCGCTCCTTCCACAGATTCCTGCAGAGGGTGAGCGCTGTGGCCCATCCACAGACAGGGCAATGCCAAAGCCCCAGCGGCCTCCACTCCTCAACAAGGTGGGACCAGGACAAGGGCTGTGCTGGTCCCCGGGGGACACCTGGACTCACCTGGATCAGGCCTGCTGCCGGGTTCCGCCTCTTCTCAAAGTGCTTCTGCCTGTGCTGCTCCTGAACCTTCAGGGCAAACCCAGACCCCAAGATGCCCTGCAATTCATCAGGGTCAGGTCACACCCCAGGGACCCCCCACACCCCAATTCATCAGGGTCAGACCATGCTCTGGGGCCCCACACCCCCCCCAATTCATCAGGGTCAGACCACACTCCAGAGACTCACACACCCCCCAATTCATCAGGGTCAGACCACGCCCCAGGGACTCACACACCCCCCAGTTCATCAGGGTCAGACCCGTCTCCACCGATCCATGCCTCCCCCACCTTCATCAAGGTCAGACTAATCCAGGAACCCATATCCCCACAATTTGTCAGCATCAAGAGGAAGGAACCCTCTGGCTTGCAGGAGACATGGCAGGACCCACACTGAACTCAGAGTGGCCTCTTTCCCTTCCACACAGAAGAGTCTGCAGGCCCATCTTGAAGGGCACACAGTGAAGGGGACACCGGGGCCAGCCTCTTGCCGTGCACCAGCTGCCCTGCCCTGCCCTGCCCTGGGGCAACAAGGGTTGACAGGGCCCCTCCACCTCCCTCTGAGCTGGGTGGGCCTCACTGCCTAGAGACCCATGAGGGACCTGTGTCACCAGCCGCCCTGCTCCTGGTCACAAGGACCTCCTGCTCAGCCCCACTCAGACTAAGAGGGGCCACCAGTGACTAACAGAGCCCCCTGAAGCTACAGCCGCAGCCTTGGGCATGCTCCTGTCGGGGCTGGGGAACCCCCACTCCAGTCCTTGGGGAACAAGGCCTCTGACCCTGAGCTGCCACCTCCAGCTCCTGGGGGCTGTGGACCTGCTGAGAGCTGCTCCTGCCCCAGGTCCCACCTAGGGAACTGTGCCCAGGGGCCTGTGGTCACCTCGGGAGCCTACAAGACCTCGTCCCCCTCCAAGGCAGGCAGGGGCAGCTGGACTTACTGCAGGCAGCGCGAAGAAGGAGACACCGATGAGGGTGAAGGTTGCCGCAAGGAGCCTGCCGTTCCAGGTCTGGGGGTACTTGTCCCCGTAGCCAATGGTGGTCAGCGTGATCTGTGGGACCGCAGGCTCTAGTCACACGAAGGGCCTGCTCACACCCCTGAGGGCAGGCTGGACGCCCGCTGGCGACTCGGGGCTTGGGATGGGACAGATGCGGGGCCACCCCCGTGTCACCATCCACACGGAGGCCCAGTGAGGCCAGGGTCGGTGTCGGCCGCCCCTCATCCCCTGAGCCCTCTCTCCTCTTCCCCTACAGGCCAGAAGCGGGGTCCAGCCAAAGGCTGTGTCCCCATCTCACATCGAGAACCAGAGGCCCAGCGACGTGACTCCCACGAGGCTCGGCTAGGACAGCAGCCCCCACTGCATCCCCGCCAGGTGAAGAGTGCAGCTGGGGAGAAGGGAGTGCCCAGAGGGACCCAGAGGAACGGGCAGGGCGTGCAGGGGGCTCGCTGAGCCTGAGCTGAGCTGAGGCCAGAGGAGAGGGGTGGGCAGGAGGAGGCCACCACAAGAGGCGGGGGAGTGGTCTCCACCGAGCCATGGCGGGGTGGGCTGCTCCTGGAGCAGGGACCCCAGGGGTTGTGCTTAGTTTCTCTAGGGGTGGTGGGCAAGGGGGAGGTCAGGCCAGGTTGGACCTCCCCAAGGGTCCCGGTGAGCCCAGGAGCACCCGACTCGGGGCCTGGATGAGGGGAAGCGAAGGACGGACACGTCTCCAAGCAGCTCCGACAAGAGATGCCTGTGCCGGGGCCGAGGAAGGCAGGGGCAGGCACCCTGCACTCAGTGCTGGACATGTTGGGGCCGCAGCCCACCCCCGCCTGCCAGAACCGCACGCACCACAAGCCACGGGCTCAGGACAGCCGCACGGAGGCCACTCTGGCTAGGACCAGAAGGTGGGCCCAGGACAGGCCCTGTGAGGGCAGAGTCTTAGATAAACAGACAGAGGGATCGAGGCCTGAGCGCAGACAGCAGGGCCGGGAAGGGGAGACCTCTCACCAGGACCTGCAGCCCCACCTTGGGGAGTTTACCCTGGGTTCCGAGGACGCTGCTGTGTGGTCTGAGGACAGGGTGGGCCGGCTGGGCCGCACCTGCTCCACACCGACAGGAAGCTGTGGCCTGGTGCAAAGCAGCGCCAGCACCTGGGGGCCTTGGCTGCCACCACCACGCGGAGCGCACAGGAGACTCTGGGAAGGAGGCTGCCACACAGAGTGGGCGGGAGGCTGGGCGAGGCCTGACCAAGAAACCTCTCCTGGGGAGACTAAGCCAGGGCCTCAGCCCTCTACACAATTTCGTTACCAAAGGAGGCGTGGTTTTTTGTTTGTTTGTTTGTTTGTTTTGAGACAGAGTCTCGCTCTGTCCCCCAGGCTGGAGTGCAGTGGCGTGATCCCGGCTCACTGCAAGCTCCGCCTCCCAGGTTCACGCCATTCTCCTGCCTCAGCCTCCCGAGTAGCTGGGACTACAGGCGCCCGCCACCACACCCGGCTAATTTTTTGTATTCAAGGAAAAGGAAGCCGGAGGCCTGGCAGATGGGGCCTGGCCTGCGGGGGAGGTGAGGGCGGGGTTCCCCCCACACTGCTGAAAACCCCCAAAGGCTGCAAGAAAGGGAAACTGGGGGTAGATCTCATCCCAGTAGGAGGTACACAGTCAGCGCGTTTGAATCAGGAAATACCAGCATCCCTATTTGCTATTTAAGACTAATCAGGTAAACCCCAAAGAAAAACACAGAAGCAGCCGCATCCGCTGCAGAGGGACCCAGAGGGGAGGGCACCGCGGCCACAGAGTGGGGCTCTATTCTCACCATAAGGCTTAGTAACTCTCTGACATTTAAAAATATACACAAGCATTACTCTGAAAAAACACCCAATCGTAAAGATAAGAAGGCTGTTGCCCACAAAAGACCTGGGGGATGGGCTTGTCCCCATCAAAAGTCCTAGGGCCCAGCAGTCACAGCTCAGGACGCCCCGGGCCCCACCCTGACCCTGTGGTGGGGCCTGAACCACACAAGATGGCTCAGTGAGTCCAGGTCATCTGTATGGTCCACAGCCTGGGCCCCGGGGCACGCTCAGCTCTCAACCCCCACCCAAGCCCCGACTGGGAAGACAGTGTCCAGGTCTCATGAAATTAATAAAATAACTTCGGATCAGCTGCATCCGGCTTAGGCACCAGGTGGAGCTGCCCATGCCTTCCCCGCAGGGCTGAGCCCACTCAGCCGGCATGTGCGGGGCTAGGCCCGGGGTCTGGTCTCAGCCTCCCAGGAGAGCACAGACCCTGCCCCTGTGCACCAGCAGCCTGAGGGTGTCTGTGGCCCCAGGTGAGGAGGAGCCCAGGGGCCAGATCTGTTCAGACCTGATCAGAGTGGGGCCTGCAGAGCCACCTAGTCTCCAAAAACTCAGGGCTGCCCAGGACAGATCTCCTAGGGATGCCTCTTCTCCCCTTTCCCCCAATAATCGGGACACGGAGCAGGTGGAGGGTCACTCAGGAGGAAGGAAGATGCCCACCACGGCTGAGCTCAGGAGGAAGGAAGATGCCCACCACGGCTGAGCTCAGGCTCTCTGGGGCCCAGCCCTCCCCACCCACTCCCCCGCCAGCTTGGCAACCACCACCCCGCCTCGACCACAAGCCATCATGACCACGGGCAGCCAGCAGGTGGCCCCAAAGAGATGTATGGAGCAGGCTCAGCCAGTGAGAGCCTGGTCCCAGCACAGGGACAGGGGTGTATCAGCAGGGAAAGGGAAAACCACAATGACCACAACTCACCAGGCCCCACCAGAGTGCATCCGCGTAGGTGTCAAAGTGGTCGTTCTCCCCCTTCTCTGCCAAGTACACCAGGAACGAGGCCAGGATGAGACAAAGGAAGCCGATGTACCAGGCAGTGACCAGCTCCTGAGAGGCAGACGGCACCACCATCATGACCACCATCACCAGAAGCATCACCATCACCACCACCAACACCACCACCATCACATCAACACCATGACCACCATCACCACCACCAAAACCATCACCACCACCATCACCACCACCACCACCACCACCATCACCATCACCACCATCACCATCACCACCACCACCACCATCATCACCACCTCCACCATCACCACCATCACCATCACCACCATCACCATCACCACCACCACCATCACCATTACCACCACCATTACCACCACCATCACCATCACCATCACCACCACCACCATCACCATCACCACCACCATCACCATCACCATTATCACCACCACCATCACCACCATCACCACCACCATCACCATCACCACCATCACCATCACCACCACCATCACCATCATCACCATCACCACCACCACCACCATCACCACCATTACCATCACCATCACCACCATCACCATCACCACCACCATCACATCACCACCACCATCACCATCATCAGCATCACCATCACCATTATCACCACCACCACCATTATCACCACCATCACCATCACCACCACCACTATCACCACCACCACCATCATCACCACCACCATCACCGGCGCCACCACCATCACATCACCATCACCATCACCACCACCACCACCATCACCACCACCACCATGATCACCACCATCACCATCACCACCATCACATCACCATCGCCACCATCATCACCACCATCACCATCACCATCATCACCACCACCATCACCATCATCACCACCACCACCATCACCATCACCACCATCACCACCACCACCACCATCACCATCATCACCACCATCATCACCACCACCATCACCATCACCACCATCACCATCACCACCATCATCACCATCACCATCACCACCACCATCACCATCACCACCATCACCACCATCATCACCACCACCATCACCATCACCACCACCACGATCACCACCATCACCATCACCACCACCACCACCATGACCATCATGACCATCACCACCACCACCACCATCACTACCACCATCACCACCATCACCCTCACCACCATCACCACCCGCCACCTGCCTCCAGGAGCACTGCAGCCTCGCCAGTCAGCCCACTTTGGGCTCTGTCTCCAGGGATATAGGGGCTGGATGGACCCGTCTCCTGAGGCCAGCAGAGGCTCCACGCCAGGGTCGGTGGCAGGGCTGGCACAGGGGAACCAGGAGGCGCCGCTGGCTTCACCATCTTAGCTACGGCAGCCCATTCCCCTGAGCCTCCTGGCCTGGGCAACAGTGGCTCGCACGGCCAGCCCACCGTGCCCTCCAGGGTCAGTAGCGTCTATTCTGGCGGCCAGCAGGGCTGGAGAATCTTGGGACTGTTGAGACCCTCCCCCAACCTCCCTGAGCCTCCGGGCACAGATGTGAAAAGGGTGCCCACTGCAGTCAGCACTCAACCCCCACAGCGTCCAGGGAGGGAGAGGGGCCACCGGGGGCTGACCCCTGCCCATTCTGCAGACAAAGCCACCACCCTGCCAGGGCTCAAGAGGGAAGAAAATGGGGAGGGGGCCATTTGAGCAAATGAGCCCACCCGTGAGCAAGGTGGAGGGACAGCACAGTCTGGCAGGATGGGGTCTCGGTCACTGGGGGGCCTGGGGCCCCTGGAACTCAGCATGTGTGGCCACAGCCACCCTCTGGGTCCCCCGGACAGCGGCCGCCGCAAGCCGCAGCTTAAACAACCACCAGGCAGGTGACTAGCACTTTGTATTGATCCAGGCACTAAAAACCCAGGAAAGAAGACACCCAACCACAGAGCCAAGGGTTCGCGGCAGGAAGGTGGGGGTGGCAGGGGCCAAAATGGCCTGGCCTGGCCTTTCGAAAAAGCAGCTTTCTGGAGACAGATGACAAAGATGGCCCAAGTCACGAGAAGAAGCACCGAGAAGAAAGGGGAGGGAGGCTCGTTCACACCTGATGGGCTCCAGCCAGAGCCACCACTGACTCCATCCCTCCACCCAGGGCTCTTGAAGCAAACCCCAGGCAGGGGTGGGGCCCGGTCTGGGCCAGGACTCTCGCTGGCTGGGGGCGCCCACCGCCAGCCTTGGGGCCGTGACTCACCTTGCTGTGGGCATAGACCACAGAGCCCAGCAGCTTCCAGGTGCCTCCCCGCCGGTCCATGCGGATCATCCGCAGAATCTGCAGGAAGCGCAGGCTCCGGAGCGCAGATGTGGCAAAGACGTTGCCCTGGGAGCCGGCGGCCAGCACCGCAATGGAGGCGATGAGCACCATGATGTCTACAAAGCGGGCGTGGAGCTGGTGAGCTGCTGGGCCGCTCCCCGCACCCCCTTGGAGAAAACTCCCCACCCCGCGTTCCAGGAGGATGTGCAGAGGGGCGGGAAGGTGTATGCCCAGCGCCTGGTGTGGGCTCTGTCAGGCCCCAGGAAGGACATTACTATCGTCCACCCTGCCTGTGGGGCCCAGGATGGGCAGCCCAGCGCCACATTCCTCTTCCTGACATTTAGGCAGAGTTAACCACAGCCTCTGACTCCAAGTCAGCAGGTGAAAAGAAACTTCCAGAAGGAGCCAGTCCTGCCCAGCCTCTCTGGCCCACGCAGACGCCCCAGCTCCCCCCAGGGCTGAGTCCGTCCCTGGGTGCCTGGCCCTGATTCTAGCAATACCACCCCCACCAGGCCTCACCAATCACACAGAACGGTTTCCGGGCAAACTTGAGCCGCCCCCTCCAGCCACGGTACCGGCAGCAGCAGCCTGCGGCCCAGATCCGCACGAAGTACTCCACGCCAAACACCACGATAGTCACGATTTCCTGCAGGGGAGGAAAGCTGAGGCCACCTTGAGGCCTGGGGGAGGGCCTGGGGGCCCAGCCTGGACACCCACAGGAGCAGTTCTG
This sequence comes from Homo sapiens, assembly GCF_000001405.40. NCBI lineage: Eukaryota > Metazoa > Chordata > Mammalia > Primates > Hominidae > Homo > Homo sapiens. Next base: position 63,445,449 of record NC_000020.11, read on the forward strand.
GCCCAGGGACCAAGCCACAGGGCAGGAGGCCCCCAAAGGAAACTGCAAGCTGACCCCCCCACCCCTCTCCAGCCTCTGGGCAGGAAGGGTTGGGCCCTCTGGAGACCCTGCATCCGGGAACACAGCTGAGCATGAACACCATGGGGCCACCCTCCCCACCTCCCTGTCTGAGCTGGGGACTCTATCTGGGCTAGGGGACCATGTCTGAGCTGGCAGGGCTGCCCTGTCTGAGCTAGGGGGTTCTATCTGGGCTAGGGAACCCTGTCTGAGCTGGGAGGCCCTGTCTGAGCTGGGAGGCCCTGTCTGAGCTGGGGGACCCTGTCTGAGCTGGGGGACCCTGTCTGAGCTGGGAGGCCCTGTCTGAGCTGGGGGACCCTGTCTGAGCTGGGAGGCCCTGTCTGAGCTGGGGGACCCTGTCTGAGCTGGGGGACCCTGTCTGAGCTGGGAGGCCCTGTCTGAGCTGGGGGACCCTGTCTGAGCTGGGGGACCCTGTCTGAGCTGGGAGGCCCTGTCTGAGCTGGGGGACCCTGTCTGAGCTGGGGGACCCTGTCTGAGCTGGGGGACCCTGTCTGAGCTGGTTGGGGAGCTGCCCTGTCCAAGCTGGGGGACTCTATCTGAGTTGGGGGCCCCTGTCTGAGCTGGGGGACCCTGTCTGAGCCAGTGGGGGACCTGCCTTGAGTTGGGGGGTGCACAGCAGGGCTGAGCTGAGGGAAGGCCCCAGGTAACTGCAAAGGGGGCCACAGTCTCCACCCAGACCTTGGGAAGCCCCAGAACAGAGGAGCAGGGCGGGCAGTAGAGGGAGGTGCATTTGGATGGGGACCAGTCTCCTTGAGGGCCCCCCACCCCGTTACCAACAGCAACACAGGAACTGCACTCCCGTTGCCATGGCGCCCACCCTGCCCTGGCACAGGGTTGCTGCAAGCGTCACAGCCCCCACCCCGACGCCCACGTCTGCCGTCTGCTGGGGACGCCCCACATCTCCGGCTCCAGAGATAAAGTGGGGATGGGAAAGGGAGGGTGGCCCACCCAGGGTGGGGGCGATGGAGGCGGGGCTGTCAGCCACTGTGAGGTCACCAGGAGGGGTGAGGTGAGGGCTGAGTTACAGCCAGGGTGGGGCTGGGGCATAGCCCGGGCTGTGGGGCTGGGGGCAGATGGGAACTGACAGGGCACAAAGACATGGCCAGAGCTGGGGCTGGGGGCGTCAGAGGCCCTGTAGTAACAGGAACGGAAGACAGACGCCCAGGCAGCTCCAGCTCCTTCCTGGGCACTTCCAGCCCCCGCCCTCCCTCGGGGCTCACCAGGATGTAGAGGGCCCCCTCCGAGCTCTTCTCATACTCCTTGATGGTGGAAAACACAGACAGCACGAGGCAGGAGAAAACCAGGAGGAACCTGGGGGCAGGGAACGCGCGCTCTCAGACAGGCCGCAGCAGGGCAGCAGCATGGCTGTGTCTCCAGAACTCAGGACCCCACTCCCCACCAGGCCGCAGCAGGGCACCAGCATGGCCGCGTCTCCAGAACGCAGGACCCCACTCCCCACCCACCCCACCAGAGCTCGCTCGGGCCAGAGGGCACCCCCATAGCCACCTCCCGGGACCCTGAACTCCACAGTGGCAGCTGCCCCCTCTATGCGCAGCTGCCCCCTCCAGGACGCACCCCCCTCTCCACTCTGGCCCCTGCCCCTTCTGTCTGGTTTCAGCCTGGCAGCCTCATCCTTTGGCAACGTCTCCAAAACTCTCAGTCAAATGGGAACAGCAAGGCCTGCCCATCAACTGCTACAAACACAGGAACAAGCAAAACCCCTGGGGCAGAAGGCACCGATCAGCCTTCCCCTCTCCTCACTCTCGGCCACCTCCTCCAGACCCCAACGCAGAGGGCTTCTCTCTGCCAGTTAAACCCGGAGCCAAGCAACAGGAGCTCCTCGGATCACCTTCTTTCCAGCCTCGTCCTGGCTGCCAGGAGGCTCCGTTTCTCCTTCCTCCCGGGTTGCAGGCACCTCCTCCCGCCAGTGACTTCCACCATGATTGCTCTTCCCATTCACGTCCCACGCGATTACCTCACTCACTGATCCTTCTTCAATTTCCCCTCAGATGCTCAAGTTCACACCCCACCAAAATTCCCCCAAATGCATGTGGGTATTTTTGTTTTTGTTTGTTTTGTTTTGTTTTGAGATACAGTTTCACTTGTCGCGCAGGCTGGAGTGCAATGGCGTGATCTTGGCTCGCTGCAACCTCCGCCTCCCGGGTTCAAGCAATTCTCCCGCCTCAGCCTCCAGAGTTGCTGGGATTACAGGCATGTGCCACCACACCAGGCTAATTTTTGTATTTTTTTAGTGGAGATGGGGTTTCATCACATTGGCCAGGCTAGTCTCGAACACCTGGGCTCAAGTGATGCTCCCGCCTCGGCCCCCCAAAGGGCTGGGATTACAGTCATGAGCTACCATGCTCGGCCCAAATGCGTGACTTTTTCTCAGCCCTGCATTCTCCTCTGATACAAGCGACTCTGCTACACTTGCTCCCTTGCCCACCCCAGGAAGCTGCAGACAGGAGGAGCCCGCTAGCCCCCGAAGACCCTGCCGCGGGAACCCGGCTTGTGGCTGCAACAAGGCCACCCACATAGAAGAGACATAGAAGATCTCCCAGCTCTTCCTGGGAGCAAAGCTGTGCAACCCAGAGCCTCAAGCTGCCGCTTTGGCAGGAAAGCCAACTCCCGCGTGCTGAAGTCACTGAATGCACACCAGAGAGAAACCCACTTCGCAGGAAGCAAATGCTTTGTCTCATTTACATTTTTCGCAGGTGTTCTGGGATGTGAAGGGGACGTGTCCAACGTCCAGGTCCTTCGTCACAGCCATAAAGGAGGCCATGCGTGGGACACGCCCTCATTCCAGGCAATGTGAGAGACGCCTTCACCTTGACCGTGTTGCTGCCTCTCGTTCCAACCGTGCTCAGAACCAGGAGCCGGCGGGGACGGAGCCACAGAGCAGCCGCTTCCCCGTGTCCGCGCCCCTGTACTGTCTTCACACTCGCCATCACCTTGCACACCCTGCGGCACCACACGACCGCCACGGAGCCTGTGGGGCCCTCCTGTGTCTCAAACCCGAGCCCTTCCCCGGCGCCCACATCCAGGTGGGTGTCAAGGGAGGGAGATTCCCCACACTCAGGATCTCCTTCCCTCTGTCCCCAAAGCAGTGCTGCAGTCCAGCCTGGGTTCCGGGCAGTGTCCCCGCTCCCCTCTCCCCACTCCCACAGAGGAAATATTCCCTGGATGCCCCGACCTGCAGGGCCGAGACTGGGCACAGGCACGGGCATCCTGGGGGAAGTCCCTCCAGCCCGGATACGCCCACCCCTGACCTGCTGGGCCGGGGCACTGGCCACAGGCATGGGCATCCTGGGGGGGAGTCTCTCCAGACTGGTCACGCCCCCTCATCATTGGAGCTTCGGAGCATCACAGCACCTGTCTAGACCCACCCCTCCTGTCTCAGCCTTGCAATTTCCTTTCCAGTCTGGGGGTGCAGGGATGCTCATGGGATCGAGGCTGGCCAACCACGGCCAGCGAGTGGTGGCCCCAGAATCTCTGCTGGAACTACCAGGAATAAGACACCCCCTTCCCACAAAGGTTGCCAACTAGGAGGAGGCAGGCCTGGGGCACTGGCAGGAGGACGGGTGGGCACAGGAAAACCTGCCTGAAGATGAGGTCATGAGGAAGGCAGCACAGAAGGATGGGAGAAGAGGCCTTAAGACACATAATGTGAGCACCTGGATCCAGCTGTGCCTGAAGCCCCTTGGACTTCCAGGTTATGTAAGCCCATTCCTTACAACCCTTTGCATTTGTTTTCTGCCCCTTGCAAATAAAAGACCATGACCTTTCACGCTATGAGCAGCTGACATCGGTGTGTCCCTGCTGCGAGCCCACGCCTGACTCCACCATGCTGTGGCCACATGCTACTCTGACCCACAGCTCCTCCCTGGGCAGACAAGCCACGCGGCTGTGACACAAGCTGCCACGGATCAAAAAGGAAAAAACAAGTCCTCGATGTGCGGAGCTATTTAGTGAGCACAGGTCAGCGTTGGCCGCAGTGCCTGGAGGGTCTGGAGGGTTTGGGGAGCAGAGGTCAGCATTGGCTGTGGTGCCTGGTGGGAAGAGGACCCCACTCTGCTCACGGCTTCACTGTCTTGTGGGAGAGCCCCTGGGGAGCACCGCAGAGAGAGGAGGGACTCACCAAAGGCCGAGCTCCACAGCCCGGGAGAAGAGGGAAAAGCCCCAGCGTCTGAGCTCCTGGGAGAAGAGGGAAGAGGGAAGCCCCAGTGTCTGCGGCCTGCAGGGAGACTTCTCAGACTTTTGGCCGCGGAGGCAGAAGGACAGGGCCAGGCCATCCGGGCACAAACCCGGGGCCCCCATCACCCCAGGCTCAGGCTCTGAGCCCCCAAACCAGGACCAGCCCACTGGGTGGTGGCAGCAATTGGAGCACGTAATTGGGCCCACATCTGACACACAGCACTCAGAGCAGACCCCGTCCCGCACCATCAGTGCCATCACCAGCACCCACACCCAGCACACAACCCTGCGCTGCCTGCGCCCCTGGAACCCGCCCGCCACCACACGAGCTCACTGCCTCTGCCCCTGCAGGCCCCTCACCCCGCCTCACCCCCTCCCTCACTTACAGGCCCCTCACCCCGCCTCACCCCGTCCCTCACTTACAGGCCCCTCACCTCCACCACCACTCCTCCCCCACCCCTCCCTCACCCAAAGGGACGAAGTGCCCCAAACCCTCTTCCCACTGCTCCGGAGGGACCTAGACGAAACCCTGGCTGCTCTTCCAGAGGTCACGGCCCAGCACACGTGCCGGACGAGGGCGGCCGCAGAGGCCCAGCAAGGCCACCACACATGAGGTCAGGGCTGGATCTCCCTCCCCAAGTGGCTTTAGGCTTCCAGGAATAAGGCAGCACTGATGCCTGCCCCCGCTCCCAGGGCCCTGGGGCTGCCCCAGGTGTGGGACGCTGTGGCTGCCCCATGCAAGGGCCAGGACTCCCTGAGGCAGCACTGGGCGCTGCAGTCACCCCTGGGGGCAGAGCCCCAGAAGACCTGCTGGGGGGTGGGGGAAGACTGCTGGGGGTGGGGGAAGACCTGCTGGGGGTGGGGGAAGCCAGGAGATCCCTAGCGCAGAGGTCACACAGGGTCAAGGTGGGGTCAAGGTTGAACAAGAGTGGCAGGCGCCCAGGTGAGAGCTGGCAGAGCAGCGTCTGTGGAGCCGAGGCTGCGGGGGCTTGGAAGCAGGGGAGGGCAGACCTGTGCAGAGAGCCCTTGGCATAACTAACTCCATCTTAGGAAAAGACTCCATTTTGTCTCACAGGGCACTCTACCAAGAAGGATAAGATGTCTGTTTAAAAACCAAAAAGCAAAAAAGAAGAAAACCTGGCCATGCATGGCGGCTCACGCATCAGCACTTCGGGAGGAGGCCGAGGCGGGCAGATCACTTGAGATCAGGAGTTCGAAACCAGCCTGGCCAATATGGTGAAACTCTGTCTCTACTAAAAATACAAAAATTAGCCAGGCATGGTGGCGCAGGTCTGTAATCCCAGCTACTTGGAAGGCTGAGGCAGAAGAATCGCTTGAACCCAGGAGGCGGAGGCTGCAGTGAGCCGAGACCATGCCACTGCACTCCAGCCTAGGCAATAGAGCAAGACTCTGTCCCAAAAAAAAAAAAAAAAGAAACAAACAAACAAAAAAATGAAGACCAAGTCCAACCAGATAAGGACACACACAAGCCAGTCCTCCGTGCTCAGTTCTCCCTGGAGGCCTCTGTCTTCACCGCCGCTGTCTCACAGTCACCTGCAGCAGCCCAGGCCAGGCCTCTGGGCTGGTATTAACCCTCTGTCTTGTGTCTTTTTCCTCATGATGTTAAACCTGGCTTTGGGTGGAAAGTGGAATTTGACCAGATGAGCACACGGCAATATACGGTCTGCAACACTGACCAACATGGAGTGGCCGTGACCGCAGCATGACCCAGAAGCTCTAGGGAGAACCTGCCTGCTTGGGGACTCCACGTAGCTCGTGGCTTTTGTGATTGAAACAGCATCAATAAAAGCCTGACCCTGTGGAAAGACACAAACCCGCGTGGACCTCGTGTCAAGCCCATCCTGTGTGCAAAGTGCCTCCAGGACCTGGGGACTTGGGCAAGCTCCCTTCAGCCAAGAACAAGAGGGTGGCCATGCTGTTCCAGGCTCGATTCACGACGGACACCCCCACGGCTTCCCTCTGCCCGGACCCAGTCATCTCCCCACTGAACACCCTCTGGATGTGGGGAGGCCAGCATGGCCCCCTGCAGCCCCCCTCCCACTCGCTGGAGACCCCCAAGTCCAGGCAGCCTGAGTCCTCTGGCCTGGGCAGGCGCAGTCCCCATAGCTCCACCTTCCGACTCCCCAGCAGCGGCCTCTGCTGCACGGCCCAGGGCGTCCAGGGCAGGGAAGGCGGGGCACAGGGTGGTCCTCCCAAGATCTGCCCCGGGAAGGACCACGGCCGTGCTTCAGAAGCACCCGGGACCACACAGTCTGAAGCAGAGGTGGAGGCTTCGGGCACAGGCGGCCCGGCCAAGGTCAGCCCCACCAACTGCCCATTCCAGCACCAGAGCCAACTGAGGCCTGGCACTGCTCAGCCACAGGCAGCGGCGGCAGAAACTGTGCCTGTGAAGGCTCTGGCCCAGCACCCAAACCAAAGATGAAGGCGCAGGGGCCAAAGCCACATTTTAAAGCGTCTCATGTGAAAACTGTCAGCATCTCTAGCGTGAGCCCAAGTTCAGATTCTACCCACGTACACCCCGAGGACGTCCCAGCTCCATGCCATTGAGAAGCTGTAATCCAGTGCCTGCCTCTGAGCTGAGGGCAGCAGGCTGGAAACTCAGCACGACTTCCATGTTGCGGTCTTGAGGAAAATCCTTTTTCTTCCGGAAACCTCAGTCTTTGCTCTCAAGGCCTCAGCTGCTGGGACGACGCCCACCCCCACGGCAGAGGGTCACTAGCTTCACTTGAAGTCCGCTGAGCTAAGTGTTCATGCCGAAAAACACCTGCACAGCAGCGTCGAGGCAGGTGCGTGGCCACCAGCCGGGCACCATGGCGCAGCTGCGTGTATACAGAGTGTATGCATACAGTGGGCATCACGGGCTGGGAGAGGACACAGGGGCCTCGGCCAGAGGCCTGGGACTGCAGCAGGAACGGGCTGATTCAGCGGTGCAGGCACAGAACACCCTGACTGATGCTGAAGGACAGTGGTGGGGAGAGCCAGGTCTCTCGCCGGCAGCTCGGCTCCAGGGCAGGTCCAGGCCACACACCTGCCCAGGACCCCACCAGCTGGCCTGCAGCCACAGAGAGAGGCCCCACCGGGACCCTCCTCGTGGGAACTGGGAGCCTCCACACAGGCCAGCCAGAATGCCTCAGCCCGGGACGACGCGCCAGCCGGAGCTCCAGCTGCAGGGGCAGGGGTTGGGGCGGGGGCTTCCAGGAAGAATAGTCCCTGCAGGCTGAGGGGAGGGTCCAGGGCCTAGTGAGAAGCTCAAAGCGCAGCACCGCGTGTGGAGGCCGGGTGGGTCCAAGAGCCAGAGCCTGCCCCACGCTGCACCCCTCCCCGCCACCCCCAAGACCACAAGCCACAGCCAGGTCCTGCCCTATCCAGCTGCCGCCCCGCGGTGGACGTCGGCACAGCAGCACCAGGAAGGCCCTGTGTCGGGCACCCCAGGAGACACCAGTCCTCCGCCCGCCGCCACAGGCCCACGGCTTCCAGCTCGAAGGCACTGGCCCTGAGGCACCGTCGCCAGGGGGCACTCGGCCCCGCCCACGTGTGCGACCCAGAGGCCTCCGCCAGGACCCCGAAGCTCCCGGCTCCAGGCAGGGGCGCTGGCAGTGGTGCCGAGGCCCAGGCAGACAAACCATACGCAAGGGACGTCCCATTTCCAAGCCGCGATTAATTTCCTGTGCTCGTTGGCCAAGTTCTTCAATTAACTGAGCCCTGGGAAAAATGCGCAGACATCTCGTGCGCCTTCTGCGGGCGATCCTCTGTCTGCCTAACGGGGTTTTCTCTGAACTCTCAGCGGGGTAGGAGCAGGGGAGGACGCGGGGGTCCCTGGCTTCCCAGTCAGGAGCCCAGAGGCTTGGGAGGCAGGAGGGGCGCCGCGGGGACACAGAGGGCATCACACATCACAGGAGGGGCTCAGGGACCCAGCTCAGCCCAGCAGAGCCACGCACATAATCCTGTGGGCTTCCCGGAGGAGGCGTGTACAGGGGCGGGGGGGCTACAGGATACAGAGGAGTTGGCCACAGGGGGAGAAGGGGAAGGGCATTCCCAGCAGAGGGAGGAGCCGCTGGGGAGGCCTGGCGAGAGAAGGGCAGGCGTATCTGCATCCCACCGAGGATGAGGCTGACCAGACTTGAGAACAGGGCGGGGTGGGGACAACGACAGCCCCACAGACTTGAATTCTGAGTCCTCAGTGCCGCATCCAGGAAGGCAGCTCCTCGGGCTGCAGGGAACCTTCCTCTAAACTAAAAAAAACGAGGCCCAGGTCCCAAATGTTCAGGACTCAGCCTGCTTCCTAAGGTGGCTCCGACCAGGCATCTCAGAGCATTCCAGAAACCCTGGAGACAGAATGCAGCCGGATGCGGCCGAGATCTGTGGCTCCTCCCAGCAGGCGTGGACCAGGAGGAATAAAGCCAGAATTCAGGGAGATGAATCTCGCAGCCAGGCCCTCAGAAGGCTCCAGCTCCTTCCAGCTCAGCTTCCGCCCATCTGCCCCCGCCTCGCCGGCCCGCAGACCCTGCATGAAGGAAGCAGCTGCCCCTCCCGCCGCTGCCCCTCCTGCCACAGCCCCACCCGGAAAGTGCAGGCAACAGCTCCGACTTTTGTTTTTTAAGTTTTTGGAACAGATGGCACAGATGGCGCTGCCGGGGGCGGCCGGTGCAGGGGAGGCAGAGAGACGGACGTGCGAGAAGAGCCTTGGAGGAGGGAGGAGGCGGCACGGGGTGCGTCTGGGCCCGTCTGGGGGACGCAAAGATCCCGGTGCCTCGGCCGTGGCTCCAGGCCCCAGGACAGACCAGGGAAGAAACCTCCAAACTGCGGATAGTTCCCAAACGCACTGGCCAGCCATCCGGTCGGCCGAACCGTGGGGAAGACACAGGGGCTTCCAGGCCTCCGCCTACAAACCGTGGTGTCCCCAAGACATCCACACTCATGCCCATCTTAGAGAAGGGGAAACTGAGGCTCACTGAGGCAGGTGAGGGCCTCTGCCTCTGAACCAGGGGAGGGAGAGGGCGGCAGGAGACCCCTGATGGCATCCCCCAGGCCTCGGGAGAGGAGGCTCCCCGGGAACACTGGGACACACTCCCTGCCCATGTGGCCTCAGGGTCCCAGGCACGACGAGCGTCCAAATGTGGGACACTCCCTGAGGGCCAGCTGCCAGAGGCCTCTCGGGACGGGGCCATCACCACCTCAGACCCAGGCCCACAGTGTGGGTACAGCCCCTCCTGCACTAAGCTGGGGGACACAGCCCACCACGGGGCACTCAGCTGAGGTCTCGCTGGCTCGGCAAGGGCTGCCCGCCCCCTCCTGCCCAGGCAGCGGCCAAGTCTGCAGGAAAAGAAAGAAGAGACTTCCTACGGGAGAATGGGGGAGGATGAGGGGAGGACGGCGGGAAGACGATGGGAGGATGGGAGGACGGTGGGAGGACGCTGGGAGGACGATGGGAGGACCGAGCAGCTTCTCTGCAGCCCAGAATTACAACACAAAGGGTTTCGAAGCTAATTATGATAATGGGTTCAACTTCCGGAGCTTCCCTGGCAGCCGTTGCCAAGGAGATAAGGCAAGTAGCTGGTCCCCAGCCCCAGATTCAGGCAAAGAGTCAAGGTGGGGGCAGGGAGGATCCACAGAGCCCTGGCACCCACCACTGAGCAGAGGGGCAGGGGGACACCTGGACCGCGGGCGTCGGCTGGGGCTCACCGCACGTCCCTGACGCACAGCCCAGCCCCGTGCCCATCAGACAGCCCCAGATCACAAGAGAGGCCATGGCGGGGATCAGGCACCCCGAATGCAGTCACAGACTGAGCATGGAGCAGCGGGGGATCTCCTCCTGGGACCTGGGACCCAAGTGCAAAGAGGAGAAGTTGGGGCAGGGAGGGGCCCATGGGAGGGACCAAAGGGTCACCAGGCCAGAGGGGTGCCCAGTTAAGGCCGGACCACAGTCCTGGGGCCCCCACCGCCCAGTTAAGGCCGGACCACAGTCCTGGGGCCCCCACGCTGGCACCCTCAGGCCTTGAGATGCAAAAACTCCTCTACTCACGGGGCCCCCACCTCCGGGAGACCCCTGTGCTCACGGACCCCCCACCTCCGGGAGGCCCCTCTGCTCACGGGCCCCCCACCTCCGGGAGACCCCTCTGCTCACGGGCCCCCCACCTCCGGGAGACCCCTGTGCTCACGGGCCCCCCACCTCCGGGAGGCCCCTCTGCTCACGGGCCCCCCACCTCCGGGAGGCCCCTCTGCTCACGGGCCCCCCACCTCCGGGAGGCCCCTCTGCTTCACGGGCCCCCCACCTCCGGGAGGCCCCTCTGCTCACGGGCCCCCCACCTCCGGGAGGCCCCTCTGCTTCACGGGCCCCCCACCTCCGGGAGGCCCCTCTGCCCACGGGCCCCCCACCTCCGGGAGGCCCCTCTGCCCACAGGCCCCCCACCTCCGGGAGACCCCTCTGCTCATGGGCCCCCCACCTCCGGGAGACTCCTGTGCTTCCAGGTCTCCCCCGCCTTCCTTCCCCATTCTGGTTGAAGGGGATATTTCTTTTCTGGGAAAGCATGACACAGACGCCGCCACCCCGCTCCTCACTCGCTTCATGCACTTGGGGAAGAGGACTCGACGCAGGAGGGGTCTGGGCCCCCCGAGTCAGTCCCACAGCCAGCCCCCTCGCTCTGCGACTCTGGATCCTCCAGTCAGGCCCCTTCCCCAGAGGCTGACTCCAAGTTGGCCAGGGCTGTTCATCTCATCTTGCGTATTTAGTTAAATGAAAACGGAACACGTGAAGGATGGGCGGGCAGGAGGGAAGGCGTCACCACCTCACCGCCACCCTCAGCCCCTGCCTCAGACAGAGCCAGGGTTGGGTCAGGAGGGGCCCCTGACATCAAGACCCCACTCCCACTCCACGGGCTAAGCTTCTCAGCACACCCATGACCTGCCAGGAGGGAAGCAGCCCTACAGTCACGTGCCCATTTCACAGTCGGGAAAACAGAGGCTCCGGAGACTCTCAGAGGCCCACGTGCGGATTGGCCAGAGCTGGCTGGCTGCACGGCCCCCACCATGCACCCCTCTCCCACTGCAGGGGGTCCTGGGGGGTCCCACGCAGCCTCCTTAGGCAGAAATTCCCTGTCCAGAACAATGTCCATGCTGATGAGGCTGCACCTCCCCGGGGCTGGGGACCTGGGAGCCCAGCAGGGCCCCGGGGATGAGCAGAAAGCCAGCGTGAGGCCGGAGTGGGCACCAGGTCCAGGACTGCTCGAGCCTCCCTGGGGGCCCCGCTCGCCTCGTCCATTAGGCAGCCGCCACGCTGCAACCTGGAATCTAATTTCACCATCTAATGAACTGCTCTGTTTCCAGGACACACGCCACCTCCCACCTCAGAAGTGACGGGCGCGGGCGCCGCTGACAGAGTCCAGGCGTGAACCGGGCATGAACCAAGCGTGATGGATCACTGCAGACCGCCGGGGCTGGAGGGGACAAGGGCCACGCTCCTGCAGAGCTGCACACAGAGACCTCTCGCGTGGAGCCGCCTCATGCTGAGCACTGCGTGGCTTGTACCTGCCAGGCCAGGGTCCACCCTCATTCGGAGCTTCCGGCAGCACCCACCTGAGCCTAAGGCCATGGGGCAGGGACGGGAGGTGACCCAGGTGGGACCGAGCCTCCCAAACACTGGGTGCTCAACTGGACCCTGACAGGACACAGGTCAGGAAGTCTCAGGTCCTCAGAAGGCCCAGCTGCTAGCCTGATGCTCACGGCCTCCAAACGGCCTGGGCCTGCCTATGCCCGCCTGCACCCACCTGGCACCTACAGCCCTCCTTCCAACATCCTGGGCAGGGAGGCGCTCTCAGGGGGCTCTCGATGCCCCACACTGACCATGGCCCCAGGATGGCCACTTCCTTCAGCCAGCTGTGGCTCCCTCGGGAACAGGAGTGGAGGAGCTGGAGGCGGGGGTCCTGCCCACCTGCACGTTGCTCCCTAACCACTCCCGCAGCAGACGCCCAAGGCCCACAGGGACCCCCAGCCCCCTGCATTGCTGCAGCAACCACAGGTCCTTCCAGGGCCTTCGCCCCGGCCCAGAAAGAGGGGGCATCCGCCATGCACCCCAGGGGCTCTGGGAGCTGCAGCTGTGGGCAGACTCCCAGGCCCTGGCAGGAAACCCGCTGGCTCAGCACGTGGTTAAATCAGCTCCCCGGGCACTGCCTCGTGACTTCGCAGCGCCTGCTCACGGTCCCTGGAGACGGAAGCTCCGCAGGGCTCATTTGTTCTCCATTAGTCACCTGTCCCACCCAGACCACAGGTGCTGGACAGAGACCCAGCCGGTGCACCAAGCAGGGCTGGCCAAAGTGCCCAGCCCAGCCCCATGCAGAGGTCCTGGCCCGCCCTCCCCGACCCCGCAACCTCCCTGGGCTCGCAGCCCCTGGCCTGGGGTCCCCTGGACTTTACTCTTCCTCCCGGCATGCCCCGGCTACCCACTCTCCACTGCCCCATCCCAACCCACTGAGCCCGCAGAGAAGCGCCCCTGTACCAGCCACTTTGATCCCAGAAGCATGTGGAGAAGCTGGGTGGGAATGGCAGCCAGCATAGGCGAGCCCCAGGCCCTGAAGATAGACCCCACCCTGGCCTGGCCCTCGAGGCCGCTGCAGTGCCTCATGGTGGACCCCACGCGACCCATCCACCCTGCTCCCCTCCTGCCCTCGGCAAACGCCGTCCCTGCCCCAGGGCCTTTGCACGTGCACTTCCTGCTGCCTGGAATCCTCTCCTACCCGCAGGTCCCAGAGCCGCCCCCTCATCCCCCAGGCTTCAATCTCAGGTCACTTTCTCTGAAAGGCTGCCCGACCATCCCTTCCCCGGGCAGCCCCCAAGTCTCCCTGGTGTATTCTCTCCAGGGCCCTGAGCCTGACCGAGCACTGTCCCCCCAGAGCAGCGGTCTGCTCGCCCTCCCGGAGGCAGGACCCCACATCCTCTGCTCAGACAGTGGCCCCAAGTGCCCAGCCCAGAACCTGCACAGAGGCGTCTCCCCACATCCAGGCAGGCGGCAGCCAAGACCCTGCCCTGGCCAAGTTGAACCTGCTCGAGAGCCCAGGCTGGCAGCTAGGCCTGGGGCCCACACTCAGGCGTCACTGCACCACCTTCCGCACAGCGGGAAGAGCAAGGCGAGGGCTCCGGGAGGGGGCCTGTGTGGGTCTGGGGGGCTGAGATGAGGAGGGCACGGCCCACCCAGGGCACCTGGCCACATGTGACGCAGGCTTCGTCCCAAGAGGAATGACGAAATGTCCAGAGACACTCACCGCGTGTCCACAGCAGCCTCACGGCAGACGCAACCCAACATCCAGTTGGTGGGTGGGTAGATAAACTGAGGTCCGTCCGTGCGGCCACAGGAAGGACGAGGCAGCGGCCCCCAGACACGGAGAGGATGAAGGAGTACCCTAAACACGAAGGAACCTGAGGGCAGGCTCGGCAAGGAAAGCCAGGCACAAAACGGCACCACGATGACAACTCCACTTACACGAAACATCCGAAGCAAACAGGCCAGGCCCGGCGGCCACGCCTGTACTCCCAGAGCTTGGCGAGGCCGAGGCAGGAGGACAGCTTGGGCCTAGGAGTTCGAGACCAGCCTGGGTAACACAATGAGACCCCATCTCTACAAATGATTTAAGTTAGCCAGATGTGGTGGGGCACCTGCAGTCCCAGCGACTCGGGAGACGGAGGCTGGAGGATGGCTCGAGTCCAGGAGGTCCAGGCTGCAGTGAGCTGTGATTGAGACACTGCACTCCAGCCTGGGCGAAAAGAGACCCTGCCTCAAAAATAAATAAATTAAATAAAATAAAATAACAGGCACGTCACAGAGACAGGCAGGAGACCGGCAACTGCCAGGGACAGGGTGGGGCACACGATGGCAGAGGGCAAGAGTGTCCACATGGGGTGACAAGTTTTCAAATAGGGCTGGTGGCGGCAGACCATCACTAAATTCTCCACTCTAAACGCCTCTGAATTACTCGCTTTAAAATGCTATCTGCATGTTAGGATAATTTAACCTCTATTTTTAAAAAACAAAATAAACCGTGTTGTCAAGGTCTGGGACAGCAAGCGCACACAGGTAACCTGCCTGCCCATCAGTGGCTCTGTGCCTAGGGTGTCCACCCACCTGTGCCTCAGTTTCTCTCTGAATAGGATAGCTTTGGGTGGGGAGAGTTAACACTCACCACACCTTGTCCCCTCCAGACTCCTCCAGTCCATGGTGCTGTTGTCTCGGTAGGAAGGCTGGAATGTGGACAGGTGCGTTTACACTACAGGAAGCAGACGGCACCCGGGGACCTTGTGAGCTGTAGAATCGCCCCTTCTTCTGTGGCTGAAGCTTGGCTCTGGCCCTGGCCAGTGTCCCCATCCCAGCCCAGCCTACTCCTCCCCAAACCCGAGCCCCGGAGCTTCCCTGTCATGCACACCCCCATCCCCAGCACCTTTGGGGACCCCTGCTTGGCCTGGCCTGGGCTCCTGACCCTGCAGGTCCCTCCCTGGCCTTACCCAAGCCCTTAGCAGCTTTGGGGAGCAAAGGCTTCATGAGGTCCCAGGGGAGCTGGGGTGGAGAGGGGCTCCCCCCACCCTCAACAAGGGGGCTCCTCCTGAGACATCCCACACTCCCTTCATGGGCTCAAGCTGCCTGTCAGCCCCACCCGAAACCCATTCAGGTGCTGAGGGCACCCCAACAGTGGCACTCCTGACCGAGGCTCCCAGCAGGCCTTCCCCCCCACAGCCCCCTGAGACAGCCACGCCTAACCCCCTCCCAAGCAGGCCAGTGCCCTCAGCTGGTCCACGGCTCACAGCTCCAGTCCCTGGCCCCCTACAAACGTCCTAGTGAGTGCTCTCTCTCGGCCTCCACTTGCACACCTCCGGCGACGGAGGGCTCACCCCACAGAAAGAATCTCGTTCCAACACAAGCCCCTCCTGGGCCAGCCTGCGTCCTCCCTCTCCCCTCACCAGCCTTCCTGGCCAGGGTGGCCTCATCACCTAATCACATTCAGGCAGACCCGGGGCCTGCAGGACAGCCCTGGATGGGACACATGTGGATTCCCCAAGCCTCATGTGGACACGTCCCCAGGACAGCTGTGGTGTCGACATCCACGCAGGGACACCACACAACACAGGGACTCTGCCGTCATCCATGTCCACAGGTGGCTGGACAGGTGCTGCGGCAGCCCCAGGTCAGAGACAAGCCAACTACCTGGCACGCGAGACTCATCTTGCCCATGAGAAGTGTGGACAGTATGCCGTTAACACCACAGCGGGACGGGACCGCCTGAATCCTATTCTGTTTAGAAACGCACAGGCGGGCGCAGACACCTGGAAAGAAACCAGGAAGAGCAAACGTCCTTCCCTGTTTTCCACGCTTTCCCAGTCTCCTGCGGTGGATGTGCTTACTTTGCAGTCAGAAGAAAATAAGCCACGACCAAACGTTTATTTAAGAAACGAGGGCGGCAGGGGCCGCCAGACCCCCTCACCCTGACAGACGCAGCCCTGTCCACCCGCCGCTCAGGCCAAGGCCCCCCCAACTTTCTTCACGTGATCTTAACTCAGCTCTTGGCTAATTAAATGGCACCCGTGGGAAGGGATGGTCTCAGATAAGCTGGCTCAGTGCTAATTGTAAAGGAGAGAAGCCGGTCGTGTACCTTGCCCCAGCAGCCACCCCCCACCGATCATTCCTCGGGCACCTCCCAAACACCAGCCCCTTCCCCATAGCTGCCCAGAGGTGAGCCAAGCCCCTGACTCTATGGCCTGGGCGGATGCCAAACAAGAATCACACAAGGGGATCCTCTGGCCCACGAGGAGCCGCAACTGCAGCTCCTGGTCAGGACCATGGCCAGCACCCCGGGGGCCGGCCCTCCTCCCCCATCCCCAAGAGTGGCCCCAGAGCCTAATCAGGTAGGAGGGCAGAAATATCACCTACCCCAGGCAGCAGGGAGGAGGAGGCTGCACCTACCCCGGGCAGCAGGGAGGAGGAGGCTGTACCTACCCCGGGCAGCAGGCAGGAGGCTGCACCTACCCCAGGGAGCAGGGAGGAGGCTGCACCTACCCCAGGGAGCAGGGAAGAGGCTGCACCCACCCCAGGGAGCAGGGAAGAGGCTGCACCTACCCCGGGGCAGCAGGGAGGAGGCAGCACCTACCCCGGGGCAGCAGGGAGGAGGCTGCACCTACCCCAGGGAGCAGGGAGGAGGCTGCACCTACCCCAGGGAGCAGGGAGGAGGCTGCATCTACCCCAGGCAGCAGGGAGGAGGCAGCACCTACCCCAGGCAGCAGGGAGGAGGCTGCACCTACCCCAGGCAGCAGGGAGGAGGCTGCATCTACCCCAGGGAGCAGGGAGGAGGCTGCACCCACCCCAGGGAGCAGGGAAGAGGCTGCACCCACCCCAGGGAGCAGGGAAGAGGCTGCACCTACCCCGGGGCAGCAGGGAGGAGGCTGCACCTACCCCAGGGAGCAGGGAGGAGGCTGCATCTACCCCAGGGAGCAGGGAGGAGGCTGCATCTACCCCAGGCAGCAGGGAGGAGGCAGCACCTACCCCAGGCAGCAGGGAGGAGGCTGCACCTACCCCAGGCAGCAGGGAGGAGGTGGCACCTACCCCAGGCAGCAGGGAGGAGGCTGCATCTACCCCAGGGAGCAGGGAGGAGGCGGCACCTACCCCAGGCAGCAGGGAGGAAAATGCACCTACCCCAGGGAGCAGGGAGGAGGTGGCACCTACCCCAAGGAACAGGGCATCTGCCCCCACATCAACCACCTGAGCAGCAGGCAGCCTAGAGTGGTGCCCCAGAGCCTCCTCTCCCTGCACACACCTTCTGTCTCCAGCCTGGACGGGTTTCCACAAAAATGTAACTTTTCAATGACAGGAAAAGTGAGTGTTAAACTTCTCTGCATATTTGGTCCTTTGGGATGAGAACATTTTTACAGCCACCAGGCAGCTTCTAGGAATTCATCCTGCCGACCTGCACCTTGCGTGAAGATGTGCATGGAGCCCCACGCAGCACCATTTGCAGCGGCAAAGTCCTAGCACCTGCTTCAAGGTCCATCACTGCAAACCGGTCAGAGAAGTCGTGAGCGCCCGACGGAGCCTAGAGGGGGACATGCAGGGAGAGGGGGCCACACGCACAAGGCAGGACACGGAGTGACTCCACACATGTGAAAAGAAGTGAGTGAACACACACAGACACACACATGCTGTACCGTGGCACGCATGCAGAGAACGGCTCCAGGAGATGGGCCATGGCTGACCCGGTACGGAGATGGGGCAGCGCAGAGGGGGCAAATCATACTGGCTGGACATCATTTTATATATTTCAGGGTTTCCGTGGGTGTCTTTTCTGTGTGTGTGTGTGTGTGTGTGTGTGTGTGTGCACATGTCATGTGAATTTGACCTATTCTGGAAGAACGGGTAAGAAGGGGGTCATCTCCCAGCTACTCAGGAGGTCAAGGCAGGAGGATCGCTCAGGCCCAGGAGTTCTGGGCTGCAGTGAGCTACAATCACACCACTGCACTCAGCCTGGGCCACAGAGCGAGACCCCCACACTTAAAATAAATAAATAATAGAATACGGACATCAGGCCCTGCCTGGCCTTATCTGGTCTACAAAGGGGACTCCAGGCTGCCTCCTGCTCCGTCCTGGGGTGGCGCTCCCCGATATCCCTGCCTCCCTGACCACCCTACTCCAGGAGAAGGAAGCCCAGCCGGCCGAGTGCTGCTGCCCTTCCCCAGGGCTCAGCCTCCATGACAAACTTTAAAGTCCCACACACGTGCCCTCTGCACCCTGAGTCCCAGCTTAGAACCCTGCACCCGCACACAGGGGCAGAAACACATTAACCAGGCGCCTCCGGCCTCCCGCCCACAGCCCCTCAGGGCAGACATCCCAACCTCTCATCCCTGCCCGAGGCTTCTCCCCACCTCCTCCCAGGACAGGGAGCCAGGCAGAAACTGGCCTTTTGCTCCCACTCACCCTTCTCATGTTTTTTCCAAACCTAAACAGAAAAGCAAGCTCGAAAGTTCTCAGGTGTTCAGCTTACGTCACGGGTAAGGGCTCCATGGGGAGGAACAAAACTAGAGAAGACCTGGAGGATGAGGCGGGGGCAGACAGAGGCAGCAGATGCCTCCACGCCACAGATACAGAGGAAGAATCTAGAAGGAGGCTCCCTGCAGGCTGGGCAGCCTGGAGCCCAGCCCCTGCCACACCCCCAGGAGCTGCCCGTCCGCCCCCACTGAGATGATTCAGGGATGGGAGACTCCGATTGTTCAACCCACTCCCCGCCGGACTTCCTGGAGCAACCATGCTCTCCTATGCATCCACAAAGCCATTCCCAGCAACCCAAAAAAATGAAAGACCTAATTTTGTTCAAGCTGGGTAGGCAGCAGAGCCTAATGTCAGTTCCAGAGCACGTCTGGAAAACATCCTCATCCCCAAAGCGAGGCAGCCACTGTCTGAAAACCACCACTCCCCCTGCGAGAGGCCGCCCAGCATCCCCTGTCTGGGGCCAGCACAAGCTGCTGGCCCTGGGCTGGGAGCTCTGGGCAGCTGGTGGCCAGAGAGAAGCCTTCTCAGAGGCTGGCCTCTCCACTCAAGCCGATGTCTCCTGTGGGGGTGGAGGGGCCGCCAAGTGCCCCGAGGCCTCGGGGCAGGTACCTTAGCCTCACCCACCCCAGCCCCTCACCTGGCACGGGGTCTGTGGTTTAGACAACAGAAGGGACATGAAGCTCTGTGGAGAGCTCCCGTCGCCCCGTCCTCCACCACACATCATCCTGGGGACCTGCGTGTGATGCCCCCCACGCACAGCAGCCTGCACCCCAGGGCTATGAGCCCCTTTCAAGACTGAAGCTCCCACCGGGGCCGCCTAACCCCACAGGGAGCACAGCACAGGCCCACTGCTAACAGGAGAAAGCACCTGCACACTAGCTCCCCGACGCTGGAACAGGGCCATGGCCCTGCGCCCCACACTCCAGCTCCACTCTCCACAGGAAAAGGCTCCCAGAATCCAGCCACTCAGTGTGTGGGGGCAGGGGCCCTGCTGACTTAGAAACAAGTGGCACATTGATCCGCATTCAAACTTGCCAGCCAATCAACCACAGCCCCGCGCACAGACTCTCCCAGGTGGGACTGAGGGGGTCTCCCCTGTCCTTGGCAGGGGCGTCTCCCCCACGCACCCCCAGTCCCGTCCTCTCCACAGGCTCCAGATGCCCACATCCCCAGAACACTCAATGGGACAACTCAGAGCAGGTTACAGAGAAAGAAAAGCCACACAAGCTCACCAAGGGCACGCTATTTCAGAAGTGCCTTCTCCTCCTGGAAATGTCGACCCCAAAGCTCTCACTGGGAAACCTCTGGCCTGGCCCCGGGAAGCGACAGGCGCAGGTTTGGGGCTGAGGCCGTCCCAGCAGCTCTGTGGCCTGCCAGACCTCAGAGCACTCCCATCAGGGGCCACAAGAGCAGAGAGCTCTTCAGCCCCATGTTCTCCTGGACGAATTAAAAGCACGACCCATCCCAGCTTCAGAAAACAAAAAGTCTAACCCTCCATTTCCCAGACTCCAGACCAACCTATTTGCTAAGCAGCATCCTGAGCCACTCCCTCCTCCAGCTCTGTGGGTACAGCTTTCTCAGGCTAAAGGGGAAACAGAGGGGCTTCTCAGGGCCCACCCGCCTTGTGCTGGCCGCCTCCCTCACACCCCCTCACCCAGGAGCCATCAAGGACAGAGCCTCCTCCTGCAGGGCCCACACTCCATCACCCGCTGCTGAGGCCAGCGGTCGGCAGGGCCCTGCCACTCAGAGCCCACTAGGGAGGCAGGAACCAGAACCCACTCCGAAATCAACAGAGAAAGCTCGGCACACGGGCTGGTGAGCGTAGGGGTCGCACGCAGGGGCCAGCGGGAGCCATTTCCAGAGAGTTCCTCGGCGACAAGCTCAGATCTGCAGGCCCCTCCTCCTTCGACCTTGCATCTGTTAGGCGTGTTGAACAGGTGCCGCCCACCCTACCCAGGACGCGCTTCCTCCTCTGAGGATGTCCAGGGCCCTCCCCTCCACAAAGGCACCGTTTTGAGACTCCCAGAGCTGTCAGCCAAGTGTTGTCGGAAGGCAGAGCTGAGCTCCAGCCCTGCAAAGGGCATCCGCGTTCCGGGCACCGCCGTTTCCGCTCGACGCTCCGTGCTAAAGGCGGCCTCATGGCTGGGCGCGTGTCGGTGCTGAGGCGTCCCGGCGGGTCCTCTGCTGCCGTCCCGAGGCGGCCCGGCGGGTTCTCTGGCGCGGTCTGCGTGGAAACTAGAAGCTTGCACTGCAGCTCTTTCACAGCTTAAGGGGTTCCCTGGTAAAACCTGCCCACAGTGGTTTCTCAAGCCGAAGATCATTCCTGTCCTCCAAGCCTCAACCCTCAGGATGCTGGGAACACGCCGGAAGCCACGAACAGGAAGACAATCCCCCAAACTACCCGGCACACACAGGGCAGGCACCTTCGTTCCAAGTGAACAGCCGGCATCTCCGCGGCCGGTCCCACACGACAAACAGGCAAGCTTCCCACGCTCGAGCCCGGGCCCCGCGCTTCAACCCACGACCCCCGCAGGCTTCCCACGCTCGAGCCGGGGCCCCGCGCTTCAACCCACGACCCCCGCAGGCTTCCGACGCTCGAGCCCGGGCCCCGCACTTCAACCCACGACCTGGCCCTCAACAGCAGCGCAGGCCTCTCCGTCACGGCCCAGCCGCTGACCAATGGGACTGAGAATCGGCCGGAGGGGCAGAGCGACGCCGTCCCGGACCGGCCAGCCATCCTCCCTCCTGGCCTCCACGCTCCGTCCGGGGTGAGGCCTTCCACTCTGCTGAAGGAGCCTCACGGTCACGGCGATGACAGCTACGAGCTTGGGGAACATCGCACGCATCAGGCATCGTGTGGAGTGACTCACACGTTGAATCCCGGCGGCCATCACGTGACACAGATGCAGACAGGTTACCCCCACCACGCAGACAAGGAAACTCGGGTCTAGGAGCCCGACGCTGGCCAGTCTCAGGATGACGCCCCCGGCCAGAGCCCCAGCCCTGCCCTCCCCGAGCCTCACGCCCCACGGGTCACGCAGGGTCTTCACAGGTCACGGCCACACAGGAGCACGTCTCACACGGGCGGAAGCACAGAGGGGAGCGGGGCTGCGTCCACAGACCGCGCACACACGAGCAGTTTCCCGTCTCAGAGCTGCCTGGCATGCACACTGGAAAATAGTTAAGACAGCCCCCCGTGAGGTAACACGCTTGGGCTCTGTCTGTGATGACAAGATGTCGGACACAAGGCCAAGGTCTCCCCCGGGGGACATCGCAGGCATCACCCCACCATCCTTGCCCCCCATCCTCCCAAAACGGGCACATTGCTCCCGCCTGAGCCTTTAACAGGACACGGCCTGGCCGCTGGCCCCAGCCTCCCGTCAAACCTCAAGTGGACCTTCGGAGGGCCCAGGGCACAGGCTGCCCCTCCCCTGCCTCTGGGCAAGGCAGCTCGGCCATCCCATATCCCTTCTCCCCATATTCAAGGCCCCCACAGGTCCCCCTTGGTCCTCCAGACTTGCCCATTTTCCTAGGAGGGAACCCACTCTGTGTAGCAGATTCATCTCCCCACACTGGAAGCAGCTTCAGGCCCAGCTCCTCTACGGCTCCTCTACGGCTGCGGAACGTCATTCCTACAGGGCTGAGGCTAGCCCGGCTCCTGTGCAGCTATGGAACGTCACTCCTACAGGGCTGAGGCTAGCCTGGCTCCTCTACGGCTGTGGAATGTCATTCCTATGGGGCTGAGGCTAGCCCAGCTCCTGTGAGGCTATGGAATGTCACTCCTACAGGGCAGAGGCTAGCCCCGTGCTCTTGCGAGCAGCTGCCAGACGGACTTGCTGAGTGTGCACACAGGGGCCATGGACGTGTCAGGAGCACAGGGACTAACGGAGATCCATAGATTCATTTGTTTATTGACTAAAACAAACTGGGAAAATCACTATGTTAAGCCACTCTCCACCACTGGACTCAGCCTGTGCCGTGAGAAGTGACCCCAGTTCTGAAACACTCCAGGATTTAAGCATTTTCAAAACTGGAGACAGGATTCCCACGTGGTCAGCATCCTGGGGGCCGAGAATCCTTAGTGCCCAGCAGTGCCCATATCCAGGGCGCCGGCACCTCTGGAGAGACCGCGTCTCTGCAGAGATTGGCTTGCAGTGATTTCTAATAAAACAGATTTTCTCTGCTCTCACTGTGGAATGGTCAGGAGGAGAGTTTCTGCTTATCCTTTAGCTCCTATCCTCTCACAGACACAGAATGTGCACAGAGATTGACTCCACTGTGTAACTAAGCAGCATCATGTACAATGTCTTATCACTCCAGAGTAATTTCACTTTAAATTATTTGGTGAGGGGCAGAAATCCTGCGAGGAAGCCCGAGACCTCCCAAGGGGTCCAGGAACCAGAGAAATCCAGGTTTCCCCAGAAACCACAACTCTCCGAGGCTTCTTCACCTTTTGGGAAATTTCCATAAGATTTCCTACACAGGAGGCTGTGGGAAGAAGGGGAATGTGGCCGTTCAAGCACTCGAGTCTCTTTCTCGGCACACAATGCTCCGTCAGCAGAGACTGGACCCTGGTCCTGCCAGGGCCCCGCTCTGTGCTGGGTAAAGCCCAGGCCTGCACTCACCCCTCAAAGCAGCCTGACCAAGAAGAGAGTGTCTGAACCCCACCACTGTGCCAGGCGCCTGCCCACCCCAGCCAGCCCTTCGAGGGCTCACACCAGCCCCAGAGCTGAATGAAGGGGTGGGAAAGAGGCCCAGCGGCCTGTGCTCAGCACCACCCGAGTTCTCCAGGACTGTGAGGGGAAGCGCCTGGGCCCCGGCACCGGGGGACTTGAACATAGGCCCTCCGTCCCAGGCCCTTCCCTGCAGTGAAATGGGACACAGCACCTGGTCAAGCAGCCCAGGGCCAGAGGCCCCTAAAACCCTGGACCCCAGCTGAGGCCTGGCGCAAAAGCCAGGATGGCACAGCGAGCCCCAGGGACAGGCCCTCCCCGGTGCCAGATTTCCCATCTGGCCTATTTTAAACACAGCTTCACTCTGGCCACTCCACGTGGCTGGGCTGCTGGCAAGATCAAGCAATCTGCACCCCCAAGCTCTCATCTCAGGCTGGGACCCCCCCTTTCAGTTAAGCAGGACAACTCTGGAGCTCACTCAACCTTCCTCTGCCTCAGTTTCCCCATCCACAGGAACCAGGCTGCGTGACCCTCTGGCAGGCTGTAACTAAGCGGTAACTGAGGTCCGCACCCAGCGGGAACAGAGCGGAGCTCCCTTTCCCACACCCAGCAACCCACGCGGGGATCCTGGACGAGGAGGTTCAACTCCGTGGTGGAGCAGTGCCCGGCTCCAGTCCTATGCGCAGATGGGCTGCAGGAGAGAGGCTGGAGCCCGGGATTCAGGCTCCGAAGGGCCCCCCATGGTGATCTGGCCCAGAGTCCCCTGCGGCAGCCCCAGGGGCACATCATCTGCTAGTTCGGGCCATTTCTGCAGCTCACACTCCCTTTGGGAGGTCTGGGAGAGGTGGCCCAGCACCCCGCCCCGACCAGGCAGAGAGCAGGTCTGACGCCCTTCTAACTCAGAGAAGGCCCTGTCTCCAGAGCCTCTGGGAAAGCACCCAGGCAGTGCGAGCAGAGGCCACGGCTCCCACAGAGGAGCAACAGTGGATGAAGTCCCTCTCTAACTCAGTGCTGGACGTCCCCACCTCCCCAGAGCGGGGGCAGCAGGGGCCTGGCCTGACGCCCACCAAGCCCTGGGGCCATGGGGCAGCAGCCACCGCCCTCTCTACCCCAGACAGTGGCTACCCCGGGTCCAACAGGGATGCCCAGAGAGGTTCTCACAACTTGACCTCTCCGAAGCCAGACACTGGTGGCAATAGGCAAAAGGCAGGTGGGCCTGGGGACCTGTATTCAGCCACAGCTGGGTGCGGCAGCACAAGGAGCCCTGGCCTTCCCCCCACTCCCGGCTGCCCCAGGCCCAACTGAGCTCCGTCTCCGTTTAGCTGATGAACAAACAGACCAAATGCTGCCTAACACGCCACACGGGCCAGTCCATGCCGGGCCAGAGGACATGGGGCCATCAGGCCTCCCAAGTGGAGGTGGGGGCTGCACTCCAAGGATGGGCTGGGCCACGGGGACAGCAGCAAACACCACACCAGGGGTCTGGGAGCCGGGCGGTGAGCTGCACCAGCAGTGCTGAGCCACATCCCCTTTCACAGAGGGCACTGGGCCGGCCTGGAAGAGTGTGATGCCCCCCAGCAGTGGTGTTCACAAAGCCCTGGGTTGAGAAGCAGCTGTGCCGACGTTACCGACGGAAAACTGAGGTTTGCAGAGGTTCTGAGACCAGCCCCCAGTGTCCAACCCGAGGCAGGACCAGAAACCCTGCTCTCCAGCCCCGCCGCTTAGAAAAAATCCCCCTCCCAAAGGGGCCGCCTCCCTGAGTCCAAGCCACCCCTGCCCACAGCAAAGGAGCTGAGGAGAGCCTGGGAGCTCAGGGAGGTTCAGGGAGCTCCGTGCCCACAGCAAAGGAGCTGAGGAGAGGCCTAGTGCAGGCTGGAAGGCGGGGCTGTTCAGACGTTGAGGGTCTCGCCTGAAGCCCCCGCATGCTGCTGCTCTATCTTAGAGGGGGCCCGTCCGGACTGGGGGTGGTCAGGAAGAGACGGCTCAGACCCCACATGTGCAAGTGTCCCCATGCTTTGCCCCAGTTCTGGACTGCTGCTCTCAGGAGGCAGAGACAGGAAGGAGAGACAGAGGGGCTGACCCACGCAGGCCCAGGCAGGGGGCGGCCATGCGGAGAGCTGCTGACCCAACGGGAAACCTCAGGAACAGCCACGCTGGGCCCTTGGATCATGGACTCAAAGCAGAACCAACCCTGGGTCAGACGCAGAGCGGGGCGCTGGCCAGGCTGTCAGGGCAGGAGGGTTGTGGGGGTGGGTTCTATCCTACCCTCCTCCGGGGAGTCACCTTGGGCAGGGACCTGGCTGACCAGTACCGGCCCACCAAGAGCCCCTTTGGCCCCCAGCCAGGTGGGGGCCATCAGGGGAGGCCATTCCTGAGAACACAGAAGCTCATCTGGGGATTCGGGAATGAACCCTGGACTGGAAAAGCTAGACTCACCTCCTGGGGGCCACAGGGCTTCCAGGACCCAGGAGGTCGGAGAAGCTTCTGCTTGGGGAGTCCCAGGCTGGGTGCCCAGGGGCCCTCCACGGAGACACCCTCCCTGTAAGCGGCCTGGCATTTCCCTCTGGGATCTTCTCCCTACCCCAGAACCCTCTCATATCACAGTCCACGGAGGGTCTGCTAAGGGCACACTCAAGGCCACACGCAGGCTGGGGCACACTCGTGGGGCACACACCCCTCTCGGCCCAGGTGGGCGCCCGACCAGCTTGTGACCAGTCTGCCCCTCACTCCCATCCCAAAATGCCTCTCACACAAAATGGCCGGTCCCGGAGCTCAGCGGGTCCCTTGTTCAGCTGGGATGGGAGAGCAAGCGCCCTGGCGCGGGGAGGCTGTGCACACCGGCCGCACAGGCCGCACACGCAGCGGGCCGTGCAATTCCACATGCGAACACCCAGGTGCACACGGACGCAGGCTTCGGCCGCCCCCCGCCAGCCCTGCCCCAGGAGGCAGCCGTTCCCTGAGCCTCGCCCGGGAAGAGGGGACAGCCCCTTCCAGGCCCAGGGCTGGGGGTCCCAGGTCTGCCGCAGCCCCTCCCCCGGGCCTCGCTCTGCCAAGGAGGGGTCCTGAGCCCGGGATGTGCACGGGGGCGGCCGGCGGCTGCAGAGATGGGACAGCGCAGGAGCTGAGCGCAGGAGCTGAGGGGGTTCGCGGGGCCAGGGAGGGGCGTCGGCGCCGAGGGGGCAGGACAGACAGCTGCGCTCAGCCCGGGCTGGGGTGGGGGGGTCATGGGAGGGCCCCTCCCCCATCTCAGGAACCCAGAAGCTCACCCTAGTCTGAGGGAGAGCGGCTCGGGAGGATGGCGGAGGACAGGCCAGACCCCTCCCCCCCGCCCTCGCTTGGTCGGGCGGCCCCAGCCCCGCGGGTCCCCGAGAGTCCCGGAGAGTCCAGACCCAGCGCTGCCGCCGTCCCTCCCCGGCCGGCCCTTTGTTCGGCGCAGAGGCCGCGGGGAGGGGCCTCCCAGGCTGAGGAGGGGGCTGGGGCGGCCGCACGTCTCTGTCCTGCGGGCCTGGAGCCCCCACCCCGACCTGAGCGGCCCCGACCCCGGAATCCTTCCTGCCCGCGCGCTGTACAATCGCTCTCCGGTCTCGGCCCAGCACTCCCGCCGGGGAGCGCCGGCCCCGGACCCAGACCCAGGGGCAGGGAGCCAAACCCGCCGCAGCCAGCCTGGCCGGGGTCGCCGATGGGGTCGCCGATGGGGGTCGCCATGGGGGTCGCCACGGGGGCCCCGCCGGCCACTCACACGTAGGCGTGGTAGATGAACGCCCAGCCGCGCGGCCGCTCCAGCACGTTGTAGAGGAAATTCTGCAGCTTGCGGTAGAAGGCGTTGCGCTTGGGGGGCTTCCCGGCGCCCGCGCCGCCCGCGCGAGGTTTGCTGAGGATGCTGCCGCGCTTGGGGGCCTCGGAGCCGGCGATCAGCAGCGCCCCGTCCCGGGTGGAGTCGGGCGCGCCGGGGTCCAGCCCCACGAAGCCCACCTTCAGCTTCTTCTCCCCGCTCGGGCCGGGGTATACGCCGCCGTTGCGCGACTTCTGCACCATGGTGCCTGGCGGGAGGCGCCCCGGGTCGGGCTCAGGCTCAGCGGGGGCGGAGCGCGGGGGGCGGCGCGGGCCCCAGCCCAGGCCCCCCGGCCGGGAGCCGCATGGCCGAGGCGGCGGTTCCGCACTCCTGCCGGGCTTGGGCCGCGCGCGGAGACGCTGCGGCCACCTCGCTCCGCGCGCACCTCGGCGCCTGGCCCGCGGCCGCGCCGGCTCCGCCCGCCGCCTCGCCCCGCCCCGCGTTAACCCCCGCGACGCCAGTCGAAGGAGAGGGGAGGAGAAGAGAGGGAGGGGAAGGGAGGGGAGAGGGAGGGACGGGGAGGGGAGGGGAGGGGGGAAGGAGAGGAGAGGGGAGGAGAGAAGAGGGAAAGGGAGGGGAGGGGAGGGAGAGGGGACGGGGAGAGGGGAGACAGGAGGGGAGGGGGAGGGGAGGAGAGGGGAATGGGAGGGGAGGAGAGTGGCGGGGACGGGGAGAGGGGAGACAGGAGTGGAGGGGGGAGACAGGAGTGGAGGGGGAGGGGAGGGGGGAGAGGAGGGGGAGTGGGGGAGGGGGAGGGGAGGGCAGGGGGAGAGGAGGGGGAGGCAGAAGGGACCAAGGCCCGCGGGACCAGAGCTCTGGGCTGAGCCTGCCCAATCCCCCGGCCATGTGCACACTGACCCTGCGGTCACCTTTGAGTCCGGTAGTACTAACCAAGTGGACCTGCCTGGTGGCCCCAGCGCTCCTGGGGTCCCAGAGCGGTGCCCAGCCGCCTGAGCAGGACTGGAGTCTTCTCAGCTGGGCCCTGGGAGTGGACGCCTCCGGGAAGGGATGGGGGTAGGGGCTCTCCCCAAGACTCTGTTAGGGCTCAGCCCATGGTGACCTCATGCTCTCGGTGTCAGGGTTGCCCAGGCAGTAGGACCCCCTAGACCCCAGGGTGTGTGCAGGGAGGGTCTGTGGAGGCTGGAGGCACCCTGCAAGGAAAGCAGCCCAGGGGAAAGGGGGTGGCCACAGAGGCCGGGAGGCAAGAAGAGGAGCAAGGGCCATGGGGTGGGGGATGGGAGAGAGTCACTCCTAGAGGGCCTTGAAGCCCCCCAAGGGGCCTGGACTTAGTTATGCAGACCCCAGAAGGGGCCTGTGGCAGGGGCAGGGACTGGAGGGTGGCCCCAGGGCAGCAGACAGGCCAGCAGGAAGCCCAGTGCCACACCTCGGGACAAAGGAGGCAGATCTGTGCCTCCTGGACACAGATGGGACGGTGTTTCCTTGGGGGCAAGTGCGCGGAGGTGGCCTCCCCCCTGCCGGCAGCCATGTGTCCTGGGAGGGGTCCCTCTGGAGCTGCTGCTGGGAGACCAAGGGACCCCTGCGGCTCAGTGCTGCCCGCCCTGTGAGGTGCCCCGCCACTGGGCCTTCCTCTGCACATCCAGGAGGGGTGTCATCTTCGAGTGCGTCTCTGACTACATCCAGCCTGTTTGCACGTTCGCCTGGCACCATGGGTTCTACCCAGAGAAAGGCCCTCTGCTGAATCGCTGGCGCCGTCCTCGCAGGTGACCTGCTCATAAAACAGCCCTAACCCTGGTGCAGAGTGAGCTCTTGAGTTGTGTTTGCCCTTTGGTTTCCAGAGCTAGTGGCCACGGGGCCTGTTTTTGTTGTTGTTGTTTTGTTTTTAACTAGGCTGAATACAGAAGGGTCGGTGCAGGCAGAATGCTAACCTGTACGTTATCCAGGACGTTGGGGATAGACGGCAACTTACACAAGCTTGTGCACATCCAGGGGTACTTTCTGGATCCCCGCCTCCCTGCCTCTGTGCCCACGCATTGGCTGTGATTACCAGCATGAAGTGGGCTTGCCCCAAGCGGCTGCGGTTTCTCTCGATTGTTAAGGGAGGAGGCACCAGCCTGGTGCTTTCAGGGGAGGGAGAGGACTTCAGTATGCAGAAGGAAGAGAGCACCGTGGCATCTCCCTGCACACGCTGGCTGGTGCCGCTGGTCTTTCCCACTCACCAGAAGACCCGAGGGAGCAGCCGTAGCTCAAAATGTAAACCCTGCAGGGCTGGGGCCCCTCATCCTGTGGGGGGAAGCCCCAGACTATCCGGTGCCCCTCGGCAGTGCCCGGGCTACACGTGACCTCTCCTGGGCAAGCAGTCATCTCAGGTTTGATGTCAGAGCCCAGTGGGACCCAAGGTCAGGGCTGATCCACAGAGGATGAAGGAAAAGTGACCCCAGTTCCCGTTTGAGCAGATGCACCAGAGCTGAGATGGGAGCAAGGATTAAGGTGCTCTGGTGTCCAGGACATTGGGAGAGACAAACCTGTTCATCTTATTTTTCAGAAAAAAAAGGGGAAAACCCTGCTGAGGTCTTGGGGAGCCATCGGCTGGCTTCACAGCCTCCTGGGGGTGGCCGAGAGTGGCATCCCCCGTGGGGATGCCGGGCTGGAGGGGCCGGCTCAGGATGCAGGTGGAGCTTTGCACCCTGCAGCTCGCGGTTCTCCCGTCTACAAATGGCGTTGGCTCCAGCAGCTTTGCCACACCTTGGAAGGTTCTGGAAAGTGAATCCTGCATCAAGGCTTGAAAATCCTTGCTTCCTCCTTTGTTTAGGATGTCCTTTCAAAGAGCTAGCTCATTAATCATTTATGTTTTTAATTTTGTGTCTTGCACACCCACGGGCTACATTGTCAGCAATCTGGTTACCCGCATGCCTGCCCCCTGTCCCCTCCTCTGCGCCCAGGCAAAGTGGGTCGTGAAAATGCCCAGTTGGGGTAAATTTCATCCAAGCAGGAGGAATTCCATTTATGTAAAAATAGATGGGAAAAGCGTTCAGGCTCAAACAATCTTTGCCAAGACCGCATCGACAGGACTCCAGAGAGGATGAGCAGAATTCAGACGTACGTGGTGCCCAGCTCCAGCGGAGGAGACAGTCAGTCTTCGCCCAGGCGGCCAGGGCAGCAGCGGATTCCACGCGGGCGCTGTCCCTTCAGCACCTCCAGCACCATCCTCTCCCCGGAACCTGCAAGCCCAGCCCCTTCTCTGGTCTCCTCCAGGCAAGTAACCTCAAGGCCTCCCCAGTGTCCCACGTCACTGGGCTGCACTAAGCGACCAGAGAACATGAAGATTGTACTGCCAGAACTGGCTGCTCCTGCCGATCAAGGCCAGCTCATCTGTCCCCAAAGTCCTCTGGTGGGCTCCCTCCCCAGCAGAAAGCAAACCACAGGGGCTGTGACCGCCTACTGCCCGGGCTCCCCCGGGCTTCCCGAACTGTCCTCCCTGGAGCCTGGCGCAGAGAGGGGCCCAGAGTCAATGGTTGTTGGAGGACAAACTGAAGCACATCTGGGTCACTGCCAGGGAGAACCCACAGGGTAACCCTGCCCATATGGTGCTGGTCACAGAGCAGACTCGGTGCCCTCCAGAACCCACGCCTGTGCTCTCCCTCAGGTGCAGGTGCAGTCCTGCTGGGTCATGACTCCAGTCTCACAGGCTCGGCACTGGAATGGTGGGACCAAAAGTGAAAAACCGAGGCCAGGCCAGGCGGCTCATGCCTGTAAGACCAGAGTTTTGGGAGGCTGAGGTGGGTAGACTGCTTGAGCCCAGGAGTTCGAGACCAGCCTGGGCAACATAGAAACCCTCTCTCTACAAAACTGCAAAAATTATCCAGGCTTGGTGGCCTGCCTGTGATCCTAGCTGCCCAGGAGGCTGAGGTGGGAGGACCGCTTGAATCCAGGAGGTCCCGGCTGCAGTGAGCCATGATGGCACCACTGCACTCCACCTTTGGTAACAGAGAGAGACCCTGTCTCAAAAAGAAAAAAAAATTAAAAATTAGCTGGGCTTGCTAGTGCATACCTGTTGTCTCAGCTACTCAGGAGGTTGAGGCAGGAGGCTCACTTGAGCCCAGGAGTTGGAGGCTACAGTGAGCTGTGATTACACCACTGCACTCCAGCCTGGGCAACAGAGCAAGACCCTGTCTCAAAAAAAAAAAAAAAAGAAAAGAAAAGAAGAAAGAAAGAAAAAATTAATTAATTAAATTCAAAAATGAGGGCTAGGAGCAGTGGCTCATGCCTGTAATCCCAACACTTTGGGAGTCCGAGGTGGGTGGATCATCTGAGGTCAGGAGTTCGAGACCAGCCTGGCCAACATGGTAAAACCCCGTCTCTACTAAAAACACAAAAATTAGCCAGGCATGGTGGCAGGCACTTGTAATCCCAGCTACTCGGAAGGCTGAGGCAGGAGAATCACTCGAACCCGGGAGGTGGAGGCTGCAGTGAGCTGAAATCATGCCACTGCACTCCAGCCTGGGCGGCAAGAGCAAGACTCCGTCTCAAAAAAAAAACAAAACAGGCCGGGTACAGTGGCTCATGCCTGTAATCCCAGAACTTTGGGAGGCCGAGGCAGGTGGAACACCTGAGGTCGAGAGTTCGGGACCAGCCTGACCAACATGGAGAAACCCCGTCTCTACTAAAAATACAAAATTAGCCGGGCAGGGTGGCGCTCGCCTGTAATCCCAGCTACTCGGGAGGCTGGGAAAGGAGACTCACTTGAACCCGGGAGGTGGAGTTTACAGTGAACCGAGATTGCATGATTGCACTCCAGCCTGGGCAATGGTGCGAGACTCCATCTTAACAACAAAAAACAACAACAAAAAAAACAAACGAACAAAAACCCCAGGAAACCAAGCATGGGTAGTGACTTGAGAGGCATATGAGCTTCCTCTGGCCGCCCTCCTGTGTGGGGCCGTCAGCAGCGGGATCGGGGAGGCGGGGACTGCCACTGTGAGTTTGTGCAAGACGGCTACATGGTGCTGGTGGCCCCCGCGGGTTGTGGCCCCTGCTAGAACAGGCCAGATTTTATGCTCTTTTGACGCTGTGCTGTCATGGGTGGGATCTGTGCCCAGGTGCTCAGCTTCACCTGCGTTCTGAGGGCCTCGGCACCAGTGACAATAGCCCCTGCGGACACTGGAAAGCAGGGCCTCCCAGGCCACCACCCCGTGCCTCCCAGTGGAAATGGAGGGAGCTGCTTCCCCGTCACTGCGCCTTCAGAAAAACAGACGACCCCACAGAGGCCTGGAGGAACAAGATTTAATCTGGGGAAATGAGGAGATGAGGAGAGACAGGTTCTCAGTCATCTCACCTGGGCCCGTGCCTCCCGGTGGAAACGGAGGGAGCTGCTTCCCCGTCACTGCACCTTCAGAAAAACAGACGACCCCACAGAGGCCTGGAGGAGGAACAACATTTAATTTGGGGAAATGAGATGAGGAGAGACAGGTTCTCAGTCATCTCACCTGGGCCAGAGCTGCTGCGGGTTTAACCCTGTAATTTGGGCGACAGGAAGTGCCTCCCCAGACAGGGAGGCCCAGCCCCCCCAAAGGAATTTTACATTATTAGGAGGAGGAAAGGCTGTATTTATCCGCTTGCGGGGGAGCAGGGGAGTGAGGAAAAGATTTAAGATATGAAAGCATTGATTTTTTTTAACATCTTACACTAAAGTCAATAAAAATTTAATTTACAGTTTTTTCTAAAGGACCAAGGCTCTCAATAAGCTTCCCTAGCCCCTGGCAAGCCGGCTAATTGCATGAGGGAGTTGACTTGTACTTCCCAGCCACCAATAATACCGTCAATTGAGGAGCCCGTGGTCAGCTGTGACGGCTGGGGAGCTACGGTGGCTCCGGAGGCATCCGGAAAGGGCAGAAATCCACCTGTAGCTCTGGGACCTCGAGGGAACTCTCTGCTTGATGCTGTGCCGTGGCATCCCCAAACCCCATATGTTGTCATCTCTGGTCCACAGGTGTCACAGGTGGCCTCCCACACGCCCCCTCCTATGCCTTCAGGCAAATGGAGAAGCTGTGGCAATCGTCCCCGTTCTGTGGCAGATATATCGTGAGGAACGCAGGCGCCACGCTCACTCGTGGGAGAGACCAGGCCCCACCGTGGATCTACACATCCAGACTCCCTGGCACCTCGACGCTACCCAAATGCTTTCCTCATCAAGGCCTCCTCGCTCCTGAGACCTGGCCCTGCCACACGCTCCAAGACCACCGACCCCTCTGCCCCCGTCCTCCCTTCCTGGGCACACGGCCACCCCGACATCCCTGAGCAGGCAAGGAGCTCTTGCATTTGCTGTCTCCTCTGCTCACCAGGATGGCAGACACTGCTTCTTCTCAGGGAGGCCCTGGCGCGGGGTCCCCTCCCCACCTTCTCTGGAGCTGGTCCTCATCCCGATGGGAAACTGTTTTGCCTGGCGCTGCTGCCCCACTGCACAGAGCGCACAAGGTGTGGGGGGAGGGGTGGGCACAGACACTCACAGCCCCACCTAGCCCAAGGAAGGTGCATGTCAACCTGTCAGATGACAGATGGCCACTTTGACCTGGGGCTGGACGTCGCTGGAGCCCCCAGCCAGATGTGGCCTCAGTCACAGGCCTGGGGCTTGTGTGGCTCAGGGCTGCCGGGGAGACCCCAAGAGGACATGGGCAGCTGGAGCTCAGGACTAGCGGAGCGGCCAGACGTCCTGCCCATGCAGGCTGCATCTGTGCCCTGGCTGCCCACCCACCAACGTCCTGCCCACGCTCACCAGGGCCTTGCTTGGCCAGATGTCCAGTAGGCTTTGGGCGGGGCCATCCAGCCTTGGCAAGGCCCATGGACTGTCACAGCCCTCCCCACCCCACATCCAGGACAAGGTCATCTAGCGCCACACCAGGTGGATGGTTCAGAAAGGCTGGGTTCTCCAAGCTGCACACCAGAGGCTGCACAGAGCTGAAGTCCGGCGAGTCCCAAGGCTCCCAGGGCGGCCCGCTGCCCCACACCCTCCGGCAAACACGAAGGCGCCACCCTCGGCACCCAGCAGCATCTGCCTCAGCCCCTGCAGAGGGCGGCGCTGGTGTGGGCTGCAGAGAGTATGGCCCGCAGGCAGCCGCCATGGGCCTGCCCGAGCTGAGTGGCTTTCAGCAGACCAGGCGGCCACTCAGGCCTGCGTGGACTGGATGTGTCCCCAGAATCCACATGCTGAAACCCTCACTCCAGTGTGATGGTGTTAGGAGAGGGGGCCTTTGGGGGTGACTGGGTCAGGAGGGTGGAGCCCTCGGAAGAGGACCAGCACCCTCAGGGGAAGAGACACGGGCGCTGGGTTCCCTTCTCTGCTTCGTGCCATGTGGGGACATGGGAAGGCATCGTCTGCAAGCCAGGAAGCCGGCCCTCACAGAACCGAGTCTGCCCGCTCCTTGATCTTGACCTCTGGCTTCCAGAACTGTGAGAAATAAATTTCTGTTGTTTAAGGCACCAAGTCAAAGTTACTCTGTTGTAGTTGCCCAAGTGAGACAGAACCTCATGCTACCCAGACAAGTGGAGAGAGTCAGCCCCCACCCCACGGGAGGGTGGGGATGGGAGCGAGACAGCGAGAGCCTTATTCTGAGAGGGCGTCAGGAGGAGGGCAGGAAGGTGCCCAGGTGAGTCAATTTCCCGGCTTGGACACGCCCCTCTTCCCTGGTCTCACACAGGAAGGTGCCCAGGTGAGTCCAGTTCCCGGCTCGGACACGCCCCTCTTCCCTGGTCTCTCTCGGGAAGGTGCCCAGGTGAGTCCAGTTCCCGGCTCGGACACGCCCCTCTTCCCTGGTCTCGCACGGGAAGTCGCCCAGGTGAGTCCAGTTCCCGGCTCGGACACGCCCCTCTTCCCTGGTCTCGCACGGGAAGTCGCCCAGGTGAGTCCAGTTCCCGGCTCGGACACGCCCCTCTTCCCTGGTCTCGTGCGGGAAGTTGCCCAGGTGAGTCCAGTTCCTGGCTCGGACACGCCCCTCTTCCCTGGTTTCTCACAGATCCTCCCACTGGTTGAATTGAAGAGAGCATGATGTGTCCATCCCTGCGGCTCGGACGAGCTGGCCCCATCCTGGAGACCAGCCTTTTGCTTAATCACACTTCCTGGCATCCCACCTACAGAGATGAAATCCATTTAGGTCAATTGCTCTCACCCAGGGGTTTTGTTCCCAAGGGAGCATCTAGAGAGTCTGGAGACAGTTTTGGTCGTCACAGCAGAGGGGCAGATGGTATGGCATCCAGTGGGTGGAGGCCAGGGGGGTGGGGGGGCACCAAGCACCCTGCAGGGCACAGGGCAGCCCCCACAGAGCACAGCGTCATCCAGCCCCAATGCCAGTCATGCTGACATTAAGAAAACATGGTGTAAGGCCAGTCACGGTGGCTCACACCTGTAATCCCAGCACTTTGGGAGGCTGAGGTGGGCGAATCACAAGGTCAGGAGTTCGAGACCAGCCTGGCCAACATAATGAAACCCCATCTCTACTAAAAATACAATAAATTAGCTGGGCATGGTGGTGGGTGCCTGTAATCCCAGCTACTCGGGAGACTGAGGCAGAAGAATCGCTTGAACCCAGAAGGCGGAAGTTGCAGTGAGCCGAGATCGCGCCACTGCACAGCCAGGGCGACGGTGCAAGACTCCGTCTCAAAAAAAAAAGAAAACATGGTGTAAGTTAACAATGTCCTTTCTTAAAATGCAAATAGGACGGGTGAGGTAGCTCACACCTGTAATCCCAGCACTTCGGGAGGTCAAGGTAGGTGGATCACCTAAGGTCAGGAGTTGAAGACCAGCCTGGCCAACATGGCAAAAACCTGTCTCTACTAAAAATACAAAAATTAGCCGGGCGTGGTGGTGGGCACCTATTATCCCAGCTACTCGGGAGGCCAAGGCAGGAAGATGGCTTGAACCCTGGGAGCGGAGATTGCAGTGAGCTGAGATCGTGCCATTGCACTCCAGCCTGGCGACAAGAGCGAGACTCCGTCTCAAAAAAATAAAAATAAAAAAAAATAAAAGCAAATAGTTCTGGTATGTTAGCCATTCACATTTTAGCATGAAACAGCATAAATAAATGGACTTCCTCCCAAGAGTTCCTGAATATGTAAGCCAAGGGCTGAGAATCTTCTTGAGAAAGGAGCCAGGAGTCCGGGCACTGGGTGGGGGAGCACCCAAGGAGTGAGGTTGGGTCGGGGCAGCAGTGGAGTTCAGCAAAGGAATCCTGGGCGTTCTGCATTGCTGGTTCCTAGCCTGATGGAAAAATGCTGCTTTTACATCATCGCAGGACACTGGAGCCATTGCTGTGTTTCACTCACTGTGAGCTTAGTTTGTGTGGCTCTGGGCAGCTGCAGGATCTCTCCGCACCTCCGCCTCTTTACCTGTGATGTGGGGGTGCTGACCATAGATAGACAATTGCGGTGATGGAGGAAGGGCGCAAGGTTTGTAAAGAGTCTCCAGCGGTGGCAGGAGGAGGCGTCACGTGAGCGGGAAGGTGAAGATGCTGAGTCAGCTCCTGGCTGCCCCATGGGTACCGCACCCCGCTGTGTGCCACCCGCCTCACACCCAAGATGAAGGCCTGGGTGTCGGGAGATGCAGAGTAAAGACAGAGCAGTGGGAGGCAGTTAAGGCCCCTAAAGTGCCAGAAACCCCCACCCCTGGAGGCAGCCACAGCCTCTGGGGAGGGCGGGGCCACAGGGACCCTTTTATACTTAAAGGTTCCTCCCCACACCCTGAAGGGTAAAAGGTTTACAGAGACTAGGAAATGGAGAGAGGAGATCTTACAGCCTCCCACCGTGGGACTCAGTGGATTTCTCCTTCCCCCTCGCCCGTTCCCTCCAACTGCCCAGTTCAGCACCGCCCCCTCCCCCCAGGCAGCTGAGCCCTGGAACCCCACAGCTGGCAGCTCGCTTGGCCTGACCTGGCTTCAGACAGTGGCTGGCAGGATCCTCATAGCCAGAGCCTGGGGCAGAACTGCCAGCCCATGACAGGCTGTGTGGCAGAGCCTGGGGCTCCTTCCCCCTAGATGTTCAGGGAGTGGGCAGGGCAGGGGGCGTGGGTTTCTGCCCCTCCAACCCCTCCAGGCTGGTCCTGCCTGGGAGCTCTGCCTCCTGCCACACCCACGGCTCCAGTCCTGTCCCTGCAGGAGGCCCGCAGGCTCTTAGGAACTGCTGTCCTGCAGCAGGAGGCCTGCAACCAGGCCCCACGTCTGGGCAGGGGGTCCAGGGGCAACGGCTTCCTTCCTGCTCCCACCCCACACCATCCAGGGCCCAGACCCTCTCTCCCCTCCTCTGGGTGTTGGTGCCTCCTGCCCCTGCCTCGGAGCCCCCACAGACCAAGCCAGGGCCCTGATTTGGGGCCGCTGACCCCACCTGCATCTGCTCTCCATCCTGGAGCTGTTCTCAGCCTCACACATCCTCCTCAGGGTCTTCCCCACCTCCCCCAGCCGACCCCCAAAGTAAGATGCCAGAGCGGCATGAAGCCAGGAAATAAGCCAGACCCCACAGCTCCTCCAAAGACCCCTGACGCTCCTGGTTGACCCTCTCATGGGGACGGGGCTTCTCTCCCCTCAGCAGAGCCAGGAGCTGCCTCAAGGCCCATGCACCTGCCAGTCCAGCCTGTCCCCCGGGCTGCCTTCTCCCTCCCTGGCTTCTGGATAGGGACCGTTGCCCAGTGCTTCCTGAGTCCAGCCACCTGGTGGGCACCCCCAGAGACTCAGCCCTGACTCCAGGCGGCCAGCCGGCAGCACAGGTACAGCCGGATGCCCGACACACAGACATGCAGGCACAAATGAACAGACGCACGAGCACATACATCCTGACCGTTTCCAGGGGCTCCAGGACACCCCGCCAAGTTCTCCCCTGCACCCCACACAGCCACCCACAGGTATGCACAGCTCACCCAGGTCACACACACGCACCAGGGTATGGATGTAACCCTGTGCCTGCAGCCCCACTCCGGGACACACTAAGTCACCCACAAGGACAGTCATTCCCACAGTCACAGCACATGGGAAATCCCCGGGGTCCCATTGTGGAGGCCTGACCGGCTGCCGCAAAGCCCAGCCCCTTGGCAGGGAGCCCAGAAGCCGCTGCTCAAACCCAGGACTGCCAGGGGCACCCAGGCCCTTCCAGCCACGCTGGGAACCTGCACGGGGTGGGAAGGTCCTTCCCGCCTGGGTTACAGGAGGGCACCGGGAGCCCGGGAGAGACAAGGGCAAGGGACAGATGGCATTCGGCCACTCAGCAGGGCCCCACAGCCTCTCGAGGCCTCAGGAATTTTTCGGTGACGTGCAAAGTGCAGACCAAAGCCGCCAACAGGGCGTCTTGGCGGACTCTGTTTTAAATTATTCACCAACCCGGCCGGGCGCGGGGGCCCACGCCTGTCATCCCAGCACCTGGGAGGCCGAGGCGGGCGGATCCCGAGGTCAGGAGATCGAGACCATCCTGGCTAACACAGTGAAACTTCGTCTCTACCAAAGATACAAAACTTAGCCGGGCGTGGTGGCGGGCGCCTGTAGTCCCAGCTACTCGGGAGGCCGAGGCAGGAGAATGGCGTGAACCCGGGAGGCGGAGCTTGCGGTGAGCGGAGATCGCGCCACCGCACTCCAGCCTGGGCGACAGAGCGAGACTCAAAAAAAAAAAAAAAAATTATTCACCAACCCAAGTAGGGTGGAGCTCCTTCCGCCACCCATGCCCTCCCTGACTTCAGGACCTGCTCTGGGGCCTCAGCGGCCCCAGGACTGACCCTGAGTCCCAGTGGCCGCCAGTCAGAGCCACTCTCTGGGCCTTGGCGCCCCCTTCAGCCAGACAGCAGCCCAGGTGTCCAGCCAGCTGCAAGCATCCATCAACACCCCGCTGGGGCCCTGAGGCTGCACGGTCCCACCCTTGCAGGGCTCCAGGGCACTGTCTGCCTGTGGTCCCCTGCCCTCACCCCGGCCACCGCCCTCCAGCTGTCCTCAGGCTCCCCAAGCCGACACCCACGGAGCGTTCTGTCCTGACCCCAACCCCAGTGAGCTCTGCCCCCCCACCCCCCTACCCCCACCTGCTATGGGGAAAAACCCACCCTCCTCTGGACCCCAGGGAGCAGCTACAGCTCACACCTCCACTGCAGCCCCTGTTCAGGGAGCTGGAGAGGCAGCCGCAGAGGCCGCGTGAGGCCGTGGTTTCCTTTCATCCTGGCCCGACCCTCAGGGCAGGTGCCACACAACCCCCTTTCACCGATGGAGAAGGGGCACCGCGGCGTCTCTGGCCCCATTGCCTGGCCTCAGGTGCCAGAGCTGGGACCCCACCCCTCGCCTTCCCCACTGCTCCGCCGCCTAAAGCCTCGGTTCACAAAGCACGGTCCAGGCCCCCCGGGGCTCCCGAGAACCTTCGAGAAAGCCCCAAGGTCAAAATCTGTTTTCACAATAATGCCAAGGCTTCTCTCTCCCGTCCTGGCTTGGACAGTGGAGTTCTCAGAGGCCATAAGAGGTGTGACACTCCCCTGCTTTCTCGTGTCTTAAATATCCACACGTTTAGTTTCTAGCATACTAAACAGTGGCAGATGCAACCTCCCTGACATTTAACACTGTGCAAGGGTCCTAACACGAAAGCTCTGAGCATTACTGTCCTGGAGGCAACGCAGAGCTCTGCCTGGTGTCCCCCCAGCCCCCCTTCCTGATTAACGAGCACAGCTTGCTTCCCTGGGTCTCTCACCCGCCAGAAGCTCCTCCTGCCCTCGGTGGGTCTCTCACCTGCCAGAAGCTCCTCTGCCCTCGGTGTGGGTGGCACCAGAACTCCCCAGAGACCGAGGGCTGGGGACCCCAGGGCGGCTTTGGCCAAGCCCCTGCCCTCCCCAGAGCTGACAGTGGGCTGGACACAGGGTATCCCCTGTCCGGCATCCAGCAGGGCAATCCTGGCACCCTGTGGGTGCTGCCCCCACCCACGATGGACACCAGGAGCCCAGTCCCAGATCCTGGCCTCCTCCAGCCACTGCCGGTCCCCACCCCACAGCCCCCCACCTGAGCACGAGGGGCGCAGCAAGGCCCGGAGCCCTGCCAGGCATCAGACCCAAGGACTTGGGCCTGCCTTCATTACCCCAGAAGGGGAGCCGAGGTCAGAGACCCTCCCAGGAGACCCACCCTCCAGGCTACCACGGCCAGGACTCTCATCTGCTGGGGACCCCAGTGGGAACAGGGAGTGCTCCCATCTCTCTGCCCTCCCTGTGCTCCTCCCCACCCCAGAAACACACCCACCTGGAGGGGGCCCTGTGGCCCCAGCACAGACCATGGCAGGCAGGCTGGGCTTGCCCCCCACCAGCAGTGCCTGGTGACCAAGGCTGCCAGAGTCATCCAGAGTTAGCAACTGCAACTGGGACATGGGGGTGAGGGGACCCCTGAGCACCTCAGGGACCACCCAAGGGGGATTCCTGCAACTCCAGCTGGGGGCTGTTTTTCACTTTTGTCCCATCTCAGGCTGGCAAATTTCTCCCATTTGGCCCCAGTTCTAGCCAGGTCACGTGTGAAAGGACAACTTCCTTCCAGACAGGCCCTGCAGGTCCCACTAGGCCCCTCCCATCTATGTGGCCCCACAGAGGCCCAGGATGGGCCAGGGTCCATCAGGAACACCTGTGTCCTTGGGTAGGGCCACCAGATAAAACACAGGACACCCAGTCAGATCAGAATTTTAGATAAATAAGGAGTACCATTTTTGTGTAAATATGCCCCAAATATTTTACAGTAAACAATTATTTGATATATATCCAAAGTCCCGACGTGACTGGGTCCTGTATCCCCTCCTTGGAGGCCTCGTGGCTCTGATGTTCGTGGGTTCAAATCCTCCCCATCTGGGGCCGTGGGCTGCCAGCACCACCTGGGGGCCCAAACTCCCTGGTTGCTCCACTCTTCCTCCCATTCTACCTCCCTTTTGTGTGGGTTTGAGGGACCCCACTTTGGGAATGGAGGGAGACATGAGCAGGCCCTCCAAGGGCGCCCCTAGACAGTGCCCCCATCACCACTGCCTGTCACCTGGGCTGCCTCGTTTCCGTCCTCACCTAGCACAGTGGGTCCAACATGCCCCAAGGGTATCAGGACCTCAACCCTGGAATCTGTGGCTGACTCCATGTGGCAGGAAAGGATCTTGAAGATTTGGTTGAGGATGTTGAGATGGGGGCAATCCCAGATTATCCCAGGTGGGCCCTAAGTGCAGTCACTCGCATCCTCATGAGAAGGAGATTTGACACAGAGGAGGAGAGAGCAGTGTGGCGACAGAGGCAGAGACTGGAGTGACGCAGCCACAAGCCAAGGGGTGTCGGCAGCCACGGCAAGGGGTGAAGCAGGGAACCGACTCTCCTGGGGCCTCCAGAGGAGCAGAGCCCCATCGACACCTTGATTTCGGCAGGGAGGCTGGTTTTGGCCTGACCCCAGGAGGCCTCGCCATTTGCCGTCATTGGTCGCAGCATCCCTAAGAGACTAAGGCGCTATGAGGCCCTGCGGTCAGCCTGCCTGCTCTGCGGAACCCTCCGAGTCAGGTACCCGGCTGCAGGCTGGGAGCTGGGGGCTGGGCGACAGAGAGGCCTGCCTCAGTGCTGTGTACAGGGTCAGGGAACCTGCCCACCCTCCACCCCACCCTCCCTGCATCCTCAGGGAACCTGCCCATCCTCCACCCTGACCTCACCTGCATCCTCAGGGAACCTGCCCACCCTCCACCCCACCCTCCTCCGCATCCTCAGGGAACCTGCCCACCCTCCACCCCACCCTCCTCCGCATCCTCAGGGAGCCTGCCCACCCTCCACCCAGACCCTCCTCTGCATCCTCAGGGAAGCTGCCCAACCTCCACCCCACCCTCCTCTGCATCCTCAGGGAACCTGCCCATCCTCCACCCCACCCTCCTCTGCATCCTCAGGGAACCTGCCCATCCTCCACCCAACCCTCCTCTGCATCCTCAGGGAACCTGCCCACCCTCCACCCCACCCTCCTCCGCATCCTCAGGGAAGCTGCCCACCCTCCACCCTGACCCTCCTCTGCATCCTCAAGGAAGCTGCCCACCCTCCACCCTGACCCTCCTCTGCATCCTCAGGGAACCTGCTCACCCTCCACCCCGACCTTCACCTGCTGCAGCATGACTGGCTGTGGGCCGGGGCCGCTTTCCCAGAGCAGGGAGGGGTGGAAAGGAGCTGTCCTCCCCTCTCCCCA
The DNA here is from genome assembly GCF_000001405.40 of Homo sapiens. Taxonomy (NCBI): domain Eukaryota; kingdom Metazoa; phylum Chordata; class Mammalia; order Primates; family Hominidae; genus Homo; species Homo sapiens. Next base: position 63,487,389 of record NC_000020.11, read on the forward strand.
CCCCTCCACTCTTCCCAGCCAAGGTCGGGGCAGGTTCTAGCCCAGAGAGACTAGGGAAGACCCAAAGCCCCCAGCCCACTGACTGAAGTCACCAGCCTCCCGGGTTCGGGGGCTGGAGTTCCTACAACCACGTACAGAGGGCCTGGACCTGGGAGCAGGATGGATAGGTACAGGCTGCAGCCACAGGTGACCGGCTTAGCAGGAGAGTGAGACCAGGTGTGCGGGGCCAGGGGAAGAATGAGTGTGTGTGTGACAGTCACTCGCGGTGGAGGAGCCCTCAGCTCTCATGCGGCCCCCAGAGATCCCAAAACCCGCAGCCTGGTTCTGTGGATCTGAAGGCACCATTCTCTGCCCTGAGTAGCCATGGAGAAGCCCCTCAAAGCCACCCAGGCCACCTGGCCTTCGGATGGGGTCTTGCTGCTGGGCCACGGCCTGGGGGACACCAGGCCCTCCTCAGCGAGCGCTCAGCGCTCACCCTGTGCAGCGCAGGGGACCACTCTTGCAGGCCCACCGCCCACCCTGGGGTCCCCGGGCAGGGAGTGAAGGATGCTGGGCCGGCCACTTGGGCAGGGAGGGGGTCCGGGGGGCGCGGGGCCCACCCCCCAGCAGCAGGCGCACACGGCTCTGGGGTCGCTCAGTTTATTGGTAAAACGGGCACTGAGCGTGGCGAGCGCTGGGCGCGGAAGCCTGGGGCGGGGGCGCCTTTCCTCTTGAAGAACTTCCACTGGACCTTGATGGCGAGCATCCAGTCGCTGACCGAGGGCCTCTGGCAAGCGGAGGTGCAGACATGCGCCTGGCGGGGGTGCGGGGCGCCGGACCGGCGCGCGGGGCGGGGGCGGGGCGGGGGCCCGGGCCCGGGGTTCGGAGCGCGGCACCGCCGGGGAGGGTCGCGCCGCGGGCGCCCGCGCTTCACTTGCCCGCCTTCTGCGCCTTCTGCGCCGACTTGGTGACCTTGCCGGCGCCGCCGCTCTTCTTCTCCACGTTCTTGATGACGCCTACGGCCACCGTCTGCCTCATGTCGCGCACGGCGAAGCGGCCTGGGGGGCGGGGGGCGGCGTGTGGGCGGGGCCGGAGGACTTGACCCCCCCCAACCCCAGGGCTCTGGCCGGGCGGGGGCGCAACCGCGTCGGGAATGTCCTCGGAACACGCTTAGCGCAGAGCGCGCCCCTGTGAAGACGGCCGGCCTCGCGGGAGTCCTGCCTGGGCGGCTGCTCCACGGTCTGCGGGGCGGCCACGGGGCGGGGGCAGCCCTAACGCTGCCACTGGGCGACCGCGGGCCTTCCTCACTCGCGGGGCCTCCCTCACTTTCGGGGCCTCGTCTGCACACAGGGCCCACCCCAGCTCGTCTGGGCAGGGTCACCTGCACTCAGTGACACGGAGGCCGTGGCTCTCCTGCCATGCTCTGGGCCAAGCTCCGCAGGAAAGGGGGCCCACTGCTGTCCCCAGCGCCCCATCCCCGCAGTCCTCTGCCCTCAGCCTGGATCAGCCACAGCCTGGGGGCTGCACCTCCCCGGACCACCCCGGCTCACCGAGAGGCGGGTACTGGGAGAAGCTCTCCACACACATGGGCTTTCCCGGCACCATCTCCACGATGGCCGCGTCTCCAGACTTCAGGGACTTGGGGTTGTCCTCCAGCTTCTTGCCAGAGCGCCGGTCAATCTTCTCCTTCAGCTCCGCAAACTTGCAGGCGATGTGGGCTGTGTGGCAGTCGATGACCGGGGAGTAGCCGGCGCTAATCTGCCCCGGGTGGTTCAGGATGATGACCTGCGAGCGGAGCCACAGGCGGCCATCAGGCACATCGGCGGTGGGCACCGGGAGGGCGCCAGAGCGGGGCTGGGAGGCCCAGTCACCGGCGCCCCTGCACGGGCTCCTGGGCCCGGAGTGCTGACTGGAGGGGGCTCAGGCTCTGAGGACCCAGCCCCCAGACCTGAACCTCAACATCCTCATTAAGCAAAAGATAAACAACTGAGATTCATTGTTTCGAAGGGGCAGGGGCAGCACTTACACGGCCAACCCCAGCTGGAACTAAGGCGGGGGGGTGACAAAACTGGACCTCAATTCCTGTGTTTCAGTTGTATCTCAATAAAGCCACTTTTAAAAATCATATGAAGAGGCCAGGCACGGTGGCTCACACCTGTCATCCCAGTACTTTGGGAGGCTGACGCACGTGGATCACTTGAGGTCAGGAGTTCGAGACCGGCCTGGCCAACATGGTGAAACCCCGTATCTACTAATAATACAAAAATTAGCCAGGCGTGGTGGCACATGCCTGTAATCTTACCTACTTGGGAGGCTGAGGCAGGAGAATCACTTGAACCCGGGAGGCGGAGGTTGCAGTGAGCCGAGATCGCACCACTGCACTCCAGCCTGGGCAACAGAGCGAGACTCCGTCTCAAAAAAAAAATAAATAAATCATATGAAGAGGCCAGCAAAGAGGGGCAATGAAGACTGTAGAGAATAAAAGTATGACAGAGATGTCTCAGACAGTAAGTTAACAAAAGCGTTTTTCTAGGACGAATGTAGGACCTCAAAGGCTGGGCATCCCAGCAGTGCAGCGTGGAAGACAGACCCGCGATTGCACACAGGCTGGGAGCCACAGGGCCTGCACCCCTCCCAGAACTGATTGATCCCCTCGTTGAGTGCTCGGTGGCCCCCTCGGTGGTATGCGGGTCCCTTTTCTTTTTTTTTTTTTCTTTTGAGACGAAGTCTCGCTCTGTCACGCAGGCTGGAGTGCAGTGGCGCAATCTCGGCTCACTGCAACCTCCGCCTCCCAGGTTCAAGCGATTCTCCTGCCTCAGCTTCCTGATAGCTGGGACTACAGGCACGTGCCACCACGCCTGGCTAATTTTTGTATTTTTAGTAGAGACGGGGTTTCACCATGTTGACCAGGATGGACTTGATCTCTTGACCTCGTGATCTGCCCGCCTCGGCCTCTCAAAGTGCTGGGATTACAGGCGTGAACCACTGCGCCCAGCCTGAGGGTCTGGTTTTCTCCCCACGCCAGGCCACCTGCCGACAGCAGCCTCACCCAGGACAGTCCTGCTGCTGTCCAGCAGGCGCCAGCCCCCTGGACCCAGCGCAGCCCCCCACCTGGGAGGTGAACTGAGCAGCCTCCTGCGGCGGGTCAGACTTGCTGTCCCCACACACGTTGCCCCGCCGGATGTCCTTCACCGACACGTTCTTCACATTGAAGCCGACGTTGTCGCCGGGCAGAGCTTCGCTCAGAGCCTCGTGGTGCATCTCCACTGACTTCACCTCAGTGGTGATGTTCACTGGCGCAAAGGTCACCACCATGCCCGGCCGCAGGATGCCGGTCTCCACCCGGCCCACGGGCACCGTGCCAATGCCTGCAGAGGGGAGGGGGTGTGAGGGGAAGGTGGGGCCCGAGGGGATGCTGGGGCAGGATATTCGGGGACAGAGCCTGGAAACCAACAAAGCCTGGGACTGGATCCCCCCGACAGGCCTGGGGGTTGGGGCCACATGGGCGGAGTGCAGGGGAAGGGAGGCCAGGGACAAGGGCAGACACAGAGATTCCAAGGGAAGTGGGGGCTCTCCCACCCAGCTGGGGAAATAAGAGGCTGAGCAGCAGAGCTCCCAGGAACCCACGGAAAAGCCACAGGGACAGAGAAGCGGGAGGATGGGCAGAGAGGGGCTGTCTGAACCTGGGGTCCCATCCTTGCCCCCGGAGAGCACTTTCCCTCAAAGGAGGCACTATGGGACCCCTCCTTTGTCTGAGGACTCCTCCCTGTGAGTGTGGGCGGGGCGACTGACTGCTTCTGCCTGGGGCCTGGTGGCCCTGCTCCCTGCTCCCTGCAGGCCCTGCTCCCTGCTCCCTGCAGGCTCTCTGGGCCCCACTTGGATGCTGCAGGTCTCTATCACTAAAGGGGCCTCTCAGCCAGATGCAGCACAGGCACAGCGGCACATGAGCGTCCCTGGCATTTCTCATGGATCTACTTAAACCAATTGTGCAGCTGCCACATGGGGGTCTTGTCCCCCCCCAGGCTACTGGGTCTCCACCCTCACCTCCCAGGGCTGTGAGGGAGGCCTGTTGTAGCCTCCAGCCAACTTCACTGAGGCCAGTGGCTGTGCTCTGTGCTGGGGTGAGCATGATGCCCCCACAGTGCACACAGAGATGCCTGCAACATCTTTGGCTGCAGCCCACTGGCTGGGGGTCTCCTATCAGTGCCCTTCTCTAGGGTCTCAGATTTGTTTATGGTTTCTCTTCTTGGTGGGATGGATGGATGGATGGACGGATGGATGGGGAGGTGGGTGGATGGATGGATGGATGTATGAATGGGGTGGTAGATGGATGGGGAGGTGGATGGACAGAAGGATGGGTGGGGAGATGGATGAGTAGGGAGATGGATGGATGGATTGGTGGATGGATGGATGGATGGATGGATGAGGAGGTAGATGAGTGGATGGACAGAAGGATGGATGGGTAGGAAGGTGGGTGGATGAATGGATGGATGGGGAGGTGGATGGATAGATGGATGGATGGATGGATGGATGGATGGATGGATGGGGGGATAGATGGATGGATGGATGGATGGACGGACGGATGGGGAGGTGGATGGATGGATGGATGGATGGATGGATGGATGGATGGATGGATGAGGAGATGAACGGATGGATGAGATGGATGGATGGATGATGGAGGGAAGGATGGCTGGGTGGGGAGATGGATGGATAGAGAGGTGGATGGGTGGATGGGGAGATGGATGGATGGATGGATGGATGGGGAAGTGGATGGATGGGGAGGTGGATGGATGGATGTATGGGTGGGTAGGTGGGTGGATAGATGGATGGATGGATGGATGGATAAATGGATGGATGGAAGGATGGATGGATAGGTAGGTGGGTGGATGGATGGATGGATGGATGTACAGAAGGATGGATGGGTGGGTAGGTGGGTGAGTGGATGAATGGATGGATGGATAGATAGAAGGATGGATGGGTGGGTCAATAGATGGATGGATAGAGAGAAGGATGGATGGGTGGGTAGATGGATGGATGGATGGATGGATGGATAGAGAGAAGGATGGATGGTTGAGACAATGGATGGATGGATGGATGGATGGAGAGATGGATGGATGGATGGATGGACAGAAGGATGGATGGGTGGGGAGGTGGATGGATGGATGGAAGGATGGATGGATGGATAGAGAGAAGGATGGATGGGTGGGACAATGGATGGATGGATGCATGGATGGATGGATGGAGGGATAGAGAGAAGGATGGATGGGTGGGACAATCAATGGATGGATGGATGGATGGATGGATAGAGAGAAGGATGGATGGGTGGGGAGATGGATGGATGGATGGAGAGGTGGATGGATGGATGGATGGATGGATTGATGGACAGAAGGATGGATGGGTGGGGAGGTGGATAGATGGAGAGATGGAGGGATGGTTCGATAGAGAGAAGGATGGATGGGACAATGGATGGATGGATGGATGGAGTGAAGGATGGATGGGTGGGGAGATGGATGGATCGATGGATGGATGGATGGATAGATAGATGGATGGAGAGGTGGATAGATGGATGGGTGGATGGATGGACAGAGGATGGATGGGTGGGGAGGTGGGTGGATGGATGGATGGATGTGGGATGGACTGTCCCACAGAAAGTGTGTGGTAAGGGGAGAGATTGGAGACAGCCCAGTCTTGAGATGCCTTGTAGGGGCCCCTGGTCTAGGGCAGGCAGAGCTGGCCAGGCAGGAGCTCCAGCACAGCGCCCTTGCTCACCGCCAATCTTGTACACGTCCTGCAGCGGCAGGCGCAGGGGCTTGTCCGTGGGGCGCGTGGGGGGCAGGATGGTGTCCAGGGCCTCCAGCAGGGACACGCCGCTTGCGTTGCCCTCCTTACGCTCCACCTTCCAGCCCTTGAACCACGGCATCTGGACCAAAGGGAGAAAATCAATCCGTTAAGAGACATTGGTGGCCTCCCCACCCTCAGGCCTCCCCAGGGTGCTTCCAGGAGTACTGCTGTTCAGGCTAAACTTGCCTCGTGCCCTTTGAGATGAGGAATTTCCCCACCCTGCTCCTCCCCAGCCCATAGCCCCAGCATCACAGGGACTCTGGGAAGGAGATCCCTCTTAAAAGGAGGAGGACAAAGAGGGAAAGCACCCTTCCCAGCCCAGGCTGCTCAGGAGTTGCTGACACTGTGAACAAATCCCCAGTCCAGCCCCAAGTCCCCGAAACCCCGGGCCCCTGACCATCAGCTCCAGGCAGGGCAGATGACTTGACTAGGAGGATGCTGAGTCTGGCCAAGGGCCAGGCCAGGGACAGAGCTGGAGGAGCCTCGCCCCACCCTAGCTTCTGGACACCGTGCTGCCTCCGAGCTTGGCCCAGCCTTGTCCGGAGCTTCTCCTAGTGTGGCCCCCACTCCCATCCCATGAAGCCTCCCTCTGGGCCACCTGCCACAAACAGGGAGCAGGGGAGGGGGCCGGCAGCACAGTGCCCCAGCCCCCCAGGGCCTGTGTAAGCACGAGCCACCTAGCAGCTCAGGCCAGAGGGGAGTGCAGGGTCCCTGATGGCTGGAGGCCTCCCTGGGGAGGGGAGAGTGGCGTTCGCCACATGATACCCCATGAGGAAAACGCCATCACAGGTAAACAACACCGAGCCTCGTGAGATGGAGGCGGAGCTGGGGGAGTCCCTCCCAGTTCTGTCCCCAGACCTCAGCTCCAGGCTCAGTGCTGCTGGTCTGTCTCCCTGCTGTCTCTAGACTCCACACCTGCACCCTCACTGTGGGCAGCGACAGTGCTGGCAGAGCCTAGTGGTGGCCATTCTGGGGTCTCCTCTGGCTTGGAGAACCCTGGGAACAGTCTCAGGTTCTGCAAGTGTCTCCACGCGTCACCTCCAGCCAAGGCAGAGTCCCTGGGCTACAGACTGTTCGCACGTTGAGCTCCCAGGTGACCGGCCAAGAGCCAACCCTTGGCCATCCCAGCAAGCCCAGAAGCATGCACACTTCCCAAAGCCCAACCCTGCTCCAAGATCCCAGGGGAGGCAGCCAAGGAGGCCCCCACGGCCCAGCCCAAAGCCCCTGCACGGTGTCCAGGACCAGGACAATGGCCTGGCAGAGATGAAACCGACCGCCCCCATGGCAGGGCTCTGGAGACCAAGCACATGGGCCTGGTGCTGGAGGCCGCTGCCCCTGCTGTGTTGACATCGTAGATGGGCCCTGGCCCCGGCCAGCCGCGTGGGAGGCTGAGTGTAGGAGCAAAGCCCGGTGCTGAGGGGCATGGGGCTCCCCGCCGGGCCCTGAGCCAGTTAGGGAAACCCAGCAGGTTTCGAGGGGAACCTGCATTTCCCGGGGACAGGCCCTCGACCTCCCCGTGCCACCTGCCGGTGCCTCGCTCTGGGCCAGGGGGTCCAGCCAGCTCCCGTGGCCCGCCCCGCCCTAGCCGCCACTCACGTTGGGGGAGGGCTCCAGCATGTTGTCACCGTGCCAGCCGGAGATGGGCACAAAGGGCACGGTGGCCGGGTTGTAGCCGATCTTCTTGATGTAGGCGCTGACTTCCTTGACGATCTCGTCGTAGCGCTTCTCGCTGTAGGCCGGCTCTGTGGAGTCCATTTTGTTCACGCCCACGATGAGCTGCTTCACACCCAGCGTGTAGGCCAGCAGGGCATGCTCCCGCGTCTGCCCATTCTTGGAGATGCCCGCCTCGAACTCGCCCACGCCCGCCGCCACGATCAGCACTGCGCAGTCCGCCTGCCCGGCAGGGGACACAGTGAGCCCTGCCCCGCCTGCCTGGCAGGGGACAGAGCGAGCCTGGCCCCACCTCACTTCCAGGCCTCTCCAGGCAGCGGGCTGGGGCCTGAGCAGCCCACTGGGGCCTTGGGGAGGGAGGCATGGGGGTCCCCACTTCAAGGGCAGCATGGGGGCTCATCGCCAGGCCCTGGGTCAGGGGACCGAGGTTCAGCCCTGGCTCCACCACCAGTGGGCTGTGTGTCCCTGGACAAGTCACTCAGCCTATCTGCTCCTGTTCCTCACTTGAGGACGGATAGAAGTCACAGTTATCAAAGCAGTTTGGAGGTGGTGGCATGTGTCCTGCTGTCTGCAGGGTGCTGTGTCTGGGGTGTCCGTGCGTCTCTGTGAGTGCCCTGAAATGTCATACAGTCTACACCTGGCGGGTGGCACCTCTGCCCACTGCTCACTCTCCCCATCCTGGCCTCCAACCCCTCCATGTATGAAGGTGTGTCCACGTCCCCATCTGCCCCCATCTATCTGGGGACTCTGACACTGGCTGGATGCCTTCACAGGCACTGGTTCAGATGCCAGAGCACTGGATTCATCCTTAGGGGGGCTCTGAGCCAGACTGGGTGAGGGTGGCCCAGGTGAGGGGTCCCCTGCCCTCACAGGAAGCACAGGAGACCCTACCATCCCAGTGACCCCAGGGGCCCCCAGTGTCCCTTGAAGGGTGCAGCGGCCTCTCCCCCAGCCCCGCCTGCTGTGCCCTGCTCACCTGGGATGTACCCGTGATCATGTTCTTGATGAAGTCGCGGTGGCCGGGGGCATCGATGATGGTGATGTAGTACTTGGTGGTCTCGAACTTCCAGAGGGAGATGTCGATGGTGATGCCGCGCTCACGCTCCGCCTTCAGCTTGTCCAGCACCCAGGCATACTTGAAGGATCCCTTCCCCATCTGGAGCGGGTGAGGGTCACGGCTGAGGGCGGGACCCGGGACCCAGGAGTCCCTGGTGGTGCGAGCTGCTTGTTACAGCAGAGTGGCCGCGAGAGGCGGGAGATGGGCTCCAGCACCCCCTTGCTCTCCGTCGGGGTCCTGGGACGCCGGCCCCCTCCGTCGGGACCCCACACCCAGACCCTGCCCCCCAGGGCCGGCCTCCGCACCTGCTCCGAAATGGGCGCGGCTACGCAGGTCCACCAGCAGGTGGCGCAAGGGCCTGGGAGTCGCTCGCTCTACGAGCGAAGCCGCCAGATGGGATAAACCCCTCCCGGGCGAGGGCTCCCCTTTATCTGAAGCTGCGGACGCCCCCAGATCCCTTCCTCAACCAGAGGCCAATAATACCACCGTGTTTGGGGCTGTCAGATAAATAACCCTCTGTGTGTGTGTGTTTTTTTAAGGTAAGGAGAAAGGAAAACTGAATGAGGTCAGGAGGAGGGCCTGGCCACGCAGCTCCTTCCCGCTGCTCCAGCCTCCCCATCCCTCTGAGGCTTCTCCTCCCCTTCCTCGCTCTGCCGGACACGGGAAGCTGGGGGGCCTCGGCCAGTGAGACCCCCACAGAAGGGGACGGGCTTCAGTCAGGGCAGCAGCGGCGGTCACTACCCAGCTGGGCAGAACTCCTCGCCAGGGCCTCGCACAGACAGGACTCTGCCCTCCAGGAGGCTGCCCAGTCTGGAGCAGACCCAGATGGGACCCAGCTGGGGCCTGAAACAGCGGCCCTCTGAAACCCCCGCCTCCTCCTGACAAGGCCAGGTAAAGGGTGATGCAGCCCAAACTCAGGGGTGCAGCTCAGAGCACCCCCAACCCCGCCAGGGCAGAGGCTCAGCCCAGGACAGCGAGTGCCCCCACCTTGGGCCCTGGCCTCCGCCCTCATCATCCAGGTGAGAGCTCCCACAGGCCCTCCCAGGAGTGGGCTTCTCCCCAGAGTCCTGGGTGGGGGATGGGGATCAGAGAGCAGACCCCGTCTCATGACCGCTCCCCACCACCGTCTCAGCCACCAAAGAGAAATCGCTTCAAAAGGTCAGCTAGGAGGTCACCTCATCCAGGACCCCCACCCCAGGGCTGCCCTGGACAGCAGCCCTCCACAGCCCAGCACAAGAAAATGGAGCAGACGGGCCGGCTGCCCATCAATCAGCTATTAATAGTAGCGTGTGCCCTGGCAGGGCCCTAGGACAAGTGAGGGCAGTACCATCTCCAGCCCCAGCCTTGGCCCTGGGGGGAAGGGGGTAAGGCTCCAGCGCCCTCCAGCCCCAGCTCAACATGGCAGAGTTCCAGAGCCTTCTGCAGACCCTCCCAGGTCACCTCCCTCACCACAGGGCAAGTCCGGCAGCTCGATGGCCACCCCTCCCCCACCAAGCTCCCCCTAAGAGAGAGGCTGCCCCACCAGACCCTCTGAGGCCTGAGTGCCCCACAGCGGGGGTCCCTCCTGCCCTGGAGGAGGTCACCTGAGCCCCATGCCCTGGGGCTGGGAGATGCCAAGCCTGGCCACCACGGGAGTTGGGGGTTCCTTCTCAGGGGGCCAAGACCATAGCCTGGGGAGCTCACCTCAGCCGCCTCCTTCTCGAACTTCTCAATGGTCCTTTTGTCAATACCTCCGCATTTGTAGATGAGGTGGCCCGTGGTGGTGGACTTTCCGGAGTCCACGTGGCCGATGACCACGATGTTGATGTGGGTCTTCTCCTTGCCCATTTTGCTGGGAGTGTGAGGGGCTGGCGGGACCCGGGGTGCTCTGGCTCAGGGCGAGGGGGGCTGCAGTGATTCTGTGGGGCCAGTGGTGGTGGGGAGACCGGTGATGGGGAGCCCCAGGGGGAGACACCAGCAGAGACTGTCCTGGCACAGGCTGGACAGGCATCCCTGCCCACAAACCAAGCCCCCATGTTTGGTGGGGAGGGAAGGGCCCCCACCCACAGCTGGGCCTGGCCAGGGCAAGCAGAGGCTGTGCACTGCCCCCACCCCACACTTGAGCCCAAACAGCCCCATCTGCTGTAAATAACTGGGCGTTGGAGCCCGCGGGCTGCTCCTTGGGAAGGGGTTAGCCACCATTTGGAGAGACCACGCAGCGCCAGGCTGGGTACGTCCGTGACCAGCAGAGCCGGGTGATGAGTCACCTGCCCAGCGCTCCAGGGCCCTGTCCTGCACGCGCACTCCCCTCCCCGGCGGCAGGGCCAGGGACACGGCGCCCCACCCCCACCCGCTGCCACCGGGGAGAGATGGCCACTGCTCCCCACTCCCCTCCTCAGGCAGGGACGGCGCCATCTTCCCCTCATCCCTGCCCGGCAGGCTGGGCCAGAGCCCCGACGGAGATGCGCTGCCCAGATTAGGAACCCAGAATAGCTCTAGGCACCCCCCTCCCGGACTCTCACAGGGACAGACAGCGGCCGGGAGGTGGGGGTCCCTGTTCCAGCCTGAGGAAGGAGGACCCGGCCCTGCCGAGCCCAGCAAGTGCCAGGTGGAGATGCCCTCGGCCCCGTGGGGGTATAGGGGGCACCCTCCCTCCCCCCCTCCCTGTGACTCAGGACCCTGGGTCACAGCCCTGTCCCATCACAGAGGTCAGTGGAGAAACCCACGCTGCTCCTCGCGGACAGGTGGCTGGGGGAGGGAAAGAGGACAGAAGCCACCCTGGGGTGGGAACACGGGTGGGGGTGGGGAGGCCAGGGCCCCCAGATCTCACCACCTCCCTCAGCGTCCTCTGGCCCAGCGCCCCGAAGCCCGACCCCCATCAGCCCCCGGCCCGCAGGGTCCCCGCGGCCCCAAGGTCACGGCTACGGGGCGATCGCCGCCCAGGACCCGGCCCCGCCGCCCCGCGCCGCCCCCCACCCCGGGCCCAGCCCGGCCGACGCGGGGACCCCCGGAAGCCGGACTCCGGGCGCGCGCGGGGGCGGGTGCGGGGCCCGGCCACCCTCTGCCCCCCAGGACCGGCCCCGGGGGTCCCTCTTCGGAAGACGGGGGCGGGGGCGGAGGCCCGGGGGCCGAGCGTCCTTACCCGGAGCCGAGGTCTCAGCCAGAGGGACTGGCGGCGCCGGCGCCGGCGGTTTTATCTCCGGGAGGGGGTCCACCTATTGACGGTGGCGGCGCAGTGCACCGCGCCCTGCAGCACGCCAATGCGGAACCGCGCGGGAGGGGGCGGGGCGCGGACGCGCGCGGGCGGGCGCCACGGGGACGCGAGGCGATGCGGGAGGCGCGGGCTGCAAAGACGGACGCGGGAGGCGGGGGAGAAACGCGCCGCGGGCGGGGGCGGGGCGGGGGGCAGGGCAGGGAGGCGGCGGGAGGGAGGGACCGGGACGGAGACGGCGCGGGGAGAGCGCGGCGGGCCCGGGAGACGGGGCGAGAGCCGGCTCAGGGCAGGAACACGCTTGAGCCGCGAAAAGCGGTCCCCGGGGACAGGGCAGACGCCGAGGACCGGAGCCGGCAGGCGGGGGAGGGGAGCAGGTGGGCTGCAGCCTGGGAGACGAGCCTGGGTCTACCGGCCCCTCCCCGGCCCTGCTCATGGGGGACGCCCCAGAACCAACGAAGCCCGGCTCTGAGGGGCTCTCCCTAATGAGGCCCGGGGGTGCAGGCCTCAGGGTGGAAATCTGCTGGTTTCCAGTCCCTGTCCTCACGTGCCTGCCCTCCTGGGCGCACCATGACAGGCCCCGAGGATCCAGCGCAGAACCACCCTCCCCCTGAGAGGCTGGTCTCCCACGGTGCAGGGAACGCCGGAAGCCCGCTCCCAGACCCACTGACATCTTCCAGGGACCCTCCCCTCCGGGTGCGCCGACCTCCGGCTGCTGCTGGGAAACAGCGCCAGCCAAGGGCGAGTCAGATCCAGACAGACCCAGGCCCCCCCGCCCAGCGCCCCACCCCGCTGCACCTCAGCGCCTTGTAGCTGATGCTCATATGGGGTCAGGATGCCAAGCCAAAGACCGGGCCACGCTCTGTAGGAAGTGGGGAGTCCCTGAGGTCCTGGCACACGCGGGTAATGACCAACGTGGGTTGTGAGGAAGGGGATGTGGCAGCCATGTGTTGTGTGAAGACCAAGGTTAGGGGCTTTCTCCAGACCCCAAGATCCTGTCGTCTCACCCAGGTATTCAGGTCTTCCCTCCCACGCTGCCCCCCCACCCCCACGCACTCGGATCTTCCTGCCAGCGGGGTCTCGGGAGGTGTGTGCTGAGTGGGGGCAGAGCCCTGGCACCTGTCCTCTCAGCCCTGAGTTCCCACTGGGTGTTGACATGGAGGCCCCGGGTCGGGCCCAGCAGCTGCGACTGGGCAAATCCATGGGGATCCCCAGCGACTGGACCCCTACCTGGCCTGCTGGCAGGTGTGAGGAGGAAGGAAAGGTGGGGGCCCAGGGTCGGGGCCAAACAGTTCTCCCCAGCCTGTGGAGAGGGCCTCTCAGGAGGACCCTGGTCTGTGGCTGCGTCTGCCCCATAGGAGTCCAGGGACTTGGGCTCCTGGGCCACAGGCAGGAGAGGAGGCAGGGAGGGCCTGCTAGGTGCCCCGGCACTTCCGAGTGCTGCCGATGCCGTCAAACAGGAGCCAGGAATAAAAATAACCGCCTGGCAAGAAAGCAAGGCCCGCCCCACCCCACCCAGCTGGTCTCTATATTTAACGCCTCCCCTGCAGCCTGAAGGTTAGGCAGGGATTTGGAAGTGGGCTTGCTGCAGGTGCTCGAGTGGCCCAGGCCGGGGTCCCGGGGATGCCCACCCCACTCCCCCAAGGGATCACCAGGACTCTGGGCTACCTTTTCCAGACACCCCTTCCCCCTCGGCTCCCGGCTCACCCATAGCAGTGCCAGGGGCTCACATGTGCCGTGGGGCCTTGCCACCCACAGGAGTGGCCCCTGAGAGTGGAATGTGGCAACCTCCCCAAAGCACCTGTGTGCTGACTCTGGGCAAGGGTGTCGGTGGCTGCTCCAAAGGGTCTCCCAGGCGCCAGGACACGTTTGGTCCACGGTGTGGCCCCTCGGGGTCCTGGGAGCCACCGACTCAGTTCCGCAGACACTTGGAACACACAGCTAACGGGGCTGCGGTCACAAGGCTAAACACTAACACACTGATGGTTCCGAGCCACCGCGGAGACTGAACAGGACTGAATGGCTACTAACTACGGAATGCTAACTGCTGAATAACGGCAGTGGCCTGACCACGTCCCCAAAGTGCACGAGTTGTAACTTAATCCCCAATGCAACAGTGTTGGGGGCTGGCGCTTTCGGGAAGGAGTCTGGGTCATAAAGGGTTTGCCCTTCCGAATGGATTTGTGCCCTATAAACAGGACTCATGGCAGTGGGTTCTCTCTTGCTCTTCCGCCTTCTCCCATGTGAGGACACAGCAAGAAGGCCCTACCAGATGGCAGCACCTTGATCCTGGACTTCCTGGCCTCCAGACTGAGAAATAAACTTCTGTTTACTTATAATAATTTATAAATTTATAAAGCAAACTTTATAAATGTTTAAATTTAAGTAATGTATAATTACCCAGTCTCAGGTATTCTGTCATAGCACAACAAGCAGGCAAAACACTTGTCAATGGCCGGGTAGCACCAAATGACTTCAAGTACCAAGCATCCTAATTAGTCACAGCCAAGTCGCCCAGCTGTGTGAGTTCACAGTGTGGGGGACGGGGGACAGGGGGCCGTGCACGTGCACAGTGTGCGGGGATGGGGGCTGCGGGGACAGAGGCTACAAGGTAGGCCCCACAAGGCTGGCTGGAGGACCTTGAGAACCTGTGAGGCAACTGGGCACAGAAAGGCCAAGATTCCTGTCCAAGGACACGCAGCAAGTAAGGGGGCCTGTGGCCTGTGCTTTCCCTGCCCTCCCCCAGGTCAGGACTTGGGCCCCTCTTCTTGCATCTGAGTCCCTGGTCACAGTGCCGTCCTCACCAACAACCTGGGGGGGGTGGGGGGAGGGGAAATGGCGAGTCAAGAGGGCACCAGCCAATCAGGGCTTCCCTGGGGGCAGGCCCCGCCCCTCCTCGACCCCTCCCAGAGCCCCCAGGCCCCGCCCCTCCTTGCCGCCTCCCAGAGCCCCCAGGACCCATCCCTGAGCTGTTTGGGGAGACACAGGCAACCCCTTCTTTGGCTGGCTAGGGTTTCACGAGCCTCGGGAAAGAAGATGCAGCTAAAATTAACCGCTATCAAGCTGTCAGCCCTGGAAATAAACCTGCCTCCCATTGGCTGCCGGTGACGTCACTGCTGGGTTAATAATAGCCGCCGAGTGCCTAACGAACCACCTGTGCATGGGGCACAGCCAGGCCATCACCCCGGGGCCACCGTCGCAGGCAGGTGGAGGCTGGCAGCCCAGAGGCAGACAGGGGCTTGGAGGCAGGGTGGGGAGCAAGGCCAAGGCCGCTCTCTGGCCCCCAGTGTCACAGGATGACCTCAGCCCTGGCCTGGCCCCAGAGCAGGTGTGGATTCATTTTCCGGTCACGGAGCATCTCGTCTGCTGGCCCACCTGGGCCCCCTGGACGGCCACCAGGACAAGGCCCACCCCCGCGGCCATGCCTTGGGGCTGGCTCCCAGGGGACTGAGCATGCCCTTGAGGCAGCGAATTAAACAGTCTCCATGGCAGCAGAGGAGCTCCTGCCTCTGGAGCCTCCCTTAGAGGAGCAGCTCATGTCCCCCCAGATCAGAGAAGCTGGGGCTGGGCTGGCAGCGGGCAAACATGCCTGCAGGTCAGGCCACAGACCAGGGCCAGCCACGGCCCCGACAGCCCACCCTCCAACCCGGTATCTGGGTGTGCCTGAGGCAGACCTGAGTCTACCAGGGAGGCCCAGGAGGGATGCAGCCCCTCCGCCAGGGGGAAGGGCGGCCTGGCCTGCCACCCCGACCTGCAGGCCCCAGCAGGGAGCGTTGCCATGGTGAGAGGCAGCAGCAGCAGGATGCCCTCCCTCCAGGCCCTGCTGCCCGGGAGCCCAGCACCCACCCTGGTGGGGAGCAGACAGCACGTGCTCCTGCCGCAAGCAGCACTTTCTGGGCTTCTGGGCTTCCAGCTGCAGTCCCCGCTAGCCCCTCCCGGCCCCTGGCCATTACAGCCCATTGCAGGCTGGGAGGCTAAACAGGAGGCCGGGGTCACCGACCAGGGTGGGGTCACCTCTTGGACCCAAGAAGGGCAGCCCCTGGTGCCAGCACAGGGGCGCTGTGCCCTCCAGTGCCCAGAGGCAGAGGGGAGAGCCTGGGTAGGGTCTGCAGACCATTGACCCTACAGCTGCCTCCTCTGGGCCCTGGAGGAAGAGGGGGCCATCAATTGTGTCTCATTCTGCAGCTGGTCCAGAGAGAATGGGGGGTCCAACGTCTGTGGTCAGGTCTGGAGAGAATGGGGGGTCCAGTGTCTGTGGTCAGGTCTGGAGAGAATGGGGGGTCCAGTGTCTGTGGTCAGGTCTGGAGAGAATGGGGGGTCCAGTGTCTGTGGTCAGGGCCCCCTCAAGGGCCCACTAAAGCAGAGCTCCCTTCCTGGGCCCCACCCAAGGTCCCATCTCCTCTCCTATGTAGCCGGCACCAGGTTCAAGGGGGATCTCTCAAGGTGGGAAATTGCCCTGGGGAACCTGAAGTTCATTAGCAGCTCTGGAGGCCCTGTTTTCACCTCTTTGAATAGCCCTTCCCTCAATTAGGCAGCTGGGAATCTTATGAAGGGAATAACAGGACCCTGCCTGCACCCTGGGGATGAGCCTCCCAGGGGCTGCCGCCCACCATCGCCTCCCACAGAGATTCAGAGCCTCCCCACCCCTGGAGGGACCTCCCCACACGGCCAGGAACCGAGCAGCTGGGCCAGGGCAGGAGGAAGGGCAGGGAGAACACAGAGGGGACGTCTGCCTTTTTAAAGACGTGACTTTGAGCATACATAGAGAAAAGTGACACACTGCAAATGTGCCTGATGAGTTATCACCAGGAAAACACACCCAGACCAAGAAACAACATTCCCTCCTGCCCCTCGGTAAAGGTGACTTCTGACAGCACAGATCACGTTTGCCTGTTTTTAAACTTTATATAAAGGGAACACAATGCACAGTGTGTATCCTTTTGTGTGGCTTCTTTCACACACGACCGTGTCTGTGAGATGCCTCCATGCCGTCCCGTGCAGCAGGCATTTGTTCATTTTCATCACTGTACTGCATTCCACTTCCAGTTCTGAACGACTACAAATAAAGCTGCTACGAACACTTGTGTGCGTCTCTCTTGTGCGGGTGTACCTGCTCAGTACACACCCCAGGATGTTTCAGCCACATGATAGGTGCATTATGCCAACCACTAGTTTATTGTCTTTTGGCTCGAAATTTAACCTTCAATACCTGCTCCACAGCAGTGGACAGAATTACTTTAAGCATTTCTCCTTTACACTGGGCAGATTCATTTTTTTTCTTTTCTTTTTTTCTGAGACAGGGTCTCACTCTGTCCCCCAGGCTGTAGAGTAGTGGCACAATCATGGTTCACCACAGCTTCGGCCTCCCAGGCTCAAGCGATCCTCCCACCTCAGCCTCCCAAGTATTTGGGACTACAGGTACACACCACCACGCCCAGCTAATTTTTGTATTTTTTATAGAGATAGGGTCTTGCCATGTTGCCTAGGCTGGTCTCCAACTCATGGGCTCAAGTGATCCACCCGCCTTCGTCTCCCAAAGCCCTGGGATTACAGACGCGAACCACTGCACCCAGCTGAGATTCACTTTTTTGAGGAAGGCAATAAAGGGTGAATTTGCAGCTGGAAATAAATCAATTGATAATTGGCTTTTACCCCTTGAGCGTGGGTTGCATTGTCCTGTTTCTTCGTGTGTCTAGTGATTTTTGACTGAATACTGAACATCATGTGGAGAGTCTACTCTGCTTCCTCCTCTGAAGCTGTCGGTGTTTGCTTTGCAGGTTGGTTCACTGCTGGGCCCTGTGGACTTGTTCTCATGCTTTGTCAGTGTCGATGTCGAAAGCCCAAAGTGTTTCCCAAGTCCTGCTACCTTGGTAAGACTCAACCCTCAATCTCAGTCTCCCCTGCAGATCTCTGTGGGGCTTGGTCTGAACTTTCGTTAGGTGAGTGTGGAGTAGGCATTATTGTACATTGTAGTCCTTTCTCCTCAAAAAAAAAAAAAAAAAGTAAGGTCTCTCCACTCTAGCCAGGTCCAAATGCCAAATGCCAATGCCGCCCAAGTCTCTCCACTCTGGCCAGGTCCAAATGCCAAATGCCAAAATACTGCCCGACACAGCTTGTCCTCTACTATCTTTGTTCTGCTCTAACCTGGGTGGATACAACCTCAGGTAATCCCTGGTGAGTCGCAGCCTTGAGTACTTTCCTCCGAGAAACACTACGGTTTGTGTCCAGCCCATAGAACACAGAAAGGTGATAAGTCACTCTGTGATTGGCTGCATCATTCCAGGCTCTGTCCTGGGGGACGGAGCAGCAAGACACCCCTGCTGTCTGTGAAGATATGGCTGTTGGAAGGCATGGGAGGGGCCTCGTATCAGGGAACCAGTGAGTGGCCCCAGGCTGCCAGCCAACAAGAAAGCAGGGACCTCAGTCCTACAGCCACAAGGAACTGAATTCTGCCAACAACCACGTGGCCTTCAAAGAGGACCTCAAGCTTCAGAAAGAAATACCAACACCTTGGTGGCACTCTTGAAACCCCGAGCCACCCAGCGGAATTGTGTGTGGGCTCCTGACCCCCCAAAACTGAGAATAAATGCATGTTTTTTAAAGCTACTAAATCGGTGTTGATTGGTTATGCAGTGACGGATAACAGCACAGGGCCTATAGTCACTGCTCTCTGGTGAGCCTCCGGCACCTCCTCACCCTCAGCCACAGGCTTGCAGAGGTCCCAAGCACTCCCCACCAGCAACATGCACACCTAAGCCCCTCACTCCAGTCTCTGCCTCTCATCCCAGGGGGACTGCCGTGCTCTGCCTGGAGCCCTGCTTGTGGGGTTATGGCCAAGGAGAGCCGGGAGTGTGGGCGCCTCCAAGCACCCTCTCGGTCTTGTGCTGTCCTCACCCCACTGCCTGAAGAGAGCAGCGCACGAATTTTGTCTGGTCTCAGAGTCGTTTCTGGAGGGAGACGTACCTGGCAGCAGCTACTCCCCCGCAACTGGAAGCAGCGGTTGACTCCACATCAATACAAAGACAAGGTTACTTCAGTCTTTTTACTTTTATATTTTATTGTTTTACTATTTTCACGGTATATACATTGGGCCTGTCTTTTTAAAAATCTTTTATGACACTGAAACTTTTGAAGAATGCAAACCGGTTGTTTTGTAGATTGTCCCCGCATTGAGCGTTCCTGACATTTCTGCATGAACAGATTGGCACCAAGAGCCAGGCATCCTTCCCAGCACTCGGGACGCTGGCTGCCCACCAGCGGCAACGGTACCTTTGATCCTCTGGTTAAACTGGCATCCACAAGCTTCTCACAGTAAAGTTACCACTTTGCCCTTTGTAACTGATAAGTAAGCCGGGCACGGTGGCTGACACCTGTAATCCCAGCACTTTGGGAGGCCAAGGCGGGTGGATCACTTGAGCCCAGGAGTTCAAGACCAGCCCGGCCAAAATGGTGAAACCCCATCCCTACTAAAAATTCAAAAATTAGCCAGGTATGGTGGCACATGCCGGTATTCCCAGCTACTCAGGAGGCTGAGTCACGAGAATCGCTGGATCCCGGGAGGCAGAGGTTGCAGTAGCCAAGATCATGCCACTGCACTCCAGCCTGGGTGACAGAGTGAGTGAGAATCTGTCTCAAAAAAAACCCTGAAAATTAACAAGGAAGTACTTTTGATACTGGTGGCCAGGGGAGGTCCCCAAATGCGAATGGGACCTTGACCCAGGCCAGTGTCCTGCCTCTTAACACCATCACAAAACGAATTCAAGGATGAGTTAAAAAATAATGAAAGTAGAGATTTATTGCAAAGCAAAAAGTACACCCTCCAGAAAGCAGAGTGTGGCTGGGTGTGAAGGCTCACGCCTGTAATCCTAACACATTGGGAGGCTGAGGCAGGAGTTCGAGATCAGCCTGGGCAACATAGTGAGACCCTGCCTCATAAAAATAAACAAGCAAATAGAAAAAAAAGTCAAAGAAGAAAGGGGAGTATGGGTGTTCTCAAGAAAGTGAGTCGTGAGGCAGGGTTTGGGGCCCCTACCTTTAATGGGTTTCTTTAACCAAGGAGTGGAATATTCATAAAGATTTCTGGAAAAAGGTGAAGATTTCTAGGAACTGTGGTGCCACCCTTTTTTACACCAAATATGTGTGTTCCTGGAACTGTCATGGCACTGCCGAGTGTGATTTGTGTGTTGATGAGCATATAATTAGGTCACCGGTGAAACCCAGGTCAAGTCCGCTGCCATGTGGGTCCAGTCGTCTCGGCCAGCGTGGCCCAGTGGGTCCAGTCATCTTGTCCAGCTCGGCCCAGTGGGTCCAGTAGTCTCGGCCCAGCTCGGCCCAGTGGGTCCAGTCGTCTCGGCCAGCGTGGCCCAGTGGGTCCAGTCATCTTGTCCAGCTCGGCCCAGTGGGTCCAGTCGTCTCGGCTCAGCTCGGCCCAGTGGGTCCAGTCGTCTCGGCCAGCGTGGCCCAGTGGGTCCAGTTGTCTCGGCTCAGCGTGGCCCAGTGGGTCCAGTCCTCTTGGCCCAGCTCGGCCCAGTGGGTCCAGTCGTCTCGGCCCAGCTCAGCCCAGTGGGTCCAGTCGTCTCGGCCCAGGTCGGCCCAGTGGGTCCAGTCGTCTCGGCCAGCTTGGCCCATGTCCTGGTCTTCAGTGTCTGGTCACCCCCTGGCCTCTGCAGCTTTTTCAACAGCTCTCTTTTGATAGCCATGAAACTGCTACCTGGAATCATCTGTTCTCCTGCGGCCACCCTGTCGTAGTCCTGTCTCACTTTGGGTTAGGTAAATGTCCTGTCCCTCATCAGAATCCATCTCTGGACTTAGCATTCGTGGATGATTCATGGATCAGTGTTTACTATGATGGCTGTGCGTCTTAAATCATTGTTTTATCTGTCATTATTTTTTTGAATTGTCACACAGTAAGTTGACTTTTTTGGAAGATGTACGACTCTGTGAATATTCACACACACGTATTGCCACCGCCGCACTCAGGAAGCAGGACATCCCACGACTCGGAAATCTCCCCAGACATACCGTTTGCGGTCACCCATCCTCTTCCCCCTGGAAACCCCATTTGTTCTAAGAATGTCAGATGAGGCCCAGGACGTAGACGCACCGGGTTGCGTTGAGGTCTGGCTTTTCTGACTTGGCACATCGCTGTGGACACCCACCCAGGGGGTTTCACGGATCGACGGCTCGTTCCTTCTATCACTCAGCAGTATCTCGTACACGACACACCACAGTCTCTGTTCACCCGCAGAAGAACACCTGCAATGTTTCCAGGTTGGGCAGCTATGAATAGAGCTCCCATAAACATCTGTGTACCGTCCTTTAACGTAAACCTGTTTGAATTTGTCTTGGATAAATGCTCAGAAGCGGAATTGCTGGGTCATACGTCAGGCGCAGGTTTCCCTTCACCAGAAGCTGCCGACCTGGCTTCGGGAGGGAAACCCGCGCCGTCTGCACCCCCAGGGGAGTTCCCGGAGCCTCACGGCCGCTGCAGCACTTGGTGTCCTTGGTGTTTGGAAATTTTTTTTTTTTTTTCAGCTGCTCTCATAGGTGGCCTCTCATGGTGCTTTTAATTTGCATTTCCCTAATGTTGCTGAAGAACATTTCATGGGCTAGTTAGTACACGGTCTTTGGTGAAGCTCCCATTAAGTCTTTTATCCTTTTTTTTTTTTTTTTTTTTTTTTTGAGATGGAGTTTTGCTCTCGTCGCCCAGGCTGGAGTGCAGTGGTGCGATCTCGGCTCACTGTAACCTCTGCCTCCCAGGTTGAAGCGATTCTCCTGCCTCAGCCTCCTGAGTAGCTGGGATTACAGGCATGCACCACCACCCTGGCTAATTTTTTTTTTTTTTTTTTTAATAGAGACAGGGTTTCTCCATGTTGCCCAGGCTGGTCTCGAACTCCTGACCTCAGGTGATCCGCCTGCCTCGGCCTCCCAAAGTGCTGGGATTATAGGCGTGAACCACTGCACCCATCCTTTTATCCTTTTTTTAAAACAGCTTTATTGAGATATCATTTACATGCCATAATATTCGCCCATTTAAAGTGCATGATGCAATGGCTCTTAGCATATTTACAAAGCCGAGCAACCATCACCATAATCTAATTTTAGAACATTTCATCACCCCGAAAAGAAACCTTGTACCATTTAGTAATCAGTCCCCATTCCTCCTCCACCTCTAACCAAGCCCTGGGCAACCACTCATCTGCCTTCTGGCTCCATGCATTTGCCTGTTCTGGGCATTTTGTATGAATGGAACCGTGCGCAGTGTGTGGTCTTTGCTGACTGGCTGCTTCTGGGTTTGGTTTCTCTGCGTCGCAGCCTGCGTCAGTGCTTTCTTCTTTCTTATTGCCAAACAATCCTCTGCTGTAGGGACGGGCCACATTTTGTTCATCATTCATCAGTTGATGGACATTTGGGTTGTTTCCACTTTTTTTTGAGACAGAGTCTTGCTCTGTGGTCCAGGCTAGAGTGCAGTGGTGCAATCTCGGCTCACTGCAACCTCTGCCTCCCGGGTTCAAGTGATTCTCCTGCCTCAGCCTCCCAAGTAGCTGGGATTACAGGCACCTGCTACCACACTCGACTAATTTTTGTATTTTTAGTAGAGACAGGGTTTCGCCATGTTAGCCAGGCTGGTCTCGAACTCCTGACCTCAGGTGATCCGCCCACCTCGGCCTCCCAAAGTGCTGGGATTACAGGCATGAGCCACCGCGCCCAGCCTGTTTCCACTTTTTAGCTAACATGAATAATGCTCTATGGTGGTACAAGTTTTTTGTGTGTGGACACGTTTTCATTTATCCCGGGTAGATATTGAAGAGCAAAATCCTGTGACTATATTTAACCTTTTGAGGAAATGCCAAAATGTTTTCCAAAGTGGTTACACTATTTCACATTCCCAGCAGCTGTGTAGCAGGGTTTCCATTCCTCTGCTTTTATTATTGTGTGTCTTTTTATCAGAGCTCTGCTGGGTGTGAAGTGTTGTCTCATTGGGGTTTGGATTTGCATTTCCCTAATGACTAACCCTATGGATCTTTTCATGTACCTTTTAGCCATTTGCATGTCTTTTTTGCAGAAATGTCTATTCAAATCCTTGACTTTTTTTTTTTTTTTTTTGAGATGGAGTCTCACTCTGTTGTCCAGGCTGGAGTGCAGTGGTGCAATCTCGGCTCACTGCAACCTCTGCCTCCCAGGTTCAAGTGATTCTCCTGCCTCAGCCCCCCGAGTAGATGGGACTACAGGCACGCACCATCATGCCCAGCTAAATTTTGTATTTTTTTGTAGAGACAGGGTTTCGCCATGTTGGTCAGGCTGGTTTCGAATTCCTGACCTCCTGATCCGCCCGCCTAGGCCTCCCAAAGTGCTGGGATTACAGGCGTGAGCCACGGCGCCCAGCCCCTTGGCCAAGTTTTCAATTGAATTGTTTATTTTTATTTTTTGGTGTTGAGTCTTGAGAGTTTTCTATGTATTGTGGATACAAGTCCTTTGTCAGTTCTGTGACTTGCACATATTTTCTCCAAGTCTGTGGCTTGTCTTTCTAATCTCTTAACAGGATCATTCACAATACAAGTTTTTTATTTCAGTGAAGCCCAGTTTATCCATATTTTTCTTAAGTGGATCATGCTTTTAATATTGGCTGCTCAGGTCACAAAGATTATCTCTTGTACTTTCTTCTAGATGTTTTATAGTTTACATTTTATATTTAGATACATTATCCATTTGTATAGTTAATCTTTGTATAATATGTGAGATTTAGGTCAAGGTTTTTGTTTGGTTGGTTGTTTTTTGTTGTTGTTGTTTTGTTTTTTTTTTTTTTTTGCATGTGAATGTCAAATTCTTCCAGCACCATTTGTTGAAAAGATTATACTCTTTTTTTTTGAAACAAGGACTCACTCTGTTGCCCAGGGTGGAGTGCAGTGGCATGATCTCAGCTCACTGCAACCTCTGCCTCTCGGGCTCAAGCGATCCTCCCACCACAGCTTCCTGAGTAGCCGGGACTGTAGGCACGTGCCACGAAGCCCAGCTATTTTTTGTAGAGACAAGTTCTCACCATGTTGCCCCTGCTGGTCTCTAACCCCTGGGCTCAAGTGATCCGCCCGCCTCAGTCTCCCAAAGCGCTGGGATTGCATGCGTGAGCCACTGTGCCCGGCAGAAAAGATGATACTTGCTCTGTCAAATCACTGTAGTGCCTTTCTCCGAGAACATTTGGTCACATTTGTGTGAGGCTGTCTCTGGACTCCATCCTGTTACACTGATGTCTGTATCTGTCTCCTCACCAAGACCTCACTGTCTTGTTTTTTTTTTTTTTTTTTTTTTTTGAGACAGAGTCTCACTATGTCGCCAGGCTGGAGTGCAGTGGCACGATCTCAGCTCACTGCAACCTCCGCCTCCTGGGTTCAAGCGATTCTCCCGCCTCAGCCTCCCAAGTAGCTGGGATTACAGGCACACGCCACCATGCCCAGCTAATTTTTGTATTTTTAGTAGAGACGGGGTTTCACCATGTTGGGCAGGATGGTCTCAATCTCCTGACCTCGTGATCCACCCGCCTTGGCCTCCCAAAGTGCTGGGATTACAGGTGTGAGCCACCACTCCCGGCCCTCACTGTCTTGTTTTGTTTTATTCTGTTATTTTTGTTTTTCTAAGACATCTTGTTATCGCACACTGTGTTCAATATTGCGATTTTGTAGCAATTTCTAAAATAAGATCATGGCCGGGTGCAGTGGCTCACGCCATTAATCCCAGCACTTCGGGAGCCTGAGGCGGGCAGATCCCTGAGCCCAGGAGTTCGAGACCAGGCTGGCCAACATGGTGAAACCCCGTCTCTACTAAAACTACAAAAATTAGCGGGGCGTGGTGGTACATCCCTGTAATCCCAACTACTCGGGAGGCTGAGGCACGAGAATCGCTTGAACCCAGGAGGATGCAGTGAGCCAAGATTGCACCACCGCACTCCAGCCTGGGCAACAGAGTGAGACTCCATCTCAAAAATATAAAATAAAATAAAAAGTAAAATAAAATAAAATGAGGTCGTATATGGAAAGAATAGTCTTTTCAACAAATGACGTTAGAAAATCTGCATATCCACCTGCAATATAATGAAACCCGCTCTTCCCTCACCTGTCAATCAATATCATGAAGCCGGCTCTTCCCTCATCTGTCTATCAATATCATGAAACCACCTCTTCCCTCACCCGTCTATCAATACAATGAAACCACCTCTTCCCTCACCCGTCTATCAATATGATGAAGCCGGCTCTTCCCTCACCTGTCTATCAATATCATGAAGCCGGCTCTTCCCTCACCTGTCTATCAATATCATGAAGCCGGCTCTTCCCTCACCTGTCTATCAATATCATGAAGCCGGCTCTTCCCTCACCTGTCTATCAATATCATGAAGCCGGCTCCTCCCTCACCTGTCAATCAATATAATGAAGCCGGGCTCTTCCCTCACCTATATATCAATATGTGATCTAATAAAAATATACTACTATTTGAAGAAACCATAGGTGTAGGCTGGACACAGTGGCTCATGCCTATAATCCCCCAGCTGTTTGGGAGGCTAAGATGGGAGGATCACTTGAGCCCAGGAGTTCAAGACCAGCTTGGGCAACACAGAAAGACCACATCTCTACAAAAAAGTAAGAAATTAGCTGAGAGTGGTTGTGTGCCCCTGTAGTCCCAGCTACCAGGGAGGCTGAGATGGAAGGATCCCTTGAGCGTTGGAGGTCAAGGCTGCAGTGAGCCGAGAATGTGCCATTGCTCTCCAGCCTGGGCAACAGAGGAAGACTGTGTCTCGAAAAAAAAAAAGAAAAATAGGTAAATTGTTCATGACCTTCTTAGATAAGACACTAAAACCACAAGCAAAGTAAGAAAAGGTAGGTAACTGGACTTTGCCAAAATTAAAAACTTTTGAGCATCAAAGGACACTGTCAAGAGAATGAAAAGAGAATCTATAGAATGGGGGAAAATATTTGTGAATCACAGCAGATAAGGGTCCAGCATTCCGAATATACAAAGGACTCTTACAACTCAACAATACAAAGACACTCAATATCATTAGTCATTAGGAAAATGCAAATCAAAACCACAGTAAGACACCACTTCACACTCTCTGAGGTGGCTATAATCAGAAATATGAAAAATATCAAGGTTGGCAAAAATGTGGAAAAATGGGAAGCCTCTTCCATTGTTGGTAGCAACATAAAATGTTCCAGCCACTGCGGAAAACAGTCTGGCAGTTCCTCAGTAAGTTAAACATAGACAGCGATGTGTGAGCCAGCAATTCCACTCCTAAGTACAGACCCAAAAGAGTTGAAAACAGGTATTCAAACAAAAACTTGTACATGGAATGTTTGCAACAGCACTATTTATAATATCCAAAAGGTGGAAACAACTGACGTCCATAAATGGATGGAGAGAGAAATGTGGTCTATCCATACAAAGGAATGCTATTCAGCCACAAAAAATGAATCTAGAAAAGTGGGTGAAGAAACCAGAAACAAAAGGCACAACTCGTATGATTCCATTTGTATGATGTGTTCAGAATAGGTAAATTCAGAGACACAGAAAGCATATTAGTGGTTGCCAGGGGCTGGGGACGGGGACAGGGGAAGAGACTGTTTAATGGGTGTAGTTTCCTTTTGGGGAGATGAAATGTTTTGGAACTAGTCAGAGGTGATGGGTGCACTGCATTGCGAGTGTTCCATGATGCTACTGAATTGCATATTTTAAAATGCTTAATTTTATGATATGGGAATTTTACCTCAACAAAAATTATTGAGGTAGCATAATTTCTCTATATCATTATCTTTGAGATAGAGTCTCGCTCTGTCACCCAGGCTGGAGTGCAGTGGTGTGATCTTGGCTCACCGCAACCTCCACCTTCCAGGTTCAAGCAATTCTTCTGCCTCAGCCTCCTGAGTAGCTGGGATTACAGGTGTGCACCACCAGGCCTGGCTAATTTTTGTATTTTTTGTAGAGACGGGGTTTCACCATGTTGGCCAGGCTGGTCTTGAACTCCTGACCTCAAGTGATCCGCCTGCCTCGGCCTCCCAAAGTGCTGGGATTATAGGCGTGAGCCTCCGCACCCGGCCTCTGTATCATTATTTTCCAAAATTGTTGTAGTTGTTCTAGTTCATCTTTCCATTTTAATTGTGGGAACTGCTTGTCTATATCTTCAGAAAATGTGGCTGAGATTTGTACTGGAATTGCATTTAATGTATAAATCAACATGGCAAAAATCAGTATCTCTACTGTTGAGTCCAAAACCCAGGAACACAGCATGTCTCTCCGTTTGCCTGGGTCTTGATACTTTCATTAACATTTCATTTTTTTAAATTTCTGATTCTAACTGTACATTGCAGGTAGAAATACTGTATTAGTTTGTCCTTGCACTGCTATAAAGAACTACCTAAGACTGGGTAATTTATAAAGAAAAGAGGTTTAATTGACTCACAGTTCTGCAGGCTGTACAGGAGGCCTCAGGGAACTTACAATCATGGTGAAAGGCAAAGGGGAAGCAAGCACATCTTCACGTGGCAGCAGGAAGAGAGTGAAGGGGGAGTTGCTACACACTTTCAAACCACCAGGTCTCGTGAGAACTCTATAACCAGACAGCACTCGGGAATGGTGCCAAACCATTAGAAACCACCAACATGAGGCCGGGCGCAGTGGCTCACGCCTGACACCCCAGCACTTTGGGAGGCCGAGGCGGGCGGATCACAAGGTCAGGAGTTTGAGACCAGCCTGGCCAATATGGTGAAACCCCGTCTCCACTAAAAATACAAAAAAAAAAAAAAATTAGCCAGGCATGGTGGCGGGCGCCTATAGTCCCAGCTACTCGGGAGGCTGAGGCAGGAGAATTGCTTGAACCCAGGACGCGGAGGTTGCAGTGAGCTGAAATCGGGCCACTGCACTCCAGCCTGGGGGACAAAGCGAGACTCTGTCTCAAAAAAAAAAAAAAAAAAGAAAGAAAGAAAATAGAAACCACCCTCATGACCCAATCACCTCCCACCAGGCTCCACCTCCAACACTGGGGATCACAATTCAACATGCAGTTGGGGACTCACAGCCAAATCATGTCAAATACAATGGATTTTTGCATGTTGACTTTGTATATTGCCATCTTGCTAACCCCACTTATTCACTGAGTTTGCTTTTTTGTAGATTCCTTGGGATTTTCTACATAGACAATCATGTTGTCTGGGAATCGGGAGAGGTTTATTTCTTCATTTTCAATCTGTATGCCTGTACTTTGCTTCTCTTGTATTTTACTGACTAAGACTTCCAATAGATGGCTTTTTTGTTGTTGTTATTGTTTTTGTTTTTTGAGACAGGGTCTCACTGTGTCACCCAGGCTGGAGTGCAGTGGCATGATCTCGGCTCACTGCAACCTCCACCTCCTGGGTTCAAGCAATCCTGCCTAAGTCTCCTGAGTAGCTGGGACTACTGGCACGCACCACCACACCTAGCATGTTTTTTGTTTGTTTGTTTGTTTTTTAGTACAGATGGGGTTTCACCACCTTGGCCAG
Source organism: Homo sapiens (assembly GCF_000001405.40). Classification (NCBI taxonomy): domain Eukaryota; kingdom Metazoa; phylum Chordata; class Mammalia; order Primates; family Hominidae; genus Homo; species Homo sapiens. Next base: position 63,515,647 of record NC_000020.11, read on the forward strand.
GCGGGTCTTGAACTCATGACTTCCAGTGATCCACCCGCCTTGGCCTCCCAAAGTGCTGGGATTACAGTTGTGAGCCACCGCGCCCGGCCGGTAAATGTTGATAATAGGAGTAGGAGTGGATGCGCTCGTCCTGCTCTCAGTCCTGGGAAAAGGATTCTCTCACCTCAGTACAGCACTGGCTGTAAATACTTCATCAGAGCTCTTTCTTAGATTGAAGTTGTTTTCTGTTCCTGCTTTGCCGAGATGTTCACCGTGAACGCACACTAAATGTTGTCCAATGCTCGCTCACTGTCCATCGCTTGATGTAAGGGGCTTACAACTGCAGGTTGGTGCATTTTTACAAATCCCAGCACCTGTGCCATCTCAGTGTTAGCATTTGCTGACTGTTTTTTTCCATTTATTTGTTTTTTCGGGGTTTTTTTGAGATGGAGTTCACTCTTGTTGCCCAGGCTGGAGTGCAATGGCGCAATCTCAGCTCACTGCAACCTCCACCTCCAGGTTTCAAGCAATTCTCCCGCCTCAGCCTCCTGAGTAGTTGGGATTACAGGCATGCACCACCACGCCTGGCTAATTTTGTATTATTATTATTATTTTTTTTGGAGATGGAGTCTTGCTCTGTCGCCCAGGCTGGAATGGTGTGATCTCAGCTCACTGCAACCTCCACCTCCCAGGTTCAAGAGATTCTCCTGCCTCAGCCTCCCAAGTAGCTGGGATTACAGGTGCCCGACACCATGCCCGGCTAATTTTTGTATTTTTAGTAGAGATGGGATTTTGCCATATTGGTCAGGCTGGTCTCAAACTCCTGACTTCAGGTGATCTGCCTGCCTCAGCCTCCCAAAGTGCTGGGATTACAGGCATGAGCCACCATGCCCAGCAACTGAGATTTTCCTGGTTCACTTATGCCAAGTAATTTTGGATTTTATCCTAAAGTGTAGGGTTTTATTCTTTTTTTTTTTTTTTTTTTTGAGGCGGAGTCTCGCTCTGTCACCCAGGCTGGAGTGCAGTGGCGCGATCTTGGCTCACCGCAAGCTCCACCTCCTGGGTTCACACCATTCTCCTGCCTCAGCCTCCCAGGTAGCTGGGACTACAGGCGCCCGCCACCACGCCCGGCTAATTTTTTTGTAATTTTTTAGTGGAGATGGGTTTTCACCATGTTAGCCAGGATGGTCTCGATCTCCTGACCTCGTGATCCGCCCACCTCGGCCTCTCAAAGTGCTGGGATTACAGGCGTGAGCCACCGTGCCCGGCCTCGTTTTCCATTTAAGTTGAGATTTTCCTGGTTCAGTTATGCCAAGTAATTTTGGATTTTATCCTAAGTCCAGGGTTTTATTCTTTTTAGAGATGGGGTCTCTCTCTGTCACCCAGGCTGGAGAGCAGGTGCCATCGTAATTCACTGCAGCTTCCAGCTCCTGGGCTCCAGTGACCCTCCTGCCTCAGCTTCCTGAGTGGCTGGGACCACAGCGCGTGGCTCTTTGATGAATAAACACTCCTTGGTTTGCTGTTTGCCTTTGGTTAAATTCCAAAGCACTGACATGGTTGTTTCTGACTTTTGTTTAGATTTACAGGTACATTTTGGAGAGAGGGTTTGTTGACCTCCTCACCCCTCCACTCTGGAAATCTTTAATATATTTTATTATGCAATTCAACCTTCCATCCAATATACATACTGGACGCCTGCCTCCTGCATGGCTGGCTCTGCCTCAGCCACTGGGACCCAGGGTGAACAGATACACCACCTTCTCCCACAGTGCTTGTGTAACCACCAAGCCAATGTCCTGAGTTACTTCCAACAGTGAAAGGTACAGGGATTAATAAGGAACTTTCGCTGAGCACCTGCCCCGTGCCAGATACTGGTCCAAGCACCTGCAGGAAGCATCTTACCCTCAAGGTGGCCACAGGAGTTAGCTATGCCCGTCTCACGCGCAGGGACACTGAGGAACAGGCAGCCTTGGCTGCTGCCCCCCGGACTTCACCTGCCACATCAGGTGCCGCCGGCATAGCAGGCCTTCATCAAATATTAGTCAGCACTTCTGTTTTCTTCTGCAGGTGGTGACACCATCTAAGAGGCACTGGCCAGAGAGCTGGGCAGCAGCTGCCACCTGGGATGAAGATGGGCAGAGCTGGGCCACCAGGGCCGTGGTGTGAACACACCACTCTCCCTCCAGGGGCCGACCAACGAGCTCCGGGGGTCCAACCCTGGCTCCGGCTTTGGCAGAACTCTCACCTCGCCCCCAGACACCTGTGGGAGGAGCACAGTGCAGGTGGCGACAGCTCCCAGGGGCCGAGCAAGGCTGTGAGCCTCCGCACTAGGGGCCTCTCCCATCTAGTCCTCCCCACACGCTGGGGTTAACGCATTCTTAACATATGTATGTTAACCCAACCATAACAAGGTGCCACCATCGTCCCGTCCACAAGGGAGGAGACAGTGGCTACAGGGTGGCAGGCAGCCCTTACAAGTGGGACTGGAAGCCTTTCCCTCCCGCCCTGTGGGAAGCCTGTGGCCGTCCCCGCCCTCGTCCAGCTGTGCCCTGTCCTCTCCAGCTGACCGTCCCCGTCAATCTCATCCCTGCCAATGATCACATCCTAGCAGCAACCGGGCCTGAACCGGCCTGCTATAGCTTGCGCACAATGCATCTTCCGTCCGCTTAGCTTTTCTGCCCCCATTTCCTACAGCCGGGGAGGCTCGGGTGCAGTGTCTCTCCTCGCTCCTGCTTCCTGACCCAGAGCCCAGACCTGGGACTTCCCAAAAGCCCCCAGACACACCAAGGGCACCGCCGAACCCCTCAGAGCCAAGGGAGAGGAGAGCTAGCGTTCCCTGAGCTCACCTTGCCTGGTGGCACGGGTCCCCTCTGTCTGCGGCCACTGTCATGGGAGAAGCCAGGCTCAGCCACTGGCAAGAGCAGGCAGCCAGCAAGAGGTGGATGTGGGTCCAAGCCCAGGCCACACGGCTCCCAGCAAGAGCCATGGCCAGGGGCCAGTCGGCAGCCCCTCTGCCCGACAAGGATGTGGGCCAGCGTCGTCTGCACTTCAGAGGAGACGAGAACCAGGAGGCGGCCCCCGAGGGCATCCCGCGGGTCCTCACGGAGGCTGCGTTCTCCCACCTTGGCCAGGATGCCCCGGGAACACCATGCAGCGTCTCTGAGGCTTCCTGTGCAGAGGGGCTCACAGAGCCCCCACCGGCCTGGTTTAGTAAATGCAGTTTTTACCTTTTCACTTTAAAGGAAAATGAAAATTCCTCCTTTCAGACGCTCTGTGACTGATGTTGACCGGTGTTGACTGGTGAGGTTGAGAATGAGGTGAGCTGGGTCAGGCCAGCCTAGAGGGAAGCGGGTGACCTGGAAGGCCGTGCTGTCAGGCGTGGTCGGCAGTCGGCCCCACGGCTCCTTCAGGGTGGGCCTGGACCACAGACACCTCACCAGGGTCTCCCGTCCCTGGGCGGCTGCATATGGGTCCAAGCAAGCCACAAAGGCTGTGCCAGCCAAGCCCAACGCAGGCCGCCCCTACAGTCCCTGCCCGGCCCTGCACCCTCCCCACCCCTTCCCAGGTGCTGATCACCAGTACTCACTCTGCACCCCAAACCCCAAACCCCGTCTCAGCGTCTGCCCCTGAGGACCCTCTGAGTGTCAACCCAACTGACCCGTCTGCCTCATCAGTGACCCCTCGGGGCTGCACACCTCTCCCATCGCAGGTCCTGGCACTGCTCTCCGGCACCGAGCTCCCCCTCCCAGGTGGGGCTCAGGCGGTTCCCTGCCCTCCGTCCTTAGACCTCAGCTGAAACCTGAGCTCTCCCCACCACCCGCCCCCGCCAGCCTCTGCACTGCTCCCCACGGGAAGGCCGTTCTCCCTTGGTTTACCGTTCCCTGCGCTTGGCTCGGCCATGTGCACATAGTAGGTGCTTACCACACTCGTGCAATGAACACACAGAGCGGTGCAGGGCCCAGGACAGCGCCTTCCCCACGTGCTCAGGGGGCACAAGGGCGTCCCTCCAAGTCTTGCTCAGGGGCCTCCCAGGGTCCCTGCCCAGCTGTGGGTCCTCACTGAGCACCCGGCGAGGACAGAGTACGGCATCCGTTGGCCTCGATCTCCGGAACAACACGGGCACACGGCCGTCCCAGCCAGCAACGAGAGCCACGAAACAAATCCACCCGGGCTGACTCCCGAAGCCCTCGGACTGTTCCGCCCCACGGACCTCCCGGACCCTCTCTTCCACGGGGAAGACACCGCCCAGCCAGGACCGGGTGTATAAAGAAACGGGATTTCCGTAGGGGCAGGCCGATTTCCCCTGCGGGGCCGAGGGAGGTGTGGGGAGGATTCTGCGCTGGGGGGAGGAGGAGAGGGAGGACGCCTTTCTGCCTGGGAAGGGAAAACGCGCCCCCTCCTGATTGGCATGGCGGGCCGTCCCCCGGGCCCCAGGGCCCTGCCGGGAACGCTCTGGGCTCCCCAAACATGGGGTCTCCGAGCAGTGGGGCCCAGCCTCTGCCTCCGGCGACTGGAGACTCACCTCACCCGCCCAAATCCGCCCCGCTCTCCGACTGGGCCCCGCCTCCCACTGCCCCGCCATCCGCCCACCCTTTCACCGCCCCCTGCGGGCAGCAGGCGCGTCCTGGGGCTGGGCAACCGGGGTGCAGGTTCCGGAGCTGCCAGAGCTGTGAGGGGGACTCGGGAGAGATCCAGGTTCCTCTGGCTGCGAAGTCCCTGGAGGCCGGGCCGGAGGGCTCCGCGCACGTAGCACTTTTTGGCCCGCCCGGCGCCCCCGTCGCCTCCACAAGGGCTGAAGAGGACGGGCGGGCTGGACCAGGCGGGGCTCCGAGACGCGTCCGAGACGGGGGCCTGGGCCCGGGAGAGGGGCGGGGGCTGGGCTCCCGGACCCGGGCGCGGGGCCTTTTAACCCCTGCAGACCCAGGACCGGCCGGGCCGCCCCAAGACGAACGCCGCAGGGCTGGGCTCAGCCCAAGCCAGACGGCGAGAGTCGCACCGAGGTGGAAGCTGGGGGCGCGGCCTCGCCGGGGCCAGGAAAGGGGCGGGGCCGGGTGGGGCCCGGGGAGGAGCCTGTGCGCCCCGCCCTCCGTGACGCGCCGCGGCCCCCGCGCATATAAGTGGGCGCGTCCGCGCGTGCGCACCCCGCGCGCGCCTCTCTGTCGTGGCGCGGCTTCCCGCGGTCTTCTCTGCAAATGGGCTCCGTGGCCTAGCGCCCCCGTCCCCGCCACCCGTGATCGTGCGCCGAGGCCCGCGAGGGGTCGCCGCCCAGGTGAGGGGCGCCGCGCGCGGGTGGGACGAGCAGGCCCGAGGGGCGGGGGGCGAGGGGCGGGGCTGGGCCGGGGGCTCCTCTCCTCTCCGCCTGGCGAGCGCTGGGCTCGGGGTCCCCGGCGGGCTCCTCTCGGGTCGGGCGGGTTGGGACGGCGCCCACCAGGTTCCCGACGTCTGGGCCGGGGCCCCGCGCACAAAGCGCCTTTGTTCCACCCGCTCGGCCGGTTTGGGCTGGTTGGAGCCGCCCGCGCCCCGCGCGGCGAAGGCGGTGCCGGGAGCTGGGGAGCCCCGCCTCGGTAAATAACCCAGCGCGGCGGCTCCACCCGCTGGGGAGCGCCCTTCATGACGGAAGGCCGCTGACCCGAGGGGCTCCTCCACCCCCATGCGCAGATCCCACCAGCCAGCAAGCTAAAGCATGGCGGCCATCCCCTCCAGCGGCTCGCTCGTGGCCACCCACGACTACTACCGGCGTGAGTAGCCCCTGCCCCCCATCCACGCGGATGCTCTGCTGGCGCCAGTGCCGGCCCCGTGCAGGCTGCGGAACCAGCGCTCGGCCTGAAGGCCGGTGGGCTGGGGGGCTCCGCGCCCCGCGTTGCTGACGGGACCTCTCCTCTCCAGGCCGCCTGGGTTCCACTTCCAGCAACAGCTCCTGCAGCAGTACCGAGTGCCCCGGGGAAGCCATTCCCCACCCCCCAGGTGAGTGCAGGATCGCCCCTTTCTCCCCCCGCTCCTCCAGGAGCTGGCAGCATCAAGACCCCACTTCGCTTCTCTCAGGTCTCCCCAAGGCTGACCCGGGTCATTGGTGGGCCAGCTTCTTTTTCGGGAAGTCCACCCTCCCGTTCATGGCCACGGTGTTGGAGTCCGCAGAGCACTCGGAACCTCCCCAGGCCTCCAGCAGCATGACCGCCTGTGGCCTGGCTCGGGACGCCCCGAGGAAGCAGCCCGGCGGTCAGTCCAGCACAGCCAGCGCTGGGCCCCCGTCCTGACCTGAGCGGTTACCACCAGCCCCAGGCCTGCGGAGGCGCTAGTCCACCAGAGCCCCTCCCCGCCCCTCTCCCCACTCCGCATCCCTCGCCCCCCTCCCCACCTCCCACCCCCCACCCTGTAAACTAGGCGGCTGCAGCAAGCAGACCTTCGCATCAACACAGCAGACACCAAAAACCAGTGAGAGCCCCGCTCTCTACCGCCCGGCCCCAGCACTCGCTAGCTTTCCTGACACCTGGAACTGTGCACCTGGCACCAAGCGGAAAATAAACTCCAAGCAGCCAGTAGCCCCGATGGTGTGTGCCTGAGCTGTGTGGCCCGAGGTTCCATTTGAGTGTGAGAAATGGCTGAATCCCTCCCGACCTCACTGCCTTGTGGGGGCTGGCCCTGCTCCCAGGCCTTTCTGGGCCTCCTCACGCTGTGAGGCTGTTGCTGGGGCTGATAAGGGTGGGGTTCACTGCTGCTTCTGGAGAGCCTTGGACAGCAGGCAGTCCTGGAGCTGGACAAGCAGGACCCAGGGCAGCCACTGAGGTGGGCCCCCGTGCCACCTTTAGCGGGGGGAAAGGGAGCAGGGAGGGCTGGTCCTCTGAGGGATTCAGGCCCCTTACCCGAGGGCCTGCGGGGCGGGGAGTAGCCTCTGGCTGTGAGCTGGGAAGCCCTCACTCTGGAGGGACCTGGTTCCTGCTGGTAGGTGTCTCCCAAGGGCCTCCCATAGGGGTGTTGCCCCAAGACAGGCTGAGGGGTAGGGGCTGCAGGCACCGTGGAGGGGTCTTCCTGCCACAGGCAGCCCAGCTTAAAGTGAGGGTGGCTGCATCATTCTGGCCTGGTATAGGCATGGAGTGTTGGAGTCCGGGAGTGCTGCAGGCTGGCAGGGATGGGGGTCCACACACAGGAGTGCATGGGCTGTGAGCTTAGTAGACTCCTTCATAACCAAGGTGGGTGGTGTCCCCACACCTCTGCCAGGAGCCTACAGGGATTGACTCAGTTCTGTTGAGAGGCAGCTTAGTGAGCAGGTGGGAGTCAGTGAGATAGCTGGAGACTTGATGTGTGGCCAGGGACATGGTGAGAGGAGGGGCCTCCGTGGGGTGGGAAAGGGTGGGGTTCAGTGGTGGGGGAGGGACTCTGGGGAGGGGTGGGGATCAGTGGGTGCTCCCTGCCTGGTACCCTGTTCCACTGCACTATAAATAGCTGTACTAGTTGGTGGGAAGCTGGTGGGAAGGCATCTGGCTTGTGGCCTCTGATGGCTGAGCCTTTGTCCTGTCCACAGGGTGGAGGCAGCCTCACCCAGCCATCCAAGCCGGTGGTCAGTGCTGAGGCTGGGTGGGGGAGCCTCCGATGGACCCAGGAGTGGGAGGCTGCTCCTAATGGCAGTTGAGCCCCCTGCAGCCTTTTGCAGTGTCCAGATGAAGCCCACAGAGACCCTCCTCCATGTACACACAGCTGTGAGGGTAGCAGGAGTTGGTGTTGAAGGGAGAGCCCAGCCACGCTCAGGTCCCCACCACACATGGCCTGGGGGGGCTCCGCCCTTGGCTGAGCTGGAGGGCTTGGGGTCAGGACCAAGGGTGGGTCCACCCTGCTTGGAAAGAAGCTGTCCTGGCTTTTGGAGTCAGCGGGGGAGGGGCACTGCCCGGGAGCTGGTGTCTTGTTGGAAGGGGCAGCTGGGAGTAGGGAGCAGCCGAGCCACAGGCTGCCCGCGGCATCGTCCCCTGCCTCGGGTCAGGGGGCCCCTTGACTGGAGGACCTCACAACCCTGGGGGTGTCCATGGCCTGTTCCTGGGAGCTGCACCCTCATCAGATTCTCTGTAGGGGGAGAAGTCATATCTTTTCCTCACCCATCACAAGCTTCATGGCTGAGACCTGTTAGAAACAAAATGCTTCCTCGGTGCCACAAAGAAATAGCACTCAAACATTAATTTTCTCAGCAAGGCAATTTTTACTTCTATAGAAGGGTGCGACTCGCGGATGGAGCAATGGTGAGAGCGCACCTGGACAAGGGAGGGGAAGGGGTTCTTATTCCTGACACAGGTAGCCTCTACGGCTGTGTCATTCCCCTGTTGGGTGGGGTTGGACTGCACACTCTAAGGTAATTCTGATTGACTATTTTAAAGAGAGCAGGGGTGTGACCCAGAGTGGTGGGGTGAGTAGTTTGGCAGGAAGGACAGGAACAGGTAGCTAAAGATGACTTAGGTCAGAGCAGGTGACCAGGGGCCGGGTGCGATGGCTCACGCCTGTAATCCCAGCACTTTGGGAGGCCGAGGCGGGTGGATCATGAGGTCAGGAGATCGAGACCATCTTGGCAAACGTGGTGAAACCCCGTCTCTACTAAAAATACAAAAAAAATTAGCCAGGCGTGGTGGCGGGCACCTGTAGTCCCAGCTACTCGGGAGGCTGAGGCAGGAGAATGGCAGGAACCCGGGGGGCGGAGCTTGCAGTGAGCGGACATCGCACCACTGCACTCCAGCCTGGGCAACAGAGCGAGACTCCATCTCAAAAAAAAAAAAAAAAAAAAACAGGTACCAGGATGAGTCAGGACGGAGCAGGTGACCAGGGGAACAGATGTGAACTATTGATTAAAACTGGTGGAAAAGGTTGTTTACTGAAACTATGCACGAGTTAAATGGAGAACAAAGAACTGAACATACATGCTGAGTCCTCTAAGAGAAATCTAGAACTCACTGTATCCAACAGACCCTTGAACAAAAGACAGATTAAACTGGGCGCAGTGGCTCACGCCTATATTCCCAACACTTTGGGAGGCTGAGGCAGGTGGATCACTAGAAGCCGGGACTTCAAGTCCAGCTTGGTCAACATGGCAACCAACACGGCAAAACCCTGTTTCTATCAAAAACAAAAAAATTAGCCAGACGTGGCGGTGCATGCCTGGAGTCCCAGCTACTGGGGAGGCTGAGATGGGAGGATCCCCTGAGCCCGGGAGGCGGAGGCTGCGGTGAGCCAAGATTGCGCTACTGCACTCCAGCCTGGGCGTCAGAGAGCAAGACTCTGTCTTAAAAAAAAAAAAGAAAAAGCATACAAACATTTAATGCGAGTTCCATGTGATGTGGGCCCCTTCAAAACAAAGACCAAAGAAATGGTCTATTTCACAGCGGAGCAGGAGTGAGCGGAGGATGGAAGGGTGTGATCAAGGCCCGACTTGACTCTGACATCCCTTTCCTCTGGTTAGGGGGCGGGACACCACGTGAGGGTCTGCAGGGAGAGGGTCTGGGAGTGGCCTTCCTGGGTTTTATGGCCTGCTTCAGGGAAGAAAGGCAGGGAGGTTAGAATGGCCTCAACGGTGAAATATTTATCTTTTTCTTCCTCCCTAATCCCAGAATTCAGAAACTGTTAGTGGGTTTGCATAAGTTCAATGAGAATCTGTTCTTGTAATAGGGCACAATTGAAAACATTGGTTATATTACCAAGGCTTTGACTGGAATGTCCTATTTTCAGATACGACTAAAGGAGTTAGGGTTGACTGCATGGTCCAATAAAGCCCCTTGGAAAAAAGCTGGCCTGGTACCTCACATACGTGGTTCCCTTACAGATGAGTAAAGAATGTCAATTCCTGGCAGGTCCCAGAATCTTAAGATACCTTAGGGACCTCAAGAAGAGAGGAATTCCCCTAAATCTGTACTTATTGCAGGCAAAGTCTGATGGCAAGTCTTTGCGATGGCTTCCTAGCCTCAAGAGGCTTTTAAAAGCCCAATCTCAGATTCCTTATAAAAAGTTCCAGTAGGCCAGGCACAGTGGCTCACACCTGTAATCCCAGCACTTTGGGAGGCCACGGTGGGCAGATCACGAGGTCAGGGGATCGAGACCATCCTGGCTAACACGGTGAAACCCCGTCTCTACTAAAAATAAAAAAATTAGCCGGGCATGGTGGCGGGTGCCTGTAGTCCCAGCTATGCGGGAGGCTGAGGCAGAAGAATGGCATGAACCCGGGAGACGGAGCTTGCAGTGAGCCGAGATCGCGCCACTGCACTCCAGCCTGGGCGACAGAGCAAGACTCCGTCTCAGGAAAAAAAAAAAAAAAAGTTCCAGTAAAGCAAATTTTAAAAGAGCCCACGTGTCCAGGTGTACCTATAATCCCAGCACTTTGGGAGCCTGAGATGGGAGGTTTGCTTGAGCCCAGGAGTTCAGGACTGGCCTGGGCAACATAGTGGGGCTCCCTCTCTACTAAAATACAAATAAATTAGCCAGGTGTGGTGTCACATGCCTGTCGTCCCAGCTACTCTGGAGGGTGGGGCTGGAAGGTGGCTTGAGCCCAGGAGGTCAAGGCAGCAGTGAACCATGATGGTACCACTGCACTCCAGCCTCGGTGACAGGGTGAGGCCCTGTTGGAAAACAAAAATGAGGAAGAACCTATGTGGTTAATCACTATTCTTGTTCCACTTACATAAATAACCACACCAGGTTTAATGAGGCCAAACTTACTCTGCAATCAAATCAATCTTTTATTATCTTTGATAGAAATGTGTTAATTTGAAAACAATCCTACTTTTATTATCTTTGATAGAAATGCGTTAATTTGCAGCCGGTCACGGTGGCTCACACCTGTAATCCCAGCACTTTGGGAAGCCGAGGTGGGCGGATCACCTGAGGTCAGGAGTTCGAGACCAGCCTGGCCAACATGGCAAAACCCTATCTCTACTAAAAATACAAAAATTAGTCGGGCGTGGTAGCAGGCACCTGTAATCCCAGAGACTTGGGAGGCTGAGGCAGGAGAATCACTTGAACCCGAGAGGCAGAGGTTGCAGTGAGCCAATATTGCGCCATTGCACTCCAGCCTGGGCGACAGAGCGAGACTCCATCTCAAAAAAAAAAAGGAAGAAGGAAATTTGTTGGCTGGGTGCGGTGGCTCACACCTGTAATCCCAGCATTTTGGGAGGCCGAGGTGGGTGGATCACCTGAGGTCGGGAGTTCGAGACCAACCTGACCAACGTGAAGAAACCCCATCTCTACTGAAAGTACAAAAATTAGCTGGGCGTGGTGGCGCATGCCTGTAATCCCAGCTACTCGGGAGGCTGAGGCAGGAGAATCACTTGAACCCGGGAGGCAGAGGTTGCCGTGAGCCGAGATCAAGCCATTGCACTCCAGCCTGTGCAATAAGAGCGAAACTCTATCTCAAAAAAAAAAAAAGAAAAAGAAATTTGTTGACTGTAGAGAGAAAAATTATGTTTCAAAATAAAACTCGTGCCCCCACTATTAGACTCTAGCCCGGTTTGCTGTCTGGAGGTTTTGTCGCCCACCTGTGGTCCGGACCGGGTCCTGAACTTCAGTTTCCTCCAATATTTGCCTACAGCTCACCAAACCACTCTTTCCAATTTTTTCTTCCACCATTCCTCATGGAGTCACTGAAAATTAAAACTGCTCTTTTCCCAAAGCCCTGTAAGCTGAAGCTGCCCCACTTGATACAGACTTCAGAGAAATTTCCCCAGCAACTCTCGTACAGACGGCTTTCGTGCCCAGGCTGGGCGCAGCAGCTCAGGCCTGTAGTCCCGAGGCAGGAGGATTGCTAGAGCCCAGGAGTTCGAGACCAGCCTGGGCAACATAGCAAGACCCTGAATCTCCTAAAAAAAAAAAAATTTAAAATTAGCCAGGTGTGGTGGTGCATTCCTGTAGTCCCAACTATTCAGGAGGCTGAGGCGGGAGGATCACTTGAGCCTGGGAATTCAAGGCTGCAATGAGCTGTGGTCACGCCACTGCGCTCCAGCCTGGGTGACAGAGCAAGACCCTGTCTTCAAAAACAAAAACAGAAACAAAAAACGTTTTCTTACATCTGGAAAACAAAATATTAAAGAACCGTAATGCTTCAGACAAAAGTCATTAAACAGTAAACATCCTCGTCAGTTCATTCATTCCCATGTCATTAATTCTTGTTCTGGTTGATCCTGGGACAGAACTTTCATGGACCTGCCAGGTCCCTCCTTCGAGTTCTGGAAATTTGCACCCAATCCAAGGCTATGACCTGAACCAGAAACCTGTGCTCCAGAGCACCTGTCAGAATCCTTCCCAGGAATCTCTTTGAAGAATAAACAATTTGGGACTAGCTGATTGCAAAGCTTTCAGAAAAAATCAAAGTAAGATAATAACTGTGAATGACCGAAGACTTAAGATAGCCATGGCTCAGGATCTGATGAGAGTTTATTATATTCGTGACACGGTTGGCAAGGAAACTTGGTTATTTCTGTGGCATGCAGCATTTTAATGTAATAACCAAAATTATGACTGATAACATTGCACCAGATTTCTAGGAATAGCATGTGAGATAGGATATATATCATAGGATAACGTATCAGATTTCTAGGAATTTTATAGAGTTTCTGCAACATTCATATCAAAACCAAACCCGTAAATAGAACCTCCAGAAGACTTAGTGTGACTTACTATTTCACACGCTTTCCATCTCATGTAGCACATCGGATAAGCCTGATTAGTCTGACATCTGTCTTTCACAAGGCAGAAGACAAATCCTTTTGAGAAATCCTAGTACCTTTCCAGAAACTCCCAAAATTATTTTTCTTTCTTTCTTTTTTTTTTTTTTTTTTTTGAGATGGAGTCTCGCTCTGTCGCCCAGGCTGGAGTGCAGTGGCGCGATCTCGGCTCACTGCAAGCTCCACCTCCCGGGTTCACACCAGTCTGCTGCCTCAGCCTCCCACGTAGCTGGGACTACAGGCGCCCACCCCCACCACCACACCCAGCTAATTTTTTGTATTTTTTAGTAGAGACGGGGTTTCACCGTGTTAGCCAGGATGGTGTCGATCTCCTGACCTCGTGATCCACCTGCCTCAGCCTCCCAAAGTGCTGGGATTACAGGCATGAGCCACCGTGCCCCGCCTATTCTTCTTTTAAACCAAAAAAACTTTCAGGTGAGTCAAAACCAAAACCAATAAGCTTTTTATGACTTAACCATGGATGAAAGAGACACCTTCAAAATCAGGTGCAAAGGAGGCAGCCCCCCCAGCCCGGAACCACCCCACAGACAGTAGAGAAGGGCCCTTGTCAGCGCAGGAGTGAGGGGCGCTTTCCAGCACTGACCCAGCGACAAAGGTGAAGGTGGGAAAAGCCCCTTGTGGACGTGGACGGTGAAACTGAGCTGGCGCCTCGGGCAGTGATGCTTGGGCTGGCAGAGACCAGGGAGAGAGTTCTCACTGGTCATAAGGCCAAGCTCTCAAGACACAAGACAAACAGGAAAGAAACACCTGCCCCTGGGAGGAAAGAACCCTTGAGCACCAAAACCAAATTTACATGAGCGTCCCGAGCCACGCGAATGACTTTCTCCCACCAAGCTGAACTGGGAAGAGCAGGAACAAGGCGTGTTTGCCTCCCACCCTCAGCCGGGCACTGCAGACAGACAGCCAGAGAGCGGGCTGTGGTCAGAGTCCCCTCTGACCTCTGCTGGCTTCGTGTCAGTCTCCCGGATCTCATCTGCAGGCTCCAGAGCAGGCTGCGTGTCAGCAGCTGAGACCCAAGGCACACACGATGGAGTAAGGAGAGGAGCACACGCGTGTATTGGACGCAGACACTCCACATTTGTGAACCTTTCCTGCACCCATCACCTCAGTAAACCCCAGGGAAGCGCGTGGGCCTTGATCCCAGGTCCAGGCCCTCTGCCCAGGCCCCTCCTCAGCAGGGCCCGGCCATGCCCGCTCCACAGCAGCTCAGGTCGGGTTCTCGTAGCTGGTGAAGCTGGAGAGCCTCTCCCGCAGGGCCTTGAAGCAGGGTCTCTGCTCGGGGTCCCTGCACCAGCATGTCAGCATCAGCTTGTGCACGCTGGGCGGGCACTCCAGAGGGCAGGGCATGCGGTAGCCGGCGTCCACCCTCAGGAAGGCCTCATGGTTGGACATGCCTGCGGCCGACAGGGATGAGAAGAGCTGGGGCCCACCTGCCTACCCTCCCCCAAGAAGCCACACCAGCCATCCACTGCCCCTTCCTGGGGCCTTCCCCGCAGCCTCAGCTGCCATGCCTTGGCGCCACCCAGCACACTGTCCACTGCTAACACCTCCCTCTGGACAGGGCTCCAACAGGCAGCTCCAGGCACCAGCCTGGGTGCTCAGAGAATGGTGCAGGTGTGGAGTTCAGGCGATGGCCCGCGGAGGGCCCTGAAGCCCGTGGGGGAGGCACCCCCCAGCGTCCCTGCCGGCTACCCAGGACCTCCCCCACTCTGCCTCTCATGCCCAGTCAGGGACAGTGGGGACAGTACCTGGGTAGGGCACCTGACCCCTGCTGAACATCTCATGCAGGAGAATCCCAAAGGACCAGACGTCGGATTTGGTGGAGTAATGGCCTCGGGAGAGCGCTTCAGGGGCCGTCCACTTGTAGGGGATATTGTGGTCATGGGAGAGGTAGACGTCCTCCTGCAATCAGCCTGGAGCTGAGTGGGCCGTGGGGGCTGCCTGTGCCCTGCCCCCGAAGCATGGACGGGCACAGCGGCCGCATTGCCCCAGCAGTGGGACGGTGATGACCCCACTGTCTGACCCACGCACGGCCGCTGCAGCTAAGGCCACACTGGGGCCTGACCACCTTCAGGAGCCCAACTTCCCCTGGGATTGCAGGTGTGTGGGGACCGGAGGGCCCGGGGGACAGGGAACTGGGAGGCTCCCAGGCCGTCAGAGGGGCCCAGGGCTGGGCCAGTGAACAAGGCACGTGAACAAGGCAGCGGCTGCGTGGTGGGCCCTGCTGTGCGTGCCATTCAGAATGGGGGCCCCACCGGACTCACGGTGGCTTCCCACCTCCCTGCCCAGCCTGGGCTCCCGAGGGCAGGGGCCGCATCCTGCTCCCAGCCGAGTCCCCAGCTCCACACACAGGAAGCCCCCAGCCCTCCGGCCACGCCCCGGCCACGACCCCAGCCACGCCCTCTGAGGGCCCTACCTTGATAAGCCTGGCTAACCCGAAGTCCCCAACTTTGCAGAGGGTGTTTTCCCCGACGAGGATGTTCCTGGCGGCCAGGTCCCGGTGGATGTAATTCTGCGACTCCAGGTAACACATGCCCTCAGCCACCTGCCAGGCGATGTCCAGCAGCTCCGAAACGGGCAGGACTTTCTCATCAGAGTCTGCAGAGGGGAGTGGAGCAGAGCCTGGGGTCAGCTGAGCCAGCTGAGGTGGGGAAGGGTTGGGGAGGCTGGGCCATGTCTCATCTGCCTCCAAGCTCTGCGGGCTCAGAGGAGGGGCCGGGGCAAAGGGCAGCTGGCCTGATTGAAAATTGGAACTGCAGGCCAGCTACCGCCCTTCTGGAAGGCAACTGTTTATCACGAACCAAGGAGCAAGCTGGGCGTGGTGGCTCACGCCTGTAATCCCAGCACTTTGAGAGGCTGAGGCGGATGGATCACGAGGTCAGGAGATCGAGACCATCCTGGCTAACACGGTGAAACCCCATCTCTACTAAAAATACAAAAAATTAGCCGGGCGTGGTGGCGGGCGCCTGTAGTCCCAGCTACTCGGGAGGCTGAGGCAGGAGAATGGCGTGAACCCGGGAGGCGGAGCTTGCAGTGAGCCGAGATCACGCCACTGCACTCCAGCCTGGGCGACAGAGCCAGACTCCGTCTCAAAAAAAAAAAAAAAAAATATATATATATATATATATATATATAATTAGCTGGGCGTGGTGACAGGTGCCTGTAATCTCAGCTACTCAGGTGGCTGAGGCAGGAGAATCATTTGAACCCAGGAGGTGGAGGTTACAGTGAGCCGAGACTGCGCCATTGCACTCCAGCCTGGGCGACAGAGTGAGACTCCGTCTCAAAAAAAAAAAAAAGAACCAAGGAGCAGTTCCTAGTGGTCTAGCCCAGCGATTTCCCTTCTGGAAGTTTGTGATGACGCGGGAGGAGCTGGACGCAGAAGGACCAGCGAAGAGGCTCATGACTGCGTGATGTAGGCAGTGGGAACTCGAACAGGAGAATGGCTGTCAGCGGCTTGCGGCCTGGTGGTGCCTGTTTTACCCCACATTCCCTCCCGGAGGACCCTGAAGGGCGTGGGGACTGTCTGAGATGATCAAGCCCTTTGTGTGAGGGCGAGGGGTACGGAGCCTTTCGCTCAGAGCGCAAACGTGCGTGGTGCCTCAGTGTAGCTCTCCTCAGACACACACGGCATTTTTCCTATACCACAACGTTCCCTCCCATTCTAACATCGGAATCCAAACTGCGCCTTCACGCACGGGCATCTCCATTCCCTGGCAGCGATTGTCTTTGGTTTTGGTGAGAAAGGAAATAATGGAACTTAGAGAGGATGAAGTCTTTGAGCCAATGTGATCTGTGTGTGTCTGTGTGTGTGTCTGGATCAGTGTGTGTCTGTGTGTGTGTGTGTCTGTGTGTGTCCGTGTGATCTGTGTGTGTGTCTGTGTGTGTCCGTGTGATCTGTTTTGTGTGTCTCTGTGTGTGTGTCTGTGTCTATGTGTATGTCTGTGTGTGTCATGTGATGTGTCTTGTGTGTGTGTCTGTGTGTGCATGTGTATGTCTGTGTGCATGTGTGTGTGCATGTGTGTCTGTGCGTGTGTGTCTCTGTGTGTCTGTGTCTGTGTCTGTGTGTGCATGTGTGTGTCTGTGTGTCTGTGTGTCTACGTGTGTGTGTGTGTAGACGTGGGGGGGGGGTGTGCACTTTATTTCCTCACGTGCCCCCGCTGCCTCCAGCAAGAGCCCCGGCCCATGCCACTCACCGCGGAGCAGCTCCAGCAGGCTGCCCTTGGCCATGAGCTCCGTGATGATGTACACGGGGTCCCCCACGGACACCACGGCGTACAGCGCCAGGATGTGTTTGTGCCGCAGCTTCTTCATGGCCTGGATCTCCGACTGCAGCATCTGCTGGTGCAGGAGGTTGTCTGCGGGGACGGGTGGCCTCGGTGGATGCAGCCCCTGACCCCCCAGGCCCCAAGGAAGAGGCCAAGGCCCTGCCCCCACACACAGCAGCCATCACACCCAGCAGCTGTGCAGGACACACAGACCTCCTGCCCCCGACAGGGCACCTGGCTCCCGAGGCCACGAAATGGCAGATGCAGCCGGCCCCACAGGGCCCCAGCCTGGCGTACCCACGGGGCTGTGGTGGCCACCCGATTTCTTCCTGTGCCCGGCCCAGACCTCTGACATAGAGGCCAGACCTCTGCTGGGGCCCAGACGGGTTCCAGGGAAGTTTTACCCATTTCCAGTGATCTATTTTAATGGCTTTCCATTACGTCAAGGATTTTAAATTTTCTTTCTTTCTTTCTTTTTTTTTTTTCCCAAGACGGGGTCTTGCTCTGTCGCCCAGGCTGGAGTGCAATGGCGCGATCTCAGCTCACTGCAATCTCCGCCTCCTGGGTTGAAGCGATTCTCCTGCCTCAGCCTCCCGAGTAGCTGGGACTACAGGCACATGCCTCCACACTCGGCTAATTTTTGTATTTTTAGTAGAGACGTGGTTTCCCCATGTTGGCCAGGCTGGTCTCAAACTCCTGACCTCGTGATCCGCCCACCTTGGCTTCCCAAAGTGTGGGGATTACAGATGTGAGCCACCGTGCCCGGCCTAAAATTTTCTTTTATAATAAATGTATTTAGGTAAAAACATAGGTGCAATTGAAAGGGAACCACTCTCGCATGGACGCTGTGGGTGCTGCTTGGGGCTCGAGGCCAGAGGTCCCTGTTGGCGGGGTGGGAGGGTGGCCCAGGGCAGGCACGGGGCCACACAGAGCCCTGATCGGGGCCCACTCACCTCGAGAAATCACCTTAATGGCCACCTGGACCCGGTCTTTCCAGAGCCCCTCGAAGACCTCCCCAAAGTAGCCGGACCCCAGCTTCCTGCAGAGCGTGAACTCCTCCCTCGGCCTCTCCCAGTCATCCCAATGGGGCAGGGGCTCAGGCTCGTGCTGGAGGAAGAGTCGGGGACACAGGGCAGGGGCTCATCCTTCAGGAAGTGCCAGTCTGAAGCCAGCACAGGGAGCCTGGATTTAGCCTCAGATTTAGGGCCACGATCAGCCTGGGTTGGGGGTTTCTGAGTGTCTGACACAAGGGTGGACTCTCCTGGGGGCTGCCCCCAGCCCAGCATGAAACACCCAGACAGACCGGAGCCAGGACCCTGCAGAGTGCCGCTGGCCTCTCCGAGAGTGGCCAGGCCCGGGGATGGTCTCCTGGCCCCACCCCCAACTCAGGCAAACACCTGTGCTCTGCAGAACCATGGGCTTCCCTCCAGTGGGCCCCAGGTCAGTGAGTCAGGACCCCTCCCATGCTGCCCGGCCAACCTCTCCCAGTAGGAAATGCCAGCCTGTGACCCCCCAGCCTGACCCCGCGTGACCAAGTCAGGGCGGAGCGGCTACCTTCCGGCAGGGCGCGGCCAGCCGCAGGCCGTGGGACAGGCTCTGGGCCCTGTGGTAGTTCACAAGCTCGGGCAGGCTGAGGAAGGACACCGCCTCGTTCAGGTGCAGCCGGCCCCCGGCACGCCGCCAGATCTTGTAGTGCCGCACAGCCTGCGTGTCCCGCACTGGGAGGGAGAGCGTGAGCTGTGTGGCCACCCCAACTCCGACGCCTCCCTGCGTCCCCAGCCCTGCTGGCCACACCTGCGCAGAGTTTCTGGGTCCCCACAGTTGCTGTTGGTGCTTCCTCAGTACCACCCCTGCCTCCCCTCCCTCAGAACGGCTCCCTCCTGCCCTGCACGCTCTGGCCAAGCTCTCTGGCCCCTCCTGCCCCCGTGCCAGGCAGCCAGTGGCCTCCGCCTGGATGGCAGCTGCCTAAAATCCCAGCCATGCTGAGATCCTCAGGGGCAGGGATGGGGTTTCTCTGCGCCCCGCACACCCCAGGCTCAGGTCTCATGCTGGGCGAGGTTCCCATGGGTGCTGAGGACCTCCCACGAGTGCCTCGGGCAGGGCTGGCTGGAGAAGCCCCTGCCCTCCCAGGGAGGGGCCCTGCCCCACGACTACCCTAGCAGCCAGTGACCCAGGCCCCAGGGAGGAGCGGGCCAGGTGGGCGGAGGGGATGGGAGCTCCCTGGAGAGGAGCCCATGTCCCCCGTCTCAGCCAGAGCGAGCCGGGTTCACCACGTGGCTGGGAGGGCTTAGAGCCAGGAGCCCCCGCAGGCAAGCACAGGCTCGGAGGCCGGGGCCGCACCCGACAGGACGTAGTCGGCACTCGGCTTCTCGCTGACCCTGATCAGGAAGGCGCCCGTGGCGTTGCCCTCGGCCTGCAGCCGACGCACAGCTTCCGAGCGGGAGATGCAGCCAAAGAACCACCTGCAGGGGAGGAGTCTGAGAACACGCGGACCTGGGCCCACCCCACGTGGACCCCACGCTGGCCCCAGCCTGCCCGCCTGGAACCCCAGCCGCCCTTGCCTGCCACCTCAAGCTCCCAGCCCTGACCACAGCTGCTCTCAGGAGCTGTCGCTGACCCAGACGCCCTGAATGTCCCGAAAGGCCAGGACAGGCCCCTGAGGACCCGGCGGGGGCAGGGGCAGGCGCTACCACACCCTGCCCTGAGTGGCCCGAGTCTAGGGGTCAGAGCCTAGGGTGGAGCTGGGGAGGGCAGCTGAGCAGGATGGCTGCCCAGAGCTGCCTGCACACACCCATGTGTGACGCACGCTCACACACACACAGTCACAAACCCCCACACATGCGCACAGTTCACCCGCACACCTGAACACACACGCGCATGTGTGCTCACTTGCCCACACGCTCACACGCACGCACACACAGCCACTCGCGCGCACTAACTCCCGGCTGCGGGGTGTGGGCCAGCCCTGGACTGTGGACTTCCAGGTGGAGCTTGCAGAAGCTCCAGGTGACCTGCGCCCTTTGTGTGTCTGACTCCCTCAGGTCACTGGAACACAAACCCCACACAGAAGACCACGGCCCAGCATGGAGCCCCTGGGGTCCACCCCCTCCACTTCCGCACACCTGGAAGCACTGCCCCACCTGCCCCTCCAACCACCTGGCCTCCCGCCCCCCCCCTCACCTGGCCTCCCGCCCCCTCCTCACCTGGCCTCCCGCCCCCTCCTCACCTGGCCTCCCGCCCCCCCCCTCACCTGGCCTCCCGCCCCCTCCTCACCTGGCCTCCCGCCCCCTCCTCACCTGGCCTCCCGCCCCCCCCTCACCTGGCCTCCCACCCCGTCCTCACCTGGCCTCCCGCACCCCCCTCACCTGGCCTCCCGCCCCCCCCTCACCTGGCCTCCCGCCCCCTCCTCACCTGGCCTCCCGCCCCCTCCTCTCCTGGCCTCCCGCCCCCTCCTCTCCTGGCCTCCCGTCCCCTCCTCTCCTGGTCTCCCGCCCCCCCCACCTGGCCTCCCGCCCCCCCTCACCTGGCCTCCAGCCCCCCCCACCTAGCCTCCCGCTCCCCCCCCCACCTGGCCTCCCACCCCCTCCTCACCTGGCCTCCTCCCCACTTCTCACCTGGGCGAGTTCTCAGGACTCAGGGTCTTTGCACCTGGGAGCTGACCAGCCTCCGGCCAGACCCCACCCCTGCACCCCTGCTCACTAACGAGGTCGTGGGTCTGCGCGTGACCCTGCTAACGAGGTCGTGGGTCTGCACGTAATAGAGGGGTCTCCACCATGGGCCCCTGCCCGACGGCCTCTTTACAGCCTCCCCTGCTTGTTGCTTGGGTCCCCCGGGAGCTAACCCTACACAGCCTGTGACTCACGCACACACACAGTGGGTGCCCAATCACTGATGAGAAACGCGGGATCTCAGGAGCGTGACCCTCCTCAGCCTGAGCTCCGGGCAGCTGTGGAAGCCAGGGCCAGGCCACACCAGCTGCTGTCTGGTTCCCCGCAGGGCACAGCAGGCAGGAAGTTTGCCCGGCAGCCGGCCCGCTCCCCTAACTAGGTCGTGTGTCTGGTTCCGGCACTTTGGAAACTGGGCAAGCTTCAAGCTTCGTTTCCCCCAAAGGCCCTGGAACGCTCCGACAGACCTTGTCACTGGCCACCGGGCCCCAGAAGTCCACCCTGGACCCTCTGTCCTCCCTGGGTCCCGGCAATGCAGCGTCCACCCCCGAGCTGTGACAAGGATGAGCCCAAGGCAGGGGCCGTGCCCTCTGACCCCCGTGCTCCAACTCCCGCAGGGACAGTCCTGGGCACTCCTGGGCGCCAGCGCATGGGGCCTGCAGGGAGGATCAAGCGGGATGCCCAGCCTGGACTTTGGGGTGCAGGAAGATGGAACCGGGGTCCCCACCTTCTTGGGCCTCCCTGAGCAGCCCAGAGCCCTGTCCCTCCCCTGTGCCTAGAGGGTGGCCTGTGCCAAAGCTCCCAGCAGCCTAGGACACGCACGGTTCCGACTCCACCGTCTCCCTCTCGGCCAGGTAGTTGTGGGGCACATAGCCCTGGGCCACGGCCCCACCCGCCTCGTCCAGCAGCGTGGCCCACCACCACTGCTCCTCCTTCCTGGCCACGTGGAAGACGTCCCCCGCGCGGAAGCTCAGCTCCTCGTCCGTCCGGGACTTGAAGTCCCAGAGGCCCACATACTTGGGGCCCAGGTGAGCCTGGTCCCGGGACACCATGGCGGGCGGGCGCAGCGGCAGGACCAGGCTGTGGCCCAGCTGGAGCACCCAGAGCTGGGCGTGGCAGGCGGGCCGTCCCACTTCCTCATGACAGGCCGGGAAGCAGCCACACCCAGCACCCACAGGCGCTCCAGAGCACCCCGGCTCCTCCTGAGGGCCCAGCCGGCCCCACAAGTCCTCAGGCCCACTGGGGCCCATCTGAGCACTTAGCGCCCGCACTATGGGAACCCACTGGGCAAGCACCGCCAGGGCCGGCCTGAGCGCAGGAGAGGGGGAGGAGGACCTCCCGGTTGGGGCTTCTTGGGGGTCCAACTTATGGACACTCAGGCACTCAGGGAAGCCAACGGCCCTCTGGGAACAAGCCTCGCAGCCTGAGGGCAGGAAGGTGAGGGCTGCAGGCGCTGCCTTCCCAACCCTCAGAGCTGCGGGGGCACAGGTGGGGGCCGCCTCTCTCCCCGCTTCCGGCAGCTTCCCCTCCACCCGTCGGTGCCCTCACCCAGCCCCAGACTCCACCCCTGAGCACAGGGCCCAATGTCAGGAGCTGCTGTGGGCAGGCGTCCTGAGAGCGGCCTCATGGGCAGGCCCGCCCTCGGGTAAGGGCCAAGCAGGGAAGAGGGAGTGGAATCAGGGCAGCGACAGCTGTGTGGGTCGGCCCGGAGGACTTCCCGGAAGAGGAGGGCCCGAGGGTTTTGGGGGATCCCCGGGGAGGCAGAGCCAGGGGCACCCACGGCTGAAGAAACGGGCACTGCCTTCCTCCACACGGACGCCAGGGGGCAGGCAAGGACCGTGAGTGCGGCCTGGAAGCGCCCATGGCGCTGGGGCCCAAGGCCACAGGTCCCTCCCAGGCAGCCCCTCCCGCCTCCAGCCTCTGCCTCCTCCTGTCCAGCCCGCAGGACCCCTGCCCCCTTCCAGCTGGCCTCCCTTCTCCCGACTCATGCCTGAGTGAGCCCTGCCGTGACCCCCACCTGCACCCGACGGCCGCCTGCCCCCCAGCCCCTGAGACTCGGGACACCCCCTCCCTGGAGGCCCCTCCCCGCCCCACCCTCCCACTGACCCTACTGTGTCCACCCGGGAGCTCCAACCCAGGGACCTGGACTGGCAGCCACAAGGGGGCAGGAAGGGGCGGGAAGGGAAATTCAAAGTCTGCAAGGGGTGGTAAGGAAAGTCCCTAAACTGCGTATTTCAACTTTTATTTTTATTGCAAAGAGAAATAATGGCACCTTCCACTCATTGTTTTGAGATTAAGAACAATAATCTGGATTATTTAACAGGCTCATAGATTTCTGGGCAGCCCAGCTCAGCGCTGACCAAGGTGGGGAGGGGCAGCGGGGTGCCGGCCTGGGCAGTGTCCCTCAGGCCCTCCCAGCTCTGTCTGGGGTCGGTTGGGGAGGATGCAGGGGGAGGGGTGGGGGGTGGGGAATGCGGAAGGAGGGTGCCGGGGCACCTGGCCGGGCAGCGTCCCTCAGAGCCCGGCCAGACTCTGGGCCCGTGAGTCTATGTCCAGGAAGCCTCGAGTATCCCTGAGTTCGGACGTGCAGGACTTTCAGTCTAAGCCACACCAGGAGGCAGGAACGTCCCCAGCCCCTCCCAGATACCCAGGAGCACCAAACCTGTTCAGCTGGTGGCTGGCGAGATGCCTAGGAGGGCACAGGTGCCACAGACACACCTGGTCCCCTTAATCCCAGTGGCGGCTGCAGAGAGCACAGAGGGCGAGGCCTTCTGTGCCAGAGGAGCCCCCAGGCTGCTGTGCTGGGGACCTGCCAGAACTGGAAGCTCAGCTCAAGGCCTCAGTGGGCCCAGGTACCAGAACCAGCCCCTCCCCTAGGTTCTCCCATGCAGATGGAGCTGGGCAGGTGGCCAGGGTCCCAAAGGCTCAGATAAAGCCTCTTGCCTCCACCATCTGCAGGGGTCCTGGTTCCTGCTGCTTCCCTCCGCTTGGCCTTGTTCCTCCGATGCACGGGCCCCAGGAAGCCCCCGCGCTGCCTCCGTTCTCGGAGCCTCCGAGTGGCCTCTTCCTTCCCCGGGGCCACCTGTCTCTGCACACGGGAGTCTCATCTCTTAGCTCCCTCCTGAGCCAGGCTTTGGCCGGGGCCTGTGGACGGCAGCCATCAGCACTTCGGCTCAGCAGGTACAGAGCTGACCCCAACTCTAGGGGACAAGGACTCAGTCAGGCCTGAACTTGTCTCCAAACTTTCTGTCCCCGAAAGCCTTCTGGGCACAGCTGCCAACCTGGGCTCCCAGGAGGGTGGGGGGCAGGGTCTCCGGGGGCCACAAACAGACCCCACCGGCCCCCTTGCTTCTTGACGTGTTTCACGAAGACCTGAGCAGAAGCTTCCCTGAGCCAGACGTGGGGAGACGAGGGCGGACCCTGCACATCCCTGCCCCCTCCTGCCTTGGTGACCCCCGAGGACTCACACCCAGAGGCTTCCTGAGCCACTTGCTGCCCAGCATACCATGGCATCTACCTCCGAGCCCCCAACCGACCCTGCCTGACCCTGCACAGGCAGAAGACTCCAAATCCCCCACGGCCCACCCTGAGGCCCCTGGAAATAGCCTCCAAGGGCAGCTCCCAGGTCACCAAGCCTCCCGGCCCACCCTTCCTGTGCCACCTGGAACCCACCCAGGGAGATGGAATCGGCAGCTCCTGCCAATGCCCTTGGGGCTCACGCTCTCTGGGCACCATGATGTCCTGGGCTGGGGGTCCGGGCGGCATGGGGGCCGCTCCAACCTGCATTTTCTAGCCACGTGGACCCGTACGCTCCAGCTCCTGGGTCTGGGTTTGGGGGGCTGAGCCTGTGTGTGATGTGCGCCTGTGTGCGTGTCTGAGTGGGTCAGTCCCGGCTTACTGAGTGCTGTGTGCGTGAGTGGGTTTGTGCACAGGCCGCCAGTGTGTCTGTGAGGGGCAGGTGACGGTGCCACCCCGTGCCTACATACCACACATCCAGTGGGGTCAACACCACGGTCTGCCTGGGAGTCAGCACTGGTCATTTCCACAAACCCAAGCTGGGACTAGGGAGAGAACTGGGCCTTTGGCTCTTCACCCTGGGAGGGAGTCCAGGGGACCCAGGCAGGAGACACACAGGGCTCAGGGTTCCTCACCCAGAGCCTCCGAGGCTTCTACCCACCCTCCTGTGCCGTTGTCTCTCTTGAGAGGCCAGGGACACGTGTCACACTGCACGGGGAACGTCAGCCCCAGCCCTCCGTCTGCACGAGTCACACTGCACGGGGAACGTCAGCCCCAGCCCTTCGTCTGCACGAGTCACACTGCATGGGGGACGTCAGCCCCAGCCCTCCGTCTGCACGAGTCACACTGCACGGGGGACGTCAGCCCCAGCCCTCCGTCTGCACGTCTGCCTGGTGCACGAACATGTGTGCACGCCAGGGCCTGAGGCCCACAGCCAGAGGCTCCTCGGTCCGGCAGACCGGCATCCCTTCGAGTTGGCGCTCTGCAGGGAGGAGGGGCTGGCCTGGCTGGAGCCCAGAGCGTTGGGTCACGTGAGGACTCAGGGGTGGCATCTGTGGATGGCGTGCAGCTTCTCCCGCAGCGTGGCGAAGGAGGGCCGTTCCTCGGGGCTGCTCCTCCAGCACTCCAGCATGAGCACGTAGACCTCCGCCGGGCAGGCAGCCGGGCGCGGCAGCCGGTACCCTCGCATGATCTGCTGCAGCGTCTCGTGGTTGGTCATCCCTGGGAGGCGCGGGGCAAGAGCTGCCTCGATTCTGCCTGGGGGTCCCTATGGAGGAGGCCTCCTGTAGCCCCCCATGTCATCTGCCTGCCCTTGGCCAGACCCTCCAACCCCTTGCCGACAGCGTCCAGGCCCGGGGCCAGTGACTCCTGGGCAGAGCCTGCATCCTCCCTCTGGCTGCCTGGGGACCCACCTTCATAGGGACACTGGCCATAGGTGAAAACCTCGTGCAGCAGGACGCCGAAGGACCAGACGTCTGACTTCTGGGAGAAGACACGATAATTGGCCGCCTCAGGCGCTGTCCACTTGACCGGGATCTTGGAGCTGCTGCTCGGGGAGTAGATGTCGTCCTGGGGGCGAGGGAAGGCCCCTGGTAGGGCAGGTGGACCGGGGTCCCCTCACCCACCCCCTCTGGGTCAGGGGCCCAGAGCCTCCGCTGACCTTGAGCAGCCGGGCCAGGCCGAAGTCAGCCACCTTGCAGGCCAGGCCGTCGTCCACGAGCACGTTCCGGGCGGCCAAGTCCCGGTGCACAACGCGCTGCTCCTCCAGGTAGCTCATGCCCTCAGCCACCTGGCAGGCAAAGCCCAGGAGTGGCGGCAGACGCAGGGCCCGGCCCTCGGGGGCTGCAGGAGACAGCGCGGGGTCTTTTAGGGCACGGGGCCAACGGCCGGTGAGGCCAGCGTCCACCCACGTCACCTTCCCCCATGCCTCAGCCTCCTCATCTCTAAGACGTGGCGAGGATGGCATGGCCGGCTAAGGCCACGGGAAGCCCCAAGTGAGACAGGGCGAGGGTCCTGTACTCACCACAGTGACCCGGCAGCCGGCCCAGGCCCCCGACAAAGACCAGGGCAGAGAAGAGCCAGAGGCTGGGCTGGGTCTATGTCACATTAGACCAAGGCTGGTGACCCAGATGGGACCGCGCCCCCCACCGCCCCCGAACACCAGCTCCAGCCCCGGAGCCACAAGGCTCTGGCCTGGCCCAGACCTGACGCCAGCCCCCTGTTGGCTGGAGACCAGACAGGGATGGGATCTGCAGCCGGGGCCACCTGCTCCCGGTAGAGAGGCCCGGTTCACCTCGGAAACCCCGCAGGTTCAGCTCTGCGCCAGGAGGGAAGGGGCGGTCGCAGGCGCGTCAGGGCCACGTGGCAGCAGGGAGGGGACTCACTGCCCAGGAAGGCCTGCAGGTTCCCCTTGCGCATGAGTTCCGTGACGATGTACACAGGCTCCCCGCCCGAGCACACTGCGTGCAGCCGGATGAGCCGCTCGTGCCGCAGGCCCTTCAGTGTCTGGATCTCCTTGGCGAGGTCAGTGAGCTTCATGTTGGCTGCGAGAGAGGGTGTGGCTCCAGGACCGGCCCACGCCACGAACATCACTGCCCTGGGGCTTGAGGGTTGGACAGCAGGTGCGGGGCCCGGCCGTGGCGCAGGATCTCGGGGCCTCACCTGACTTGATGACCTTGATCGCCACGGGCAGGGAGCCCAGCCACAGGCCTTCCCACACCTCCCCAAAGTAGCCTTCACCCAGCTTCCTCCCAAGGGCGAATTCGGAGTGTGGCCGCTCCCACACGTCCTGCCTCGGGGCCTTCTGCAGGGAGGGTGGGCAGGGAGGCTGGTCAGCGTGGGCCCCTGTGCTCTGTCCCAGGCACAGCCCCCCACACCAGGCCTCTGGCGGGCACCCCTGTCCCCAGCACACACTCACCCCACCCTGGCTGGGACAAAGGGGAGTGGGTGCCAGGCTTGGAGGCCCGGCCCAGCCCCGTGGGAGCTCATTGCTCTGGGGGCCTAAGTGGCACCTTTGCCCCAGCCGGATATCCGTCTACACATGCTCATTACTGCCCCTGGCCGCGCTGTCATTATGAGACCAGAGAAACCAGACTGCTGCCCTGGCCCTCGGCAGGGTGGCTCACATCGGGGACAGTCCCCGGGATCCAGTGTCTCCAGCCCAGGTGCAGCATCTTGTGATCTGCCTCTCCTCCCACACCTTCCGCCCTTGGGGCCTGGGGCAGCCTTGAGTGCCTTCCCCAAACTGGCCCCACCCTCCTGGCTGCTCCCCTGCAGAGCTGGGCACTGCTACAGGTCTCCTTTCCCCACTCCCAGCCCCCTAGGACCCCAGGAATCCCAACAACCCTCAGAGGCACCCGCAGAGAGCAGAATGTGCTGGAACCGCTGGGATGCTCCGATGCTCCCAGGCCTGGGCAGGGCCCTGGAGCTGCGCCTCTGACAGCCCCAGGGGTTTTGTGACGGGGTGGGGAGGAGCACCTAGAACAGGGCCATGCCTCGGGCCCAGCATGGGGCAGCTTGGCAGGCACAGGCCCACCTGGGGCATGCAGGGCTGCAGCAGGGGGTTCTGGATCAGCTTCCAGTTGGCCTTGTAGTAGGTGAGCAGCTCCTCCAGGCCGGGAAAGAGCCGTCCCTTCTGCAGGTAGAGGCTGCCATCAGCTGCCATGGAGACCCGGTAGTGGCAGACCTTGGCCTGGGCCCGGACTAGGAAGGGTTCAGAGATGGAGACCCCTGCCTTGGCTGCCAGCTGCCCCGACCCTCCCACCCCAGAGGATGCTGGCCACAACCCACTAAGGGGTCTGGCTCAGACCTAGCTGGGGACCCTGAGATGGTCAGAGCTGTGTGGAGGAGGGAGTGTGGGCAGCCACAGGCTGGGGCGGGGCAGCGAGAGCGGCCCAGGTTGGAGCTTTTCTGCTGACGGTGTGCACAGAGTAGGCACTTAATAAATACTTGTAGAATGAATGAGTCCATGAGTCAGTGAATGAATGAAGGAATAAGGAAGGAAAGAAGGAAAAGTGAATGAATGAATGAACGAATAAGCAAATGAGTGAAAGAATAAGCTAGTGAACAAATCAGTGAATAAATGAGTGAATTAGTGAGTGACGAATGAACGAGTGAATGAGTGGATGAATGGATGAATGAATGAGTGAATTAGTGAGTGAGGAATGAACGAGTGAATGAGATGAATGGATGAATGAATGAATGAGTGAATTAGTGAGGAATGAATGAACAAGTGAATGAGTGACTGAATGAATGAGTGGGTGAATGACTGAATGAATGAATAAATGGGTGAGTTAGCAAGTGCAGGAGGTGACCAGCATATCTGCTGTTGGGCCCTCAGTGGCGCCGGGTGTGAATCAGGAGCCAGCACTGCCTAGAGACCAACCACCCCAAGGTCAAGGGCCACTGACCTGGTGGGGGACAGAGGCAGGAGGGGCCGCCCCAGGTACCTGACAGTGAGTAGCCCCCGAGGCTGCTCTCGCTGGGCCGGATGAGGAAGGCCCCTGGTTCGTTGGGTGGGGAGAGGAGCAGCTGCTGTGCCTGGGTCCGACTGACCCCGCTAAAGTACCAGCTGCAAACAGCAGGTGCGGCAGTCACCTTGCAGGCCCCTCAGCCAGTGGCCCCACATGCTCTCCTCCGTGTTGCCGGCAGGGCTGAGCCCGGCTGTCCCACCGCCTCAGGGAGAAGGTCCACCCCGTGGACTTTGAGTCCCAGCTCAAGGTCTGCACTGCCTCAGCCCCCAGTGCCGGCCTCATCCTCCTGCTCAGCCCTGAGCATCCTCACGTTGGCCGTGGGCTCTCCGTTAGCCCTGCTGGGCGTGACCTCCAGTTCCCTGTTCATAGTGACCGCCAGCCCCAGCCACAGGTTAACAGTCAGCCCTGGCCATGGGCCATAGGCCTCCAAACTCGGCTTCGCTGAGCCCCTGCACAGACATGGAGCTGACGGCCTGGTGAGCTGCCCGGAAGCACTGCTGGGCTGTCGTGGCTGTACAGGGCCATGGGCATCACCTGGCTGGGCACGGCCCACCTGCCTCAGGCAGTTGGTTAGTGGAGGGGGCCCATGCAAGCTGTGTCCTGAGGAGGCAGCCTAAGCCAGGCTGTGCAGGAGGTCAGGAGGGGCAGCCAGTGGGCGGCTGCAGGGGGGTTGCTGTGCGAACGTTCAAAGCATCCTGCATCCCATGCTGGAGAGTTGTGCCCAGTACAGGACGGCCCTAAGCCCACTGGCGTCTGTTCGCACAGACACCCCCTCGGAAAAGCCAGGTGCAGGTGAGACCTCTCTGAACACGGTGGCAGGGTGGCAGGGAGCTCCCAGGTGCCCACTCCTCAGATGCCCACACACGAGGAGCCCACACCGGGTGTCGGGAGAGGGGCCGGCTGGGTCTCCCCTGTCCAGGTGGGCCGCCCACCAGGTCACATCTACTCATTCCTGGGAGCCGGAGGCATCCTTGGAAGGAAGACAGAAATGCTCCCAGCCCCACCCCGTCTGCATAACTCTGCTGCTGAAGTCCAAGGCGGGGACTCCACACCTGACTCAGCTTCCCACCCTGGAGCCTCCCACTTCCTGGAGCTTCCTGGGACCCGGAGAGGGATGCCTGCCACTCCCCTGCCCCAGGGCACACCCCGTAAGCACCAGGAGGAAGAAGCAGAGTGAGCCGGTGTCAGGGTGGGGCTGAAACCACCTGGGAAGCGGGACTAGGAGAGGACCCGAGGTGGGCCTCAGAGTCAACACAAGATTCGGGGCTGGGGCACGGCCATGCCATCCTGGCAGACTGGGACTGGGCAAGACGGAGGACACAGTCTGGCACCCCTGCCCCGGTGACCTAGGGGGCAATGGGGGCAGCAGGAATAGAAACTGACATGACCAGGGCCGTGGGGCTGGGCTTAAGTTGAAGGGAATGAAGATGGAGACAGGAAGAGGTGTGGGACCAGGGACAGAGAGGCAGCGGCCTGAGGCACTGACTCCATGGACGCTCTGTCCATGGAGCTCCTCCTGCAGCCAGGGCCCCTGCCTTCTGGGGTCTGCTGGCAGGGAGACGCAACCCTCTCACGTGTAAAGGGACTCAGGTCCCTCCCAGCACCGTGGGGTGTGGGGATGAGACACAGGTGTTTCCCCAAAACATCGCCAGCCTCCTCTGAAGCCCACATCAGGGCTTGGGGGTCAGAGGTGAGCCCCTGTGGGATCCTGAGATGCAGAGGATGTGTCTGAGGTCTCTCCCTGGGGCGTGGGGCCAGGTGTCTGGAGCTAATGACACCTGAGTGTGGTTAGTCTTTTAATCTCCAGCCTAGGCAAATAGTCATTAGCTTTGCCTATGGACCGCCCTGCTCCACCACGAGCCCTGCCCTCCAGGAACTGCTGAAGGGGTCTGTCCTCCACACCTGGGGTGACTGTGAGCCCCTTCCCATCACAAAGGCTGCTTGCCCCCCAACCACTGCTCAGGACAAGCGGGGCAGGTGTGGGGTGAGGGCCTGGGGCCCCTCAGAAGGCCCCTTCCTGTGACTCCGGCTTCACCCGCCCATGCAACCCCCAGGACGATGTGTGAGTGCCAAAGGGCCCCCAGGAGGCTGGAAGTGGCCCTGAGCAAGGCTGACCCCGAAGGTCTCCAGGGCTCAGGCCTTGCCCAGCTGGATGCCAGACCAAGGCAGCCGCTCAGAGCAGCCGCACTGGGCATCTGGACTAGGCGCCTCTGCAACCCCTGCTCACCTGCCCTCACCCAGAGCTCCTGGAGCGTGGGCCCCTGTCTCAGCCCCCAGTCCCAGCCCCTGCTCACCTGCCTTCACCCAGAGCTCCTGGAGCGTGGGCCCGTCTCAGCCCCCAGCCCCTGCTCACCTGCCCTCACCCAGAGTTCCTGGAGCATGGGCCCCTGTCTCAGCCCCCAGCCCCCAGCCCCTGCTCACCTGCCGTCACCCAGAGCTCCTGGAGCTCCTGTCATCTGGTGCCTCCCAGCCCCCAGCCCCTGCCCTCCAAGCAGTGACCGATCCATGAACACTGGACTCCCTGTGTGAGGGCGGGAGGGCCTGGCCAGCCAGGCAGGGTCCTGGAGGAACCGCCTGCTGGGTGTCCAGCTGGTGCAGCTGATGCTCCCCCCCACAGGACCTGACCACGCCTGCCGGAGCCTCCTCTCCCTCTCGGCAGCCCACAGCGGACACTGCTGTTTTCCTACCACACCTGCCGGCCCGGGGCCCATCAGCTGTCCCTGAATGAATGCGTGGATGAACGAATGAATGAACAGATAGCCACGGACATGCGATTTCCAACTCAAAATCCTGCCGTTGTTCTGGACTCCCCAGCTGGGGGCGAGGCAGGCTCTGACTCCGAGGCCGAGGTACTCACGGTTGGTCTGAGAGCGTCTCAGGAGAAGCCTTGGCCACGTGGGTGATGGGCACGAGCCCGGCGCTGGGCTGGCCCGAAAGCCTGCGTGCGAAGATGTAGCCGCCCCCCTCTTCGAGGGCACAGAGCCTGTCCCCGCGGCGGACACTCAGCTCCCCGCCACACCGCGCCGTGAAGTCATAGAGCGCAAGGAAGAGCTGAGGGAAGGGGCTGCAAGGCTCGGCGGGGAGCGTGGGCACTGGGTCAGTGTTGGGGTCCAGGGACCCGGGGGTGCCATGGTCCGGCTCGCCGCCCGCCGGCCAGATCTTGTCCCAGAAGAAGGACAGGAAGGCCAGCCGCCTCCTGAGGAACGGCTCCATCCCCCGGGGTCACCACGCTGGGCCCGAGGGCCATGGGAGCCCGCGAGCCCGGAAGAGGAACTGGCAGGGCCGGTGGGACCCGGTGTCCAGCGCTCCCTGCCCTGGCCGTGGGGTGACAGGGGACCCCGGCCCTGCGGTCACTCAGAGGTCCCCTGGATCCAGGAGGCACACGGTTCCCACCGGCGTCCGGGCTGGCGTTGGGGCTGGGTGGGGCGCAGGGCGGACCCCCTGCCTCAGGCACACCGACAGCACCTCCTGTCCTCGACCTCCTTGGCGTCTGGAGTG
Source organism: Homo sapiens (assembly GCF_000001405.40). Taxonomy (NCBI): domain Eukaryota; kingdom Metazoa; phylum Chordata; class Mammalia; order Primates; family Hominidae; genus Homo; species Homo sapiens. The sequence continues at coordinate 63,547,749 of NC_000020.11, forward strand.
CACCGTCCCCTCCCCAACCCGACGGCAGAGGGCAGCTTGGGCTGGGGCGGGGGCGGGCTCCAGGAGGGGCCCGAGGAGGGCGGGGTGGGCAGGGCCAGCCTCTCTCCCGCCCTCTGCAAGGCCCAGGCAGGCGGAATGGCTCTGCCCAGTCAGGCCTGGCCCATGCCCAAGGGCACCACAGTCCAACAGCCGCCCGTGCCCACGGAGAAGTGGGGGTTCCACGGAGAAGCGCTGCTGTTCAGCACCTGCAGTGGTTGCCAAGCCTGAGCTGCACTCAGGTGAAAAATTGCCTGCTTATTTAAGTGTTGGCCAGATATTTTAACATCATTAACCCTGCACCAGGTGCCGAGCCTCCGGCCTCTGCAGTAAATTCTGAGGACAGGCGAGTGAGGGGGCTCTCAGCACCCCGGCTTTCATGCAGTAAAACGAGATGCTGATTGCAGGGAGCTCGGCCGCAGGCCAGGCACCCAGATGCCCCATGCTGCCCGATGACCGGCTTCTGAGTCAGTCAATGCCCAGGCCATACCCAAAGGCCACTGCGGGGAAGTGGAGGCTGCGGACGCCTGGCCCCAGTTCAGGGGGATGAGCACACGGAGAAGGGGCGGCGGGTGAGTCCCTGGCTGGGGACCTCCCACCCTCTCCCTGGACAGCGCCAAGCCCCCGCATGCTGAAGCAAACTCTGCCCGCTCAGGTAGGTCCCCAGATCGGGGCAGGACTGGGGGAGCAAATCCCAGCAAAACCCAGCAGCACGGTACAGGGTCCTGAGGCAGGAGGATGGGGTGGTGGCCATCTGCAGTCTCTCTCTCCTCCCACATCCCCTCCGGGTCCTGAGTGGGGTGGGGTGGGGGCCATCTGCAGTCTCTCACTCCTCCCACCTCCCCTCTGGGTCCTGAGGCACGGGGGTGGGGTGAGGCCATCTGCAGTCTCTCACTCCTCCTGCCGGCCTCCCCCAGCAGCCCCTTCCGCACCTGGGTGGCCTTCAGGGAGCCTCACGCCCCTTTCCCACATCTCACACGCATCCATGCCCCCACTTCATGCGTGTGGCTGAATGCATCCCTCCAATAGGCGTGACCAGTGTCCAGCCAATGACAAGCCCCTCGCACCTGCCTGCCCTGGAGTCACAGATGGGCTTCTCAGAAACCTCACGTCTGGGGACTGGTGTGTGCATTGTGGGGTGGCAGTGACACCCGTGGCCTGGCTCTCAGGGCACCCCAGCAGCCAAGCTGTGTCCGGGCTGATAGCCTGGAGCCAGCAGGGGCCCTGGGAGACTGGACATCGCCAGGCTCAGGGCAGGCTCTGCACCAGAGAGGTGCCCTGCTGGGGGTGGTGGGGGGTGTTGAGAAATGTGGAGAATTGTAAATACTACATTGGGGGTGGCCTTCGAGGGGCCCCAGCGCCTTCTCCTCCCGCGCTTCCCCCCGCCGCCCTCTCCTCCCGCCCCCGCCGCCCTCTCCTCCCCCCACCCGCTGCCCGTCTCCTCCCGCCCCCGACGCCGTCTCCTCCCCACAACCCACCCCCGCCGTCTCCTCCCCTCCACTCCCCCCGCCGCCGTCTCCTCCCCACACCCACCGCCGTCTCCTCACGTGCAGGTGAGGCTTTTGCCCACCATTTCTTTTCTTTACTTTTTTTTTGGAAACAGGGTCTCACTCTGTCGCCCAGGCTGGAGTGCAGTGGCAGCCTCGATCTCCTGGGCTCAAGCCGTCCTCCTGCCGGACTACAGGTGTGCGCCACCATGCCCAGATAAATTTTTTATTATTTGTAGAGATGGGCTCTCACTATGTTGCCCAGGCCGGTTTTGAACTCTTGGCCTCAAGCGATCCTCCTGCCTCCCAAAGTGCTGGGACTACAGGTGTGGCTACCAGCTCTCCCAAATCCTCCCTAGGACGTGACTCTTCCCCGCTAGAACGCCAAGGCCGCAGAGCCCCAGGGAGGCCTCCTCAGGCCATGGAAAGCTCCTGTGCCCACCACACCAGGGTCAGATGTTCAGGGCACTGAATGCAGATTCCTCCCAGACACTCCCTGCCCCTTAGAGCCACGGGATCATGGCACAGGACTCAGCACATTCCATGCCCAGCTGGAACCAGAGGCAGGCCTGGCCATCAGGGTTAGGGCCCCATTGGGCCTCTGCCCCGGCGTGTCTCACCCCCACCGCCCCACCTGCCCACAGATCAGCTCCCCACGTCTGCCCCATCTTCCCCCTCCTTGCACCTGCTGCCCTTGCACCGCACACATGCCAGGGTGAGTGTGGTCGGCAGGCAGCCGAGGCCGGCTTTATCCAGCTCCTCCCCGGTGGTCCTCAGAATCCCCGGCCCCGCATGCCCAGCTGCCCTGTCCCGCTGCCCTCCAAGTTGTGCCCGCCCGTCCACCCCTTCCTCACCTCACCCACCAGGCGCAACACAGCCCAGCATAGGGCCCCTGCCAGGTGTCGGTGTCAGCAGCCCCTTCCCTGCCTGCTGTGCCCCCCCCACATGACCTCACCTCCTCCCTCAGCCCTAACCGGGTGGGTGGCACAGAGGGGAGTGAGGAAAGGGGCCTGGGTACAGGATCAGTCTGGACGGGGTCAGGAGTCTGGGGCTTGGCCGGGTGAGGCGGCTCACTCCTGTAATACCAGCATCTGGGGAGGCCAAGCAGGAGGATCGCTTAAGCCCAAGGGTTCAAGACCAGCCTGGGCAACATAGTGAGACCCCCATCTCTATTTTTTTAAAAAAAGAAAAGGCTAGGCACGGTGGCTGACACCAGTAATCCCAGCACTTTGGGAGGCCAAGGCGGGTGCATCACCTGAGGTCAGGAGTTCAAGACCAGCCTGGGCAACATGGTGAAACCCCGTCTCCACTAAAATACAAAAGTTAGTCAGGCATGATGGCGGGCACCTGTAATCCCAGCTACTCGGGAGGCTGAGACGGGAGAATCACTTGAATCTGGGAGACAGTGGTTGCAGTGAGCTGAGATCGTCGCGCCACCGTACTCCAGCCTGGGCGGCTGAGCAAGACTCCATCTCAAAAAAATAAAAATGACCAGGGCTGGAATCCTGCTGTCAGACTCACTGTCCACATGACCTTGGGCATACAGTGCTGAACCTCCCTGTGCCTCAGTTTCCCCATCTGTAAGAGCACTGAGCTTACAATGGCAGTGAGGACACAGACCAGGGGGATGGGGTGCAGGGCCCTTCCTGGTGTTCAGATGGAGGCTTGTGGCAGGAGCTCTGCCACATCAGGCCACCCCCCATCCGGGTTTATGTGTCTGGAGGGCACAGCTCTGAGGGTCTCAGTGGTCAGCGTGCATTCTCTCCCCCAAGACTGGCCCCACTACCCCCAGGCTTCACCATCCTCAGGGCCCAGGGAAGAGAGCTTGTCCCCACCAGGGACAACAGATCCAAAGTGTTCACTGCCCGTGCCCTGGTGGCCACAAACAGGGTTGAGCAAGACTGAGCACAAACTGGCCCCTGGTGCCCAGCAGTGAACAGGAGTGACTGTTGACCCTGCACAGAGGGGACTATGCTGAGCGCAAGAAGCCAGTCCCAAGGCTGCATACTGAAAGCCTGCACTGATAGGACATTCTTGAAATGACCAGACAGAGCCGGAGAGATGAGTGGTTGCAGGGCTAGGGAGAGGTGGGAGGGAGCAGCGTGGCTGTAAAGAACATGTCAGGGTCCCGTGGGGGTGGCACTGCCTTGCGTCTGTATCGACGTCAAGGTCCTGGCGTGATTCTGCACTGCAGTCCTGCAAGATGCTACCACTGGGGATGCTGGATAGAGGGTAACGGGACCTCTGTGTTACTTCTTACAACTGCAGATGAATCTATACTTATCTTAAAAGTAAAAGTTTAACTTTATTATTATTATTATTATTTTCGAGACAGGCCTCTGTCTTATTGCACCCAGGCTGGAGTGCAGTGGCACAATCTCGGCTCACTGCAACCTCCACCTCCTGGGTTCAAGCGATTCTCCTGCCTCAGCCTCCTGAGTAGCTGGGACTACAGGCGCCCACCACCACGTCCAGCTAATTTTTTTTTTTTTTTTGAGACAGAGTCTCGCTCTGTCGCCCAGGCTGGAGTGCAGTGGCGTGATCTCGGCTCACTGCAAGCTCCACCTTCCAGGTTCACGCCATTCTCCTGCCTCAGTCTCCCGAGTAGCTGGGACTACAGGCGCCTGCCACCACTCCCAGCTAGTGTTTTGTATTTTTAGTAGAGACGGGGTTTCACCATGGTCTCGATCACGTCCAGCTAATTTTTGTATTGTTAGTAGAGACTGGGTCTTACTATGTTGGCCAGGCTGGTCTTGAACTCCTGACCTCAGGTGATCTGCTTGCCTCAGCCTCCCGAAGTGCTGGGATTATAGGCGTGAGCCACTGCGCCCAGCCATTATTATTCTTTTTAGAGACACAGGGTCTCCCTCTGTCACCCAGGCTGGAGTGCAGTGGCACCATCTTGGCTCACTGCAGCCTCATCCTCCCAGGCTCAGGTGATCCTCCGGCCTCAGCTTTCCAAGTAGCTGAGACCACAGGTGCACACCACCACACCCAGCTAATTTTTCAAATTATTTGTAGAGACAGGGGTCTCCCTGTGTTGCCGAGGCTGGTCTCAAACTTCTGGCCTCAAGGGATCCTCTCACCTTGGCCTCTCAAAGTGCTGAGGTTATGGGCCTGCGCCACCGAGCCTGGCCAAAAGTTTAACTTTAAAAAATTAGATTAGAAATCAGAAATTGAAAGAAAGGGGGTAGGGTGGAGCCCAGGAGAGGGGAGACATCCAGGACCTGCCTGGCCCCAAAAGAGAAGGGGAGGCTGCTCTGCCCCCACCCCGCTTCTCCGTCAGTGGGCTGCAGGGCCGGGGGTAAGGGGTCTAACTCCTACTGCTTCCCAACCCTCCGCGTCAGACAGCACCCCCTTCTCCAAACAACCCCGGCTTTGTCCCCTGGAGCCCTAAATAACAATAACAATAGCTGGCATTTATTGAGTTCCAGCCCAGGCAGGGAGGGCAGGGCAGAAACAGCACCCAACAGGACTGGGTGCAAGGCTCACACCTGTAATCCGGAAGGATCAGAAAGACCCAGGTGGGAGGATCACTTGAGCCCCGGGGGTGAAGACTGCCGCATGGGTGACAGAGCAAGACGCTATCTCAAAAAAAAAACCACCCACATCCACCCACTTCCTGCCAGGCCTAACCCCTGGGGCCTCCATGCACCAAGGGAAAGCTCTTCCAGGGTGGGGTCACCGGGAGGAGGGGGGAGGCTCAAGTTACAGAACAGCCTGGTAGGGGCTCAAAGACGCCCATCCTGGAAGAGGCCCCAGCACTGACCTCCGTGGGGGTGGAGATGAGGAGGATGGAAAGGGTGTCTTCCTCCAGCATCTTCCTGAAGGTGAAGGAGGGGCACCTTGGGGTGTCTAAGATTGTGACCCCAGGAGACCCCCAGCTAGCTGGGGTGTGCTGTGGGGGAACGGGGGGATCCCAGAGGCCCTGAGCCCAACTGAACAGATACAGACGGGACCAGATGGCCTCAGAGCTCCCCTGCGGGGCTCCCTGGAGCTATGGAGACCCCATTTATCCAGAGTCAGGTCGGTGCCTGAGCTTGGGCAGCCCCAGGTGGAAGGAGCCCATGGTGGGAGGAGCCTGTAGTGGGAGGAGCCTGTAGTGGGAGGAGCCTATGATGGGAGGGGCCGTGGTGGGGGGAGCCCGCGGTGGGAGGAGCCTGCGCTGGGAGGAGCCTGTGGTGGGAAGACCCTGTGGTGGGAGGGGCCGTAGTAGGGGAGCCCGCGGTGGGAGGAGCCTGCTCTGGGAGGAGCCTGTGGTGGGAGGGGCCGTGGTGGGGGGAGCCCGCGGTGGGAGGAGCCTATGATGGGAGGGGCCGTTGCGGGGGAGGGGGGAGCCCATGGTGGGAGGAGCCTGTGGTTGAGGAGCCTGCGGTGGGGGGAGCCTGCGGTGGGAGGAGCCTGTAATGGGTGGCATCTGTAATGGGCGGGGCCTTGCTGGGCAGAGCCCGCGGCGGGGGAAGCCGCCCCTCTCCTCTGTCCAGGCGCTGGGTGGTCCATCCGCCTGGTCACCGGCCACTGCCTCTCTCCCAAATTCCTCCGAGGGATTCCCGAGGAGTGCGCTCGGACTGGGGGGTTGAGCAGGAACTCCCTCCCAGTCACCCGAGGCTCCTGCGCCCCGCCCGAAGCCGGGGGTGCGTGGGGAGTGGTGCGCCCGCGGAAGGGCTCCGGGACGGGAACCCCCCTTGGAGCCTGGCTCTTGGACCAGCCACCCGCCGTGGCCCCTCAGTCGGGGACGCGGGCCCCCAGAAGTCTGGGGCTCTCCAGGAAGCGAAGCGGATGGAAGATTACTCGGCTCGGGGTCCCGGGTCCCCACCCCCGCCCCGCCCCCGGGCCGCAGCGTCACAAAGGCCGCTGGTCCCCAGGGCAACCCGCGGAGTGCGGAGGGAGGCTGGGCTCTGGGAAGTCCGCGCGCGGCTCCGCTTCAGAGGCAGGGCAAGTGGGCGCGGTCCTGGGGCGGCGGCGGGGGCCGGGAGAGGAGGGCTGGGGGTCTCGAGAAGGTAAGGGGCAGGCAGAGCGGCCGGGGAGGTGGGCCCGGGCCAGGGGAGCCAAGGGGAGTGTGGTGGAGGGGGTAGAGTGCGGGCACCTGGTGGTCTCAGGGAAGCGGGCCTGGGACCGGGGCGTGTAGGAAGCAGCGAGGGGCTCAGAACCACCTTTCCGGGTTCACGACCAGCCTCTCTGGGTGTTCCACCTGGGCAGCTGCTGGAGACTAGAAAACATCCCTCACACGTCACAGAGGCACGGTTTCCCTCCAGCGGTGAAATCCGCCCCAGCCTCCAGCAAGAGCAGGGCTTAGGCCTGGGGTCCTGGGGTCCTGCTCTCAGCTGGCACCTCACCCCAGACACACTCCCTGCTGCCCCCAGGGGCCTGTTCTCGAGGGATTCCCGAGGAGTGCGCTCGTGAAGTCATATCTGCCTCACGCCCAAAAGGGCAACCCTTCCCGGGCAGATATGACTTCACCACGTACCTGTGTGGCCCTGGGGAACTCAGCAACTGCTTAGCTCTCATTTGTGGGTCGTCCAAGGCCCAAGTGGCTGTGACAACCTGAGATCTCCAGGGTTGCTGGGAGCCGGGGCAGCAACCAGGGGTGCGGCTTGCTCTCCAGGGAGCTGCGGCAGAGCCTGGGGCCACAGCTGCACTCAGCCGGTGCACCCACGGACAGAGGGTCAGACTCGGCTCAGCACTGGGCTCAAGCCCTGGATGAGAACAAGAACCAAGCTTCTTAGCCTCAGGCTCCATCTGGGAAATGGAGTGTCACTTGTGGAGTCCATGAGCTCACCAGGGACAGGATCCCGGGTCCACAGCGAGGGCCCACAGCGTGGGAGGAGGGCTGCTCCTCCGGGCCCAGGCCTGGGCGCCCTCCTCCCATGCTGACCAGCCAGCTGGCCTCGTCTTTGGTGAGGCCTGTCTCTGTGCCCTACAACTGCGGTGAGGCGTGGAGCGTCCCCAGGGAGAACCGGAGCGGGAGGATGGCCCGCGAATGTCCCCGAGGGGGATCCTGTGCTGCTTAGGACCACGCCGTCCCCTCTCCACGGCCCCGAGGGGTGCCAGCAACCCCTTTCAGCAGCAGGGTTAGGAACTGGGGCCCTTGCAAGGCCACAGGTCAGGCGGTTCTGGCCAGAAGTCCGCAGTCCTAGTTCTTCCCTGTCCTGTCCCACAGGCCACTGGTTGTCAGTAGAGGTTTTTGCCCCTCAGTATAAACTGTGTCCAGATCTGTAGGCTGCCCATCCAGCCCTCCAGGCAGCCTCTTCCCATCGAGTTGTGCCCCCGAAGAAGGACAGAGGTCCAGCATGGGGTCAGTGGGCTGAATCCATCCCCCGAACATGCCACAGCCCAGGGGAGGCCAGCCTGCCTGGCAGCTGACACCCAGCCCTCCCCCCAGCTCCCGGATAATGAGCACCCATGTGGCAGGCCTGGGCCTGGACAAGATGAAGCTGGGCAATCCCCAGTCCTTCCTGGACCAGGAGGAGGCAGATGACCAGCAGCTGCTGGAACCAGAGGCGTGGAAGACCTACACCGAGCGCCGCAATGCCCTGCGTGAGTTCCTGACCTCGGACCTGAGTCCGCACCTGCTCAAGCGCCACCACGCCCGCATGCAGCTGCTGCGTAAGTGCTCCTACTACATCGAGGTCCTGCCCAAGCACCTGGCCCTGGGCGACCAGAACCCGCTGGTGCTGCCTAGCGCCTTGTTCCAGCTCATCGACCCCTGGAAGTTCCAGCGCATGAAGAAGGTGGGCACAGCTCAGACCAAGATCCAGCTCCTGCTGCTCGGGGACCTGTTGGAACAGCTCGACCATGGCCGTGCTGAGCTGGATGCCCTGCTCCGGTCGCCAGACCCACGGCCCTTCCTGGCCGACTGGGCGCTGGTGGAGCGGCGGCTGGCGGACGTGTCGGCCGTCATGGACAGCTTCCTGACCATGATGGTGCCGGGGCGGCTACACGTCAAGCACCGCCTGGTGTCTGATGTCAGTGCCACCAAGATCCCGCACATCTGGCTCATGCTGAGCACCAAGATGCCTGTCGTGTTTGACCGAAAGGCGTCGGCGGCTCACCAGGACTGGGCCCGGCTGCGCTGGTTCGTCACCATCCAGCCAGCCACATCGGAGCAGTATGAGTTGCGCTTCAGGCTGCTGGACCCGCGGACACAGCAGGAGTGCGCCCAGTGTGGCGTCATCCCCGTGGCTGCCTGCACCTTCGACGTCCGAAACCTGCTGCCCAACCGATCCTATAAGTTCACCATCAAGAGGGCCGAGACCTCCACGCTGGTGTACGAGCCCTGGAGGGACAGCCTCACCCTGCACACCAAGCCGGAGCCCCTGGAGGGGCCCGCCCTCAGCCACTCTGTCTGAGAGATGATTTTCTAATATTTATCCACTAATAAAGAAGAGTGTAAATGCACATATGGAATTAAAGAAGCAAACCTATTTATGTTTTAAAGGCAGCAGCCACCAGTGTTTTTCCTGGCTCAAAACATGCCAAGCCCCAGGCCTTCTGCTCCTGCTCTTTCCCAGGGGGAGCCACAGGCCGGACCTCCCAAGACAGCTGAGCCTGGAGCAAGAAGTACCAGCCCCTGACACCTACGGGTCCAACGACGACGACAAAAGCTGCTCCACGGGGCCTCTGCGGTCCTAGCCCCCGCCCCTCCTCACCACCCCCATCACCGTGACCGGGCTCCGGCCTTCCTTACCCACCTCCCTGGCTTGTGGGGCTCCCTCAGGGAATGACACTCCTAGGCCGTGATGCCTCCCACCATCCCCTGCCCAGCCTCGAGTGCTCATCAGCACGCCCGCCCGAGGAGGCAGCAGCACCACCGGGGATCCCTGGCTGTGAGCAGCTCAGCCGTGCCCCTCCATGCCCCGCCCCACCTTTTGTTCCTCAAGGGCCTTCCCGGCCCTGAGCTCCCTCTCTCCTCCAGGATCAGCTGCTTTTGCTAGGCGTCCAGCCCCTGCGTCCCCCCACCGCTCACCTTCAGGGCCGCAGCTGCCCCTTCCTCCCAGAAGCCTTCCCTGGCTGCAGGCTGGTGAGGTCCCCAAGTCCCCCTTCCTAGAGGCGCCTTCTCATCCTCTCTGCAGGCACTTCTCAAGCTATTGCAGAACTACTCTTATTTCATGACGGTCCAAGAATAGACATGGTCTTCAAGGCAGGGCCCGTCCAGCACACCAACGGGGCCACAGTCCTGGAGACTCCATGCTCCACCCCTCCCTCCACAGATGCCCAGAACCTCTTTTCCCACAGTGACCATAGCCCCCGCGACCATCTGACCCCCGAGCTGGCTCTGGGAGGCCACAGGAGCCCCTGTGGACGCAGCCACAAATGGGCCAGGTGCGGAGGGACCCCAGTCCACAGCGGCCAGGGGGTCCTGGGGAGCAGCTTTAAAAGTGGGACCAGCAGGACAGTCAAGGCTGGTGGCCTCAGGGACTTTGGACTTGGCCAGCCTGGTGACACCGGAGCAGCTCTGGAGCTGTGGCTTGTCCCCACCACACCAGGCACGGCCCTCCCCTCCCCACACAGGCAGCCGGAGACACCGGCCCTGCAGGGGGGGTCGCTGCCCTCCCCACGCTCCTGCGCCCAGCGCTCTGCAGTGGGCCCTCGACGGCCTCCACGGCCGCGTCCCAAAACCGCCCTCCCCACGCCCCTGCGCCCAGCGCTCTGCAGTGGGCCCTCGACGGCCTCCACGGCCGCGTCCCAAAACCGCCCTCCCCACGCCCCTGCGCCCAGCGCTCTGCAGTAGGCCCTCGACAGCCTCCACAACTGCGTACCAAGCACAGTGACCATCCACTTTTGCCCCCCAGCCAGACCTCAAACACCCAGAAGTGAGAAGAGCTTTCAGAGTGGTTTTATCATTAAATTAATATCTAATCACATAATTCAAAGATATAAAAATTGGAATGTAGAAGGTGGGGCAAGCCCCTCCCTCAGGACTGGAGGCGGCAGCAGGGACAGAGCCGCACTGAAGCGGGTGAGCGTGCGAGAAACATACAGCCGAGCAGGCTGCCCCGAACACTCAGTCCAGGGTGGAAGCATCGCCCCGGCACCCCCCAACCCCCGAGCCCACTGCGCAGCCCACAGGAAGAGTGCAGGCTTTTCACATTTCAGAGGGTGGGGTGGGGTGGGGTGGGGCGGGGTGGGCCCCTGGCTTTGGGCTGCCCTCCAGCAGCCCCTGAAGGACACAGGCGGTGATGGTGGGAGAAAGGCCCCCTCTCCCAGGGAGGCCTCCTTGTCCTGAGCTTGGGCTGAGGTCTCTGTTCCAGTAACAGATGCTGGTTTTGTTTTGTTTTTTTTTTTAAGACAGGGTCTCGCTCTGTCACCCAGGCTGGAGTGCAGTGGTACCATCAGAGCTCACTGCAGCCTGCGCCTCCTGGAGTCAAGCGATTCTCCTGCCTCAGCCTCCCAAGTAGCTGGGATTACAGGCGCCCGCCACCACGCCCAGCTAATTTTGTATTTTTAGTGGAGACGGGGTTTCACCATGTTGGCCAGGATGGTCTCGAACTCCTGACCTCAGGTGATCTGCCCGCCTCGGCTTCCCAAAGTGCTGGATTATGGGCGTGAGCCACCACGCCCGGCAGGATGCTGGCTTTTAGTTCATTTAAATAGAAAATAAACCTGAACTCCACAGACACCATCCAGAGTGATTACAGGTGGCGTCCAAAGGTCAAAGGGCAGCCTCCACAGGGTTTCCTTCCTGGTTCTGAGACTTCCCAGGGACAGCAGAACTTCCTTGCACTGGTCCCAAGGAAGCCCCTCTTGGCCACCCTGAGAGGTGTTCCTGTCCCCAGATGCCCAGGAGGAGCAAGAGTGTGGGGACCGGCCCTTGCCGTTCCTCCTCCAAGTCCACCCACTTCCTGCCCCAGGGAGATCCTGAGGCCAGGAGGCAGGCTGGCCCAGGCAGGCTGATGGCGGAGGGTGGTGGGGAGGGTGGGGGGGCCCTGGACTTTCCCTCCCAGTCCTGGCACCTTGCAGGTGGAGAGGGCTCTTCAGGAAGGCATAGTTGGCCTCCTGCAGACGCGCACCTGGCCGGCAGGCACGAGGGTCTGCTGAGCCTCGCAGAAGTCCAGGAGGCTACGCCAGAGGGGGCAGCAGCGCAGAAGGAGGTGGTCTCCTGTGAGGGTGGGAGTCAGATGGGAGTCAGTCAGGGTCAGGTGGGAGGAGTCAGGGTCAGGTGGGAGGAGTCAGGGTCAGGTGGGAGTCAGTCAGGGTCAGGTGGGAGGAGTCAGGGTCAGGTGGGAGGAGTCAGGGTCAGATGGGAGTCAGTCAGAGTCAGGTGGGAGGAGTCAGGGTCAGGTGGGAGGAGTCAGGGTCAGGTGGGAGGAGTCAGGGTCAGGTGGGAGGAGTCAGGGTCAGATGGGAGTCAGTCAGAGTCAGGTGGGAGGAGTCAGGGTCAGGTGGGAGGAGTCAGGGTCAGGTCGGAGTCAGGGTCAGGTGGGAGGAGTCAGGGTCAGGTGGGAGTCAGTCAGGGTCAGGTGGGAGGAGTCAGGGTCAGGTGGGAGGAGTCAGGGTCAGATGGGAGTCAGTCAGAGTCAGGTGGGAGGAGTCAGGGTCAGGTGGGAGGAGTCAGGGTCAGGTCGGAGTCAGGGTCAGGCAGGAGTCGGCAGCTCCCTAGCCCAGCCCTGGCCTCACCTGTGTTCCCACCCTGGAAGAGCCCAGCCCCGCCCTCACCGATCAGGCAGAGCCCCTCCTGGGCCCGCGTGACAGCCACATTCACTTGGTTGGGGTCCACAACGAAGCCCAGAAACTTCTTGAGCCAGCTCTTGGTGGGCCGCTGGTCCAGGTCGCTCTTGGCACAGGTGCGGACGGTGCTCACCAGCACATAGCGCCACTCGCTCCCTGCGGGATGGGAGGTGAGGCCCTGCTGCCGCTGCGCCCACCCTCCCGGCCCCACCCACGAGCCCCCAGCCTCACCCTGGCTCTTGGTGATGGAGGACACGGCCACCCCGGCGATGCCCTCTCGCCGAAGGGCCTTGCTGATCTCAGAGGCCTGCGCGTTGTAGGGCGTGAGGACGGCGATGTCCTGGGGCTCTACGGTCCTCCCCAGGGTCAGCTGCTTGGTGATACGGACCTGAGGAGCCGAGGGGGCAGGTGGAGCGGACCCTGGTGTCTCTCCTGCCCTCCTCCAGGAAGCCCTCCCTGACTCACAAGCACCAGACACTCACCACCTCAGCCACCTCCTCCAGAAAGCCCTCCCTGACTCACAGGCACCAGACACTCACCACCTCAGCCACCTCCTCCAGGTTGGCCTTGGAGTTCTCATTCCCTTCGTCCGTGGACACCAGCAGGCTCCGCTCGTGGCCCTGCACGTGGCCAAAGATGACAGGGCAGCTCTCCTTGCCAGCGTGGCCCAGGACACTGGGCGGCCTCCTCAGGCCCTGCCACGTCTTCAGCTTGCTCTTGTAGAACGCCACAGAGGGGAAGGCACAGATGCCCTCATGCTGCAGGCAAGGATGTGCGCTGGTCAGAGGCTGCCACGCGGGGTTGTGGCCCCCCAGGGGCTGCAGGTGGGCTGGGGGCTGAGTGGGGCGGGCTCACCATGCGGTACTGAGTGTCCAGCATATGTGCGTCCTCGTGGTACCGCTCGAACAGAGACCGGTCCAGACCCAGGTTTTGCAGCCGCTCATTCTTGACCACAGGCCGCAGCTGCTTGTGGTCTCCGAGAAGAACCACCTGGAGGAATAGGCAGGCCTGGCCCTGACACCCCTAGACCCAGAGGGACCCCAGCCCCACACGACACCCGCGTCTGCACACACAGGGCACCCCAGGTGGGAGACTGTGCCAGGGACGCCTGCTCATGCTGCCCACACCCCCCGCCGACCAACCTTCTCGGCCTGTGGGAACTGCACCAGGGGGATGAGGGTTTCAGGTTCCGTGGCCATGCCTGCCTCGTCAACAAGGATCTGCCTCACGTCCAGGATTTTGAGGCTGGCAGAGGCTGCACAGGAGCAGGTGCAGAGGATGACCTCATGCCGGTCCAGCTCGAACTTCCGAGCCTCCCACAAGACCTTCTTGTACCTGCCGGGGACACTGCTTGTCACCCCAGGGCCCCCATGCTGCAGGCAGCTCCACCCCCTGGCCCCTGCCACTTACCAGACCAGGTCCTCCCTGGAGAAGAGCTCCCCTCTCTGCAGCCGGGTGTCAAAGGCCTTGATTTCCGACGAGTAAGGGTTGGGGGCCTGCCGGATCCGGTGGTGCAGGGTGATGCTCCTGGGGGACAGGACACAGTGAGCCCTGTCCACGCAGGGCCATCACGGGGGCAGAGCTCAGTGAGACCCACCTACACAGGACTGTCTGGACAGCTCGGCCCCACTCCGCCCAAGCCCCAAAGACAGCAGGCACACCTGAGGCTCTGGTTCGGCCTCCCCTCCCGGGGGCTCTTCCTGAGCAGCTTCCTGCTGCCCACACGCGGCACTGGGAACTCGCTGGCCTCAGCCTGCTCACTGTACACACGGAGGGGCTTCAGCTCCATCCTTCTCAGGAGCAGTCCTGAGGGTAGTTGGGGGACGTGAGTCCTGCCCCGCGTGCCAGCTCCCCAAAGGCCCCCACCGCCGACCCCGGCGCACCTGCCAGGACATCCACCGACTTGTTGGAGGGGCCGCAGTACAAGATGCAGGGACCCCCCAGCCGCTTCTCCCCACGGGGGGGGCCTCCGGGCTGCACCTGCTCCTGGTTTGATTTATGAAACCAGAATACGATGTGGAGGCCCACGATCGTCTTCCCTGTACCTGCAGCCAGAGAATAGGAGATTGTAGCCCACCCTGTGGGTCCCTGTGGCCCAAGGCAGCCTGCGGCTCCCCCGGCATGGGCCCTACCTGGTGGGCCCTGAATGACCGTGAAAGGCTTCTCCAGAGCCTCCCTGACCGCCACGTTCTGGCTGGGGTTCAGCTTGTGGCGGCCTCCGGGGATGTTGTAGGTCTGCCGCTCCAGGAACCTGCTGGGGATCACTGAGAGGGGGCAGCCTCCCTGAGCACTCATGCAGGGTGGGGCTGGGGGCCAGAGGGGAAGCTGGAGGGGTGGGGCAGACCTACCTCTGCAGAGGGGCTGCGGGACAGGCCGGCCCAGTGCGATGCTGGTGACCAGCGGGGACGCCTCCTCTAGTCCACGCACGGCTTCCTCCTTGCGGCTGGGGGTGAAGGCAGACACTGGAAAACCAACAGGACTCCCAGGAAAGGGGCTGCTGCCCCACGAGCTCCCCCCTCCTGCAAGTGAGGGGCCCGGGGCGGTCCCCCAGCCCAGCCTCTGCTGGTGGAAGCCACTCACAGATCAGGAAGCTGCTTGGGCAGCAGCTCAACGGTGAACAGGGTGCCCGGCCTCAGCACCTCTTCCGGAACCTTCTCCATGCCCATGTGGTGGACGAAGAGGTGCACCCGTCTGGGAGCCTCCTGCCGGTCTGCCCGGCGCTCCTGGTCCCAGTCCTGCGTCTGCCCGTGGGCCACCCAGGTATACGTGCCGGGGTCAACATTCAGGCCAGGGCCGAGGCTGCTGGGCCCAGGGCGTGGGCTGGCCGTGGGAGCCGGCAGCCCCTCGAGCCGGATGCAGAGGTAGCAGCAGCTGAAGTTGATGTCGGCACAGTTCTCCTCGAGGAAGGCGGCCTCCAGGCGGAAGGCGCCCTGCAGCTGCCCCTGCGGCGTCCGTGACGCCTCCCAGGAGACACTCAGGTGCTGAAGTGTGACGGAGTCATTCTCGGCAACCGCGCCGGTGGCCGACTCCAGGGCGCAGAATGGTTCCCACACGCAGGCGTACTCATCCACGTCGCGGTACCGGTCCCTCGGGGCCCGGTACACACGGCCTGAGAAGCAGTCTCCGGGCCGCTCCACGTGCTCCAGGCAGAGGCTGAAGCCCGGTGCCACCGTCCAGAGCTGAGGGCTCGGTACCAGGAAGCCGTGCTGCAGGCTGGTGCCGAGCTGCACCTGCAGGGTGTCCCCACTGCCCAGCTCCCGGGCCACCTCCAGGAAATGGCCACAGTGGCTCCGCTGCACCTGCACCAGCTCCCGCCGCTGGGACGCCTCGCCCTTCTCCTGGATGAGAGCAGCCGCCTCCGGCCAGCGCTGCAGCTCCACCAGCTCCAGCAGCTGCTTCCACAGGGCCGTCTCCACGGCCAGGGTGTGTGGGTCCGGCACAGTGCCAGGCAGTGGCAGGGGCGGGCTGGATCCCTGCGCTGAGTAGACACGGCGCCGCCACAGGAGCCGCAGGCCCGGCCGGCCTGCCAGGGCGTGGGGGTGCTCGGCCAGCTGCAGGGAGCCGTAGGGGACGGGGCAGGGGTCAGGCAGCGTCTCCCGGTTGCTGGGGAAGAGCAGCCGGAAGCAGCGGGAGCCCGCCTCCACGTCCACCACGAAGCCCAGCTTGTCCAGAGGCTGGGCCTTGAGCTGCACGGCCAGGTGCAGGCTGCGCGCCCGCCGCTGATAGCTCTGGGCAAGTGCGTGCTGGAGGCTGAAGGCCTGGCAGAGCCCATCGATGTCCCTGGCAGAGTAGGCAGAGCCCCCATGGCCCAGCGCCAGCAGGATCTGCCGCTGCAACACCACGTCCAGGTACCTGCGGATGGGCGAGGTGGCCCACGTGTACCAGTCCACCTGCAGCGAGTAGTGGCCGCCCTGCTGCTGGTGGCCCCGGGCGCAGCGGCCGAACGCCGAGCGCTCCAGGGCCTTGCGGAGGTCGCGGCCTGCAGGAGCCAGGAATGGGTGCATGTCGTCCGTGGTGACCAAGTCCACCATCTGTTCGTAGTCCTGGGTGCGGGCAGCAAACTGGACCTGCTTCCAGAGGGAGGCCAGGAGGTGCAGCCGCGTGTCGGGGGGACTGCCCCCGCCGCCGTGCAGGTGGTGGCCGAGGTGCAGTGACAGGGGCACCCGGTCCCCATGCTTCTCACACAGGGCCTTGAGCTGCTGGCTGCGGGGTGCTGGCTGCCACCGCAGAGGCGTGACCGTCCGCGTGCACTCGCTGCCCACCAGGAACTCAGCCACGAGCCTATTAAACTGAATCATGTACTCCTTCACCATGATGTGGGCCGCGCGGAAGCCCAGGGTGCCGTCCTCGTCCGGCTGCTCATAGAAGCAGTCGGACCGCAGGCGGTGCCGGCGCAGCAGCCGAGAGAAGTAGCACGCGGCCACGACGCAGGCGTCCACGGAGTCCAGGCGGGCCGGCAGCTCACGGCCGGCACCCGGGTGCTGCCTGATCACCTCCTCCGCCTCCTCGTAGGACAGCTGGCGGTCAGACTGGACCACGGAGGGTGCAAAGCGCAGGCTCTTCAGCTGGCCACTGGCCTTCTCCATGGTGAGGAACAGGGAGATGGCCAGGCGGTCCCGGCCAGGCAGGAGGCTGAGGACGTCCTGGCAGAGGCTGGCCGGCAGCATGGGCACTGGCTCCCTGCCGGGGGCATAGAACGCAGCGCCCTGCCTTCGCGCCTCCACGTCCAGCACCCCGTCCCTGGGCACGAAGCTGGCCACATCAGTGATGTGCACAGCCACCTCGCACCTGGGACCCAGGTCTCGGACACTGAGGGCATCATCGAGGTTGCAGGCGCCCTGGGGGTCCACAGTGAAGGTCAAGAAGGCGCGGCAGTCCTCTCGGCGGCCGGCAACCCGGCCAAGCTCCGTGTGGTATTTCTGCAGCACCTTGGTGATGGTGGCCTGGTCCGACGGGGGCACCCTCAAGCTGTACTCCAGGCCGAGGATGCGGAGGCCCTGCTCCCAGGTGCTGGCCTCAGGCAGCACCTCCCGGACGATGCCCAGCGGGTAGTAGAAGCCTTGCCGCCACAGGACAATTTGGACCCAGAAGAGCCGGCTGTGCCGGGCCTCGGCGGTGAGCCTCTCAAGCCCCACACGCTGCAGCCGGCCCTTCCGGAGGCTGTAGATGGGGACCTGCGATGGGTCCTTCAGCTCGGCCACGAAGATCTTGGTCACGGAGCCATTGATGGGGACCATGATGCGCGGGTCCCACGTGTCCATGCGGCACACAAACGCCAGCTCGTGCCTCTTCCTCTTCAGCACGCCCAGCACGCGGCCCCGAAGCCGCCCCTCGGGCGCCTTGTCTCCCGAAAGGAGCTGCACCAGCACCTCATCCCCGGCGAAGGCCATCCCACAGTCCAGGCGGCCCCTGACCTGGATGGGGCCCGAGGAGGCATCGTCCAGCGGGATGGCTGACGCCCGCTCGAAGGTCTCTGGCACGAAAGAGCAGTGGCGGTACCGCTCGGGCTCCGCGTGCAGCAGCTTCCGTAGCGCAGCCGGGGGCAGGTTCTCGTACAGCCGGGCCTGCTGCAGGGACTCGGGCCTGGCGACAGTGTCCAGCAGCCCGTCCTCCCCGACGGTCACCATCACCTTCTGGCTCTCGTCCAGAAGCTCCCGTAGGATGGCGTCGTCAGCGTTGAGCTCCCCGTCCCACGGCCAGAAGTCAGCCTCTGCATCCTCAGCCTCCGTGGACTCCACGCCCGCTGCAGCAGCCGCTCCTGCCGCACAGGCCCCGGGCACCACGTCTTCCTTCACTGCGTCTCCTGCTGGTGCTGCCGCAGCCTCCGTCTGCGCTGTGGTTGCCGTGATGTCACGGGATGCTGGGCTCAGAGCCTCATCTCCCGGCTCTGCCTTCACCATGGCCGTCACCACAGCCGCCTGCTCCTCGGCCAGGTCCCCTACTGGCTCTGGGGCAGCCTCCCAGTTCCCCGCTGCCCCAGCCTGTGTGCCTCGGGGAGGCCAGCGCCGTCTCTGCGCCACACCCTGCTCGACCTGCTCCATGGACAGGCCCTCGGGGCAGACACTGTGCCGCTCCACGCACTCACGGATGAAGCTCTCCCAGAGCTTGCCGCAGGCCCCGAAGGAGCAGAGGGCCACGGCGTCCCCCACTACCACCAGCTGGGACTGGGCGCGGGTCAGGACGGTGTTGAGCACGCGGGCGTCGGTGAAGAACTCAGGGGCCAGTGCCCCAGGGCTGAGCAGGCTCTGGCAGGTGTGCACAGTGCTGAGCACCACGACCCGGAACTGCCGCCCTGCAGGGGGCACGCAGTCAGGTCAGGCTGGGTGCGCAAGACGGTGGGACCAGCCCCACCCCTGCCGATGCCAGGCTGAGGAGTGGGCCGAGCCACCCGGGGTATCCTGGGGCAGCTGGCAGCACCTGGCCCCGCTGGTCACCCACCTGGCAGGATCTCAAAACTGCCGACAGACACCTGGCCTAGGTCCCGCCTCCTCAGCTCCTGCCTCAGTGCACTGACCTGAAGACGCAGCAGGGCCGGGGATGAGTGCTGGACGCAGTGAGGACTCGGCCACCCCCGACAAGGAGAGGGCACCCCCACCAAGCTCGGGGATGAGCGCAGGACGCAGTGAGGACTGGGCCACCCCCGACAAGGAGAGGGCACCCCCACCAAGCTCGGGGATGAGCGCAGGACGCAGTGAGGACTGGGCCACCCCCGACAAGGAGACGGCACCCCCACCAAGCTCCAGACACCTCAGGGGCCGAGCCCCACCTCAGCCCTGGGAGGCAAATACTGCAGCCCCCTCTTACAGATGGGGAAACTGAGGCGGGGGCTCGTCCATCAGCCGGAGAGCTCCCCCTCCCCCAGCAGGGGTGCGGTCGGGGGCTGTCCCGGGCTGGCCGGGCTCACCTGGGCACCGTGGGAAACGACACAGATGCACCTCTGCTCGCGGCCGCCCCAGCAGCTGGGCCAGGTGTTGTAGGCCTCCTGCACCTTCTCGACGACCTGCGCAATCTCAGCCAGATTCAGCCAGGACGCCATGGACATGTCCCGGTCTGGGCTGCCCGCCACGTGGCAGAACATGAGCGGGTAGTGCCGGGGGTGGGGCGGAACCTTGCCCCTGGCGTGGATGGGGTTGCCCTTGGCCACGTAGAAGTGCCGCGAGATGAAGCTGACAATGGCGTCCGTGCAGCGGTAGTTCTCGTGGAAGACCAGGCGGCTCTGCCGCGCCACCTCGTGAGTCTCCTGCTGGTAGCACAGGAAGAGGCGGTGCAGCAGCGTGTGCTCGGCCGCCCGGGCCCTGGCCACACTGAACAGCCGGGGTGTGACCTGCATGTGGTCGCCCGCCAGCACGAGGCGGGTGCCGTGCGAGGCATAGGCCAGCGGGGTGAGGGCCTCGCACTCCAGCATCTGGGCCGCCTCATCGATGAGAATGTGGGAGAAGAAGCCGACCGGCACCCTGAGCTCACGGGCCTGGGAGGTGGTGGTGACCACCACGCGGTGCCGCGCCAGCTCTGCCCGTGTGGGCGGGCGGAAAGCCTGGCGGTCGTCGGTCAGGCAACAGTACTGCAGCGTGACTGGGTCCGTCTGGCTCAGCGGCCGGTCCGTGTACATCACACGGAGAGGAGTGGCCTCGGGGTGGCCGCCGCTGACGTGGCTGTGGAAATACTCCCGGATGTAGATGTCGGCGGCACTGCGGGAGGGGGAGGAGCTCATGGGCTTCTTGCTGGGGGCCTCAGTGCTGTCCGCTAAAGCACCTACTGTGTGCCCAGCCGAGCTGCCCCTGAGCACAGCCCTTGTCTGGCTGTCAGAGGTGAGCAGCAAACACTGGTGTCCCTCCTGTCAGGAGTCCAAGGGGCAAGAGGCCACGGAGGGCTTCAGGCAACACCTGGGCGAGCCCAGCGGCTCCTCTGACACTGCAGACACCTGCACCTCCCTGGTCCCCAGAACCCCCAATCCAGAAATCAGCCCGGGACGTATGGCCACTGTCCCAGGCTCTTCCTCCCACTCCCCACTGGGCAGGGATGGGAAGGCCCCGGCCTGGGGAGGTGGTGGTGGCAGGAACCAGAGGAAACCACATAAACCAAAGGGGAACCTTGTGGTTAGGACAAAGATCTGTGTTTCTATAAAAACGAAAAACAAGACTCATCCCCAGAAGTCCTGGGTGGGCCATGCTGCAGCCTTCCCCGTGACACTCTCCTTGGGCCAGGGCCCCGGCAGAGGCACCCAGCTCCTCACCTGACAGCAGACCCGGCCACCCTCGGTGCCCTGAGCTGGGCCTGATAAAGCCAAAGCCCAAAGCTGGTCGGCTACAGGGAGTGCAGAATCAGAGGACTGGAGCACATCCAGGGGGTGACCGCCTGCCCGGTGTAGACTTGGGCCGGGCGTCAGGTGAGGTGGGGGCAGGCCAGGCTCGGGCTTACCTGTTGGTGTGTGTGCAGATGAGCACCTTGGTTTCAGGCCTCCGGATGACCTCCAGGGAGGCCATGGCCAGCGTGTAGGTCTTGCCGGTGCCAAAGGGGCCATAGATGAGTAGCGGGGGGACACGCCTCCCATCCCCAGGGCCCCAGCCCGCGATGAGCGCCACGGCCAGCTCCTGCTTGCGGTTGCCACGCCGCAAGGGTGGGACAGACCAAGGTCTGGGCAGGGCGCAGGTGGGCAAGTCGGGCACCACCAGCTGCTCCTCAGGCAGTGTGTCCACTGCCTGGTGCCAGAGGCGGAAGGTCATCGGGTCAATCTGGAACTGCACCTCCAGGACCAGGCGGGCCTCAGGCTGCAGCCCCAGGGCCAAGCAGCAGCGGGCCGGAAGCAGCAGCCACAGCGCCTGCTCTGAGCTGGCCCGCCTCTCCAGCCGCACCTCGAACACCGTATTGTCGGGTGCAGGTACAGGGGCCACCAGGGCTGTGCTGACCGCCCGGCCCAGCAGGAAGCCCTGGTCTGTGTCTGGCATCAGGGAGGAGGGGACGGGGACCTCTGCGTACAGTGCTCCCGGAGGCGCGAAGAGCATGTTCAGCGCTGGCGTCTGCAATGCCGTCTTCAGGAACACCTGGCCCCGCAGGGTCAGCCTGGCAGGATGGCCTGGGTCAGCTCATGGGGCCACAGCTGCCAGCCCCGCTGCCAAGTCCACGCCCCCATCCGCTCCCGTTGCCCCAGCCGCTCCCATTGCCCCAGCTGCTCCTGCTACCCCAGCTGCTCCTGTTGCCCCCAGCTCACTTGGCCACCAGCTGCTGCTGAGCCGCCTCCTCCTCATAGAGAAACTGGTGCATCCTCTGCCGATAGTTGGTTGGTGAGATGGGGCCCGAGGCCACGCTGCTGCGGTTGAACTCCAGGGCCAGGGCAGGGCCCTTGTACTTGGCCATCAGGGCCGTCTGCTCGGCCGTCCGCTCCACGCCAGGCACCACGTGGCGGTTGCCAGTGTGCCAGCGCTCCATCTCCTCAGGGTGGCCGAGCGCCAGATTCCTGCAGGGTCCTGGGCGACGCCCCTGGCCCAGCTGCAGCCCCAGCTTTTGTAGCAGCACCGGCCGGCGGCCAAAGTCGAAGACCACCCATTGCTCAAAGGTGCCGAACGAGGCAGCCTGCACACGCACTCCCACCTGGAAGTCGGCAGTGGAGCTGGGCACACGGAAGCGCTCACCCCGTGCGTAGAGCCGGCCTGGCGGGAGGCCGGGAGCCACCAGAGAGAAGTCGGCTCCTGGCTCCTGCTTCAGCAGGGCCACGTGTAGCAGGGGCTCCTGGAGAGGAGGCCAGACGGTGAGGGGGGCCCAGGGCTCCCCCCAACCCTCCCGAGAGGCAGCCTGGCCAGCGTAGCCCAAGTGCAGGGTTCAGGTCCTGGCCCTGCCACTTCCTGGATAGAACGCAAGCAGGCCACCCGGCCTCTGCCATCCTCAGTTTCTTCCTGTGCTACATGGGGGTGGCTGAACCCTCCTGGGGCCCCTGTGGATGTCCCGTGGGGCAGTGTGGGCAGCTTGAGGCCTCACCACCCACTCTCCAGGTGCCAGACCCTGGTGAATCCTTGTTTTTGTTTTGGTTTTTGAGACGGAGTTTCACTCTTGTCGCCAGGCTGGAGTGCAATGGCGCGATCTCAACTCACTACAACCTCCGCCTCCTGGGTTCAAGTGATTTTCCTGCCTCAGCCTCCCGAGTAGATGGGATCACAGGCACCCACCACCATGCCTGGCTAATTTTTTTTTTTTTTTTTTTTTTTCAGTAGAGACGGAGTTTCACCCTATTGGCCAGGCTGATCTCGAACTCCCGACCTCAGGTGATCCACCTGCCTCGGTCTCCCAAAGTGCTGGGATTACAGGCGTGAACCACCGCACCTGGCCAAATCCTTGTTTTAACCCATATACTCCATAGAATAACCCTGCCAAGGTGGGACTGTCCTGGCCCCCTGTCTCTAGGTGAGGAGACTGAGGCAGAGAGGCTAAGGGACCTGCTGCAGGTCACGCAGGTGCTGAGCGGCAGTGCCTCGGTATTAGCTCCATGACCCAGGCTGTTGACGTCTGCCCGGGCTGAAGTCACCACTTCCCCAGGGCTCCCTCCGCCCAGTCGGAGCTGTTCTCCGCTCACCTCAGAGTGGACGGCAAACGTCCAGCTGTACTGGGTCTTCCTCTCCTGGGCCTGGTACATCAGGGGCTGGTTGCAGGTGACACGCACTCCATCAAGGGTCTCTGCCAGCTGCGTGGAAGTCTAGCCTTCAGCAAGAGGCCTGGACCCCACCCCACCCCACCCACTCCCAGGGCCCACTTACCACAAGGACCTCACTGCTGCTGCGCTGGTACTCGGCCAGCAGCCGCTCCTGGTAGGGCACCAGCCCGTCCTGCCAGGCCGCCTGCCCCCGCAGCTCCACAGCCTGCGTGCGCCGGACCCACTCCTGCAGCTCCTGTGCTGAGTGTGCCTTGGTGCAGGCGTCCCCATACTCACAGAGGTCAGGCCTGGGGGACAGGGAGGTCAGCAGGGCTACACAGAGGCACAGCCGCCGTGCTGAGTTCAAAGGCCGGGACCCCTCAGCCCAATACTGGCCTCTGTAGGGAGCAGGGGCTTTATTCGTCCCACCCACTCCTGTGCTCCCGGGACAAGGCCTGGCTCAAGCAGTTCCCAAACATGAACCTCCCTTATCCGGGTCCTCAGAGGCCACATGGCTTTAGCCCTCAGCAGGTGGCAGGGAGGCCCCCGTCCACTGAACCTGGGAGCCTCTGGCTCTGCCTACGGTGGGCTCCTGCCCCGCTCCAAGCTCCTGGGAACCTCTGGCTCTGCCTACGGTGGGCTCCTGCCCCGCTCCAAGCTCCTGGGAGCCTCTGGCTCTGCCTGTGGTGGGCTCCTGCCCCGCTCCAAGCTCCTGGGAACCTCTGGCTCTGCCTGTGGTGGGCTCCTGCCCCGCTCCAAGCTCCTGGGAGCCTCTGGCTCTGCCTGTGGTGGGCTCCTGCCCCGCTCCAAGCTCCTGGGAACCTCTGGCTCTGCCTACGGTGGGCTCCTGCCCCGCTCCAAGCTCCTGGGAACCTCTGGCTCTGCCTACGGTGGGCTCCTGCCCTGCTCCAAGCTCCTGGGAGCCTCTGGCTCTGCCTGTGGTGGGCTCCTGCCCTGCTCCAAGCTCCTGGGAACCTCTGGCTCTGCCTACGGTGGGCTCCTGCCCTGCTCCAAGCTCCTGGGAGCCTCTGGCTCTGCCTGTGGTGGGCTCCTGCCCCGCTCCAAGCTCCTGGGAGTCTCTGGCTCTGCCTACAGTGGGCTCCTGCCCCGCTCCAAGCTCCTGGGAACCTCTGGCTCTGCCTACGGTGGGCTCCTGCCCCGCTCCAAGCTCCTGGGAGCCTCTGGCTCTGCCTGTGGTGGGCTCCTGCCCCGCTCCAAGCTCCTGGGAGCCTCTGGCTCTGCCTACGGTGGGCTCCTGCCCCACTCCAAGCTCCTGGGAACCTCTGGCTCTGCCTACGGTGGGCTCCTGCCCTGCTCCAAGCTCCTGGGAGCCTCTGGCTCTGCCTGTGGTGGGCTCCTGCGCTACTCCAAGCTCCTGGGAGCCTCTGGCTCTGCCTACGGTGGGCTCCTGCCCTACTCCAAGCTCCTGGGAGCCTCTGGCTCTGCCTGTGGTGGGCTCCTGCCCCACTCCAAGCTCCTGGGAACCTCTGGTTCTGCCTATGGTGGGCTCCTGCCCTACTCCAAGCTCCTGCCTCGAGTATCCTTACTTTGGGCAGAGCTCGAACTTGGAGAGTCCCGGGGGTGGGGAACGGTGCTCCCAGGGCAGGGCCTGGTCGAAGGCCACCATCTGTGCGTGCTCCGAGGATGCGCAGTGGTTCTCGAAGGCCTCCTGAGAGTGGCAGGTGACCAAGCAGGCCGGGCAGTACAGCTGGGCCCCAGGGGGCTGGCCAAGGGGGGCCGTGCGCCCGTCGCCATCAGGGGCAGGGGGTGTGAGCAGGTCCCCCCGCTGGAGGCCACCCAGCTGCTCGGCCTCCCACACAGCCATCTCCACGGCGCTGTGTGCAAACTGGCAGCGGGACTCCCCACGCCAGCACGGCTGCCCACGCCCCACAAACCTGCAGTAGGCAGGAGGCTGGCCGGCCCGGGGCCGCGGCCTCACCACCACAAACTGTTGCTTGCGGCGGCCCTCGGCGCTCACGTGGGCCAGGAGGGAGGGGCAGGCTCCGTGCTCAGGGCACTGCCCCTGGGGGTCCACGCGACAGATGCATGGGGGACAGCGCCTGAAGCAGAGGGAGCAAAGCAGCTCGAAGCGGCCGCCAAACTCCGTAAGGATGGCGTCGGCCGCCCGGCCTGCCCCTCCCTGGGCCCCGCTGCCCTGCACCTCCGCCTTCAGCCATAGGCGCTGGAGGTTGTGCTGACGCTCGAAGGTCCAGACCAGGGCCTCCTCGCGACTGCGGGCAAAGGTGCACCGGTTTCGGTGGCGCCGGCAGCCGAGCCCAGGGCTGTAGTAGTGGCAGACTTGGTAGCACAGGGGCCTTGGGAAGGTGGGCCGGCAGCCCACCACGCGCCAGACCTTGCTCTTGGTGGCCTGCTTAAAGCGGGCCAGCAGGATCTCGCGGGAGCAGTCATGCTCCACCCTACGGAGGACGTAGGTGCTTTCATTGAGCCGCTGGGTGCAGCGGGAGCAGCCCAGACACAGGTCCACCAGGGCACACAGCCGGGCCAGGGACGGCCCTCTGGTGGCCGCGGGGCTGTTGGGCAGCAGGGTGGACCCTGGAGGCGCCACCTCGAACACCAGCTTGGCTCTCCAGGGAGGCGTCTGAGGCTCCTGAGCTCACGGGTCCACGCAGTCCACTGGAACTGTTGGCCACGGTTCGAAGCCTGCGACAGAAGGAGCAGGTGAGACTGAGGCCAGAGGACATCTGGTCCAGGCCCAGCTCAGAAGCACGGCCTCTCCACCAGGCAAGGAGCTGGGGATCTGCCTATCCTGATGCCCAAGCAGAGGCCTCTCCACCAAGCAAGGAGTTGGGACTCTCCCCACCCTGACGCCCAAGTGGAGGCCTTGGCAGTAGCTGTGTCCTGTCAGGGAGTACAGGGCTCACTGACCCGGACACAGCCAGACCCTCCCTCCTGAAGGGTCTCAGGCCCCACCTAGAAGGAGCCAAGGTGACTGCTTGTGGAGCCCTGGAGGGGGCAGAGCCCTTGGCACAGTGCCGCCCCCAGGAGGCCGCACCCCTCTGCCCCAGCCAGGGGTCCTGTGCACCCCAGGGCCTCAGGCTCCTGACTCTTCTAAGGACACAGCACCTCCTTTTCTATTGAATGACCACTGGCCCCCAGGAAAAGAGGACTCCACATCTGCACCTGGGGAGGGGCCTCACGGAGAGGAGGGTACAGTGCCCACCAGAGCTCAGGGTGCCAGGAAGAGATGGGTCCCCGGGTCCCCACCGCAGCTGGGATGCTACAAGAAGAGTAAGTTTAAAAGCAACAGACTGGAGGCAGACTTCAGTATGAGAACCCGGCACTCCCCGCGGACCCCTCTGAGAAAACATCCGAGTCTGCCATCCAGAAAGGACGGGAGCCGAGACCCCAAAATCCTGCGCTCCAGTGGGTGCAGAGACCACAGCGCTGGGTCTTGCTGCGGAGGGTGCTGGTCCTGGACGGGCTGCACTGCCCCGGGCTGGGTCTGTGGCTCCCGGGACTCCGCGCCCCCGGCTGCACTCACCCTCCCGGACCCCCCCCTCCGCCCCCGGCCCCGCCACCCTGGGACCCCCGCGCTCACCCTCCTGGAGCCGCCCCTGGACCCCCGCGCCCCCGCCCCTCCGCCCTGGGACCCCCGCGCTCACCCTCCTGGAGCTGCCTGCCCTGCCGAGCCTGCCCAGGAGCTCTCAGTTTCGATTCTGGCCCGGGCACTGACGCTGATCGCGGAAATTACCTCACCGCCCCCCGCCCCGCCCCGCCCTGCCCCGCCTCCAGCGACAGCTCGGCCCCCGCTGCGAGGGAACCTCGGGAAGCGCCAGCGAGCAGAGGACGCCCCTCCCTGAAGGGCCAGCGCCGTCGAAGGCGGAGGCGGCTGGGGGTGGGGGTCCTTTCCCGCACCCCTCCAGGGCCCCACGCCCCGTCCAGCCCTTCACACACCAGAGACGCCCCGATGATGTGCCAGGCGGAAGGGGTGAGACCCTGCCCGGCCCTGGACGGCAGGATGGTCTGGTGACTCCACCATCAGCCCCTGGAGAAATCCAGGCACAGCTGACCTGGAAGCCTGGGTCCCCTGACAGGCAGGACCTGCCCGTGGCCCTGGTGCTGCTGGGACCCCAAGTCCCTTCTGTCACCAACCAGGATATGGCAGGAATGGCTAAGTGGCCGCCGGGTCCCAGAGTCAGCACGCCTGGCTCTTGGCTCTCTGGACTGGCTCTGGGCCCTCAGCAGCCCTGTGGGGAGGCCCCATAGAGGAGCTGAGGCCTCCAGCCCACTTGCAGCTCGAGTCCCAGCCCCAGCCTTACTGCCATCTCAGGGAGACCCCAGGCCTAACCCTCCCACCTAGACCACGCCCAGCTGTTAGATGTCTATGTTTAAAATAAACGTCCCATTAGCCAGGGGTGGGGGCGGGCGCCTGTAGTCCCAGTTACTCGGGAGGCTGAGGCAGAAGCATTGCTTGAACCAAGGAAGTGGAGGTTGCAGTGCGCCAAGATTGCGCCACTGCACTCCAGCCTGGGCAACAGAGCAAGACTCCATCTCAAAACAAATAAATAAATAAAATAAACATCTGTGTTGTTTTAAGCCCCTGAGCTTTGGGGCGATCTGTTCTGCAGCAGTAGATAACGGACAGTGATGCTGCCCCTGAAACAAGGAAGCAAGGCTGCCACCCAAGGCCAGCACCTCGTGGGGAGGGCCAGGCTGGGGGCTCACAGCGACCTCGGGAGGTCGGCTGGGTGGGCCGTCAACCACCAGGGAGCCTCTCCGCAGACCAATCACGTTGGAGCTCCTGGGAGAGGGCAGGCCCTCGACAATAGCAGCCCCAGGGGCCGGGCGCTGAGCAGGGTCCATGTGCGTGGAACGCTGGGAGAATTTGTGTGGAACGCTGTGTTCCTGGATGGAGAGGCTCAACACCACACAAAGACGTGAGTTCCTCCTAAACTAACCTGCAGTCGCATGGTGGACACACTGACTTTCAAGTCCATTTGGAAAAGCATCACATCACCAAGAAAGGCTGGACAGGGCTTTTTTTTTTTTTGAGACTGAGTCTCCTTCCATTGCCCCGGCGGGAGTGCAGTGATGCAATCACAGTTCACTGCAGCCTCGACCTCTGGCTCAGACAGTCTTCCCCCCTCAGCCTCCTGAGTCGCTGGGACTACAGGCACACACCACCACAGTACAGGTGCACACCACCACAGTTAACTATTTTGGAGTTTTTTCTATGTTTTTCAGAGATGGGGTTTCTCAATGTTGCCCAGGCTGCTCTTGAACTCCTGGGCTCAAGCAAACCCCCCACCTCGGCCTCCTTGAGTGCCGGGATTAGATTACAGGCTTGAATCCCAACACCCAGCCCAGGATGATGACTAAAAAGGATTCCCAGCGGGTGCTGGCATGACTTACTAAACACATAACACACTGCAAAGCCACTGAACCCGGTGTGGACACACAGTTCCAAGGCAGAACAGAGAGTCCAGAAATAGAGTCACACTCAGGAGTCTGGGGTGGGATGAAAGATTGGCTCTCGGCCAGGCGCACTGGCTCACGCCTGTAATCCCAGCACTTTGGGAGGCCAAGGTGGGCAGATCACCTGAGGTCAGGAGTTCGAGACCAGCCTGGCCAACATAGTGAAACCCCATCTCTTCTAAAAATACAAAAAAAAAAAAAAAAAATAGCTGGGCGTGGTGGCAGGTGCCTGTAGTCCCAGCTACTCAGGAGGCTGAGGCAGGAGAATCCCTTGAACCTGGGGTCGGGGGGGGCGAGGCGGAGGTTGCAGTAAGCTGAGATCACACCATTGCACTCCAGCCTGGGAGACGGAACGAGACTCTGTCTCAAAAAAAAAAAAAAAGAAAGAAAAGAAAAGAAAAGAAAGCTTGGCTCTCACACCTCAGGGAAAAACAATTCATTGATGCATTCCACAAATTATTAGAACAACTGATTAGCAGCATCTGGAAACAAAAATGGGAGGGACGGTCTCTGCGTAGCATCTTACACCATATGAAATAATCAAACACTCTCACGGAAGGAAAAGCCAACCACAGAGGCACTAGGAGAAACCAGGGCTGAAAGTGTCTGATTCTCAGGACTCTTGGGATGTGAAAGGCCTTTCTAGGTGAAATCCAGCCCTGCGCCACTCGCCCCCAGCCAGGCTCAAGGACAGGGCTGGTGGCTTCACACATGCCGTGAGGGGCAAGCATACACCCCAGAAATCCACAAAACCTGTCTCCTGAAGCACTGTTTTTTTCTTCTTAGAGAACGAATTAAACATCTACCAGCACAACAGTGATAAATTCAATGACACAAAACAATTTCACATGGAAAAAAACACCACCATCAAAGGAGTCAAAAACCAAACATGAACAGAAAACAAAATTGCAGCTTATGTCACAGTGAAAAGTCTGATCGCTCTGATATATATTTTTTTTTCTTGAGACGGAGTCTCACTCTTGTCACCCAGGCTGGAGTGCAGTGGCACAATCTCGGCAAGCTCCACCTCCCGGGTTCACGCCATTCTCCTGCCTCAGTCTCCCAAGTAGCTGGGACTACAGGCGCCCACCACCACGCCTGGCTAATTTTTTGCATTTTTAGTAGAGACGGGGTTTCACCGTGTTAGCTAGGATGGTCTCGATCTCCTGACCTCGTGATCCACCCACCTCGGCCTCCCAAAGTGCTGAGATTACAGGCGTGAGCCACCGCGCCTGGCCCTGATCTCTCTAATATTTTAAAGATCTTATAAATTAAGAAAAAGATGTATAATTTAAAAGAAAAATAGGCAAAGGATGCAAATCAATACTTCACAAAACGTGGAAAGTGAAATTGCTGTAAATGGAGTGAAGTGTTCAACCTCGGCGTAAGGGAAACGCAAACCAGCCCCAGACAACCCGTCCACCCCTCTGACATTGCAGGCACTCGGCCAGAGTCTAAACTGGCAGCACCGCTCTGGAAACCAGCCAGGCCCGGGAGCACAGGACACGCGCCTTCCACGTGGCTCCACAGAGGCTCCTGCACAGAGGGACATCTGTGCCCACCAACAGCTCCCGGCAGCTCCTTCTACACCCAATGGACCGGGAATGCCCAGGGCCCCTCGCTCAGGGTCTATGTAATGGGCAGTCTCCACCCTGTGCCATGGAAGACTCTAAGGCCATTAAAAATGAGGTTGGCCAGGCACGGTGGCTCACACCTGTGATCCCAGCAATTTGGTAGGCTGAGGCGGGAGGATCACTTGAGCCCAGGAGTTCAAGACCTCAGTAAGCTGTGATGGTGCCAGTGCACTCCAGCCTGGGAGACAGATCAGGACTGTGCGGCCAGGACAGGAGGGAGATGTCCTGTTTCCGCCCACCTTTCACATCTGTGCACGTCTTCTTAACTCAAAACAAAAACAAAAAGTGCCACCTCGAGTCCACAGAGCATTGAAAACCTGCAGGTTGCCGTGGACAGCTCTCTGGCTCCCGTCCAGCTGTGCTCAGGCCACAGTGACCCCTAACACGGGCTGAGTGTGAGACCACGGGAGAGAGTTCCACGTACACACAGCACACGGCCAACACGCTCACACGGGCTGAGTGTGACACCACGGGACAGAGTTCCACGTACACACAGCAC
Organism: Homo sapiens; assembly: GCF_000001405.40. Classification (NCBI taxonomy): domain Eukaryota; kingdom Metazoa; phylum Chordata; class Mammalia; order Primates; family Hominidae; genus Homo; species Homo sapiens. Next base: position 63,578,130 of record NC_000020.11, read on the forward strand.
ACGGCCAACAACACGCTCACACGGGCTGAGTGTGAGACCACGGGACAGAGTTCCACGTACACACAGCACACGGCCAACAACACGCTCACACGGGCTGAGTGTGAGACCACGGGAGAGAGTTCCACGTACACACAGCACACGGCCAACAACACGCTCACACGGGCTGAGTATTAGTAATATTATTGTATCCACGTCAGCTTCCTGACTTTGTAACAGACAGCTTCCACGTTCTGAGGAAACACACCTTGAAGTGATGGGGTAAAGGGTGAAGGGTGAAGGGTGAAGGGGTATCGTATCTGAAAGGTGAAGGGGTATCGTGTCTTAGTCTCAATTGCCTGGAACTACAGGCTTCTACAGAACCGGCAAATGGGCCAGAACAAAGCGACTGGTGAGTCCGCATAGAGCACAGGGAGTCCTTTGTTCTATTTTTGCAACATTTGTGTACGTTTGTTTAAATTATTATATCAAAATACAAAGTAAGAAATGTCTGCCCAACACCCTCAGCTTGTCTCATCCCGGTCCCTAGGTCCTCCTCACCCAGCGTCCCTGCCAGTGGGTTCCATGGCCCCCCAGTGCCAGCCTGCCGTCTGCTGCCCTCTGCCGTCTGCCATCACCTGAACCCTGCAGGAAAACGTACACACTGTCCCCAGCGTCACGAAGCAGGTGGAGGTCCCCAGGGCTTAGGGCCAGGCCTCAGTTTACCTGTGACTGTGGGCCATGTGCTCTCGGGCAGGAACTGACGGCCTCTGGGTATAACTCGCTTAAGCAGGTCTTTAACACCCGGTTCCCATCTTTCCAGAGACCCTCCCGGGCGCCCTCCCACCAGCCAAAAGCTCACACCCCTAGTGGAGGAGGTGATAGGGTCTGCAGTGGGAGGGAGTGGAGCCGATTTCAGATCTCCTCCTCTTGGCCTTGTGGGAGCCGTGCAGCCGGGAGGCCTCCTTCGAGATGAGCCCCTGGGGAGAAAGTCAGGGGGACCACACCTTCTCCTTGCAGGGGTGCCAGAAGGATCTGATGGGGGTTTAGTCCCAGGATGGGTCTACGCCCCCCGGGGCCTCCCAGCTGCTCTGTCCTCTCTCCCTGCCTGGCCTCTGCACACACAGCCATGTGCGTGTGACATTGTGAAATATACATTAACATATTTGGTCTCGTCCCGTTTCCTGGCAAAAACCCCTAAAATCCCTGGAGTAGCCAAAGTGGCAAGTGCCTTTTTGTGCTGATATTGACCGAAGGCTGGCAGCCTGGAGGCAGCCTCAGGATGGGGCTGGTCCTCAGAAAGGCCTCAGCAGGAGTAGAGGGTGGTACTTGCAGCCTTGCCCCAACCTCCAGGCAGGGGAGGGGAGAGGCGGCTGAAGGCGGTCCTCACCAGTGGCCAGTGACGTAATCAATCATGCCTGGGTAATGAAGCCTCCATGAAGTCGCAAAAGGACAGGGCTCAGAGAGCCGTGGAGGTTCCTGGACGGGGTGCCCTTGTGGGGTGAAAGCTCTGCGCCCCTCCCCTTACGCATCTCTTCATCTGCGTCCTTTGTAACGTCCTTTATAATAAATGGGTAAACATGTTTCCCTGAGTTCTGTGAGCTGCTCTAGGAAATTAATCTGACCCAAATATGGGGGTTAGGAACCTCAATTTATAGCCAATTGGTCTGAAGCACCCGGGGCTTGAGATTGGCATGGGGAGTGGGCAGCAGCCTTGTGTGGACATCTCCAGGTAGATGAGGATGTCTAAGGACAGATGGCGTCTCCAGCTAGATGGTGTCTCCAGGTAGACAACAACGTCTATGAATTGACGGTGTCTCCAGGTTAACAACAATGTCTCCAGGTTAACAACAATGTCTCCAGGTAGACAACAATGTCTATGAATTGATGGTGTCTCCAGGTTGACAACAATGTCTATGAATTGATGGTGTCTCCAGGTTGACAACAGTGTCTCCAGGTAGACAACAATGTCTCCAGGTTAACAACAATGTCTATGAAAAGACGGTGTCTCCAGGTAGACAACAATGTCTATGAATTGATGGTGTCTCCAGGTTGACAACAATGTTTCCAGGTTAACAACAATGTCTATGAATAGACGGTGTCTCCAGGTTGACAACAATGCCTATGAATAGATGGTGTCTCCAGGTTAACAATAATGTCTCCAGGTAGACAACAACGTCTATGAATTGATGGTGTCTCCAGGTTGACAACAATGTCTCCAGGTTAACAACAATGTCTATAAATTGATGGTGTCTCCAGGTTGACAACAATGTCTATGAATTGATGGTGTCTCCAGGTTAACAATAATGTCTCCAGGTTGACAACAATGTCTATGAATTGATGGTGTCTCCAGGTTGACAACAATGTCTCCAGGTAGATGATGGTGTCTATGGGTGGACAATGTCTCCAGGTTGATCTGGAATCCCTCCCACTGCAGACCCTATCACCTCCTCCACTCAAGGTGTGAGCTTTTGGCTGGTGGGAGGGCGCCCGGGAGGGTCTCTGGAAAGATGGGAACTGGGTGTTAAAGACCTGCTTAAGTGAGTTATACCCAGAGGCCGTCAGTTCCTGCCCGAGAGCACATGGCCCACAGTCACAGGTAAACTGAGGCCTGGCCCTAAGCCCTGGGGACCTCCACCTGCACTGTGATGCTGGGGAGGGTGTGTGGGTTTTCCCGCAGGGTTCGGGTGATAGCGGACGGCACAGGGCAGCAGACAATGGCTCCAAGTAGACGTCTCTAGGTAGATGGTGTCTTCAGGTAGATGGTATCGGAATTAAACTGGAGCACGCCCAGCCGGCGTCGGCTGCAAAACTGACTAATCTGTTGTTGGAACAGAACCCCCACCTGGTGTCAGCAGTGAGCTGTGCTGTGAGAGTGCAGGAGAAACAGCCTAGTTTTCTGACATCATTAGAGGTGATGAGCCACCTTCTCAGCCCCTGCTCACCTCTCCCCCACACTGAAGCCTGCTGGAGCCCTCAGGCCAGGCCCTGAGCAGGAGGCATGGGGTAGGTGTTGCAGGATCTAAAAGGCCTCCCAGGGGCAACAGAGAGCCTGGCCAGGGGCTGTGCCTTTCTCTGCTTGCCCCCACAGCACCCCCAAAGCTTGAGGCTTGATCAGATATCCCTGAGGTCTCCTGGCAGGGACCTTCCTAGTCCTCACTGGCCCCCAGTGTCCCTCTGCCATGTGGCCGCCTCTCCGGGATGACAGGGGGAGGGGCCACACTCCTGCTGGGGCTGGAGATGTTGGGGTCTGGAGTGGGTGTGGGCCTGCCCTGGGGCTGCTCTGGGCATCTGGTTGACACAGAGCCAGGTGCCTGTGCGCCCCGTGGGGCAGCTGTGCCCAGCCTGGCTGCCCTGGAGGAGGGAGCCAAAACCTGGGCCTTTCCACCCAGCCTTCCGGTCTCCCCTCTTCTCCCTGGACATACAGGAATGTGGCTTGCTCCTGACGCCCAGAAGTTCAAGTCCAGAACGTTACTGCAGATGTCGGGAGAGACAAGACAGGACAGAAGGGAGCCTGGGTCAGACCCAGGTCTGCGGTCTGTTGGTCCCCGAAGGGCCTGAGGCGGGGAAAGGACAGTCTTCAACAAGTGGCAGCTGGAACACGGAGTAAAGTTTCGGGAAAAACGAAGCTCAGCCCCACCTCGCATTGCACACAAAATTTAATTCAAGATGGAACATCTAAGCATCAAAGCTAAACTGTAACGCTTCTAGAAGAAAACAGGAGAAATCTTCACAACCTTGGGATAGGCATATATTTTTTTCTTTTCTTTTCTTTTTTTTTTTTTTGAGACAGTCTTGCTCTGTCGCCCAGGCTGGAGTGCAGTGGCGTGATTTTGGCTCACTGCAAGCTCTGCCTCCCGGGTTGATGCCATTCTCCTGCCTCAGCCTCCCGAGTAGCTGGGACTACAGGCGCCCACCACCACGCCCAGCTGATTTTTTGTATTTTTAGTAGAGACGGGGTTTCACCATGTTAGCCAGGATGGTCTTGGTCTCCTGACCCTGACCTCGTGATCCACCCGCCTAGGCCTCCCAAAGTGCTGGGACTACAGGCGTGAGCTACCGCACCCAGCCGGCATATATTTCTTTAAAAAGACATAAAAGGTAGAAATATAAGAGAAAAAAATTGATAAACAAGGTTATATAAGTAAAAAATGTCTGTACCAGTGAGAAAAATGAAAAGTCAAGCTATTAGTTGAGACAAAAATATTCAAAATACACATATCTGATGAACTATATGCAAACTGAAAATGTTTTTATCTTTGTTATTATTATTATGCTTTGAGACGGTCTTGCTCTATTGCCCAGGCTGGAGCGCAGAGGTGTGATCACAGCTCACTGCAGCCTTGAACTCCGGGCTCAGACAATCCTCCGACCTCAGCGTCCCAAGTAGCTGGGACTCCAGGCATGCACCAACACCCTCAGCTAATTTTAAAATTTTTTGTAGAGATGGGGTCTCACTATGTTGCCCAGGCTGATCTTGAACTCCTGGCCTCAAGTGATCCTCCTGCCTCGGCCTCCCAAAGTGTTGGGACTACAGGGGTGAGCCACCACTCCTAGAAGGCAGATTTTTTTTAATCTCAAAACTCAAAAGTCCAGTTTTTAAAAACAAACAAAATATTTGAACAGACACTCCACACAAGAACATATACAAATGACCAAAAGCACGTGAGAAGGTGCTTACCATCCAGTCACTGGGACACGCAAATGGGACCCAGCGAGAAACCACCTCACACGGGCAGACCGACTGCGTCCAGAGTGAGGACGGCTCGTGCCGCGGAGGGTGCGGAGCAGCCACCGCTCCCGTTGGTGCTGGTGGGGATACAAGACGGCACAGCCACCTTGGAAAACAGCTCGGTCATTTCCGATACAGTTAAATGAACATCTGTCTCAGGATCCAGCAGTTCGACTCCTGCAAATCTACCCAAGAGAAATGAAAAAAGGATCTTCATTCTTCACAACGCCTGGGCCAGGGAGCCCCTCCTGCTGGGGCCAGCGTGCTGACGCCCACACAGAGACACCCGCCGGTTCACAGCAGCCCCATTCCCAGCAGCCCCAGACTGAAAACAGCTCCAATGCGTATCACCAGGCGGCTGAATAAACAAACCGTGGAACGTCTGTACGACACAACACTACTCAGACAAAACCAAAACCGAACACGTCCGACCCACACAGAAGCATGGAGGAATCTCAGAAACAGTTCAGTGAAAGAGGCCAAACACAGACGAGTATTAAATGTGCGGTTCCGTTTCTATGAAGCTCAGGAACAGACGAATTCTAAAAACCAGGTCAGTGACTGTGAGGACAGGCCCGACTAGAGAAGGGAACAAGGGGAGTGTCCTCTGCCTGGTGCAGGCAGCAGGTACATGTGTCTGTATTGCTTAAAACTCATCCAAGGCTGGGCGCAGTGGCCTGTCATCCCAGCACTTTGAGAGGCTGAGGTGGGCGGATCACTTGAGGGCAGGAGTTCAAGACCAGCCTGGCCAACATGGTGAAACCCCATCTCTACTAAAAATACAAAAATTAGCCAGACATGGTGGTGCGTGCCTGTAGTCCCAGCTACTCTACTCGGGAGGTTGAGGCAGGAGAATTGCTTGAACCCAGGAGGCAGAGGTTGCAGTGAGCTGAGATCGCGCCACTGCACTCCAGCCTGGATGACAGAGCAAGACTCCGTCTCAAAAATAAATAAATAAAATAGGCCGGGCACGGTGGCTCATGCCTGTAATCCCAGCACTTTGGGAGGCCAAGGCAGGCAGATTGCCTGAGCTCAGGAGTTCAAGGCCAGCCTGGGCAACATGGCAAAACCCCATCTCTACTAAAAATACAAAAACTTAGCCAGGCATGGTGGCTCAAGCCTTTAATCCCAGCTACTCGGGGGACTGAGGAAGGAGAATCGCTTGAACCTGGGAAACAAGAGGTTGCACTGAGCAGAGGTCGCACCACTGTACTCCAGCCTGGGTGACAAGAGCAAGACTGTCTCAAAAACAGAAACAAACATGTCTAATAAGGGATCATTATCCAAAATATGAAAAGAACTCTTAAAACTCAACAATAATGAACAACCCGATTTTTTAAACAGACAAAAGATCTGAAGAGTCACCTCACCAGAGACAGAGAGAAGGCAAAGCAGCAGCTTGTGAAAGGGTGCTTCCCATCACACATCATTAGGAAATCTGCAAACCCAAACAGTGAGTTACCATCATACACCTGTGAGAATGTGCCAGGGCCAGGCGCAGTGGCTCACGCCTGTAATCCCAATGCTTTGGGAGGCCGAGGCTGGAGGATTGCGTTGAGTCCAGGAGTTCGAGACCAGCCTGGGCAACAGAGTGAGACCCTGTCTCCACGAATTTTTTTTTTTTTTTTAGAAGGAGTCTCGCTCTGTCGCCCAGGCTGGAGTGCGGTGGCGTAATCTCGGCTCACTGCAATCTCTGCCTCCCCGGTTTCACACCATTCTCCTGCCTCAGCCTCCTGAGCAGCTGGGACCACAGGCGCCTGCAACCACGCCTGGCTAATTTTTTGTATTTTTAGTAGAGATGGGGTTTCACCGTGTTAGCCAGGATGGTCTCGATCTGACCTCGTGATCCGCCCGCCTCAGCCTCCTAAAGTGCTGGGATTACAGGCGTGAGCCACCACAACCGGCCTCCATGAACACTTTTTAAAAAAATTAGCCGGGCGAGGCGTGGTGGCTCACATCTGTAATCCCAGCACTTTGGGAGGCCGAGGCAGGTGGACCACCTGTGGTCAGAAGTTCAAGACCAGCCTGGCCACATGGCGAAATCCAGTCTCTACTAAAAATACAAAAATTAGCCATGCGTGGTGGCATGCGACCGTAATCCCAGCTACTTGGGAGGATGAGGCAGGAGAATCACTTGAACCCGGGGACTGGAAGTTGCAGTGAGCGGAGATGGTGCCACTGCACTCTAGCCTGGGCGGCAGAGTGAGACTCAATCTTGAAAAAAATAAAAATAAAAATAAAGAATGTCCCAAACCCAAAACGCTGACAACGCCAAATGCTGGTGAGGACGTGGAACAGGAACCTCAGTCATTGCAGGTGAGGACGTGGAGCAGGAACCTCAGTCATTGCAGGTGAGGACGTGGAGCAGGAACCTCAGTCATTGCAGGTGAGGACGTGGAGCAGGAACCTCAGTCATTGCAGGTGAGGACGTGGAGCAGGAACCTCAGTCATTGCAGGTGAGGACGTAGAGGAACAGGAACCTCAGTCATTGCAGGTGAGGACGTAGAGGAACAGGAACCTCAGTCATTGCAGGTGAGGACGTGGAGCAACAGGAATCTCAGTCATTGCAGGTGAGGACGTGGAGCAACAGGAATCTCAGTCATTGCGGGTGGGAATGCGAGATGGTGCTGCCACTGGCGGAAGACACTTCAGTAGTTTCTTACAAAATGAAATACATTCTTACCACACAATCTAGCAGTTTCACCCCTTGGTATTTACCCAGATGAGTTGAAAGCTTAGGTCCACACAAAAACTTGCACGAGGGTTTTTAACAGCAGCTTTACTCATAATTGCCAAACCTTGGAAGAAACCAAGATGTCCCTCAGTCGCTGAATGGTATACTGTGGCCCATCCAAACAGTGGCATGTCACAAAGCACTCCACCCTCTGTGGGGACTCTGCCTTCTGGAGTGCCCTGGGCTGGACAGGCCACAGCCCACTCCCCACTCCTGTGTCCTCAGCTGAGGAGTGGCCAGTGCTGCACCGGCTCCTGGGGACACTCAGTGGGTACAAGACATGACCCCTTGTAGGTTTGTATCTTGTGGCCTCTGAAACCCCATGAAGTATCAGGAGGAGGAGATATCATGGTGGGATACTGAGGGGTGCAGCCCCCTCCAGGGGCAGAGGGAATGATGGGGGTGCTCAGGACGTGTCAGCAAATGGGAAGGGTCACAGCCGGAAGGGTAGCAGGAGGGTAGGAAGGGCCAGAGGTGGGAACCGGGTAGTTACATCGACCTGAGAGAGATGGAGGGGGCCTGGCCTCACAAGAAGGGGATGCATCGTGGATGTGAGGTTGCAGGAAGGTGGGCTGAGCCTGTGGGCAGGTGTTGGTGCTCCCCTCCCCGACGGGGCACGATGGGGACAGAGCATGGGAGGGAATATGAAGCAGGAGCTCTGTCTTGTACACATGGAATCTGAGGAGCTGACAGATGACCTGTGGGGAGGGTGGTCCCGTGCCAATGTGTGCTGGAAGGACATGCCTGTGCGTTTATCAGCTCTGGGCTGCAGCAGGGCACAAGCGTGGAAGAGCAGCCATGGCAGAAGGGCAGGTTTCAGAGTGGACTCTTGGAACCAGCGCCCTGTGCCCCTCCAGCCACCGTCCCGGAGGGCACCCAGTGACCCGGCTTTCGATGCCATTCTGCCTTGAGGGACGTGTCCAACTTTCCTAAGTGGAACCACGCGGCATGGACTTTTTTTTTTTTTGAGACAGAATTTCACTCTGGTCGCCCAGGCTGAAGTGCAGTGGTGCAATCTCGGCTCACTGCAACCTCTGCCTCCCAGGTTCAAGCGATTCTCCTGCCTCAGTCTCCCGAGTAGCTGGGATTACAGGCACCTGCCACCACGCCCAGCTAATTTTGTATTTTTAGTAGAGATGGGGTTTCACCATGTTGGCCAGGCTGGTCTCAAGCTCCTGACCTCAGGTGATCCACCCGCCTCAGCCTCCCAAAGTGCTAGGATGACAGGCGGGAGCCACCACACCCAGTGACCACACAGCGTGGACTTCTATGTCTGCCTCTTGCTGGGCCGTGAGTCTGGGAGGCTGGCCTGTGGCTGGTGTGCAGGCTCCTATGGCCTTGGGTGGACCATGGCAGCAGGGAGGGGAACAGCGTTGGTGACGAGAAGGCTCTGGGACTGAACCTGGGAGAGGGGAGGAAGGGGCCCCCCTGGGCGTGAGTCTGTTGAGCTCCTGACTGGCGGGCGCAGGCCCCTGTGCCACTGAGAGGTCTCCTTACCTGTGAGCGGCGGTGCCTCCGACGCCAGCCTCGGGTCAAGGTGGGGCCCAGGCTGTTCTTACTATTGTCCTCCAGCGATTTGCAGGACACCTTCAAAACCCTCACGAGTTACCGAATCGGCTGATTCAAAACCCTCACCAGGCACCAAATCGGCTGATGCTCTTGATCTCCGACTTGCCAGCGTGCAGAACTGCATAAATGAACCTCTGTTGCTTGCAAGCCCCCCAGCCTGCGGTATTTTGTTACAGTAGCACTAACGACTAAAACGGCCATGATCCTCCCACCAGGCCTCTTGAAAACTCCGATGCGTGCTGGGGAGAGAAGGACAAGGGCACAGGGCACCTGCTGTGATGAAAACAGCTTTGACCTCGGGACACCCTGGAAGGGTCCTGAAGCCCCCAGGCCACACTTGGAAGAACGAAGCATGTGGGTGTGAGTGGTCCGGGGCGGGGGTGGCAGCCAGCGCTGTTTGCGTTGGGCGTGTTTATAGACTTGATTTCTCTCCACACTTCATTCCAAGAGATAGACACTCAAACTATGAAAATTGTTTTTATTTTAAATCAAAGTACCAGGCAGATACTTGCAAAACAACATACAAAGCAAAACTCAAACATGGCCCTTCCCTAGGGCGCCTCTGAGCAGGCACAGAGAAGTTCTCACCCTCTGCAAAATCCAATCCAATCCTATCTTCTCAGAAAACCAAACCAAAGGCAGCCATGAAAACCCGTGTTCTGTACGTGGTTGAGAAGGTCCTCCTCTCTGAGTACTGGCTGGCCCCAAGGCGCAGAACTGGGAGGTCCAGGGAACCCTGCCCCCGAGGAGCCAGCAGGACCTGGAGGAGCCGGGGGCGGTGCTGACAACAACCTTCCCCACCCACTGCAGTGTGGTTCCCATGAGGATGAGGGCTTCTCCAGGGCCCTTCCCCACGCTGGGGCTTGGAGCCCCTGCCAGAAGCAGCTGGGTTGGCGGTAGATGTCCCCGAGGGCCTTGGGAAGCACTGGGAATGGGCTCCCAGCCCTGGTGGAATGGGGGATTGGGAATTAATTCTGAAGCTGGTTGTGGCTTATTTTTGTATGGCTCTGAAATTAACTTCCTCTCCCTATGCCTCAGTAGCTAAGGGGCAGGGGCAGAAAAGGTCCCAACCCTGTTCTTAAAAAGAAAGGAAATGAACCCACAACCCACTGGAAGTTCTGTTGACGAGGGCTGTCAAGGCAGACGCACTCGTGACTTTGACAAAGGGAAGCAGCTGGAAGGTTGCGGGTCCCAGGGTCACAGGCAGCTGTATTAGTGACAGGTTCTGAGCTGGTGGGTGGGGGCCGCAGGGCTCTCCTGACCCCCGTAGGGTCATACCGCTGCATGCTGCAGAACTCAACTAGAGTGGAAATGAGTTTAAAACGGAGTATGTACATCAAAAGATCAACATCACGCCGAAACCAGCTGACTGTGACAACAGCAAACAAAAATGTAACAGAGAAAACAAACAAGACACAGCCTCAGTAGCTTGACATGGGTGAGGGCAGCCAGGACAGGGCCCTGGTGACAATGGCGCAGAGGTGGGGTCTGGGCCGCTCACTGGACGGACAGCCAGCCAGTTCCCTTCGGAGCAGTGAAGTGGGACACAGGACCCTCGCATTGCGGGGCCTCAGACGGGCCTTCAACTGCCGACAGAATCAGCAGGAGCGTCCAGGGGAATCTGGCACTCAGGGTCCTCCCGGGACATGCCCTGTTGGAGACGGCAGGAGGCCTGGGCTGGCTGCTCCCTGAGATGCCTGCCCCAGGACCCTGGCCTGGAGGGGCCTCAGCCTGGTCTTCCTTGTGAGTCCAAGGCCAGGTCTCAGGACAGCCACAGACAGCCCTTCCAGACAGGCTCTGGGCTCCACCTTCGGCAGCTGCCCTGAGCAGCCCACCCGGGGCAGCCTCCTGAACACCCAGGGGCTCTCCCTTGGACAGAGACCACCAAGGGCCAGCCCAGGGGCTGCATGGGGGCCGGGGGCCAGGGAGCCAAGGGCTGTTCCGTGGCCAAGCAGCCCAAGCTGAAGGGCCCACATGGGAATCCTCGACCTCCATAGTGACTGGTTCTGTTTATGCCTCTGCCCCAGGACTGAAGCCCTAGGGACACACCTCATGGATCTCAGACCCCTGGGAGGGGCCGGCTCAGGGACAGGCTGCCCAGGACCTCCGCACCCGGTCAAGTGCACTCACAGGGGCTCAGGGGCCACCCAAAGAGCTAACTCGGGAAGCCTAGGCACTCACCATTATTTTGGTTGAAAATGCTATAAATCTGACTCTTCCTAGAAGCCTACTAAGCAATTCACTTAAAAACACCCTCAGTACATGTGCAACAATGCCTGGACCACGCCTCGTCTGTGCGGCCCCTGGGCCACCTGAGCACCGGCTGGGGGCGGGGGAGGCAGGCACCCATCAGGATCTGCACCCCAAGCTCCGGGTGCATGTTCCCAACTGGAGGAGAACGGGGCGCCAGCCACACTAAACCTACAGAAAACTGTGGGAAGAAACCAAATCCATAGGATCCAGAGGTTTCACACTTGGGCTTAGCTCCCAAGTCATGAGTTAGTAACGTCCCCAGGGACCTGGCTGGGTGCAGACATGGGGGCCTCGTGACCTGCTGCACCGCGTCCAGCACCTGCAGGGTCGCGCTCGGCACCTGGCTCTGCTTCCTCTGTCTCTGCTGCACCCAGGCTCCCCCTAGCCCCCGCCCACCTGGCTCCTGATCAAGGCCCAATGTGTAAACAGTATTAATAAGCAACAGATGGAAAAATATATTTCCCAAGAAAAAAGGGGGAGGAAACGTGGGACCTGAAGACCGATTTTCCAGGTTGCTCTCGCTGTTCTGTCCCCTTCTCTCTTCTCGTGATTTGTTTTGGCGATTCCTCTCTTTGGTTCTGCAGACCACGTGACCCACCTGCCCGAGCCAGCCCTGCGGCCTCTGCCCGCTCCCTGCTGCCGCGGCTGAGAGACAGCCAGCCCTGTCCGTCCCAGGGGCCTCGCCCTCCTGTCGGCTACTTCCGCTCGTGGTCCTCTGCCATGGCAGCCACCTCAATGGTGGCCGTGTGCTCCTCAGGCCCGGGGGCAGCCCCTGCGGGCACTGTCACAATTGTGCTGGAGCCAGGCGAGGCCTGGGCCACGTTCTGCAGGGTGGGGCCCAGGCCAGGCAACGTGAGCAGCTGTAGCGGGCTGACCACCTTGAACACCGTGCTACCGTCCTGCACGGCGGCCGTGCTCAGGACCGTGAGGCTGGACGCGTCCGGGTGGATCTCCACTGTGCTGGGGTAGGTGGAGCCGGAAGAGGCCAAGACTGTGTATCCCCCGAGCAGCGGGGAGGCCGGGGAGCTGGCGGGGGGCGCCTGAAGGGAACCCTTGCCCAGGACGGTGGACGGCAGGGTGGACACCACTTTACCAAGGGGCACGCTGGTCAGCTGGGGGACGGGCACGCCCGGGCCAAGCGCCAGCTGGGCAGACTGGGTGAGCACCTGCGAGGCCATGGCGGCCGGTCCTGATGTGGCACGTGCAAGCCGGGGCCGCTTCACAGGCGGTGGCAGGGAGACCGGCGTCAGCGTCATGAGCACGTTGCTGAGGTGCTGGGACTTGTGCTTCAGCTCCTTGGCTCGGCGACGATGCTCATCACACTGCTGCTCCAGGGCTGCAGGGAGGTACAGATGGCATCACACAGGGGACGGGGGCATGGATGGCGGCATGCAGGGGATGGGGGCAGACACGCCACACCATCTGGGTGGCCCCTGGGTCAGTGGCAACCCAGGTCTGCTCACCTGATGCCACAAACCCAGATGACCACATGGCCGCCAAAGGTGAGGTCTGTGGGAGACGGGGCCCAAGATGGCCCTCGGGGTAGACACCAGCCTGTGCTGACCCAGGGTCTGCACTGACCCGGGGCCTGTGTGCAAGCGTGGCAATCCCGTCTCAGACCCTCCTGCACTGACCCAGGGCCTGCGTGCAAGCGTGGAAATGCCGTCTCAGATCCCCGCATGAGCTTTCACACACCCAGCGTGGAAAGTTGCTCTTGTGACATATTAAGAGAGAGAGGAGGAAAAGCAGCACATGTGGCACATGTGTTTAAACATAAACATGCACACACACATGCAGAGTGCACACACACAATGAACACAAACAGTGAACACACAAAGTGAAGAGTGAACACACAGTGCACACACACTGAATACACACACACTGAACACAGTGAACACACACACTGAATACACACACATTGAACACACAGTGAACACGCAGTGAACACACACACACTGAACACACACACAGTGAACACACAGTAAGCACAGACCCCAAGAGGAGCATGGAGGAAACGCACCAATATCAGGGGCTTGAGCTCTGAGCGGGGTCAGGACCAGCCCTTCCCATTCTCTGTCATTGTTTTTTTTTGAGACAGGGTCTCGCTCTGTCACCCAGACTGGAGTGCAGTGGTGTGATCTCAGCTCCCTGCAACTTCCACCTCCTGGGCTCAAGCAATTGCCTGCCAGCCTCCCGAGTAGCTGGGATTACAGGCACACACCACCATGCCCAGTTTTGTTTTGTTTTTTTCAGCAGAGATGGGGTTTCACCACGTTGGCCAGGCTGGTCTCAAACTCCTAGCCTGAAGTGATCCGCCCGCCTCGGCCTCCCAAAGCGCTGGGATAACAGGCGTGAGCCACCGCGCCTGGCCTCTGTCATTTTCTCTTAAATAACTACTTGGTTCATCACAGAAATGCCGGTAAATGTAAGCTTAGTGCAATGGAGAGGTCTGACTACCTCACTTAAGCTTCAGGTTGTTTTCCTCGCACAACAGCAGTGCGGAGAAGCTCGCCGTGGTGGCGGTGACTCCAGGAAGTGCAGGTGGATGCACAGCCGTGGGGTGAGCCCGTGGGCTCCAGGTCCTCAGCCTACCGCCCAGGGGACGGGACGGGGGTGGTCTCAGCATACCTGCCAGGTCCCGGGCGTACTGCTCCCGCGAGCGGTCCATCTGGCACTTGTGGCTGGCCAGCACCTTCTTCACCAGGTCCAGCATGCCGAAGTTCTGCACGATGTTGTTGAGAAGTACAGCATCTTAAAGGGTAACGCGGACACTCAGTGAGAGCCCAAGCCCTTCCTAGAGAGCCACGCGGACGCTCGGTGAGAGCCCGGGACCTTCCTAGAGAGTCACGTGGACGCTCGGTGAGAGCCTGGGCTCTTCCTAGAGAGTGAGAACACCACCACTGAGGCTGCTCCTCAGGAACCCAGCCAGCCAGGAGCTCAGTTCAGAGGGAGAAGACTGAGATACATCAAGGCGATCCTCCCACCAAGTTCAGCCTCAGCACAGCAGGAGTCCCAAGCCTAGATTCAGCCTCCAACCCAGCAGCACAGAAGGGCCTAGGGGCAGGAGGGCCAGTGGCCTCACCTCCTGCAGAGACTCCTGGGCTGAGTAGCCAGCAAGAGGGAAGATGCAGCTTCTCACCTCGAAGCTGCAGGGGAGGGTCCTGGACCCGCTGCTGCAGGCCTCTCATGGTCTCCACCAGCTCCTGGTGGAACTCCTGGATGACCTCGTCCAGCAGGCCGGCGTCCTTCAGCCCCCGCCAGAAGGTAAATGTGTCATCTGTGAGGGAAGGAGTGGGTTCAGTGGGCAGGGAAAGTGCTGCTACACGGGGCAGCCACCACAGCCACAAGGACATCACCATAGCCACGAGGACACCATGCCAGAGCCGGCAGCGCCTGGCACTGTGCTGGGCTTGCACTGCCCAGACACATCCACAGTGCCAAAATCTAGCAGGTCAGCCTCAGAGCGCCCACGACAATGCTGCTGGAACCAGGCCTTTCTCCACAAAGACCCTGCCGGCCCCACCTGGACTCCTGGAGCCCCTGTGTGGCCCGAGGTGGGCAGAGACTCCACCACCCCGCCAGGGCTTGTGAGAAGCCCACAAGGAGGAACCTCGTACCTCCAATGGCCGCGGTCCAGTCGCCAGGGTCTTCACAGGTCTCTATGGTGATGGTCGCAGGAGACCCATTCACTGCAGCCGAAAGGGAACCTCGGGTGAGTGCTGTTTGGACCACAGTCCCACACCCCACATACCCTGTCCACCCTCCTCACACCACCTTCTGAACCTTTCCATCTGTCTTCACAAAACTGACAAACACAGGATACGCACTAGTACAGCCAAAGTGTACCTGCCTTATATTTTATGGCTATTTTTAATCACAGACGTTGTCAAACATACAAAGGAGAAACAACGCAGAAACAAATCCCTTGAACCCGTCACCCAATTTCAGCAAATCCTCAACACTTTCCTCCTCTTGTCCATTTACGATTGTACTCAACAAGCACTTTCGACTGGACCGTCAGGAGCGAGACAAGGTGATCCTTCTGCTTGACTTGTTTTCCCACCGAGAGCTCTGCGGCTGCGTCTGTCGCCCGTGGGGCTCGCCCTCACCTCGCCTCTTCAAGTGATGCTTCATTGAAGTCATCATAAATCTCAGTATCTATCATGTTTCCATTTTTCTACACCAGAACAAGTGGGGCTTTGAGAGACAGAAACCGTCCTGGCTCTTCCTGTGGGTCCCTCTCTCGCGCCTGCAGAACACAACTGGGCGTGTCGTTCATATGTGGCCATTTTGGGCGTTGCTGATAGAGACTTTATACACAGATCTGGCTTAAAAAACAAACCCGGGGCCGGATGTGGTGGCTCACGCCTGTAATCCAGGCACTTTGGGAGACTGAGGCGGGTGGATCACCTAAGGTCAGGAGTTCGAGAACAGCCTGGGCAACACGGCAAAACCCCGTCTCTACTAAAATACAAAGTCAACCGGGTGTGGCGGCGTGCGCCTGTAATCCCAGCTACTCGGGAGGCTGAGGCAGGAGAATCGCTAGAACCCGGAAGGCAGAGGTTGCAGTGAGCCGAGATCAGGCCCCTGCACTCCAGCCTGGGCGACAGAGCAGGACTCCTTCTCCAACACCACCACCAACGACCTGGAAGCAGTTGAATGTTTTGGGAATACTGGCCTTTTCCACATTCATCAAAGACATGGCAGTGGTGAGTATGACTCATATTACACATCTGGAATTATTTGGGGCGTGAATGAGTCGTTTTTCCGAGTTGGGGCTGGCACAGCATCTTTTACTAACTGCACAGTAGCCAAGTCAATGGTTCTCAGAGATTGCAGGTTAAAGAACCCAAATCATCTTCAGAAGAGCTGAGCCTCAGCCTAGCTGTGAGGCACTGACTACAGGGCGTGGAAGGCCCAGTTCCTTCCCTGGCAGGCGGTCAGGCAGGGCCAACACTAACGCGGTGGAGCCGCTGGGGAGGCCCTGGGGAGGACAGACAGGAGGCTGGGCTCTACCCAGCCCCTCTGACCACAGCAGCCCAAGTGTCCTGGGCTTCTCAGGACTCAGCACTGAACCTGCCAGGCTGCCCCAGCAGGACGTGGAAGGGGGCCCAGGAGAAGGGTGAGGCCTCCCTAGTGCCCTGGCCTCACTCTCCTACCCAGCGGGACAGGACAGGACTCAACTGGGTCCCACCTGGGCCAACAACAAGGACGTCCCTGGGCACACAGGAACACAATCTGGCCAGCAATGCGGAGTGGCAGCTTAGGGACAATGCATGTGGCATTGCTGGAAACACATCACCAAAGACCACCCAGAGATGTGACCAGGGAGCCCAGGACCTAACTTCACTTTAACTTCAGTTTTTTTGTTTTGAGATGGAATCTCACACTGTCGCCCAGGCTGGAGGGCAGTGGAGCGATCTCAGCTCACTGCAACCTCCGCCTCCTGGGTTCAAGCGATTCTCCTGCCTCAGCCTCCTGAGTAGCTGGGACTACAGGCATGCACCACCACACCCGGCTAACTTCTGTACTTTTAATAGAGACAGGGTTTCATCCTGTTGGCCAGGCTGGCCTCAAGTGATCCACCCGCCTCGGCTTCCCAAAGTGCTGGGGTTACAGGTGTGAGCCACCACACCCAGCCTAACTGTAGTTTTAAGAAAAATTTCTCTATTCATAAAGCTGGAAAGAATTCTAGGGAACAACCTCTCCACAGTTTAGAGCTACAGACACCAACGTGGAACAGTATCTAAAGCGTCACCCAAAAACCCAAGTGGCAGGAATACCTGCAGCAAGGCACCCAGCACGGAAGGCGGGAGCACAGGCGCGCAGTTCCGTAAACCGCCAGGTCAGGAGGGAAGCGGGTCCAGATTTGGGGCTGGGCCGTGGGGGTGGGAGGGAGGGGGCCGGGTGGGCGCCCAGGCACTCTCTGTTACTCGCTATACCCTTCCCCACACGTGAGTTATTATATTACAACCAAAATGGCTTAAAAAGAAAAGTGCTTCAATCTTCCTTGTCAATGAAAGCAGCAATTCTGCCAGATCTCCTCTGTGAGGCAGGAGGAGGCTGATCCCAGACAACTCAGGGTCCCAGGCAGGAGACCGGCAGTCCTGGCGTGAGCAAACGCCTGGGGCCAAGGAGGCCACCCAGGGGCATGTCACCCTCTGTGGCCATGGCCAGGGTGGGGCTGGGTCAGGACGAGCAGCCCTGTGCACCTACCGTCGGCTGCGGCGGGCGTGAGGGGAATGTACTCGGCCGACGTGGGGCTGCTCAGGGACACACGGGCTCCTGAGAGGTCAATCTTTGTGCTGCGGCAGGTGTTGGAGCAGACCTTGTCATGCTGGTAGAAGTCCAGTTCCCCGGAGTCCATGATCTTCCTGTGACAGACAGTGGCATGGAGCGTCCAGGTCGGCCCCAGAGCCGAAGGCACCTGGCCCGCCCACCCTGACCTGGGCCATCCACCTGCGTGGGGCAGGCCTAGCAGAGGCGCTGGCAGCTCCACAGGGCAGGGTGGGCTCTACTTCCCTCTTAGCGCGAGCTCGGCGTGCAGGACCCTGCTGCTGAAGAAGCAGCCGGCCCAGGCCCACGCTACGGCACTGTCCCCAGGAAGGGGGCAAGCGCTGGCCAGTGGGTGTCCTGGAGGTGCCCGTCAGAGTCTGTGGGGCTGGGCCTTTCTGGGATGTCCCACTACCCCAGCCCCAAGGGAGTGACCCACAGCTAACAAAGGTGGGCCCAGTCCACCTGCATCATGCGTGACTCATTCTGAAGCAGAGGAAGGTGGGAAATCACTTCCAGGAGAACCTTCCTCCTTCTAAAGGCACAGAGACAGCCAAGAAGAGTGATGAGGGCGCAGGACAGCACCAACGGCCATGGCTGCCGCTCATCCTCATCTTTACCAGGAAGGCTTCGTACGGCCCAAACTGCTGAGAGCCGCCCTCCCAGGGCCCTCTCTTCTGCCTCTCCGGAGGTCCAGGGTCTCAGTCCTGTGTGTCTCAACGAGCCTGCCTCGACCCATGAAACGAGGGTCAGAGGCTCCAGCCTCATTCAATCTTTGGGCAGCACTGACCTCAGGCACACACAGGCTAATGCTTCTGTGGTCAGCTCAGGACTTGCCTACCTGGCCGGTGGTCCCCACAGCTGTGCCACCAGCCACGTTCCAGAAAATCAGAGGCCAGTTCAGCTGGACAGGGAAAGGACCTGAGCCATGGGAAAGGACCCAGGGCTAGTCACTCGTGAGGTCTCAAACTCTGACTCCAGCACAAAGCAGGGGCCCTCCTTGGGAAGCAAGGTAGAGGCCAGGCCCACAAAGACTGAGACTGAGGCTTATGATTCACAGATAAGTGAAGGCCGGGCACGGTGGCTCATGCCTGGAATCCCAGCACTTTGGGAGGCTGAGGCAGGTCAATCACCTGAGGTCAAGTGTTCGAGACCAGCCTGGACAATATGGCAAAATCCCGTCTCTACTAAAAATACAAAAATTAGCCGGGTGTGCTGGCGAGCACCTGTAAACCCAGCTACTGGGGAGGGTGAGGAAGAGAATCGCTTGAACCCAGGAGGCAGAGTTCGCAGTGAGCCAAGATCATGCCACTGCACTCCAGCCTGGGCAACAGAGCAAGACTCCCTCTCAAAAAAAAAGTGAAAGAAAGGACAGAAATAAGGAGTAACATAAAAGGCCAAAATCTGATGCACAAATACCAGATTATACCTTTCTTTTATTTTTTATTTTCAGAATGCATAATTGGAACAGACCCTTTTCTTTTCCTTTTTATTCTTGTTTTTTTTTTTTTTTGAGACAGAGTCTCACTCTGTAACCCAAGCTGTATTGCAGTGGCACAATCACAGCTCACTGCAGCCTTGACTTCCAGGCTCCAGTGATCCTTCCACCTTAGCCTCTCGAGCAGCTGGGACCACAGGCATATGTCACCAAATCCAGATAATTTTTTTTTTATTTTTAGTAGAGATGAGGTCTCATTATTGTGCCCAGGCTGGTCTCAAACTCTTGGCGTCAAGTGATCCTCCTGCCTCAGCCTCCTAAAGTGTTGGGATTGCAGGTGTGAGCCATGTGCCCAGCCAACCCTTTATTTTACAACGCTGAAACAGTCACAAGTGCCTTCAGGTAAAGAATTGGTGGAAATTAAAATGACTGACAAAACAATTCTAAAAATCTGATAGTGTCCCTGTTGGCAGGAGTGTGGGAGACGGGTTTACAGTTTTGGGTGTGAGCAGGTGCAGCAGCCACCCGGGAGGTTGTCAGCACTCACCACATCTAAAATACGCCTCATCTTCAAAATCCCAAAACCCCACAAGAAAGCAAGAGCTGCCAGGGCCCCTTCCAGCAGGGAGGCTGACCCTGCGCCAGCGCCCACCTGAGCATGATGCCGTTCATGCGGATGGCTCTCTTCCAGTCCTTCAGGGTGGACTTCCCGGCCAGGTGCACAAATTCCTTTGGGCTGATTACATGCTCGTCGTACTGTGGGGGACACAGTCATGTGGGTCAAGCTTGGCCGGGACACCACATAGGGTGCCCCCATCTCCCATCCGACCCTGAGTCAGGCGCGCAAGGCAGGAAAAGCGCCACGGCACGGCTCTGACCGGTGCAGGCCTCCTACAGAGCATTCAGGTAAAACAAGGACATGACCCACAGGCACGGTGGCTGCAGTGGGGAGTGGTGTCTCCTCCAGCCCTGAGGGGGCAGAGCTGCTGTGTGCCTGGGGCTAGACAGGGCTGGGCTGACCACACCAGGTAGAAGGTGTGTGGCCTTCTCTTCCTCCAGGCAGACTAAGCAAACTGCTTCTGTGCAATGTATTTTATAAATACACGTTATTGCATACGTTACATCGCAGATGGCAACAGATGCCAGCACATGGGTGGAGCTGTGAACGCCACCTTCCTCAGGTCCCTCCTGACACCACCTTGCCCCGTGCAGCAAACACCGGCACCTGCTCTCACTCTGACACACACACACACACACACACACACACACTCATCTGTTTCTAAGCCAGGGGAACCCTCCTGCTTGCTAATTTCACCCATGTGGGAGCTCAGAGAAACTGAGAAGGTAAAATATCCTGTTCAATCTTGTTACACAAGCAATTATTGAAACCAAAAACTGGAATAAAACTGCATTTACTTAGAAAACAAGCAGGCTGGGGATGGAGGAGTCACGAGGTCTCTGCAGCTGGACCCAGGAGGCCCGAGTACGGGGGCCGCCTCCACCCCCGGGCCGTGCCCAAGTCTAGCTTGCTGAAGGAAGTGATGTTCCCAATCCCTGAGCCCACCCTCTCATGACCCCTGTGCCACAGACGGGAACACTAAGCCCAGCCAGTCTCTGGCTCTCCCTCATGCGGCTGATCAGGGAGATCCCATAGAAGTCCAGAAGGTGGAATCCAGAAGATTCTCTGGCCACTGTCGGAGCCTGGCAGGAAGGCTGCACTGGCTGTGACTGAGGCTGCTTCCGGCCATCACTTCTACCCAACGTGGCTCACACCTAGGAAACTCAACTGCACCCAAAGGGCCTGATCCTACCTAGGGCTCTGGGCTCAGCCAGCCTCACCTCCCTGCCCCTCCTAGGCCTGCCTCTTTCCTTTCTTGCTTTCACCTTTGTTACTCTTCTCACCCCAGGTTTTCCTCTCCCAGCTAGGAAGCTACATGCTGTACTCTCATGAGTGGCTCCAGGAGCTTCAGCATGTCACGCTTACCAGAGCTGCCAGAGCCCAGAGCTAACGCGGCCACTCCTGACCCCCCAGAGCTAACGCAGCCGCTCCTGACCCTCCAGCGCTAACGCGGCCCGCTCCTGACCCCCCGGAGCTAACGTGGCCGCTCCTGACCCCCCGGAGCTAACTCGGCCCGCTCCTGACCCTCCAGACCACAGCCACGTGGCCCTGCTCTCATCTCTGAGGCCCTCCAGGGCGTCTCTCTCGATGCTGAATAGACAGGACTGGTCGGGTGACCCACGTTTCCCCGACTCTTCACACCTCCTCACAGCACAGCGCTTCCATCTGGAGGCCTCCTATCTCCGCCTGCAATGCATATTTAGAACATCCTTCCATCATGATCTGCTGGTGGCAAACTCGTGTCTTTTTCTGGAAACGTCTTTCTTCCAGCATAATTTCAAAGACGACCTCACGGTGTCGTCACTCGCCACACAGTGAGGCTCTGGCGCTGCCACCTCTGCTCCTGCGCTGCTTTCGGGAGCTCACGGCCGGCGGGATTCTTGCTACTGAGCGATCCGTCTCTCCTCCTGGCTAGACTGAGGATCTTCTCTGTCCCCGTCCTTCTGGAATTTCATTATGATGTCACCTATGGTACATTTCTTTCGTGTTTCCAACTTCTAATTCTAATACAATTTCAAACTCACAGGGTAATTGCCAGGATAGTCCAGGGAGCTCTCACACGTGCGTTCCGGACTCACTGCCTGCTCCCGTCTGCCCCCTTGCCCCCGCCTAGACCTGTGCACGTGCAGCTACTGAGAGTGAAGCAGAGACGTCGGGCCCCTGGGCCCTCAACACTTGTGTATATTTCCTAAGAACAAGCTTCTCTTACGCAGCCACAGAACAACTCGCATCAGGAAATTATCATTCATACATTATTCTCTAATCCATTGTCCATAGTCAAATTCATGAATTGTTCCAATGATAGCCTTTATTGCAAAAAAAAAATTTTTTTTTTTGAGATGGAGTCTCACTCTGTCGTCCAGGCTGGAGTGCACTGGTGCAATCTTGGGCTCACTGCAACCTCCGCCTCCCGGGTTCAAGAGATTCTCTTGCCTCAGCCTCCCGAGTAGCTGGGAGTACAGGCACATGCCACCATGCCTGGCCAATTTTTTTGTATTTGTCGCAGAGATGGGGTTTCACCATGTTGGCTGCGCTGGTCTCGAACTCCTGACCTCAGGTGATTCACCCGCCTCGGCCTCCCAAAGTGCTGGGATTACAGGCGTGAGTCACCATGCCCAGCCTACATTTTTTTCTGATGCAGGATCCAGCCCAAGACTGTGGAGCATGCAGCTGCCTTGCTCTTCGGCTTTTGTCCCCATTAAGACTGCAGCAGGCCGGGCGCGGTGGCTCACGCCTGTAATCCCAGCACTTTGGGAGGCCAAGGCGGGCAGGTCACCTGAGGTCAGGAGTTCGGGCTCAGCCTGGCCAACATGGCAAAACCCCATCTCTACTAAAAATACAAAAATCAGCCAGGCATGGTGGTGGGTGCCCGTAGTCCCAGCTACTCAGGAGGCTGAGGCAAGAGAATCACTTGAACCCAGGAAGCGGAGGTTGCGGTGAGCCAAGATCGCGCCATTGCACTCCAGTCTGGGCAACAGAGGAAGACTCCATCTCAAAAAAAAAAAAAAAAAAAAAAGACGGAGCAGCTTCTCAGCCTGTCTGTGTTTTTCTTCACCTTGACGTTTTTGGAGCTTGTGGGTCAGGTATTAACGTAGGCTGTCTCTCCATGAGTGTCTGCTGTTTTCTCATGAGTAGAGTCAGGCTATGAACTGTTGGAAGAACACCACAGACCTGCTCACTGCATCAGGAGGCTCAAAGGGGAGGTCTGTCCCGAGCCTGATGATGTGAAGATGGATCGCTGGGTTAAGGAGGCACCTGCCAGCTTTCCCACCACAGCTACGACTTACGTCTGCAATGGCTGCATGGTTTACAGGGATGCTCTGAAACTAGTCTGAGCACCCGCTCATGACTCTGACCCCATCATTCCTCCCATGCTTTACTTCTCTCTATGCATTTATTTAACATAAATAAATAACATGAAATATATGGAGATAGGTATATAGACTCATAGATTTTATTTTACTCGAGTGATGACCCATGACTATCACTATTTATTTGGATGCTAAAAGCCACCCTACATGCAGGCAGTGGGGTCTTCATCCAGGCTGGGGTCAGTCAGGGCCCTTGCACTGTGGACCACTCTTTCTCAGTTATGAAAGTTCTCAGACTCTCTCTCCTCCTTCCAGAACTCAAATAGATGTGTTTGACTCTCGTGCTTCCTGAATAAATTGCTTTATTTCTATTTACAAGTCCTACTTCTCTCTTCAGCTATGGCTAATCTGCTGAAGACCTATCCACTAAGTGTTGAACTTCAATCCTATCTCTAGTCGTGTTTCTGCAGAATCTACTTATGCTTTACTCATGCTCTCTTTTCTTTTTTTTTTTTTTAAGAAGAAACTGGGGTCTCAGTATGTTACCCAGGCTGCTCTTGAACTCCTGGGCTCAAGCAATCCTCCTGCCTCGGCCTCCCAAAGTGTCAGGATTGCAGGTGTTAAGCCATGGCACCCGGCCTCTTTTATTTCTTAAAATAAATTATTAAATATAACGATTTTATCTTCTAAGCCTTAAAACCCCAACAGCCGAGGCTGCTGCAGGGCCGACTCTGCAGCCTGTGGCTTCTGTGGGGCCTGTGGCTTCTGTGGGGCCTGTGGCTTCTGTGCTGCCTGTGGCTTCCGTGGGGCCTGTGGCTTCCGTGGGGCCTGTGGCTTCCGTGCTGCCTGTGGCTTCCGTGGGGCCTGTGGCTTCCGTGGGGCCTGTGGCTTCTGTGCTGCCTGTGGCTTCTGTGGGGCCTGTGGCTTCTGTGCTGCCTGTGGCTTCTGTGGGGCCTGTGGCTTCTGTGCAGCTTGTGGCTTCTGTGGGGCCTGTGGCTTCTGTGCAGCCTGTGGCTTCTGTGGCTTCTGCTCCAGGAGCACTACTTCTTGTGTGTCCAGGGTTCTGTGGAAATTACTTGAAACCTGAGATAAAGGTGAATTCTTCCAAAAAGTACTTTTTGTTTGTTTCTGTCAGATTCCTGGGGGAACTGCCAGCTGGGAGCCACTGATAACGACACTCTCAGCTTGAGGCTTTCAGACCATCCAGACCACCTATGAATCCTCAAGGGGGTGTCTCCTTCCCTCTGCCAGGGACAAGAGGTATGGGAGTACGTGGTGGATTCACCCTTGGAGGTGCCAGCTTTGGAAGGGACAGTCACCACCCAGCACGCACACCTCAAGGAAGCCCTGGGCTTTGTCTTCTGATCTCCAGCCCTGCAAGGCTGGGAAAACCAAGCTCAGGCCAAGGCTCTCAGGGCAAAAGCTGGGCTTGGCACCCCATCTGCCTCTCAATTCTGTCACCATTAGGTCCCCAGGCCTCAGCACTTCCTCTTTCTTAGCCCGTGTGAGGCAGCATCTGTAAGATGCTTTATGGAAATGTCTTCACTGGCATTTTCGGCTGTTCCACCACAGGTGAGCCTGGGCACCTGACCTATCAGTATTGTCAGAAAGAGAAGACCTTTCCCACTCATCCTAATCCTTACCAAAGAGGCAGCCTTTTTGGAGCAGCTCTCACTGGATCTGCTGGGTAAAGCTCCTTGTCCAGGAGGGGCAGCCTCCTCCACACAGCGGGAGGGCCTCCCAGCCTCCCTGCCACAGTGCACTGTGGCCACAGCGAATTCCTCTTCCTGAAGGTTCTTCCCGCACCTCCTTCACTCTCCCCAGCCCTGGAGACCCTGCCTCAGGATGCACTCAGCACAGCTGCACCCCCAAAGCAGTCACAGACACCATGAGGCCTCTCTCCTGGGCCCTGAATGCAGCCTGTGCTCACCTGAACACATTTCACATTGATGCCGGGACACACAAACTTCCTCCAGATGAGGTTGGCTCTGCTGTCTCCACAGGTGATGGGGTACACAATCTCAGCTTCCAGGTTCTCCCCCTCTTCAGCCATCTTCACTTCTCACAGGCACATTGACAGGGAAGGGTAAAAGCAGAACATCAGTTACAACCTCTTCAAAGCATTTCCTGAAAATGCAGAAAATAGCTACCAACATGGAAACCAAAAATTAAAATCCAGGAAGGCCTGAGATAGAGCCAAGGTGGGCAGGGCATGCCCATCAGTGCCATTAGAGTTTCAGGGTTAAACCCACTAAACAGATTTAAATATCGTTACATTAACAGAATTCCATTAAACTATGGTTCAACTGAAGACCCACTTAGGAAAATAAAATCAAACTTTAATTGAAACAATTCTAGGGAAACCTAAGGTTTTAAAGGTTCTAGGGCCTTTAATCTCAGGCAAAAGAAAAATATTAAGAGTGTTATAAAGAATTTTTGTAATCCCAGCACTTTGGGAGGCCGAGGCAGGCGGATCACGAAGTCAAGAGATCAAGACCATCCTGGCCAACATGGTGAAACCCCGTCTCTACTAAAAATACAAAAATTAGCCAGGCATGGTGGCGGGCACCTGTAGTCCCAGCTACTGGGAAGGCTGAGGCAGGAGGCTGAGGCAGGAGAATGGCATGAACCCGGGAGGTGGAGGTTGCAGTGAGTCGAGATCGCGCCACCGCACTCCAGCCTGGGTGACAGAGCAAGACTCCCTCTCAAAAAAAGAAAAAAAAAGAATTTTTACTGGGCCAGGCGAGGTGGCTCACACCTGTAATCCCAGCACTTTGGGAGGCCCAGGTGGGTGGATCACCTGAGGTCAGGAGTTTGACACCAGCCTGGCCCAACATGGCAAAACCCCATCTCTACTAAAAATACAAAAATTAGCTGGGCATGGTGGCATGTGCTTGTAATCTCAGCTACTTGGGAGGCTGAGGCAGGAGAAGTGCTTGAACCTGCAGGGCAGAAGTTGCAGTGAGCTGAGATCATGCCATCACACTCTAGCCTGGGCGACAGAGTGAGACTCCGTCTCAAAAAAAAAAAAAAAAACAGAATTTTTACTGGCCAGGCTCAGTGGCTCACACCTGTAATCCCAACACTTTGGGAGGCTGAGGCTGGAGGATCACATGAGGCCAGGAGTTCGAGACCAGCCTGGGCAACAGTGGGACCCTATTTCTTGAAAAAAAAAAAAAAAAAAAGTTTTTTAATTAGCTGGGTATGGTGGCACATGCCTGTAGTCCCAGCTACTCAGGAGGCTGAGGTAGGAGGATCATCTGAGCCTGGGAGGTTAAGGCTATGGTGAACGGTGATCGTGCCACTGCACTCTAGCCTGGGCAACAGAACAAGACCCTGTCTCAAAAAACAAAACCTTCTTTTACTACCATTCACTGATCGTTATAATAAACAGACACAGGCAAAACAAGAGTACTGAAACAGTGAGAAGAAAACAAAATCCAAAAGAGGAGAGAGCTGCAAACTTGGGGCCAGGTGACTTTGCTCTCCTATTAGTCATGGGCAGAGAAAGGGCTGTCATTACAGACACATGGCAGGTTCCACCTGGGGGACCTGGGGCCTGGCCTCTCACTCCTAAGGGCACACAGCTTGGGAATCAGCCCGAACAAAGACCTTGTATATCTCTGGCTGTTCCTCATTTTGAGTGCAGGACTGTCCTGTCCCTGCTGCGGCAAGAAGGCAGACTTCCCACCTAGGACGGCTTCCTACCTAACACGGCTTCCTTGAGCTGGGAGGAGGCTGTGAAGGCCGCGGCAGCTGCTGCCGCTGCATTTTCTGTCTCCATGTTATCTTCCGTCAGGTCGCCCCTGGTGAAGTGAAGGGAGGAGAGAATAGAATCAGGATCCCGGAGGGCACAACCTGCAGGGCACTATTTTCCTGACAGCGCTTTGCTGACCTGTTACACTCTTCTAACTGAATTCAGAAATGGCAGAGGGGCCGGGTGCGGTGGCTCAAGCCTGTAATCCCAGCACTTTGGGAGGCTGAGGTGGGAGGGTCACTTGAGGTCAGGAGTTCGAGACCAGCCTGGCCAACACGGTGAAACCCCATCTCTATTTAAAAAAATACAAAAATTACCTGGACATGGTGGTACATGCCTGTAGAAGTTGGGGTAGGAGAACCGCTTGAACCTGGGAGGCAGAGATTGCAGTGAGCCAAGATCACACCACTGCACTCCAGCCTGGGTGAGAGAGCGAGACTCTGTCTCAAAAAACAAAAAGGCCAGGTGCGGTGGCTCATGCCTATAATCCCAGCAGTTTGGGAGGCCGAGGCAGGTGAATCACCTGAGGTCAGAAGTTTGAGATCAGCCTGGCCAACATGGTAAAACCTCGTCTTTACTAAAAATACAAAAATTAGCTGGGTGTGGTGGCTCGAGCCCGTAATCCCAGCTACTCAGGAGGCTGAGACCACAGAATCACTTGAACCCGAGAGGTGTGAGTGGGGATTGTGTCACCGCACTCCAGCCTGGGCGACAGAGCAAGATGCCGTCAAAATTAAAAAAAAAAAAAAAAAAGAAATGGCAGAGGCTGCGCAGGTCTGAGCACTGATGGGGACAAGCTGGTCTCGAGATCACACATTTTCTGTTTGGTTCATGGTGGCGAGCACCCAGAACGGCACCCAGCAGGTAAAGCCAGCAGGTGAGGCTGGGTGCAGTGGCTCACGCCTGTAATCCCAGTACTTTGGGAGGCTGAGGCGGGCAGATCACTTGAGGTCAGGAGTTCGAGACCAGCCTGGCCAACATGGTGAAACCTCATCTCTAACCAAAATAAAAAAATTAGCCAGGCGTGGTGGTACACACCTGTAATCCCAGCTACTTGGGAGGCCAAGACAGGAGAATCGCCTGAACCCCGGAAACAGAGGTTGCAGTGAGCCGAGATTGTACCACTGCATTCCAGCCTGGGCAACAGAGCAAGACTCTGTCTCAGGGGAAAAAAAAAACCCAGCAGGTGAAACCAGCAGGATTCATGGAGGCAGCGAGTGCCCCAGCAAGGATTCTATGCTTCCATTTCTGTCTTTAATAAAGTGTTTTATTTCCACAATAATTACTTCATATGGCTATAGAAACTATCAGAAAATACAAAATTTTAGAAGAAAAGTCACTATGGCCCAACCTCATAAAAAACTAAATTGTAGACAAAAGGGTAAAAGATGAAACCATAAAAGTATTAGAAGGAAAAAAATAAGTTTTTTTTACTTGTTTCAAAGTGACAAAGGGTTTTCTCATACAATACAAAACCAAGAAATAAAAAAAGATAACTTTGCCTTAAAAAATAAAAATAAAAACTTTCAATGCCAGGAAAAAAAACACCACAAACAATTTTTTTTTTTTTTTTTGAGACGGAGTCTCGCTCTGTCGCTCAGGCTGGAGTGCAGTGGCGCAATCCCCGCCCACTGCAAGCTCTGCCTTCCGGGTTCACACCATTCTCCTGCCTCAGCCTCCCGAGTAGCTGGGACTACAGGCGCCCGCCACCATGCCTGGCTAATTTTTTGTATTTTTGTTAGAGACAGGGTTTCACTGTGTTAACCAGGATGGTCTCGATCTCCTGACCTCGTGATCCTCCCACCTCGGCCTACCAAAGTGCTGGGATTACAGGCATGAGCCACTGCGCCCAGCCACCACAAACAATTTTTTAAGAAAAGAAAGAACTTGGTGGCAAAATGCTTAAAACATAAGGACAACAAACCACTTATTTCCTGATATGACATAAAGAGGTCCCACCATTGCACTCCAGACCAATGTCACAACACAACAGGGAAACGCAAAGGCCCCAAGCAGGGGCTCTGGAGAAACCCTGGAAAGACACTCATGACAAATGCAAACAGAAACCAGTACATGAGGCCACTTTCCCCTAGAGAGCCCACAGGAAGGAACCAGCGTTACCACGCGTACGGGAGAGTCTTGGGATGGTGGTGCCGGCCCAGGACGCAGGACTCCAATGGAGTCGTTGGTGAGAGCTATGAGGAGGGCACTCCGCCTGCAGCCTAGAAACATGCCCCTCTGACCCACCTCCATTTCTAGAAACATGCCCCTCTGACCCACCTCCATTTCTAGAAACATGCCCCTCTAACCCACCTCCATTTCTAGAAACATGCACATATGACCCACAAGTCCATTTCTAGAAACATGCCCCTTTGACCCACCTCCATTTCCAGAAACATGCCCCTCTGACCCACCTCCATTTCTAGAAACATGCCCCTCTGACCCACCTCCATTTCTAGAAACATGCCCCTCTGACCCCACATCCATTTCTAGAAACATGCCCCTCTGACCCACACCTCCATTTCTAGAAACATGCCCCTCTGACCTCACCTCCATTTCTAGAAACATGTCCCTCTGACCCACCTCCATTTCTAGAAACATGCCCCTGTGACCCCACATCCATTTCTAGAAACATGCCCCTGACCCCACCTCCATTTCTAGAAACATGCCCCTGTGACCTCACCTCCATTTCTAGAAACATGCCCCTCTGACCCACACATCCATTTCTAGAAACATGCCCCTCTGACCCCACCTCCATTTCTAGAAACATGCCCCTCTGACCCCACCTCCATTTCTAGAAACATGCCCCTCTGACCCACACATCCATTTCTAGAAACATGCCCCTCTGACCCCACATCCATTTCTAGAAACATGCCCCTCTGACCCACACCTCCATTTCTAGAAACATGCCCCTGTGACCCCACCTCCATTTCTAGAAACATGCCCCTCTGACCCCACATCCATTTCTAGAAACATGCCCCTCTGACCCCACATCCATTTCTAGAAACATGCCCCTCTGACCCACACCTCCATTTCTAGAAACATGCCCCTCTGACCCCACCTCCATTTCTAGAAACATGCCCCTGTGACCTCACCTCCATTTCTAGAAACATGCCCCTCTGACCTCACCTCCATTTCTAGAAACATGCCCCTCTGACCCACACCTCCATTTCTAGAAACATGCCCCTGTGACCTCACCTCCATTTCTAGAAACATGCCCCTCTGACCCCACATCCATTTCTAGAAACATGCCCCTCTGACCCCACATCCATTTCTAGAAACATGCCCCTCTGACCTCACCTCCATTTCTAGAAACATGCCCGTGACCCCACATCCATTTCTAGAAACATGCCCCTCTGACCCCACATCCATTTCTAGAAACATGCCCCTGTGACCTCACCTCCATTTCTAGAAACATGCCCCTCTGACCTCACCTCCATTTCTAGAAACATGCCCCTCTGACCCACACCTCCATTTCTAGAAACATGCCCCTGTGACCTCACCTCCATTTCTAGAAACATGCCCCTCTGACCCCACATCCATTTCTAGAAACATGCCCCTCTGACCCCACATCCATTTCTAGAAACATGCCCCTCTGACCTCACCTCCATTTCTAGAAACATGCCCGTGACCCCACATCCATTTCTAGAAACATGTCCCTCTGACCCCACATCCATTTCTAGAAACATGCCCCTCTGACCCCACCTCCATTTCTAGAAACATGTCCCTCTGACCCCACATCCATTTCTAGAAACATGCCCCTCTGACCCCACCTCCATTTCTAGAAACATGTCCCTCTGACCCCACATCCATTTCTAGAAACATGCCCCTCTGACCTCACCTCCATTTCTAGAAACATGCCCCTGTGACCCCACCTCCATTTCTAGAAACATGTCCCTCTGACCCCACATCCATTTCTAGAAACATGCCCCTCTGACCCCACCTCCATTTCTAGAAACATGTCCCTCTGACCCCACATCCATTTCTAGAAACATGCCCCTCTGACCCCACCTCCATTTCTAGAAACATGCCCCTCTGACCCACACCTCCATTTCTAGAAACATGCCCCTCTGACCCCACATCCATTTCTAGAAACATGCCCCTCTGACCTCACCTCCATTTCTAGAAACATGCCCCTGTGACCCCACCTCCATTTCTAGAAACATGCCCCTCTGACTCACCTCCATTTCTAGAAACATGCCCCTCTGACCCACACCTCCATTTCTAGAAACATGTCCCTCTGACCCACACCTCCATTTCTAGAAACATGCCCCTGACCCCACACCTCCATTTCTAGAAACATGCCCCTCTGACCCACCTCCATTTCCAGAAACATGCCCCTCTGACCCCACACATCCATTTCTAGAAACATGTCCCTCTGACTCACCTCCATTTCTAGAAACATGCCACTCTGACCCCACACATCCATTTCTAGAAACATGCCCCTCTGACCCACCTCCATTTCCAGAAACATGCCCCTCTGACCCCACACATCCATTTCTAGAAACATGTCCCTCTGACTCACCTCCATTTCTAGAAACATGCCACTCTGACCCCACACATCCATTTCTAGAAACATGCCCCTCTGACCTCACCTCCATTTCTAGAAACATGCCCCTCTGACCCCACCTCCATTTCTAGAAACATGCCCCTCTCACCCCACATCCATTTCTAGAAACATGTCCCTCTGACCCCACATCCATTTCTAGAAACATGCCCCTCTGACCCCACCTCCATTTCTAGAAACATGCCCCTCTGACCTCACCTCCATTTCTAGAAACATGCCCCTCTGACCCACCTCCATTTCTAGAAACATGCCCCTCTCACCCCACATCCATTTCTAGAAACATGCCCCTCTGACCCACCTCCATTTCTAGAAACATGCCCCTCTGACCCACCTCCATTTCTAGAAACATGCCCCTCTGACCCACACCTCCATTTCTAGAAACATGTCCCTCTGACCCCACCTCCATTTCTAGAAACATGCCCCTCTGACCCCACCTCCATTTCTAGAAACATGCCCCTCTGACCCACACCTCCATTTCTAGAAACATGCCCCTCTGACCTCACCTCCATTTCTAGAAACATGCCCCTCTGACCCACACATCCATTTCTAGAAACATGCCCCTCTGACCCCACCTCCATTTCTAGAAACATGCCCCTCTGACCCCACCTCCATTTCTAGAAACATGCCCCTCTGACTCCACCTCCATTTCTAGAAATTAATCCTGCAGACATGGTGTTCCCACACTGGCATGAGGGTTGTCTGAAACAGGGAACAAGTCTCCAGTTTCTGGAACCCGTGCGGGCAGCTGCCTCTGGGGAGATGATGTGGAGAAGCTGGGAGAGGTCTGGGTGGGGTTCCCAGCTGTGCACCTCATAACAGCCAACTGTATGATGTGTGCACTTCTAAACTTCCAGAAGTTTGCTTAAAAACACACGCACACCAGCCGGGCACGGTGGCTCACACCTGTAATCCCAGCACTTTGGGAGGCCGAGGCAGGCGGATCACAAGGTCAGGAGATCGAGACCATCCTGGCTAACACGGTGAAACCCCGTCTCTACTAAAAATACAAAAAATTAGCCGGGCGTGGTGGCGGGCGCCTGTAGGCCCAGCTACTCAGGAGGCTGAGGCAAGAGAATGGCGTGAACCCGGGAGGTGGAGGTTACAGTGAGCCGAGATCGCGCCATTGCACTCCAGTCTGGGCGACAGAGTGAGAATCTGTCTCAAAAAAAGAAAACAAAACAAAAAAAACATGTAGCAAGAGGAAGTCTCAATTTCCAGATGGTAGAAGAACAGATTTAATTCCCCACAAAAAAGAAGAGGATCTTTAAGTCCTTCAAGACAGCCCTGCCTCAGCTGCCACGTGGGGTTCTCTTCTCAGAGAAGAAGGCGCATGCAGACTCTCCACTGCTCCATAAGCCACTGTCCCGCGAGGGCAGAGCCTTGGCGTCCTGGCAAAGCAACTGCAGACTGAAAAATGCCCTCTGGTCCTTCATGGCTCCCTCCATCAAGACAGGGGGCTATTTCCCACCCCCTCCACTTGACTTTGGGCCAAGCTTTGAAGAGCTTTGACCAAGAGGCTGTGACGAGGCCCTACGAGGACTCTGGCTCTCCTCCTGCTAAGCACACCCAGGCAGGTGTCCTGGCAGATGAGGACCACATGCAGAGCCTCGGCCAGCCCACCAATGCCCGGATATGCAAGTGAGCCCAGCCTGGACCCCCCGGCGAGGCCCAGCAGCACCAGCCCAGGCCCGAAAACCTTAAGAAATGACCAGTGTCTGCTGCTTTAAGCCACCAAGCTCTGCGGTGGTTTGTTAGGCTGCAAGCATGGCTAATTCAGAAACTGCCAGAAACAAGCACTGCTGTCCCCAGCCTGGGACACACAGCACCGCCTCTGCGTGGGGAGAGGGCACAGGCTAAGGGCACAAATGCCATCCCAGACCCGGCTCTTGTGTGTGGAAGGGGCCACTGTGCCATGAGGCAGAGGAAACCTTGGCAGGACCTTATGCCACAGCAATTTAAAAGAGAAGAAACAGGCTGGGCGTGGTGGCTCATGCCTATAATCCCAGCACTTTGGGAGGCCAAGGTGGTGGATCACTTGAGGTCAGGAGTTCAAGACCAGCCTGGCCAATATGGTGAAACCCTGTCTCTACGAAAAATACAAAATTTAGGCAGGCGTGGTGGCGGGTGCCTGTAATCCCTGCTATTCAGGAGGCTGAGGCAAGAGATTTACTTGAACCCGGGAGGTGGAGGCTGCTGCAGTGAGCTGAGATCATGCCACTGCACTCCAGCCTGTGTGACGGAGTGAGACTTGGTCTCAAAAAAAAAAAAGGAAACACATCTGACTAGTGTGATCTCGCAAGGAACATTCCAGACACAGTGGAGCTAGAAGGTTCTTCTCCAAACAAGGAATCCCCAGGGGATCAAATTGTTTTGCATCGGCCAGACATGGTGGCTCAAGCCTGTAACCCCAGTGCTTCGGGAGGCTGAGGTGGGAGGACTGCTTGAGTCCAGGAGTTCAAGACTAGCTTGGGCAACACAGTGAGAGCCCATTAGCCAGGCGTGGTGGCACATGCCTGCAGTCCCAGCACTGTACTAAAAATCTACACGGGGCCGGGCATGGTGGCACATGCCTGTAGAGTCCCAGCTACTCAGGAGGCTGAGGCAGGACGATTCCTTGAACCCAGGAGGTCACGGCTGCCATGAG
This sequence comes from Homo sapiens, assembly GCF_000001405.40. Classification (NCBI taxonomy): domain Eukaryota; kingdom Metazoa; phylum Chordata; class Mammalia; order Primates; family Hominidae; genus Homo; species Homo sapiens. The sequence continues at coordinate 63,612,003 of NC_000020.11, forward strand.
CCGTGACTGTGCCACTGCACTCCAGTCTGTGCAACAGAACGAGACTCTGTTTCGAAAAACAAAAAATCATTTCATGTCTCCAGTTTCTCCACTGGCAAAAGACTCTGTCAAGGTAAAAAATGGTTCTGACCCACAGAAATCTAAGAAAGGAAAAAATATAAAAAATAGAAAATTTAAAAAAGAGATGGTCTCAGAATAAAGACCAACCTGGGCTATGGTTGTCACTCTTCCCTCACACCTTAGAAAGCTTTCTGGCCGCATCTGGCCAAAGGGCCACCCTGCCCCATCTTGGATCAGTGAGGTGCCTTCGAACAAGCCACCTGCCCTGGAGCCCGTCCTGTCTTGTCTGCCACCGCACGCTCAGTAGGGGAGGGGAAGTCGCTAGGTTTTAGTTCACCAGTCTCTGGATCAAGACGTGCCATAACCAAGAAGCCCCAGCCACACCCAGACCCGACGTGGCCACAAGGGGTGAGCTGGGAAGGCCCAGGAAAAGGCGGGAGGCGGACGAATGGAAATGTCATTCTGTGGCCACAGAAATGATCTCAACGTTTTGTAACTTCCTACCAAGAGGCAGTCTTAGCTCTGCCCTTGAACCAGCACTTGGTGATGTCGCTTGCGTCAATCAAGGCAACAGAAGTGAGCAGGAGGCCCACTTTCCTCTGCAACTGTGGGCTTACGGGGCAAAGAAGTCCAGGCCTCCAGGTGGAGGATCACAGACCGGGCAAAGCAGAGGAGAGCCACCCAGCCGAGCCTACCTGTGCCTCAGACTGCCTCCCTCCAGAGACCCCTGTGGCCAAGGCCACCCAGACCAGCAGGTCCTTGCCAAGCTGTCAGCTGACGACAGGGGTTGGTGAGGCCGGCCCAGACCAGCAGAACCACGAACCAACCAACAGAATTAAAAATAATAACAACTATGTCTTGTCTTAAGCCACTAAGTTTTGGATGGTTTCTTTCTTTCTTTTTCTTTTTTTTTTTCGGAGACGCAGTCTCACTCTGTTGCCCAGGCTGGAGTGCAGTGGCGCAATCTTGGCTCACTGCAAGCTCTGCCCCCCGGATTCACGCCATTCCCCTGCCTCAGCCTCCTGAGTAACTGGGACTACAGGTGCCTGCCATTGGGTGTTTTCTTAAACAGCAAAAGAAAACTGACACAATCATAAACAGAGCAAGCAAGAGAACTTGGCAATTATTTCCTCTCTACTTCTCACTGTTCTTCAAAGAGTTAACTCAAGCATAAGATGTGAGCAAATTCTTTTAACATCCTAGAAAAAAAGCTCCTACTCAGTGTTCATAAAGCAAAGCTAACCTACAGGAGCCACCTTCCACAGTGACCACAGGAAACCAAGACAGCAAGTGGGACACCAGCCTCCAGGGCACTGCGCCAGCCGTGCGCCTGTGTCTGCCACTGCCCTGGTCCGTCACTGCCACCAGCCGGCAAGACACCCACAGAGGAGAGCTCTAAGCCACAACTGTGTACGAAGACAACTGTGCAGGATTTTATTACTACAACATTTTTGTTTTCTTTTTTTTTTTTTTTTGAGACTGAGTCTCGCTCTGTCACCCAGGCTGGAGTGCAGTGGCACAATCTCGGCTCACTGTAACCTCCATCTCCCTGGTTCAAGCAATTCTCCTGCTGCAGCCTCCCAACTGGATTACAGGCGCCCGCCACCACGCCTGGCTAATTTTTGTACTTTTAGTAGAGACGGGGTTTCACCATGTTGGCCAGACTGGTCTCAAATTCCTGACAAGTGATCCACCCACCCTGGCCTCCCAAAGTGCTGGGATTACAGGTGTGAGCCACTGCGCCTGGCCCATTTTTGTTTATCAATAAAAATGTACTTAATGTTGAACTCTCCACATTTCAAATGGGTAACTCCAGTGTCCTTGATGCTCCTGCGACATGTTCGTGAGACTTCTCTTGGGTGTGAGAGTCTAGCATGTGGGTGGTCTGGACAGGAGGGGGAGGGAAGAGTGCAGAGCAGGGCAGGGTAAAGAGACCCCCTAGGATGTGAAGGCCGCCCTGCATTTGTCAGACTGGGCAACACCCACTCCATCAGATGGACCCTGGTATGGGCGGCAAGCCACCTAGGTGCCGAGGCAAGAGACCGAGGGCACGAGCTGTTCCGGTGTAATAAAATGCATAAAATAAGAATAGTTATACTAGATATAGATCATAAATATGATTATATATGAATATCATTCATCATTAGTTTGTAGCAATTACTCTTTATTCCAATATTATAATAATCCTTGCCTAAGCATAACCTAGGAAAAACTAGGAAATCATAACCTAGGAAAAACTAGGCCATACAGAGATAGGAGCTGAGGGGACATAGTGAGAACTGACCAGAAGACAAGAGTGCGAGCCTTCTGTTATGCCTGGACAGGGCCACCAGAGGGCTCCTTGGTCTAGCGGTAACGCCAGCATCTGGGAAGACGCCCGTTGCCAAGTGGACCGTGGTCTAGCGGTAGCCTCAGTGTCAAGGAAAAACACCCGCTACTTAGCAAACCAGGAAAGAGAGTCTCCCTTTCCCCGGGGGAGTTTAGAGAAGACTCTACTCCTCCACCTCTTGCGGAGGGCCTGACATCAGTCAGGCCCGCCCGCAGTTATCCGGAGGCCTAACCGTCTCCCTGTGATGCTGTGCTTCAGTGGTCACGCTCCTAGTCCGCCTTCATGTTCCATCCTGTGCACCTGGCTCTGCCTTCTAGATAGCAGCAGCAAATTAGTGAAAGTACTGAAAGTCTCTGATAAGCAGAAATAATGGCGTAAGCGGTCTCTCTCTCTCTCTCCTCTCTCTCTGCCTCAGCTGCCAGGAAGGGAAGGGCCCCCTGGCCAGTGGGCACGTGACCCACATGACCTTACCTATCACTGGACATGGTTCACACTCCTTACCCTGCCGCTTTGTCTTGTATCCAATAAATAGCGCAACCTGGCATTCGGGGCCGCTACCAGTCTCCGCGTCTTGGTGGTAGTGGTCCCCCAGGCCCAGCTGTCTTTTTCTTTTATCTTTGTCTTGTGTCTTTATTTCTACACTCTCTCATCTCCGCATACGAGGAGAAAACCCACCAACCCTGTGGGGCTGGTCCCTACACCCTGGCTTTGTAGACTGGAGCCTAGGCACGACTCAGCTGCTGTAGTGAATTGCGATCCTCCAAACCCAGCAAGGCACCTGCAGGACATCTGGCCCAGTCTCCTCGTTGAGCCAGTTCACGAAAAAGAGACTTTTCTGAGTGACATGCTAATGGGCAATATGAGGACTAAATGGGATGGTCTCCAACTTGGACAAACCAACAGTAAAAGCCACTTTGCGGGGAAAGAAACTTTTCCTTTTTTCTTTTTTTTGAGACAGGATCTCACCCTGTCACCCAGGCTGCAGTGCAGTGGCATGACCTTGGCTCACTGCAGCCTCAACCTCTCTCAGGCTCAAGCAATCCTCCCGCCTCAACCTCCCATGCAGCTGGGACCATAGGTGCATGCCACCACACCCAAATAATTTTTATATTTTTTGTAGAGACGAGGTTTCACTATGTTGCTCGGGCTGGTCTCAACTCCTGGGCTCAAGCAACCCTCCCACCTCAGCCTCCCAAAGTGCTCAGATTACAGGCAGGAGCCACCAGGCCTGGCCAACATAGGAAGAAATTTAAATTTGAATTGAATATTAGAAGAGATGAAAATTCATCAACATGGAAAGACAAAGATCATTAACTAAAGCCAAACCAGAATGGAAGCTGTGTGTACAGTGGGGTCTCATGCTGGGAACGCGAGGGGCACGTGCAGGGCTCCACGGTGTGGCGACGCCCCATGCTCCCTTTGTGGGGGTTCATCCAGCGGAACATGAGGACCTGGGGTGCTTTTCAACATGTACGTGAGTTTAATAATAAAAAGGTTTAAGGAAAGAAAAATTCATATGTTTCGATATAAACAGAACATCTGGAAAGATCTATTCTAAGGTGTTGACAGTAGGAATCTCTAGGTAGTAGTAATATGGCCTTTTTGAATTTTTGCTTATCAGTATTTTCTAATTTTCTTTTTCTTTCTAAATAATTCTAGCTATGAAATAATTTTCTACCATATATATTTTGTAATAAAAATGGTTATATTTAATTTTTTAAAGGCTGTACAAACTTCCTGATAAAATGGCAAATTAGACACACACATGTGGGCCGGGTACAGTGGCTCGCGCCTGTAATTCCAGCACTTTGGGAGGCTGAGGCAGGCAGATCACCTAAGGTCAGGAGTTTGAGACCAGCCTGGCCAACATGGTGAAACCCCGTCTCTACTAAATATACAAAAATGAGCTGGATGTGGTGGCACACACCTATAGTGCCAGCTACTTGGGAAGCTGAGGCAGGAAAATTGCTTCAACCCGGGAGGCAGAGGTTGTAGTGAGCCGAGATCATGCCACTGCACTCCAGCCTAGGCAACAAGAGCGAGACTCCAACTCAAAAAAAAATAAAAATAACACACACGTGAATAGGCTCCTCATGGAAGTCATCACAACAATGCAGAGGGAAGAGCTTCCAAAGTGTAAACCCAGAAGCGAGGAGCAGGAGGGTGCGCGCAGACGCAGAGAGCAGCAAGGTGCAGACTGAGAGGCGGAGGCTGGCCGTGGGGAGATGACTGATGCTCAGTTTATACCCCAAATCCGTAAATCTAGAGGCGTGGCACATCAACTACCTCTGCCAGCAGGAATGAGGGAAAGGAGGGCAACCAAAAGATGTCCCACCCTCACCCATCCAGCTACCTGCCATCCTCAGCCCCACTGGCAGAAGACCCTGAGAGGTGGAGGCAGGCCCCTGCCTACAGGACCCTGAGAGCTAGGGGAAGGCGTTATCCTGAACTGTGTCCCCCGTAAAATTCATATGTTGAAGGCCTCATCCCCAGTGTGACTGTATTTAAAGATGGGGTCTTCAGGAGATAATTTAAATGAGGTCATATAAGTTGGCCCTCATCCAGTAAGACTTTGACCTTCTGGTGGTTTTTTTTTTTTTGGAGACTGGGTCTCACTCTATCACTCAGGTTGGAGTACAGTGGCACGATCACGGCTCACTGCTGTCTCCAACTCCTGGGCTCAGGTGATCCTCCTGCTTCAGCCTCCTGAGTAGCTGGGACTACAGGTGCTTACCACCGCACCCAGCTGGTGGTGCATTGTGTTTTTTGTAGAGATGGGGTTTTGCCATGTCGCCCAGGCTGGTCCTGAACTGGGCTCAAGTGATCTGTCTCCCTCGGCCTCCTGCAGTGCTGGAATTACAGGTATGAGCCACCGCGCCTGGCCGACCGTGACCTTCTAAGAAGTGAAAGAGAAAGATCTTTCTCTCTCCCTCCCTCTCCATCATGAGGACACAGCAAGAAGTCGGCCATCTGCAAGGTAGAAAGCGAGTCCTCCCAACAGCTGAACCTGGCAGACCCTGATCTTGGACTTCAGCCTTCAGAGCTGTAAGAAAATAACTCTCTGCTGTTCAGGCCACGCGGTCTACGGCAGCCCGAGCAGACTAAGACACACGCCATCTGGGGAGTCAGACCAGATCAGGAAGAAAGGCCTAGAGCTCAGGATACTGAAGGTCCCAACCCGGTGCTGGACCAGACCACCCCGGCAGCCGCGGCCACGGAGTCACGGCTCGGGTGAGGTGACCTGGACACCATCCCGGCAGCCGCGGCCACGGAGTCACGGCTCGGGTGAGGTGACCTGGACACCATCCCGGCAGCCGCGGCCACGGTGTCACGGCTCGGATGAGATGACTCGGACACCACCCCGGCAGCCGCGGCCACGGTGTCAGGGCTCAGGTGAGGAGAGTTGGATATGGGACTGGGCCTACCCCGAGGCTGCTTCCACCCAGACGCCTGGGTGGGTGACACGAAAGCTGGGCTCAGTTGGGATCAGAGCAGCCTCTCCCCAGGTCAGAAATGACCCTGGGCTCCTCACAGTAGCCCTAGGGCACCATGAGAAAGCTACGTGGACTTCTCTGACCAAGGGTCACTGCTGCCACACTACTCATTGCAGGCCATGTCAGGGCTCAGCTGAGGAGACGTGGACACCACCCCAGCAGCCGCGGCCACGGCGTCCCAAGGGAGGGACTTGGGCACTGCCTCTCTGGGCAAGAGTGGGGAGGTGTGGGGTGGGAGATGTCTGGAAACATCATGGACACATGCCGGGAAAACACGGAAGCTGTGCACCAAGGTGCTGACAAAGGAAAAAGGAGAATGGAGGTGTGAACATCCAGCTAGCAGGTCCCACTCAGAAACTCCTGCATTTCCAGACATGGCCACCAGCTCTGTGGATGAGACAGGGGAGGACAGGGTACCTCACACCAGGAACCCACACAGGTCCATGTCTTGCTCTGTGATCACACAACAGCCTCCACCACCCTGACATGCAGGAGGGAGGTCAAAGCCTCGGGTCCAACAACAGGCTCCACAGCAAGGGAAGAAAGGCAGGAAGGAACTCAGGGCCAGGTCCTCCCAGGCAGCAGCTGCCTGCACGCTGTCCACCAAGGGAGGTCTGACCTACACCGCACAGGGGTTGGCAGTCTAGAGTCGTCCTCTGTCAAACGGTGAGAAAGTCAAAAGCTCATGCTCAGTGATATGCTAGGTCAGCATGAAGATGCCACACATGAGACACAGCAAGGATGAGACCAACGGGAAGACTGCCCCAGACCAGAGCCCCAGAGCCCTCTGGGGAGGAAGAATAAGGATGGCAGCCTGGGACTGCCCGGGGCTGACTCTGCCTTTATTTCACCCCAGCAGAGGCAGGAGTGACACCGGCTCACAGCAGGAGCAGCTCTGCCACCTCCTAGCAGTTCCACCTACGGGCAGCAAAACAAAGCTGGCAGTTTGGGCAAATGTTAGCGTTTTTGCCAACTAACATTTGAATCGGACATCTGGTACAGAGATGAGGAAGAAAACACTCACAGTTTCATGAAGACTGTCAAGAAAATCACTGACTCTTCACTTCATTTATGAAAGGCCAGCTCTCTGACATCCCTACCACTCCCTCTCACATGAGAAATCACGGCCTTTCAGGACGTGGAGCCACGTGGCCATGCAGGTACGGGAGGCCTCCCCGCAGCTGCAGCTGGGTCTTCTGGTCCCCGTGCCATTTCTGCTTTTCTTCGCTCTCTACTTACACACACATTTGAGTCCAGTCTCAGAAGAACTGGAACTAGAAAAATCCTGACACTTGTCCCTTACTACGTTAATGCCAGCTGTGCCAAGGACAGCCCAACCCAAGCCCCCATCAGCCCCAATGGCACCGAGGCCCGAGCTTACCCGTGAGGGGCCAAGTTGGTCGTCACCAACACGGTCTTCACCCCCTCCACACCACTGCCGTCCACTGCAGTGTCCGGAGTTGTCACAACCACCACCTCCTCCATGTGCACACTCACGTCGGGAGTCGCCATGGCTCAGCGGAAGGGGACGCCCAGGCCAGCAGCGTCAGTCCTCCAGGGTCCCAAGTCCTGGAGGAAGCAAGGCAGGGCACAGGGATGGAGTCATCTCCACATCCACACAACATAGCACTCACAAAGGCATCTCTAATCAGCTCCAAAGACCCACCCTTGAGTCCCAGACTGCTACCTCCTGACAAAAACGAGCGGCAACAGAAGGGCTACTCCAGGCTCTGGTTCCGAGGGCGGTGTAAGCGCACTCCACCCGTTTTTCCCACTGGATAAGCCGAAACCCTTGGGTAGAAAGCACAGAGCCACTCCCTCCACGTGGGGCTCAGAGCAGGAGGACAGGAGGGGCCTGGAATTCCAAGCAACTTCCCTGGACGCAGGCTCCCGGCTTGCCAGTTCTTCCGTCTCTCCTGGCCTGAACTCAAAGCCAGCCCCAATCCCTGAACTGAGTTTCAGGTGCAGAAAGCACTCCAAGAAGTCCTCGCTGGTCTGTGGAACGGGAAGGGAAACCCATTCAAGACAGAAAGAGAGGAGGGAAACGCCCTGGGTTTTTTTGGGTTTTTGGGTTTTTTTTGAGACGGAGTCTCGCTCTGTCGCCCAGGCTGGAATGCAGTGGCACGACCTCGGCTCACTGCAAGCTCCACCTCCTGGGTTCAAGTGATTCTCCTGCCTCAGCCTCTCCAATTGCTGGGATTACAGGTTTCACCATGTTGCCCAGGCTGGTCTCAAACTCCTGACCTCAGGTGATCCACTCACCTCGGCCTCCCAAAGTGCTGGGATTGCAGGTGTGAGGCACCATGCCTGGCCTGCCCCGGGTTTAAAAATTATTATTATTTTGTCTTTCCTGGCTTTGCCTTCAGCAAGTCCAACCCCTGCTAAAACCCAGTGATAATGGCTGTCCTGGCCCAAAAAGCTTGGAGACAGGGGAATCTTCCTCCTGACTAAAGGAATGGTGGCCCAAGAGTGTGGGGGCTCCCTGTTGCCCTCTCACTCTCCATCCCCTACCTAGCACAGGGAACACAAAAGCCCCTGGTTTCCAGCCAGAGGGCAACGAGCCTGGAGTCAGAGTGTGGGGGAGGCGACAAGAGGAGAGGGGAGAAGAGAGGATGGCACACAGCTGTGTGTGAGCGCCTGGGTCGTCCCAAGACAGTCTCTACGTGGTCCTGACCCTAAAGGGCAAAGGGAAGAAAACTGACCTACAGGATAGGCCACTGCCCAGGTCTCAGATGGGCCCCAGTGGCGCATATGGGACAGATCCACAGTGCACTGGAAAGTCTCTAAAATAAACTGGCCTAAGAACACAGACACAGGAACGGGGTGCAAAATTTGCAGCCTGAACCTAACCAGGTCGATTTCTTGCTATGAAAAAAAAAAGTCTACATTCTCTGTGAAACTTAAAACAAGACCTAGAGTCCATAGCACAGTAGTCAAAGCATCCAGAACACGATCAAACTTCCTGGCAAAGGGTAGTCTGGTTGATTCTCAAAGGAACAAATACACAAGAGAAGCTGGCTCTTGAACGCAGAATCCAGAGACTTTCAGGTGCTATCGGACCAGCTCCAAGAGGAAAGCAAACATTGTCAACCAAGTGGAAAGAAAATCTTGGTATAGAAACAGGAGTTATAACCAAACAGAAATGTGAAAATTAAAAACGACAACCAAAAGAAAATACACAAAGCTGGGATAGTCTCAGCTACTCGGAAGGCGGGGCTGGAGGATCGTTTGAGCCTAGGAGATTGAGGCTGCAATGAGCTGTGATCACACCACCGCACTCCAGTCTGGGCAACAGAGTGAGAACTCTCTCAAAAAACGAAAAAGAAAGAAAGTAGAACAGAAGTGACCAGGGGCTGGGGGAGGGAGTACAGGGAGTTGTTCTTTAATGAGTACAGAATTTCTGTTTGGGATGATGAAAAGCTCTGGAAATGGACGGCGGTGATGGCTGCACAATCACTGTGGCTGTTCTGAATGGTGCTGAACCACACATTTAAAAACAGTTAAAATGGGCTGGGCGTGGTGGCTCACGCCTGTAATCCCAGCACTTTGGGAGGCGGATCGCCTGAGGTCAGGAGTTCGAGACCATCCTGGCCAACACAGTGAAATCCTGTCTTGACTAAAAATACTAAAAATTAGCCAGGCATGGTGGCAGGCACCTGTAGTCCCAGCTACTTGGGAGGCTGGGGCAGGAGACCTGCTTGAACCCAGGAGGCAGAGGTTGCAGTGAGCCGAGATCGTGCCACTGCACTCCAGCCTGGGCAACAAGAGCGAAACTCCATCTCAAAAAAAAAAAAAAAAAAAAAAAAAAAAAAGTTTAAAATGGTTAAATTTTATGTTATGTATATTTTACCGTAATAAAAACACTGTAATGCTACTATAATAGAATGACTCATTAGGATTAGATATAGACTAGAAAGTACAGAATATAAAAACTTTTTAAACAAAGAAAAATTTTCATGGCCAGGCATGGTGTCACACCTGTAATCCCAGGACTTTGGGAGGCCAAGGCAAGAGGAATGCTTGAGCTCAGGGGTTTGAGACCAGCCTGGGCAACACAGCAACACCCCATCTCTGCTAAATAAATAATAAAAAATAGCCAGGCATGGTGGTGTGCACGCCTGTAGTTGCAGCTACTCTGGAGGCTGAGGCAGGAGGATCACTTAAGCCCAGGAGGTCAAGGCTGCAGTGAGCCATGGTTGTGCCACTGCGCTCCAGCCTGGGCAACAGATCAAGACCTTGTCACAAAAAAAAGAAAGAAAGAAAAGAAAAAAGAAAGAAAATAAAATCTTCCAGAACTTTTAAAATCATCATTGTTAATATAAAAATAACATCACCTGCCCCTAGGACTGTAACAAACAAGTGTGTCTAAGGACAGGAGTGGGTCCACCCCAACCTGGCACGCAGTGGTCCCCTGCGGAGAGTCTGGCCCTGCACTCACTAAGGGGAGGCACTCATAGCCCAGCCAGGCCTCTGCAATTATGCCTTCAATGCCAGAACTAACTCACCCAAACTGAACAATCGATCACAAAATGTGCCTTCAGGTCTCAAGGTTCTTGCTAAATCTTACTCAACCGACATTTTCCAGCATGGGAACATTTTTCTGAATGTCTTAGGGAGAGGAAGTCCGCAAGAGAACAAAAGGTCCTCAGGCCACCCTAGCTTCTTTTCCTCCATTCCACAGGCTGTCTTTTGTCTGGGTATGCACTGGACCAGGGGGCTCTACTTCTTCCTACCTGGGCATGGGTCTCCACACAACTCCAAGGTAAAGGGCCACAGGCAAGATAAAGGGGAGAAAAGAAAGCTACGATTTCCTGGGCCACCAATCGCAAATGGCAGCCAGTCTCTGAAGTAACCCTTGACCAGAGATCCAAGGAACCAAGAAATGTAGGTGATCTGAACAGAGGGGATGGTGGTTAAACACCATGAAGGAAAGACCCATTCTCAAAGAAAAGGAAGCAAAAAGAAACCGTGGGGAGCTGGGTACCACCCGCAGCAAAGACCCCGCACGCGTTACTGACGCCAGCCTGGCCTGGGAGAGCAGTGAGTGTGGCGGACGGTGAGTGGCGGGGAGGGCTGTGGTAGGTTTAGGGTAAGAAGGGGCAGCGCCCAGAGCCCAGAGAACACCAGTGAGGGCTCCACAGGAACACTACTCAAAGTATTCACGGAACACATCTAAACACAAGCACTAAGGACTAAGTGCGAGGGACAAGAAAATATTCCCCGTTTCCTGTTTCAGGAGGGTATCGAAAATGAGTGATGGAAGGAAAATGTATTGTTTAAATGAGGAAAAAAAATTTTTACAAATTAAGAACATCCTGGAACATGATGAGCCGTTTACTGTCACTCAATTTAAATGGTGGCCATCTAGGACAGAGCGCCTAAGGGGAAAGGGGGCTCACAGGTGAACCCCTCCAGCTGCTGGTGGGCAATTTCCCATTAGGGCATCAGGGTCTCTGAAGACTGTCTTCAGATGCTTTTTAGCCAGGAAAGTTACAATGATGAATTCGTTTACACTGGCGGAATTACTTCGTATTTCTCAAATATAATGTTTTCACTAGCATAACTTTGTTGTTGTAGACTTAGGCTTCAAAATAAAGAACTTTAAACAAACATGAATAAAAAGCCACTTTAGGCCGGGCGCGGTGGCTCACACTTGTAATCCCAGCACTTTGGGAGGCCGCGGCGGGTGGATCATAAGGTCAGAAGTTCAAAGACCAGCCTGATCAATACGGTGAAACCCCGTCTCTACTAAAAATACAAAAATTAGCCGGGCGCGGTGGCAGGTGCCTGTAATCTCAGCTACTTGGGAGGCTGAGGCAGGAGAATCGCTTGAACCTGGGCAGCAGAGGTTGCAGTGAGCCAAGATCATGCCACTGCACTCAAGCCTGGGTGACAGAGTGAGACTCTCTCTTAAAAAAAAAAAGCCACTTTAAAATTTTACTCAGGCCAGGTGTGGTGGCTCACGCCCATAATCCTAGCACTTTGGGAGGCCGAGGCGAGCAGATCACCTGAGGTCAGGAGTTAGACCAGCCTGGCCAACATGGTAAAACCTTGTCTCTACTGAAAACACAAAAATTAGCTGGGCGTGGTGGTGTGCCCATGTAATCCCAGCTACTCAGGAGGCTGAAGTGAGAGAACTGCTTGAACCCGGGAGGCAGAGGCTGCAGTGTGCCAAGACTGCACCACTACACTTCAGCCTGGGCGACAGAGCAAGACCCTGTCTCAGAAAAAAAAAAAATTCAAAAATTTGGCCAGGCGTGGTGGCTCACGCCTGTAATCCCATCACTTTGGAAGGCCGAGGCGGGTGGATCACCTGAGGTCAGGAATTCAAGACCAGCCTGGCCACCATGATGAAACCCTGTCTCTACTAAAAATACAAAAAAAAAAAAACAAATTGGCCGGGCATGGTGGCGGGTGCCTGTAATCCCACCTACTTGGGAGGCTGAGGCAGGAGAATCTCTCGAACTCCGGAGGCAGAGGTTGCAGCGAGCCAAGATTGTGCCACTGCACTCCAGCCTAGACAACAGAGCGAGACTCTGTCTCAAAAAAAAAAAAATTAAAATTAAAAAATAAAAATTTCATTTAAAATACTACTGATCTCCCGTGCTGACTTCTCGGGGTTTAACTCTCACTGAGGAGACGCTGCTTTCATAAGGGTAAGCTCAGCAGGGGCAACTAAAGTCATTTAAGCAGAGAGCTGCAAAGAGGCAACAGCCTCACTGCAGGCAGGGGTCCTCGTCACAGCTTCAGGGCTTTGCAGAGGATTACGCAATGTACACGCACAAAACTGAATTCCAGCCTCTCCATTGGCAACTGCATACATACATATATTCTTTTTTTGAGACGGAGTCTCGCTCTGTAGCCCAGGTTGGACTGCAGTGGCCCGATCTCGGCTCAATGCAAGCTCTGCCTCCCGGGTTCAAGCGATTCTCTTGCCTCAGCCTCCTGAGTAGCTGGGATTACAGGCGCCCACCACCACGCCCGGCTAATTTTTGTATTTTTAGTAGAGACGGGGTTTCACCATGTTGGCCAGGACAGTCTCGATCTCCTGACCTCGTGATCCGCCCGCCTCTGCCTCCCAAAGTGCTGGGATTACAGGCGTGAGCCACTGAGCCTGGCCTCCAATGGCAACTATATTAAAGGTTCAAAGCAATATGCACAAAAGTTACCTCACAGAAAATAGTGCAAGTCCTTGATACAATGCTCTTTAGACACAGAAGAAGCACTATAGAATAGAGCACCTCGCCCTATTGCCTTCCCAAGGGCGAGCACCCCCTCCTCTCTCCACAGCTCCTTCTTTGTTTTTTTGAGATGGAGTCTCGCTCTGTCACCCAGGCTGGAGTGCAATGGCAAAATCTTGGCTCACTGCAACCTCCGCCTCCCGGGTTGAAGTGATTCTCCTGCCTCAGCCTCCCGAGTAGCTGGGACTACAGGCACCCAACACGCCTAGCTAATTTTTGCATTTTTGGTAGAGACGGGGTTTCATCATGTTGGCCAGGCTGGTCTCGAACTCCTGACCTCCAGTGATCCTCCCACCTTGACCTCCCATAGTGCTGGGATTATAGGTGTGAGCCACTACACCTGGCCTCTCCACAGCCCCTTCTGTGTTGAAGCCAAGACCCACCCAGCTTTGATCCCAAGGCTTGGGTTCCCCACTAGTGTGAAGTGAGTTTCCAAATTATTAGGTAAATCAGATATGAGAAAATATTTTATTTTACTTTTTTTTTTTTGAGACGCAATCTTGCTCCGTCACCCAGGCTGGAGTGCAATGGCACCATCTCCACTCACTGCAACCTCTGCCTTCTGGGTTCAAGCAATTCTCCTGCCTCAGCCTCCCAACTAGCTGGGATTACAAGTGCACACCACCACGCCCGGCTAACTTTTGTATTTTTAGTAGAGACAGGGTTTCACCGTGTTAGCCAGGCTGCTCTCAAACTCCTGACCTCATGATCCGCCCACGTCGGGCTCCCAAAGTGGTGGGATTACAGGTGTGAGCCATCACACCTGGCCCAAGAAAATATTTTTAAACTAGTATTCTTGACCGGCACGGTCAACACTGATGTAATTGAAACTGTTGTATTTGAAGTGTTAGCAAAGAAAGAGAATTCTGGTTCAACAGAAAAGTCAGTCACGACTTTTCAGTCACGCATGAATTACACAGTAACCAAATAGATAACATGCCATGACTGACGACGGGCCCACAACAAATCAGCTCCGACCAACAGGGTCCACACCACCATGGGTCTACACAGATCCAGGTCCCGCCTGTGAGCCTACAGTGACGCGGGCCCCTGTGGGGTGGTCCCTGCAGGTCAGGTCCCTGAGAGTGGGTCCCAGTGGGGTGATCCCTGCGGGTCGCGTCCCTGCGAGTTGGGTGCCTGCCGGGTGGCCCCTGCGGGTCGGGTGCCTGCGGGGTGGTCCCTATGGGTCGCGTCCCTGCGGGTCGGGTGCCTGCGGGGTGGCCCCTGGGAATCGCGTCCCTGCGGGTCGGGTGCCTGCGGGGTGGCCCCTGGGGATCGCGTCCCTGCGGGTCGGGTGCCTGCGGGGTGGCCCCTGGGGATCGCGTCCCTGCGGGTCGGGTGCCTGCGGGGTGGTCCTTGTGGGTCGCGTCCCTGTGGGGTGGTCCCTGTGGGTCGCGTCCCTGTGGGGTGGCCCCTGCGGGTCGCGTGGTGGCCCCTGCGGGTCGGGTGCCTGCGGGGTGGTCCCTGTGGGTCGCGTCCCTGCGGGTCGGGTGCCTGCGGGGTGGTCCCTGCGGGTCGCACCCCTGCGGCGTGGTCCCCCCGGGATGGGTCCACCGAGGAGGCCGCTGGAGGCCGAGCCCGCGCCCGCCCGCGGCGCCAAGATGGAGGCAGGAAGCGCCGCCGCCCGCGCCCGCCACCGCCCGCGCCGCCCGCCTGACGCCGCCGTTGCGCCTGACGCCGCCGCCCGCGCGGCCGCCCCTCCCCCGGCCCTCCCCTCCCCCCGCCGTAACGTCCTGACGCTCCGCAGGGACCCCTGACTGGACGGCGGCGCGTGAGCGGAGCGAGAGGCCTCGCCGCGGGGGGGCCGCGGGCTCGCCGGCGCCGCTTACCTGGGGCCGCGCCGGGCCTGCTTAGGCACCCGGCGGGGGCGGCGGCGTCGGGAGCTGCGGCGGCGGCGGGCGGCGGCGGCGGCCGCGGGCTTCGCTCCTTGTTGGGGATTCGGCGGCGGCGGCGGCGCGGGCGCGCGCTTCCTAGTGACGCAGGCGGCGGGGCCGCGCACGCACGGGGCTGGGAGGGCCGGACACTTATTTGGCGCTCGCGGAGGAGGAAGGCGGGGCCGTGAAATAAGGCCCGACGGGCCCCGGGGCGCGTGCGCGGACCGACACTGTCAGCTCCTAACGCCGCAGGTTCCTCCTGGTCCCCGAGGCCCCCGGTCGGGCGTTGCCTGCCCCGCGCGGGCGGCCGGGCCGAGGGACGATGGTCAGTGGACGGACGGCGCCAGGGAGCAGTGCCCACGCGCGGCAGGGCGGTACCTTCAGGCCTCCAGGTACGGGCGCTCCTCGCCCGGACGCTGCTGTGTGTGAATGGGCGCGAGGGGACTCCCCTGCGGGGCGGACGCCTGAACACGAGGCTGTGGAGGAGGACGCTGTAGGGTGCGCGGACTCACGCGGAACATGCCAGAGGCTCAGCCAGCCACGGCGCTCCCAGCGTGGAGGGCGAGGGGCATCCGGGAGCGGCCGGGAGGGCTCGGTCACCCCTCAAGCTGTCACCCCAGTCCCACAACCAGCACCCCGATCCTATCGCAGTCCCACAGCCGACACCCCGATCCCACCCCTGCCCAACAGCCGGCACCCACCCCAATCCCATAGCTAACACCCCGGTCCCACCGCTGTCCCACGGCCGGCACCCCGATCCCACCCCAGTCCCGCAGCTGGCACCCCGATCCCACCCCAGCCCAACAGCTGGCACCCACCCCGATCCCACCGCTGTCCCACAGCCGGCACCCCGATCCCACCCCAGTCCCGCAGCCGGCACCCCGATCCCACAGCCGGCACTCACCCCGATCGCATAGCATAGCTGATACCCCGATCCCACCCCAGTCCCATAGCCAGCACCCCGATCCCACCCCAGTCCCATAGCCAGCACCTCGATCCCATAGATGACACCCCGATCCCGCCCCAGTCCTATAGCCCGCACCCCGATCCCACCCGAGTCCCGCAGCCGGCACCCCATCCCACCCATGTCCCACAGTCGGCACCCCGATCCCACTCGGATCCGGCAGCCAGCTTGGATCCTGTGGCCCTCCTCCAGCCCCCAGGGCTCATTTATATGTTTTATTGGCAGAGGCTGGGGCTGGCTCTGTTGGCCTCTGTGCTGGGTTTCTTCCTCTGCACCGCAGGACTGGCTCTCCTGACCTCTCCAGGTGTCATCGAACACCCTTGTGCTTGCTGTCACCCGCTGCCTGTCTGCAGGATCCCGGATTCCGTATCAGGGGACCGAAATTAGTCGGAAAATAGGAAGCAGGTGCTCGCTTGGATGGAACCCTGACCCTGTGCTCACACTTGTAGGAGGAGGGCTCTGCAGGCCGCCTCCCGGAACGGGAGGTTCCCAAGCCACTGCACTTCGGAGGGGCTGTAATTAGAGTTGCACATTCATTCAGTTCCCAGTAAAGTAGAACGTGCTCCAGCCAGTGAGGAAAAGGTGTTTTTAAAAATTAGATTGGCCGAGTGCGGTGGCTCATGCCTTTTACCTCAACACTTTGGGAGACAAAGGTGGGAGGATCACCTGTGGCCAGGAGTTCAAGACCAGCCTGGGCAACAGAGCCTGTCTCTGGGGAAGAATAAAAAAAAAAATTGAGCCTTTGTCAGTGCTACTATTTTATTATCTGGTAAATATGAGAGGGTTCACGCGGTCTATGTGTGTCATTTATCTGAGTTTGCCTATCGTCACGTTTTGGAAATAAATGTCAATAAAGTCGAAGAGGAGTGCTGAGGGGGGCCTGGGGATGGGAGGGTGGCTACATCATGCCTGTGTGTTGCGCAAGCCCACCGAGGTCGGCCTGGGGTGAGCCCTGGGGCCTGTTCTGCCTCCTTCACTCTGGGGCTCCAAGAGACAAACTGGGCAACAAGAGAGAAACTCCATCTAAAAAAAAAGAAAAATCACCTCCAAGATAACTTAGCTTTCTTCTGCTGGCATAACAAATTATCTCAAACTTAGTCGCTTAAAAATGCAAATTTAGGCTGAGTGCGGAGGCTCACGCCCATAATCCTAGCACTTTGGGAGGCCAAGGCAGGATTGCTTGAGGCCAGGAGTTCGAGACCAACATGGCCAGAACTGTCTCTTTTTAAAAAATGCAAATGTGTCCGGCACGGTGGCTCACGCCTATAATCCCAGCACTTTGTGAGGCCAAGGCGGGCAGATCACGAGGTCAGGAGATAGAGACCATCCTGGCTAACACTGTGAAACCCCCTCTCTACTAAAAATACAAAAAATTAGCCTGGCGTGGTGGCAGGCGCCTGTAGTCCCAGCTACTCGGGAGGCTGAGGCAGGAGAATGGCGTGAACCCAGGAAGCGGAGCTTGCAGTGAGCCGAGATGGCGCCACTGCACTCCAGCCTAGGCAACAGAGCAAGACTCCGTCTCAAAAAATAAATAAATAAAACTGCAAATGTATTCTCTAACTGTTCTGTAGGTCGGAAGTCCAGCCCAGCCTCACTCCGCCAAAATCAGGGTGTCTGCAGGGCCGATTGCTTTTGGAGCTCCAGGGGAGAAGCTGTTCTGGCCTTTCCAGTTTCTGGAAGCACTTGAGCCCCTTGTCTCGTGGCCTATCCCACACCTGAAAGCCAGCCAAAGCCAGTTGAGTCCTCACCCTGTTGGCCCCGACACTGATCTCCTGCCTCCCTCATCTGCTGTCAAGGCCCCTTGTGATGACATGGGGCCACCAGCTGGCCCAGGGCACCTCCTGTCAGAGTCCGCCGACCAGTGACCTTCATTCCATCTGTCGCTGTAATTCCCCTTTGCTTGGAACCAACGTTCACAGATCCCAGGGGTTAGGATGTGAATATCTTGGGCAGGGCTGTGGGGGGGCTATTCTTCCTTCTAAAATATTTATCATTTTTGTTTTGGGGATTTTTTTGGTTTGGTTTTTTTTGAGACAGAGTCTCGCTCTGTCGCCCAGGTTGGAGTGCAATGGTGCAATCTCAGCTCACTGCAACCTCTGCCTCCGGGCAGACGTGAGCCACTGCACCAGGCCTGTTTTTGTTTTTGTTTGTTTTGTTTTGTTTTTGAGATGGAGTCTCGGCCGGGCGCGGTGGCTCACGCCTGTAATCCCAGCACTTTGGGAGGCCGAGGCGGGCGGATCACGAGGTCAGGAGATCGAGACCATCCTGGCTAACACGGTGAAACCCCGTCTCTACTAAAAATACAAAAAATTAGCCGGGCGTGGTAGCGGGCGCCTGTAGTCCCAGCTACTCGGGAGGCTGAGGCAGGAGAATGGCGTGAACCCGGGAGGCGGAGCTTGCAGTGAGCCGAGATCGCGCCACTGCACTCCAGCCTGGGCGACAGAGCGAGACTCCGTCTCAAAAAAAAAAAAAAAAAAAAAAAAGAGATGGAGTCTCACTTTGTCACCCAGGCTGGAGTGTAGTGGCGGGATTATAGGTACGCGCCATCATGCCCAGTTACTTTTTGTATTTTTAGTAGAGACAGGGTTTTACCATGTTGGTCAGACTGGTCTCAAACTCCTGATCTCAGGTAATCCACCCGCCTCAGCCTCCCAAAGTGCTGGGATTACAGACGTGAGCCACCGTGTCTGGCCATATTTATTAACTACAAAGGGAAAGATGATAATTTTTTTTTTTGAGATGGAGTCTCACTCTGTCACCCAGGCTGGAGTACAATAGCGTGATCTTGGCTCACTGAAACCTCTGCCTCCCAGGTTCAAGCGATTCTCCTGCCTCAGCCTCCCAACTAGCTGGGATTACAGGCGCACGCTACCAAGCCCAGCTAATTTTTGTATTTTTAGTAGAAACGGAGTTTCACCATGTTGGTGAGGCTGGTCTCGAACTCCTGACCTTGTGATCTGCCCACCTCGGCCTCCCAAAGTGCTGGGATTATAGGCATGAGCCACTGCAACCGGCTGAAAGATGGTAATTTTAAAGTAGAGAAACTGGGTTGGCTGGGCATGGTGGCTTATGCCTGTAAGCTCAGCACTTTGGAAGTCCAAGGCAAGAGGATCGCTTGAGTCCAGGAGTTTGAGACCAGCCTGGACAATATAGCAAGACCCCATCTCCGCAAAAGCTAAAAAGTTAGCCAGGTGTGGCGGCACATGCCTGTAGTCCCAGCTACTCAGGAGGCTGACGTGGGAGGATCACTTGAGACCAGGAGGTCAAGGCTGAAGTGAGCTGTTATTGTGCCACTGCACTCAGCCTGGGCAACAGAGCGAGAGTCTGTCTCCAAAGGTAAAAAAAGGTCCAGGCACAGTGGCTCACACCTGTAATCTCAGCACTTTGGGAGGCCGAGGCGGGCAGATTCGTTGAGGTCAGGAGTTCAAAACGAGCCTGGCTAAATGGTGAAACCCCGTCTCTACTAAAAATACAAAAAAATTAGCCAGGCATGGTGACGGGCGCCTGTAATCTCAGCTACTTGGGAGACTGAGGCAGGAGAATCATGTAAACCCAGGAGGCTGAGGTTGCAGCGAGCCAAGATCATGCCACTGCACTTCAGCCTGGGCGACAGAGCAAGACTGTCTCAAAACAAAACAAAAGAATCTTGAGTCCTGAGTTCCTCTAAGGGAAATTCCAGGCACCTCGCCACCCTTGACAGGCAAAGGAACAATCTGATGAGGAAGAAGATAGAAACAGCTTAAACAATAGTCTCCCGGCCGGGGGCAGTGGCTCACGCCTGTAATCTGAGCACTTTGGGAGGCCGAGGCGGGTGGATCACAAGGTCAAGAGATCAAGACCATCCTGGCTAACATGGTGAAACCCCGTCTCTACTAAAAATACAAAAAATTAGCCGGGCGTGGTGGTGGGTGCCTGTAGTCCCAGCTACTCGGGAGGCTGAGGCAGGAGAATGGCGTGAACCCAGGAGGCGGAGCTTTCAGTGAGCTGATATCGCGCCTCTGCACTCCAGCCTGGGCGACAGAGCCTCGAGACTCCATCTCAAAAAAAAAAAAAAATTAGCTGGGTGTGGTGGCTCACACCTGTAATCCCAGCTACGTGGCAGGCTGAGGCAGGAGAATCGCTTGAACCTGGGAGGCGGAGGTTGTAGGGAGCTGAGATCGCACCACTGCACTCCAGCCTGGGCAACAGAGCGAGACTCTGTCTCAAAGAAAAAAAAAAAAAACAAAAAAACAATAGTCTCCCAAGTAAGTCAGAGTCACAAGGTGTTTTGATTCCCTGTGGAAACTAAAATATAACAGCTTAACATATGTTCTTGAGTTATTTTTCAGAAACTTGGACATCCACCAGGTGGAAAATGCTGAGCTAGGAACAGTGGCTATAATTTCAGCCTTTTGAGAGGCCAAGGTGGAAGGATCACTTGAGGCCAGGAGTTAGAGACCAGCCTGGCCAACATGGTGAAACCCCGTCTCTAGTAAAAATACAAATATTAGCTGGGCATGGTGGTGCAACCTGAAATCCCAGCTACTTGGGAGACCTAGCTGGGAGGATCGCTTGAACCTGGTAGGAGGAGTTTGCAGTGAGCTGAAATTGTGCCACTGCACTCTAGCCTGGGCAACAGAGTGAGACTCTGTCTCAAAAAATAAATAAATAAAAAGAGAAAAAAGTGTTGCCTGCAGGCCGGGCACAGTGGCTCACGCCTGTAATCCCAACACTTTGGGAGGCCGAGATGGGCAGATCACCTGAGGTCAGGAGTGCAAGAACAGCCTGGCCAACATGGTGAAACCCCATCTCTACTAAAAATACAAAAGTTAGCTGGGTGTGTACATGTAGTCTCAGCTACTTGGGAAGCTGAGGCAGGAGAATCTCTTCAACCGGGGAGGTGGAGGTTGCGATGAGCTGAGATCACGCCACCACACTCCATCCAGCCTGGGTGACAGAGTGAGACTCCATCTCAAAGCAAAAAAAGAAACATAGGTGGGACCCTTGGTGTGTCCTTAGGGCATGATGGTTGAGGTATACTGCTGGTCCTGTCATGTAAAAGAAAACGAGCCGACTCTGTGTCTACTGGAGAAAGCACTGCATATATCAGCCACAGTCAATACCTCGCTTCTGCAGGGACGGTGGCTGCCAGAGTGGGAGGCTTTGGTAGCACCCATGTCGTGGAATCACAATGTTGTCGATAGCTCTGGGGTCTTGTACAAAATGCCAGATCCTCCCATTTGGTTTCCTTATGGGAAGGATCGCAGTACTATAATACATGGGCTTGTGCAAGGGATCATTATACCCTTTTCTCTTTTTTTGCTTTTCTTTGAGACAGAGTTTCACTCTCGTCACCCAGGCTGGAGTGCAATGGCGCGATCTTGGCTCACTGCAACCTCCACCTCCTGGGTTCAAGTGATTTTCCTGGCTCAGCCTTCTGAGTAGCTGGGATTACACATGCCCGCCACCAGGCCTGACTTATTTTTGTATTTTTAGTAGAGACAGGGTTTCACCAAGTTGGTCAGGCTGGTCTTGAACTCCTGACCTCAGGTGATCCACCCACCTCGGCCTCCCAAAGTGTTGGGATTTCAGGCATAAGCCACCAGGCCCAGCCTTTCTTTCTTTTTAAAATTAATCTTTGTTTAAAAATACTCTCATTTTTTATTTAATTGTAGCACTCCTAGATCCCGAAAGCAGATACACTCTTGTTATGGGTCTGATTCTTTTCATTGCTTCACGCCTTAGAGGATATTGTCCAATACTGGATAAAAGTTTACTCAGGTCTACTTCCACTTTAACGGGGATGGCTGAATATCTCTTCCACTTGGCTGTTCGTTTATAATGAACTGACAAACATACAAATTTTCTTGAGTTCTGTGAGACATTCTAGTAAATCATCTAACCTGAAGAGCAGGTTGTGAGAACCCCTGATTTAGAAAGCCCAGTGGTCATAAATATAAGTGGCTCTGGACTGGCTCCCGGGGTCTGAAGTGTGGGCAGTCGGTTAGGATTGAGCCCTTGTAATTTGTAGGATCTGACACACCCTCCAGGAAGGCAGTGTCAGAATTTACCTGTATTATATTGGACACCCAGTTAGCGGTTGGAGAATTGGTTGCTGGTATAGAAAAATACCAAATATTTTATGTCAGGGGAGTGAAAGAAAAAACAAAAACCCGGCCGGGCGCGGTGGCTCACGCCTGTCATCCCAGCACTTTGGGAGGCCGAGACGGGCGGATCACGAGGTCAGGAGATCGAGACCATCCTGGCTAACACGGTGAAACCCCATCTCTACTAAAAATACAAAAATTAGCCGGGCGTGGTGGCGCGCGCCTGTAGTCCCAGCTACTCGGGAGGCTGAGGCAGGAGAATGGCGTGAACCCGGGAGGCGGAGCTTGCAGTGAGCCCAGATCGCGCCACCGCACTCCAGCCTGGGCGACAGAGCGAGCTCCGTCTCAAAAAAAAAAAAAAAAAAAAAACCCATACACTTTAAGGAAAGCAACTGACAGCATTTGTTACCAGTGATAAAATTTGAGCTTTGAAGTAAGAATAACAATTTTGCCATTGTGCCCGGGCCAAGAAAAAAAAAAGAATTTTGCCATTGTGAAAGGCTTCCCAGTACTTTCTGATGAGCTTGACGGTGATATTAACAAATAACTTTTTTTTTTTTTTTTTGAGATGGGGTCTTGCTCTGTCACCCAGGCTGGAGTGCAGTGGTTCAATCTCAGCTCACTGCAACCTCCGCCTCCCAGGTTCAAGCGATTCTCCTGCCTCAACGTCCCAAGTCGCTGGACTACAGGTGTGCGCCACCACGTCCAGATAATTTTTGTATTTTTAGTAGAGATGGGGTTTCACCATGTTGCCCAGACTGGTCTCAAACTCGTGACCTCAGGCGACCCGCCCACCTCGGCCTCCCAAAGGTGGGAGGCCTTGCTGGGATTAGAGGTATGAGCCGCTGCACCTGGCCTCTTGTCCTTGTGTTTTGCAGTGATGCAATGACCATGTCTTACATTTGCAACCAGAAAAAAAGGTTAGTGTAACAATGTTTATCCTGTTTTTCCCAGAGTAGACATTATGAAGATTAAAAAAATTTGAAAGTGTTTTGAATATAATAAACTATGCTATACACACAACATTTTGGTGACTAGAAATACAAGTTTATTGTTTGTTGTTTGTTGAGACAGGGCCCTGCTCTGTCTCCCAGGCTGGGTGGCACAATCATGGCTCACTACAGTCTTGAACTCCTGGGCTTAAGCGATCCTCCCACCTCAGCCTCCAGAGTAGCTGGGACTGCAAACGAGCACCACCACGCCTGGCTAATATTTGTATTTTTTGTAGAGATGGGGTTTCACCATGTTGCCCAGACTGGTCTCAAACTCCTGGGCTCAAGCAATGCTCCTGCCTCGGCCTCCCAAAGTGCTGGGATCACAAGTATGAGCCACTGCACCCGGCTGAGTTTCTGTTGTTTTAAGCCGCTTCATTTGTGGTACTTCTTACAGCAGTCCCAGGAAACTGAGCAACTGCAGAACATCAAAATTGTTTTTCTTCAGCAAAAGGAGAAGCACTTGTGGTTGGCACCAGCTTTTCCTGTGCTCACTTCTGCATGGCCGCACCTTTGCCCGACACGAGTGCACAGCAGGCTGTGGGGGAGCAACTGGTTGAGTCAGGCCTCCACTTGTGCCGTATCCCCACCTGCTTTGCTGGACACCCCTGTTTGGGGGGCACCCACTGCTGCCCCAGACACCAAGCAAGCACCAGCTGTGTCCAAAACATACAGTCACTGTCTTGGCCCGTTTTGTGCTGCTGTAACAGAATGCCACAGACTGGGTAATTTAATACAGAACAGAAATTTATTTCCTCAAAGTTTTGGAGGCTGGGAAGTCCAAGAGCAAGGGGCCATCAGGTCAGGGCCTGGTCTCTGCTTCCACGATGGCACCTTGACCACCGTGTCCTCACGTGGTCAGAGAGAGCCCACTCCCAGGAGCCCTTTTAATAGAGCAGAACACTGCTGCGCTGCGGTTAAGTTTCCAACACGTGAACTTCGGAGGTGACACATTCAGATCATAGCAGTCACTCTAGGCAGAGTGTCTGATGTGGTTTTAAAATACGTTCACAGACTGGCCGGGCACTGTAGCTCACGTCTGTAATCCCAACAGTTTGGGAGGCCAAGGTGGGTGGATCACCTGAGGTCAGGAGTTCAAGACCAGCCTCACCAACATGGTGAAACCCCATCTCTACTAAAAATACAAAATTAGCCAGGTGGTGCATGCCTGTAATCCCAGCTACTCGGGAGGCCGAGGCTGGAGAATCGCTTGAATCCAGGAGGTGGAGGTTACAGTGAGTCGAGATCATGCCATTGCACTCCAGCCTGGGCAACAAGAGCGAAACTCTGTCTCAAAAAATAAAATAAAATAAAATACATTCACAAGGCCGGGCACTGTGGCTCACGCCTGTAATCCCAGCTACTTGGGAGACTGAGGCAGGAGAATCGCTTATAACCTGGGAGGTGGAGGTTGCAGTGAGCTGAGATCACACCGCTACACTCTAGCTTGGGCAACAAGAGTGAAACTCCGTCTCAAAAAAGTAAAATAAGGCCAGGCATGGTGGCCCACACCTGTAATCCCAGCACTTTAGGAGGCCAAGGCGGTCGGATCACGAGGTCAGGAGTTCGAGACCAGCCTGGCCAACATGATGAAACCCCGTCTCTACTAGCCTAGCCAACATGGGGAAACCCTGTCTCTACTAAAAATACAAAAATTAGCCAGGCGTGGTGGTGCGTGCCTGTAATCCCAGCTACTCAGGAGGCTGAGGCAGGAGAATCGCTTGAACCCAGGAAGCAGAGGGTGCAGTGAGCCAAGATTGCGCCGCTGCTCTCTAGCCTGGGCGACAGAGCGAGACTCCATCTCTAAATAAATAAATAAAATAAGAAAATAAAATATGTTCACAAATCCTTTGACATTCCTCACCTCAAAAGCTGGAACCCAACTCCCTCCTAAGCATGAGTCTTCTCAGTGACTCACTTCTAACAGCAGATCTTACATGGTTCCCCACACCCAGAGGACATTGGGTTCCTCCCAATATCCCCCCACCCAGCGACCCCCACCCAGGTCGCTGGCTTTGGGTCCCCCAGAGCCATGTTTCAAGGACACTCAGGCAGCCCCTGGATGTCCATGTGGTAAGGAATGAAGGCCTCCTGCCTGCAGCCTCGGGAGGGAGCATTCTCAGAAGAGGATGCCCCACCTCCTGCCCAGCCTTCAGATGGCCAGGACCTCGTCCAACGTCCTGACTGCAACATCATGAGAGACTCCGAGCCAGAAACCCCCAGGTTTTGTACTCCTGACTTATGGGAACTGACAGATAATGTTCGTTGTTAATTAAGGGGTGACTTGTCACACACAATAGGTCACTAAACAGCTCTGTCTGGCCTCCCAGGAGGAGCCTGCCTTTCCTTTTCTTCATGGGAAAAGTGCGATCAGTTTGTGAAGGAATGTCCGCCCCCACTTGATGCCAGAGGCTCCACATGGTGACTGTCATAAACTCCATCTGCCCTCAGTGCCTTGCCAGCACCCGGCCTGCGATCAGCTTGGTCTTGCGGGAGGCCAAGGCCCACGTGTGTTTGTGTGTGGTGTCTGTGTCTGCGTGCCCATGCATGCCCAGGGTACAGGGATGCCATATACAAATTCTTTCAATGTTGTATGTGGCATGTGTGTGTCTGTATGCCCAGGATACAGGGATGCTATATACAAACTCTGTTTTTTCGTTTTTTTTTTTTTGAGACAGAGTCTTGCTGTTTCGCCCAGGCCGGACTGCAGTGGCGCTATCTCGGCTCACTGCAAGCTCCACCTCCCGGGTTCACGCCATCCTCCTGCCTCAGCCTCCTGAGTAGCTGGAACTACAGGCGCCCGCCACCACACCCGGCTAATTTTTTGTATTTTTAGTAGAGACGGGGTTTCACCATGTTAGCCAGGATGGTCTTGATCTCCTGACCTCGTGATCCACCCGCCTCAGCCTCCCAAAGTGCTGGGATTACAGGCATGAGCCACCGCGCCTGGCCTACAAACTCTTTCTTTTTTTTTTTTTTTTTTTTGAGATGGAGTCTCACTGTCTTCCAGGCTGGAGTGCAGTGATGCGATCTCAGCTCACTGCAAGCTCCACCTCCCGGGTTCATGCCATTCTCCTGCCTCAGCCTCCCAAGTAGCTGGGACTACAGGCACACACCACCACGCCCAGCTAATTTTTTGTGTTTTTAGCAGAGATGGGGTTTCACCATGTTAGCCAGGATGGTCTCGATCTCCTGACCTCGTGATCCGCCCGCCTCGGCCTCCCAAAGTGCTGGGATTACAGGCGTGAGCCACTGCGCCCAGCCTGCAAACTCTTTCAATGTCTTTCTTTTCTCTCTCCTGCCATCTTCTCCCTTGCAGATTTCTTTTGTCTCTAGGTCTTCCCCAGCTGAGTCCGAGGTCCTGACTTGCCCACGCTCCCTGGACTGGAGGAGAGGTGATAGCAAGAGCTCCTTCAAGCCCAGGAATGCCACCAGGGCTGCCCTGGGAGAGGAGGAAGCTGGGTCTCTCGGGGTTGTGGGGACCAGACACCCTTCTAAGACATGGACTCAGCACAGAAAGTCTAGACATCCACTACAAACACATCTCCCTCCTAACAGGGGGCCCCTGGGCACCCCAAGTGGCTGTTTGGTGGGACAGGCATGTCCATCAGTCAGAATATCTTTATTTTTTATTTTTTATTTTTTATTTTTGAGAGAGTTTCACTGGAGTGCAATGGCACGACCTCAGCTCCCTACAACCTCCGCCTCCCAGGTTCAAGCGATTCTCCTGCCTCAGCCTGCCACGTAGCTGGGATTACAGGTGTGAGCCACCACACCCAGCTAATTTTTTTTTTTTTTTTTTGAGATGGAGTCTCGAGGCTCTGTCGCCCAGGCTGGAGTGCAGAGGCGCGATCTCAGCTCACTGAAAGCTCCGCCTCCTGGGTTCACGCCATTCTCCTGCCTCAGCCTCCCGAGTAGCTGGGATTACAGGCATGAGCCACCGCGCCCGGCCAATTTTGTATTTTTAGTAGAGACAGGGTTTCACCATGTTGGTCAGGCTGGTCTTGAACTCCTGACCTCAGGTGATCCACCTCCCTCGGCCTCCCAAAGTGCTGGGATTACAGGCCTGAGCCACCACGCCCAGCCCAGAACGTCTTCTTACTTTTTATTACTCTGTCCCCCATCCTGGGTCCAGACCTGTGACCGTGAACAACCGGCTGCCCAGGGGTGAATGGGGTGAGTGGGGTGAGTCCACAGAACAGTGGGGTGCAGCCCCAGGGGTCTCGTAGCACCTGCCCCCATGTCAGGAAGTCCCACAGCCTAGAGGCTCCAGCCTCAGATGCATACATATGTAGGCCCTGCCCTTTCCTCCTGAGCGGCGGGCCACAGAGTCCTGAACAACAGGAAGCCCCTGAGGAGGGCTCCGCCCTGAGGGAGGGCAGGGGAGCCCCCGCCAGCCCCACCCACAGCAGCGGGCCCTGCCACCCCCCACCCTGACACCTCACCCCTTGGATTCCAGAGAGGAAAGTGGGCTTGTGTGTAGTTTACATGCTCATATCTTAAAATCACTGTTGTCAATAGAACAATTCATAATCATGATGATAAAATAAGATTTATAACCAGCTTCAGTCTGGAGATACACACAGAGCAGATCTTCACTCCCAGACAGGGAGCCCGCAGCTGCCCCCGACCCCACAGGTGCAGGACACACACAGACAGTTCAACCATGTCTTAAACACACAGGTGTTTATTTAATTGTTCATTTGATTGAATTTTTAAGTTCACTTTACTACGTGGATGAGATGGGTGCATATTACAGTAGGCTTTCGCTATGAGCGCTGCCACCATGAGGAATATCCCAGCCCTCAGTTCTGCTTCCCTTTCTGAGTCCCACAAAAGCCAGATGTGGACAGCCTTGGGTTCCCATCCCAGCTGGCTGCTCCTTCTGGGGCTGTCTTGGTGGGGAGAGGGAGATGGGGCAGTGGGTCCCTGCTGACCCCTGAGCCCTGCAGGGGTCAGGATCCTCCCGTGGTCCCTGGGTGTGACTCTGGAAGACACTGGCAGTGCCCGGCCAAGGCCTCCCGCAGGATGGAAGTTGAGGGCCCTGGCTCTGGGTCCTAAGAGAACTCAGCCGCCCCCTTCACACTTTACAGCAAGGGGCCAGGCAGCAGCTTTGGGATGGGGCTTCCGTGGAGAAGTGGGGGATGCTGCAGTGGTACAAAGACAGCCTCCCCCACCGCCATCCTCCAGCTGACCGTCCTCCAAGGCCAGCACTGGGCGTCCAAGGGAAAGAAGGAACTCAGCCCAGAGGGTGTGGGCAGGAGAGGCCTGGAGTCAGGCCTCCACCCACAGCCCCCTCTGGGTGCCAAGTGGGAAGGGTGTTGGGGCTGGCTTGGGAACCTTACCCGCTGCCCTTCCAACACCTGGATCTGTGGGCAGCGGTCCCACAAAATCCCCCTTGGGGCTCCCTGAGGAGGACTTGTGGCTGCCGCTTCCACCAGGGCAGAGGGCACAGGAGGGGCCAGCACTCCAAAGGGCTCTAGGGTGGGTCTTTCAAGGACATCTGCAAAGCCCTGGTGGGGAGGGGCCTGGGCCAGAGGCTCTTTGGAACTCTTGCACTTCTGAGTGGGGGACTGTCCATGCTGCCCACAACCTCTAGACCATGCAGCCTGCTCATGGGTCCCTGGCAGAGAATGCCCACTCCCCAGCAGACTCAGGGCAGGCCCCCAACTGCAGGCTTCCAGGAAGGCCCAGGGTGTCCACCTCACGCCAGGTGGTCTCAGAGGACCCCTGTGCAACCACATTAAGGAAAGCTGCAGCCCCCACCCACCCGCCTGCCAGTTCAACAAGCACCGGCTGCACACGCAGGCTCCCAGGCACCATCACCCCCCTCCCCCGTCGCCCCTCCCTCATGGGGAGCCCCTTCCCCCTGGAAAGACAGCAGGTACTGTAGCCTCGCCTGCTGGCCAGGGGCGCCGGCTCAGAGGACCTGCCCTGACCTGCACGTGCTGACCAGACAGCCCAGCGTAAGGACCCGTGATCCCACGCCACCGCCCTGGGTTTACCACGGTCACCGCCACCTCTCTCACAGGGCCCCCGGGGGACCCAGCCGCGCCCGGCCTGGTGTCTGCACCGAGGGACCGCGTCTCACGCCCGGCGGCTCCTGCAGGGGAAGCCGTGGTCAGCGACTCACCACGAGGACAGGGCAGGGCGGCTGAGTGCGGAAGAGAAGCATGAAGCTGGGGGCGGGGGTGGGGGAGGAGGAACAAAAGTTGCATCTAGACAGAGGTGAACGAAACAAAACCAAAACCCGAACGTGTTCTGTCGCAGGATGGGCGCCGCCCGTCCCGGGCCCTTAGCCCGACATCTCTTCTCGCTGCTCCTTGTTCCTGCGCACCTCGGCCGCGTGCAGCTCCTGCAGGACAGGGGGCGGGAGGGCCTGAGGGCGGGGGTGGCTTGGGGCGACTCCGGGAACCCCCAGGCGCGCAGGCCGTGGCGCCCTGGCACCCGCCCGGCCTCATCCGGGCTGGCCTTCGGCAGGACCCTGACTGAGTTGAGGGGGCGGGAGCACCGGGGAGGCGCAGAGCAAGGCCAGGGACCAAGGACGGGTTTCCTGGGAGCTGGCTGGGCCCCGCTTCTAGCTCGTACCGGAGCCGAGCTTCCTTCAGGGCACTTTCAATATAATGAATTTAGCCATCTATTACTGCGGCTAGTTACTGTCCCGCCAGGACCAGACTCTGGACCTGCCTCGTGCGCTGCTGGGGACGCCCAGTAAACACGGGAGGA
Organism: Homo sapiens; assembly: GCF_000001405.40. NCBI lineage: Eukaryota > Metazoa > Chordata > Mammalia > Primates > Hominidae > Homo > Homo sapiens. The sequence goes on from NC_000020.11 coordinate 63,641,769, forward strand.
GCCCCCGACCCCCACCCCAGCTCAGCGCCTCGGAGTCCCCGGCCCCGCTCTGCGCCCCTCCGAGCTCCGCCCTAGCCCCGCCCCCGCCCAGTGCCCCGCCCCCTGCCTGCTGCTAGCCCTGCCCCCGCCCCGGCCCCTGCCCGCTCCGAGCTCCGCCCCGGCCCCGCCCCGGCCCCTGCCCGCTCCGAGCTCCGCCCTGGCCCCGCCCCCGCCCAGTGCCCCGCCCCCTGACTGCTGCTAGCCCTGCCCCCGCCCCGGCCCCTGCCCGCTCCGAGCTTCGCCCCGGCCCCGCCCCGGCCCCTGCCCGCTCCGAGCTCCGCCCCGGCCCCGCCCCCGCACCTTCTCGCGCAGCCGCTCGCGCAGTGCGGCCAGGTGTGCCTCGCGGATCTCCTTGCTGAGCTCCATCTTGTAGTTGAGCTTCTCCTCCGCCTGGCGGCTGAAGTTGTTATTCTCCTCCAGCGCCTTGTGCAGCACCTCGCGCTCGTGCTCGCGCCGCTCCGCCAGCTGCTTCAGCACCTGCGCCTCCTGCGTCTGTGCGGGGCCGGCGGGCGCGCGTGAGCGGCAACCCCGGGCCCTGCCCGGCCGGACTCCTCCCTGCTCTCCGCCTCCCGCCCAGCGCCCGCTCGCCTCACCTGGCGCCTCCACCTGCCCAGGCCTCGGTGGGCGCCGGGACCCCCGGGCGCTGCCCTGGGAACCCTCGCCTGCCATCCGGCCTGTGGTCGGGGCAGGGCCAGGGGGTCGCGATCCGCCGCCCCCGCCCCCGTCCCTGCCTCGCGCGCGGGTCCCGCGGTCCTGGCTGCGCCCAGGGCCCCCGCCATACCCTGCCGCCACTGCACACCCTGCCCTGCGCGTCTGCCCCTCCAAGGACCAGCAGCAAGAAACCCTAAACTTGTGGGCGGTCTCTGAGCTTTGTCTCTTCCTCGGACATCCGCCCACTGAGCAGAGTAGCTGCTTGTTACACACCGGGTTCCCAGCTCCCAATTAGGTGCCCAGGAGCGGAGGGTCCCCAGGGATGCTGGGGGAGGGGCCGGCTGGTGACCCCTGGGAGGAGAGCGGGGCAGCAGGACCCGCACCCACATGCCAGTCCCTACTAGTCAGCCCTGTGAACCCTGGTCTCTGGCCTCACCGGGAAGGGAACGGAGCCGCTTCCCCTGCCCAATGCGTTGGCCTCCAGGGTGGCACCCCCAAAAGGACATTTTTATCTCTGTTTCAGTCTCAGAGGGGCTGGTGGGAGGGGAGGCTGCAGGGAGGGGACCTGGAGCCCACACCCACCTCTCCCAGGGCCCCTCCGCCCTCCAGCAAGCCTCAGGGTCTTCACACATGAGGCCCTTCCTCCAGCTTCCCTGTCTGGGAGAGGGATGCCCCACCCGACGTCCCCAGGGCCCATCTGGGGACCACCCCCTAGCATCCTGCTGGCCCTGACAAGGGTGCCTCCCACCCTCACCAGAGGCTCCTGCTCCTTCCAGGTGGCCGCCTCGGAACCCTTCCTCCTCTCCATCCCTTTCTTTTTTTGTTCTTGTTTGTTTTTTGAAATGGAGTCTCACCCTGTCGCCCGGGCTGAGGAGTGCAGTGGCGCAGTCTCGGCTCACTGCATCCTCCACTTCTTGGGTTCAAGCAATTCCCCTGCCTCAGACTCCCTAGTAGGTGGGATTACAGGTGTGCACCACCACACCTGGCTAATTTTGTATTTTTAGTACAGATGGGGTTTCACCATGTTGGCCAGGCTGATCTTGAACTTCCAACCTCAAGTGATCTGCCTGCCTCAGCTTCCCAAAGTTCTGGGATTACAGGCGTGAGCCACCACACCCGGCCTCTCCCCATCCCATTCTTATCTCTCAGAAAGAGGCCCAGGGAGCCACAGCCCCTCCTGCTCCAGGCCAAGGCACTGACCAAGCCTGTCCGGGAGCACCCTGCTTCTTGCAGGCCCTGTCCCCGTGGGCCGCCTCCGTTGAAACTCCTGGGGGGTGGGGGATGGAGGACTCCTTGCCTTCCTCCGCTCCTCGGCTGCCTCCAGCCGCTTTTGCAGCTCCTCCAGGGAGGTGTCCTTCTTCTTGGGTGGGGAGGAGAGCATAGGGCTCTCTGGGGACAGGTCAGAAGGGGACTTGAGGATGACCTCGAAGCTCTGGCCTGAGGCCCGCTTGTCCAGCTGCTTCACCTCCATGTCTGCAGGGCAAGACCAGAGTAGAGCTTCAGAGGCCCGGCCAGGGCATGGCGTGGGCTGAGCGGGATGCTCCCAGCACACATCCAACCCCAGGGCTGGGCGAGAGGGGGTGGCTGCTCCCGCAGGAATCCCAGGCTTCAGCCCCCAGGATGGGCCCCTTCCCCCTAGAACCTCCCTCTCCAGAGGCAGCCAGGACGGGAGTTCAGAGAGACTGCCGGAGGCCGGGGGAAAAGGTGAGGTGGGCAGGCACCGCAGGGAAGGGCAGGCGGCAGCCAGGCACTCACCCCCGTACTGGTAGACGGTATTGGGGTGCGGCTGTGTGTAGAAGCAGGAGCAGATGAGCGACAGCACCGACAGCTCCTTCATCTTCTCCTTGTAGGCTGTGGGCACAAGGCTGGGCTGAGCAAGCACCACTGGGGCCTGCCCACCTGGGCCCCCGTTTTCCCTCCCCATGGCTGCCTCTATCATGTCTCTGTGAGACACGGAGCTGCCCAGCACGCTCTCTTGTGTGTCTCCACACCGCCGGCCCCTTCGTCTCTCCAGCTCTCTCGCTTCCAGACGTCGGCACTGTCTCCGTGGTGTGTCCCCTGCCTTCTGTCTCTCTCGCCCTCTGCCTCTCCCCGCTTTTCCTCTCTCTCGGCATTAATGTCTGTCTCATCTTCCACACTGACTTGTTTCTCCATCCTTCTCCTGCCTGCTGTGGTCTGAATGTTTCCATTACCCAAAACTCATGTGTTGAAATCGTAACCCCAAGGTGCCGGTGTGCGGAGGTGAGGCATTCGGAGGGAATTAGGCCATGAGGATAGAGCCCTCCTAAGTGGCCCCAGAGTGGGGCTTCAGAGAACTCCCTCACCTTCCATCATGTGAGGACACAGCCAGAAGACGCCACCCGTCTATGTACCAGGAGGCGAGACCTCTCCAGGCACCGACTCTGCCGGCACCTTGATCCTGGACTTTCTGGCCTCCAGAGCGATGGGAAATAAGTTCCTGTCGTCTATAAACCACTCAGTCTCAGGTACCTGCCCAGACTGACAAAGTGGCTACCCCTGCCTGTCTGGGTCTCTGTTTACCTTCTGTGTGTCTGACTCTGTCACTGTCATTGTATCTTTCTGTGTCTCTGGGGGTAGCCCCTGACTCTGTCTTTCTCCCTGAGTGCATCTTTCTGTGATTCCTTGTCACTGTGTGTCTTTCTGACTCTTACCTCCCTCTGTCCCGCTACTTCTCTCTCCCCTCCTCCTCCTTCCCACTCCTCGCCAGCTCAAGCAGGCAAGATTTACTCATGACGGGACCAGCACAGATGCAAACCCTCTGTGGGCAGGACTTTCTTGGGCTGTAAACCTGGATGAAGCCCTCAGACCCTCCTTTTTCCTTCCCAATGATTGTGTGGTCACCTTGAGATGAAACCAGGCCCTCTCCAGGCACATGCTCTCTGTCTATCTAGGGCTGGGCTTGGGCCACTGATGCCACCAAGGAGCAAGGGAGGGAAGCTGTCCGTTCAGCACCACAGCCAGCCCTCTTGCCCATTCAGGTCAATCAAGTGCCCACCAGCCAGTGTCCCTGCTGCCCAACCCAAACCAGAAGCAAGCCGGGCTCCTGTGGCCCTGTGCCCTGTCAGGGGAAGAGGAAGGCGCCTGCTGTCACAGTGAAAATAATTTAGCTCTTTTGGTCTATTCAGGGCGAACCTCATTCCTAAGCAGACACGCTGGCCCGGTTTCTCACTAGTGCTCGATAATCCTTTTGGCTGGGTGCAGTGGCTCATTTAACTGTAATCCCAGCACTTTGGGAGGCCAAGGCAGGTGGAACACCTGAGGTCAGGAGTTTGAGACCAGCCTGACCAACATGGTGAAACCCGATCTCTACTAAAAATATAAAAATTAGCCAGGCGTGGTGGCAGGCACCTGTAATCCTAGCTACTTGGGAGGCTGAGGCAGGAGAATCGCTTGAACCTGGGAGGCGGAGGTTGCAGTGAGCCGAGGTCGCGCCATCGCACTCCAGCCTGGGTGACAGTGTGAGACTCCGTCTCAAAACAGAAAGAAAAAGAGAGAGAGGAAGAAAGGAAGGAGGGAGGGAGGGAGGAAAAGAAGAAAGGAAAGGAAAGGAAGACAGACAAGGCAGAAGTAATCAAGCCTTTCATGGTGAGCTGGGTCTTCTGGTGACAGTGCAGAGAATGGTCTGTCCTGACTTAAATTTCCTGGTGACCTACACTTTTCTGGACAGAGCAGCACAGAGCCCAAGAGGGTGTAAGGAGGAGCAGAAAGGAATCCCAGGGTGGGCAGGCCCGTGCGAGAGCCTTTGGGGGAAGGAATGAGACTTTGAGCCGGGAAGCGAGGCAAAGCTACCTGTCTTGGTCATTGTCTTCAGGGAGGGAGATGGAGGGGGACCAGGTGGGGGAGCCTCACAGGGGACTTTGGTCTGACTTGTCAAGTTTTCTTTTTTTCTTTTTGAGATGGAGTCTTGCACTGTTGCCCAGGCTGCAGTGCAGTGGTGCGATCTCGGCTCACCGCAAGCTCCGCCTCCTGGGTTCACACCATTCTCCTGCCTCAGCCTCCCGAGTAGCTGGGACCACAGGCACCGCCACCACACCCAGCTAATTTTTTGTATTTTTAGTAGAGACGGGGTTTCACTATATTAGCCAGGATAGTCTCGATCTCCTGACCTCGTGATCCGCCCGCCTCGACCTCCCAAAGTGCTGGGATTACAGGTGTGAGCCACTGTGCCTGGCCTACTTTATTTTTTAGAAACAGGACTGTGCTCTGTTGCCCATGCTGGAGTGTAGGGTGCAGCTGTGCGGTTCACTGCAGCCTTGAACTTCTGGGCTTGACGGATCCTGCCATCTTAGCAGCTGGGACTACAGGTGCATGCCAGCACACCAGTTTTCTTTTTTTTTTTATCTCTGCTCACTGCAATTCCGCCTCCTGGGTTCTAGCGATTCTCCTGCCTCAGCCTCCCAAGTAGCAGGGATTACACGCACATGCCACCACACCCGGCTAATTTTTGTATTTTTAGTAGAGACAGGGTTTCACTATGTTGGTCAGGCTGGTCTTGAGCCACCGCGCCCGCCCGGCCTACACACCAGCTTAAAAAAAAGAAAAAAATAGCTGGGCGTGGTGGCTCATGCCTGTAATCCCAGCACTTTGGGAGGCTGAGGCAGGCAGATCACCTGAGGTCAGGAGTTCAAGACCAACCTGGCCAACATGGCGAAACCCTGTCTCTACTACAAATATAAAAATCAGCCAGGCGTGGTGGCGGGCTCCTCTAATTCCAGCTACTTGGGAGGCTGAGGCAGGAGAATCACTTGAACCCGGGAGGTGGAGGTTGAAGTGAGCCAAGATCGAGCTACTGCACTCCAGCCTGGGAGCAAGACTCCCGTCTCAAAAAAAAAAAAAAAATTTGTAGTGGTATGGAGGCCGGGCATGGTGGCTCACGCCTGTAATCCCAGAACTTTGAGGGGCCAAGGCGGGCAGATCATGAGGTCAGGAGTTCGAGACCAGCCTGACCAACATGATGAAACCCTGTCTCTACTAAAAATAACAAAAATTAGCCAGGCATGGTGGCGGGCACGTGTAGTCCCAGCTACTCGGGAGACTGAGACGGGAGAATCGCTTGAACCCAGGAGGCAGAGGTTGCAGTGAGCTGAGATCACGCCACTGCACTCCAGCCTGGGTGACAGAGTGAGACTCTGTCTCAAAAACAAACACAAACAAACATATATATATATACATGTATATATATAATATATATATACGTATATATACACGTGTATATATATAATATATATACACGTGTATATATATTATATACATATATATACACGTGTATATATATAATATATATACATATATACACGTGTATATATATAATATATATACGTATATATACACGTGTATATATAATATATATACGTATATATGTATATATTAATATATATACGTATATATACACGTGTATATATTAATATATATACGTATATATACACGTGTGTATATATTAATATATATACGTATATATGTGTGTGTGTGTATATATATATGTATATATATATATATATATACATATATATATACAGAGAGAGAGAGAGTAGTGATAGGTCTTGCTGTCTTGTCCAGGCTGATCTTGAACTCCCGGCCTCAAGAGACCCTCCCACCTCAGCCTCCCAAAGCACTAGGATTATAGGTGTAAGCCACAGTACCTAGCCTATTAAAAATTAATGTTAAACAAGAGGATGTGATGAGGGAGTTAGAGGGTGTGCCAGCCATGTGTTCCACAGCAGCAGGTCAGGAGACATTGGGGACATTTAGAGGAGCTGAAGAGGTGGCCAACCCTGTGCTCAGGAGGACGGGGGAGGGAGAGAGCAAGAGGGAGTTTGGGCTGGGGCAGAACGTACCTGGGTCCTGAGAGGATAAGAAGGTAGGGACTTGGCCCCTCCAGGCCTGACTCTGCCAGCAACCAGCTCCCTATCAGCAGACTCCAGGCCCCTACCCTTCAGCTCATCCTTCCTTATCACACATCCAAAACTCTGAATGTGGCCGGGCGCAGTGGCTCACGCCTGTAATCCCAGAACTTTGGGAGGCTGAGGCAGGAGGATCGCTTGAGAACAAGAGTTTGAGACCAGCCTAGGCAACATGGTGAAACCCCATCTCTACTAAAAATATAAAAATTAGCTGGGTGTGGTGGCACATGCCTGTTGCCCCAGCTACTCAGGAGGCTGAGGCAGGAGAATCACTTGAGCCTGGAAGGCGGAAGTTGTAGTGAGCAGAGATTGTGCCACTGCGTTCCAGCCTGGGCAACACAGCGAGACTCTGTCTCAAAAAACAAAAACTGGAATGTGTTTACCATAAAGGCCAGAAAATGTGATTAACAGCTGCTCAAAGCCCCTGTCTGCCCTAAGCCTGAAATTTTCACCGAAAAAAAGATCTGTAGGCTCATACAGAGGAAGGACAAACACCAGGGAGGCTCTCTTCCAGTTTGCTTCACCTCAGCAAGCAGACGGCTGGCAGCAATTTGGGGGCAGGTGTGAGCACCTGCATCATCAGGAAAGAAGGGGCACGGTGGGGACGCAGGTCAGACCTCTCACAGGTCTTGGCTCTGCCCAGGAGACACGTGTCCAACTGAGAGGTGAGGAACTGGGTTCTGCAGCTGCAGACACAGGTGCGGCTCAGCATCTGATGGCCACGGAGACCCCCTGGCTTGGCTTCTCCCAGCTGGTGGCCCATGAGGAGCTTCTATCCCAAGAGACTGTCCCTCAAGGAGCAAGTGGGACCAGGTACCCACAGGACGGAGCCTGGGAGTGAGGCCTGCCCTGTGGTCTGGCTACAGGGAGGAAGGGCAGATTGGAGGGGGCAGGACAGCAGGTCAGGAATTGGCCAACTCTGGAGAGAGCAAGCAAGGGGAAGTCTGCGCACAGGGCAGGGCTGGTCAGGGGCGAGGCAGGGCATTGGACCAGTATTTTCAGAGCTGGTGAGGCTTAAAGAGCATGTCTACTGCCTCTTATTACAGAGAGAGGATGCCGAGGCCCAGACCCATCCAGGCCACCTCTCCACAGACACAGCTGGTGCCAGGGAAGCCCCTCCCAGAGCCTCAAGGCATTGCTCCCTCTCTCTCTCTCTTTTTGTTTTTTTGGAGACGGAGTCTCACTCTGTCTCCCAGGCTGGAGTGCAGTGGTACAATCTCGGCTCACGGCAAGCTCCGCCTCCCGGATTCACGCCATTCTCCTGCCTCAGCCTCCCGAATAGCTGGGACTACAGGCGCCCGCCACCACGCCCAGCTAATTTTTTGTATTTTTAGTAGAGACGGGGTTTCACTGTGTTAGCCAGGATGGTCTCGATCTCCTGACCTTGTGATCCGCCCGTCTCAGCCTCCCAAAGTGCTGGGATTACAGGTGTGAGCCACCGCGCCTGGACTTTTTTTTTTTTTTTAAGACGGGGTCTCACTCTGTCACCCAGGCTGGAGTGCAGTGGCGCGATGTCGGCTCACTGCAACCTCTGCCTCCCCAGTTCAAGTGATTCTCCTGCCTCAGCCTCCCAAGTAGCTAGAATTACAGGCACATGCCACCATGCCCAGCTAATTTTCTGTATTTTTAGTAGAGATGAGGTTTCACCATGTTGGCCAGGCTGGTCTTGAACTCCTGACCTCCGGTGATCTGCCCACCTCAGCCTCCCAAAGTGCTGGGATGACAGGCGTGAGCCCCCGCGCCTGGCCCCCCGCAGTGCTGGGATTACAGGCGTGAGCCCCCGCGCCCGGCCCCTCCCTCTCTTTGACTCCCTTCTTTCTCACCGCCCCCTCCCCACCATCCTTCCCCTTCACTGACTTCAGGGAGTTAAAAACAATTCTCGCAGTGAGCTGGGCTTGTTTTGTCTCCCTGCTTCTCTTTGTACTAAACATTAGATACCGAGGAAATGCGGATTGGCCTTTGGATGATTCATGAGCAGGAGTCAGAAAAAGGCACCAGGTTGGCCTCAAGCAGCAGGGTATAGTAGTGCCCGCTCCCAGGGTCACACCTCACGCCCACCCCTCCCGCCGTCCAGGTGGATGGTGCCCACTCCCAGGGTCACACCTCACGCCCACCCCTCCCGCCGTCCAGGTGGATGGTGCCCACTCCCAGGGTCACACCTCACGCCCACCCCTCCCGTCGCCCAGGTGGATGGTGCCCACTCCCAGGGTCACACCTCACGCCCGCCCCTCCCACCCACCCGGGTGGATGGTGCCCGCTCCCAGGGTCACACCTGACGCCCACCCGGGTGGATGGTGCCCGCTCCCAGGGTCACACCTCACGCCCACCCCTCCCGCCCGCCCGGGTGGATGGTGCCCGCTCCCAGGGTCACACCTCACGCCCACCCCTCCCGCCGTCCAGGTGGATGGTGCCCACTCCCAGGGTCACACCTCACGCCCACCCCTCCCGCCGCCCAGGTGGATGGTGCCCACTCCCAGGGTCACACCTCACACCCACCCCTCCCGCCCACCCGGGTGGATGCCCTTATCAGCTCTCCTTCTCCTTCTCTTTCGTCTTCTTCGTCTTCCTCCTCTTCTTTCTTCTTTTTTTTTTTTTTTAGAAAGAGTTTCTACTCTTGCTGCCCAGGCTGGAGTGCAATGGCACAATCTCAGCTCACTGCAACCTCCCTCTCCCCGGGTCAAGCAATTATCCTGCCTCAGTCTCCCAGATTGCTGGGATCACAGGAGTGTGTCACCACACCTGGCTAATTTTGTACTTTTAGCAGAGAGGGGGGATTTCACCATGTTGGCCAGGCTAGTCTCGAACTCTTGACCTCAGTTTATCCACCGGCCTCAGCCTCTCAAAGTGCTGGGATTACAGGCATGAGCCACCCTATCTGCCTCACTTCTACAGAGGAGGAATGAAGGCTCAGAGAGGGCAAGCATTCCACCCAGCATCACACAGAGTGCCGGGTGAGAGCCCAGTCATGAGCCTGGGCCTGACTGCAGGCTCCTGTTGGGAGCTCGCGGAGGTGGGGGATCTGTCCAGAACTGAGAGGCCAGGGGACCACAGTGGCCTCTGACCCCTGGAGGGCCCTGGAGGCTGCTGCCGGCTCCCCCCGGGGGCAGATGGAGGTCACTGTCACCCAGGCTGCTTCTCATGGTGCCAGGAGCACAGCATGGCAGGAGCCACCAGCCGATTTGCCTTTCCCTGGGCAGGAAACTCAGAAATGTGGCTACCACAGTCAGGCTGCTTGACGTGCGGTGAGCACTCATCTCTTAGCAGGCAAGCGGCCAAGCACCTTTCCTGAAATATTGAGGCCTCAGAACAAGCCCCAGGAGAGGTGCCAGCACCGTCATCTCTACCCAGATAAGGAGACCCAGGTCCTGAGAGGTTAGGCAGCTCGGACAACACCACACAGCTGGAGGAGGTCAGACTCTGGGTTGCAGAAGGAGAATGTGAGCAGAGGCCACAAAAGAGCGAGGAGCCAGTGCCCAGATGCCGAGATGCCCTCGCCCTCCCAGCTCAGCCCCAGGAACCGAGCCCATGGGGAGGGACCGTCAGGGAAAGGCTGTCAGGAAGGGCAGGAGGCGGCCCTGGAGAGGACGGCGCTGCCCTCAGGGGCAGGAGGGGAGTCCCCTCCGCTGAGAGCCCCCCCACCCCCAGTATCCCCGGGGGTGTCCAGGAGGAGGCGGAGGGAGGAAGCGCAGATGGACAGGACTCCCAGATAGGGTGGGGAGGTGTGGCCGGTGACACACACGGTCCCCTCCTGGCAGGTGCTGAAGTCACCTGGAGCCTCCAAGCCCGTGGGGCCTGAGGGGCGGGGTCAGGTCGGGCACGCGTGGGTGGGCGGAGTTCTGCGCCCCGGGCCAAGGCGCCCGAGTTGAACCAGTCAGCTCGGGAGAGGGACCGCGGCGACCTGTCCCGGGGGCGTAAGAAAAGGTGGGAGGGAGTGCGGCTCGTGAACGGGGGCGGCGATGGGAAGGAGGTGCGGCCCTTCGTCCTGTCCTCCCAAACGTCGAGTGAAAAACGAAGCGGGTTCTGCGGCCTCGCGGCGGAGCAGAGCGTTTCGGGAAGGGCGGGCCCAGCGTCCTCGCGCCCGAGGTCGCCCGGCAGCTCCCCTGCGTCCAGAATCCGCCCCCCGCCCGGGCCTGCGCCCGCCCCTCCGCCTGAGCTCCGCGCGGGACGGGCCGGGAGGCCGGGGTGGGCGCTACCTTCGAAGGCGGTGGGTCCGCCCCGCGGGAGGTGGAGGGGCGGGAGGGGCGGAGCCCTCTGGTCTCCGGAGGGTTTGGGGATCGCAGTCGCCCCTCCCCCATCCAGACCCCGCGGCGCAAAGGGCAGTGGCTTTTCTGGCCAGAGCAGGTGGCGCGGGCGTCGCAAAGGGTGGTCCCCGAGGCCGCAGCGGTGTGGGGGGAGGGCGCGGTCCCCCTCACTCCGGGCTCCGCCGTGTCTGGCCCGCCCCCCTCCTTCAGCGCCCCCTCCAGCCCCTGTGCTGCACTGGCGCGGGGAGCGCCGGGTTCCCGGCTGGGGCTTTGGCAGAGGGTCCCACCCTCTCCCCGCCTCCCCACGAAGGCTCTGGCGGACCCAGATCTCGGGTCGCCGGACGCCCCAGGGACCCCGCCCGCACATCGCGAGCGCGCCCACCCGGTCGCGAGCCCACGCCCGGGTCTGGGAGCCACCCTGCGGCAGTCGCGCCCTGCGTGGCACGCTGCTCCCCCAGGGGCGAGGCGCCCCCGCCCGACGTCCCGGTCCCGAGCGCTCCCCGGCGCGGCGCCTCGCAGCCCAGCGCCCCACCAGCCCCGCCGGCGCCGCAGACCCCAGCCTCGGGCGGGTCGGGCCCAGGCTTGCAACGCGCAGGGTAGGAGAAGGGAAATTGGCGTCCGCTGCCGGCCGCTGCCCCAGGCGAGGCCAGACGAGGCCTCTGCTCAGATCCCGCCGCCCCACAAAGCCCGTGGCCCCGGAGCCTACCGGAAATGGTGCTGGCCATGGTGCTGGCGGCGGTTGGGCCTGCGGAGGCTGGAGAGGCGCAAGTGGCGGCCGGAGCTGCAGACGGCTGGTGCTGCAGTGCCGGGGAGGGGAGGGGAGAGGAGTGGAGGGAGCGAGGGCGGGCGGGAGGCGGGCGCGGCGGGAGAGAGAGAGGGAGGGAGACAGAGGGAGAGAGAGAGAGGGTTGGGGGAAGGAGCGGGGGGAGGAGGGAGGGAGGGTTGGGGGAAGGAGAGAGAGAGAGAGAGAGACTGCGGGGGCGGGGGAAGGAGGGAGGGAGGAAGGGAGGGAGGAAGAGAGAGAGGAGCAAGCGCCTGGCTGCGGAAGGGGCCGCGGCTCTCAGGGGGAGAGGGCGGAGGAGGGGGGCTACCCGAACTGCAACAAGACCCCCCACCCTCCAACCGCTCACAGCGGGACAGCTGCTTCTCCAACTTGGCTTTGTGAGGCCTGAGAGTGGGGTGGGGGTGGAGATGAGCCCCCATTCCCCAGGGCAGGCGGGGCAGGGGCAATGCCGGAGGAGCAGGTCCCACCCATGGGGTGGGGCCGCAGAGCTCTTCGCCGCCAAGGCCGCTGTAGGCTGGGCTGGCGCCAACAGGGTCCAGGTCTGTGCCTGCCATCGGAGAGGATGCCACAGCCACAGGGGTGGGCGCTGGCCTGGAGGCCTCCAAGGGGCATCTCCTGTGAGCCCAGGGGATGGGCAGGATCTGAGCGGAGAAGAGTGAAAGTGGAGGAGTGAGGCCAGAACAAAGGCTTTGCCGTGAAAGAGGTGGTTTCCCGCCTGGGCTCAGACCTTCACTCACTGTGTGGCCCAGGCCAAGGGCAAGCGTCTGACCTCGCTGGGCCTTTGTTTCTCAGGGGTAAGATGAAACAATGATGCCCCCAGACGATGGAGAGGAGGGGTGCCAGGGTTGTGCGCACTTAGTGAGTGGGGGGCAACCTATCCTGCCTCCCCCTCTCCTCATAACTCCCAAAGGGAAAGCCTGGTAGGCAAACGGAGCGTCTTTGCCATTGCAGGGATGAAGCCACCGAGGCAGGGAGAAAAGTGCTTTGCCCTACAAGCAACTAAGTCATAGGGCCAGGAGCAAAACCCTGAAAACCTCAGGAGACTTGCAGAGCCATGAGGCTGGCTCAGCAACACAAAAGCCAGGGGCAAGCCTCAGCTCTAGCAGTGCGGTGGGAGCACCCAAGGCCAGTCACATCCTAGGGTGGCCTGGAGAGTCCTGACCCCTGACGTGCAAGCCGGCATCATCCCCGGGACTGTGAGTCTGGTGGGGGTGATGCCCAGGAATGTGACATTGTGTGGCCCAGAGGTACCCTTAAGACTGGAGGATCACCAGGCGGGCCCTGACCTCATCACAGGAGCCCTTTAAAAGCAGTTTCCTTTGCCTGGTTGAAGAAATCGGAGGGATCAAACCAAAGAAGGTTTTCTGTTGTTGAGATGAGGGGGCCACGTGGCAAGGATCTGAGAACTGCTCCCAGCCAACAGCCAGCAAGACAACAAGACCTTAACTGCAAGGAAGTGAGTTCTGCCAACAAGAAGAGAATGGGCTTGGAGGCAGGTTTGACCCCAGGGCCTCCACACAAGAACTGAGCCCAACTGCCCACTTGGTTTCAGCCTTGGGTTACTAAGAATTAGGAGGTAATGAATGAGAGTTGTTTTAAGCTGTTGGTTTTGTGGTGATTTGCTATGAAGCCATATCAAACTAATATACACACAGAGGTGTTGGCCCCTGGGCCATTCCTAGGAAGCCAGCTCTGCGAAGGAGGAAGAAGGGCAGAGAGGCACACAGAGCTGCCCACCACAGCAGCTGTGTCCTCCCTGTTGGCCACCACAGTAGCAGTTGGGGATGGTCAGCATCCTTCAGGCAGACTCCAGCCCCGGGTGCTGGAGCTCAGGTGCTAGGGATCAAGAGAAGTAGCCCTCTCTGGGACCTCCAGAGTCTTCTCATGTGGGTGGGGTAGGACCCACCCAGTCAGGCTCAGAGCACCGCAATGCCTCACACTCATTGTGACTCTGGCCAGGCCCTCTCTGAGCCTCTGTGTCCTCATCTGGAGCACAGGGACCAGGTGTGTGGAAGCCCGTGGCATAGTGCCAGGAACACAGTAGATGTGCACAGTGTGCACTAGCAGGAACACACAACAGGGGTACTGACTGTCAGCACCTAGGCAGGCACACGCAATGGGGTACTGACTGTCAGCCATACTGACTGTCAGCGTGCTAGCAGGCATACACAACAGCTGTACTGACAGCACACTAGCAGGCACATGCCATAGGTGTACTGACTCTCAGTGCACTGGCAGGCACACGCAATAGGAGTAATGACAGCATGCTGGCAGGCACACAATAGCTGTACTGACTGTTTGCCCCAATATAGTGCCAGGTCTTGGAGCAGATTTTGACTTCTCACCAAGATCAAATGCAGAAAGTGCACGAGCATTTCAAAGATGTTTTTCACATGCACATTAGTGCTAGTTAAAAAAATGTTTTGACTGGGTGCAGTGGCTCACAACTGTAATCCCAACACTTTGGGGGGCCGAGGTGGGCAGATCACCTGAGGTCAGGAGTTTGAGACCAGCCTGGCCAACATGGTGAAACCCCATCTACCCTAAAAATACAAAAATTAGCCAGGTGTGGTGGCAGGTGCCTGTAATCTCAGCTACTTTGGAGGCTGAAGCAGGAGAATCACTTGAATCCAGGAGGCAGAGGTTGCAGTGAGCCGAGATCCCACCACTGCACTCCAGCCTGGGCAACAATATCAAGACTCCACCTCAAAAAAAAAAATGTTTTTCATAAAGTGTGACTTTTATCAGACCTCTGCATTCTTGAAATTAACTCTGGCTTGGCTGGGCGTGGTGGCCCACACCTGTAATCTTAACACTTTGGGAGGCTGAGGTGGGCAGATCACGAGGTCAGGAGTTCAAGACCAGCCTGACCAACATGATGAAACCCCATCTCTACTAAAAATACAAAAATTAGCCGGGCGTGGTGGCATGCACCTGTAATCCCAGCTACTCAGGAGGCTGAGGCAGGAGAATCGCTTGAACCCAGGAGGTGGAGGTTGCAGGGAGCCGAGATCGCACCACTCTATTCCAGCCTGGGCGACAGAGCAAGACTCTGTCTCAAAAAAAAAAAAGAAAGAAAGAAATTAACTCTGGCTCCTAGAAGGAGCCCTATATCTCAGCAGGACACTCAGTCATTCAACAGACATCTGTCAAGCACCTGCTGTATGCTGGAGCTGTGGGTACGTCAGCAATTAGAGGAAGAGGGCAGGGGTACAGGAGTTCCTGACCACCCCAGGCCAGCACGCTCCTATAGCAGCTGGCAAGGAGCAGATGACTCAGACTTCAGCTCAGTCCACAGGACAGCCTTTTCTGGCCACTGCTCTCAGGAGATGAGATGTGTGGCTGCAAAAGGTAAACTCCTGGCTCCTGAGCAGGCTCTGGGCAATCTGCTCAACGCTCTGTGCCTCACTTTCTCACCCAGAAAGTGTGGACAATGAGAGGACTTATCTGGCTGGGCGCGGTGGCTCACGCCTGTAATCCCAGCACTTTGGGAGGCCGAGGCGGGTGGATCACCTGAGGTCAGGAGTTCAAGACCTGCCTGGCCAACACGGTCAAACTCCATCTCTACTAAAAATATAAAAAATTAGCCGGGCTTAGTGGTGCACACCTGTAATCCCAGCTACTTGAGAGGCTGAGGCAGGAGAATCACTTGAACCCAGGAGGTGGAGGTTGCAGTGAGCCAAGATTGTGCCACTGCACTCCAGCCTGGGCAAAAAGCCAAAACTCTGTCTCAAAGAAAAAAGAATCATGGCAGAAGGTGAAGTCTATGTTAGTCCCAGTTCCCAGGTCGTACATGGCGGCAGGAGAAAGAGAGAGAGAAGGGGAAACTGCCACTTTTAAACCATCGGGTCTCCTGAGCACTCACTGTCAGAACAGCCTGGAGGAAACTGACCGCATGATCCAACCACCTCCCTCCAGGTCCCTCCCTCCACACGTGGGGATTACAATTCGAGGTGAGACTTGGGTGGAGACACAGAGCCGAACCATATCAGCATGTATGGGGGGCACTGAAACTTGTGCTTGGTGCCCATTCATTCAACGAGTGTGTGTGGCTGGTCTCCTCATCTTCAACTCCCTGCCGAGTCTCAGATAGGCAGCCTGCAGTTCCTTCACCACAACAGGCACATGGGGCTGGGTGCCAGTGAGTGCTGGGGCTTCTCCGAGCACTATCTCACACCCAGGAGCGTGGGCACGCATGGCATTCGCATGTGCCGTCAGTGGACATTAAACACAGCCATGAAGAAGCCACGAAGAAGTGCTGCCTGCCGGCCGTGCGCGGTCACGCAGCGCCAACTCCCTCCTGGGGCCTTCTGGGGCCTTCTGGGGCATGGGAGCTGGGGCCGCCTGAGACAAACATCCGTGACGCTGGGCTGACCCCACAGAACGGTGCGGGCCTCGCTCTTGGAGTCAGCCCTGCTGCCAGCCAGTGCCGGGTGCTGGGGACTCAGGGAGGCCCGCCGGGACCACTGCGGGACAGTGAGCCGAGCAGAAGCTGGAACGCAGGAGAGGAAGGAGAGGGGGCGGTCAGGGCTCTCAGGAGCCGGGTCCTGGGCAAGGCGCAGCCGTTTTCAAATTTTCAGGAAAGCGGTCGGCTCACACTCGAGCAGTAAAAAGATGCCTCTGGGGAGGAGGCCCGTGCAGCTCTCCGGGCAATGGTGGTGGCTCGGCCTAGAGAGGCGGTAGTGGAACGCAGACCCTGGTGGGGGAATGACATCAAGGGAGGAGACGGGCGGGACCCCAGATTTCTGCCTGTGGGCGATGGAAGTGAGGTTCACTGGCCAGCGGAGCCGGACACAGAACGCGCAAAACGCCGTGTAGGCCTGGAGGAGCCGAAGAGCAGGCGGACCCCCTCCGCGGGGGAACAGTTTCCGCCGGGAGCACAAAGCAACGGACCGGAAGTGGGGGGCGGAAGTGCAGTGGGCTCAGCGCCGACTGCGCGCCTCTGCCCGCGAAAACTCTGAGCTGGCTGACAGCTGGGGACGGGTGGCGGCCCTCGACTGGAGTCGGTTGAGTTCCTGAGGGACCCCGGTTCTGGAAGGTTCGCCGCGGAGACAAGTGAGCAGTGAGTCGCAGTGACCCTACAAGTGGTTCTTTTACCCGAGCGGCTCGTAGGCGCGTTGCGGTTTTTCGAAACTACAGCTCCCGGCAGGCCCCAAGCCGCCCTCGGGGCCGCGGGTCGGCGGATTGGCCGCGCTGCATTTTGGGACCTGTAGTTTCCTGCGCTCGTGGCGCTGGCGCCGCGGCGTTGGCTGAGCCCTTGACCGGGGCTGGAGGGAAGGGCCGACATTCAGTGTGTCCGCGTCTGTTCTGTTAGTCCCAGTTCCCGGGCGGGATTGAGGCTTAGAGAAGTTGAGTGATTTGCTGAGGGCTGCACGGGTTGGCATCCCGGCATGCTCTTTCGCTACTTTGGCTGCATCTGGTTGCCCACCCGGGCGGATGGGGAATGGACTCCAGCCAGCCAGGAGGGCAGAGGGCTGGAGAGGCAGGGCCGGAGGTTCAGACCCTCCGCTCTGACGTTGCGCCTGGTGAGGCCGGGAGGGGTGCCGCTTGCCTCTTCAGCCCTCACGCTCTTGTGGAAGTCGCGGAATTACTGCAGGCGGAACTTGCAGCACTGTGGGCGTCTTTTCCAGAGAAGGACGGAGTTGTGGGGCGGGAGGATAAGGCAAGGCCCAGCCACTTCGCATCTTCGCCCCGCCAGCTCCTCGAGATGGGATATACCAGGGTTGCTCTCCAACCCTCTCCGCAGGAGGGACTGATGGAAACGCCTGGGAAAGTAGCCCGGTACCCACAAAGGCTGTCTACAAACAGAGTCTTACTGTCTTTCCCAGGTCTGTGCCATAGGGATTCTCGAAGAGAACAGCGTTGTGTCCCAGTGCACATGCTCGCATCGCTTACCAGGAGTGCCCGAGACCCTAAGATGTTCGGAGTGGTTTTTTCGCACAGACCCGAATAGCCTGCCCCTCAGCCACGCTCTGTGCCCTTCTGAGAACAGGCTGATATGCCCAAGATAGTCCTGAATGGTGTGACCGTAGACTTCCCTTTCCAGCCCTACAAATGCCAACAGGAGTACATGACCAAGGTCCTGGAATGTCTGCAGCAGGTAGAGCACAGGCCCCGAGGAAAGGACTGCGGGTGGGTGGAGCTTCAGCCAGGACGGGGTGTGCTTCCCTCTCCCGGCCCATTCCAGCCAGGCCCCTCCGGGCCAGAGGCAGCGTCTGTCATAAAAAGGGCTGGTGTTCCAGGTGGGGTCAGAGAGAGGATTGACAAGTAAAAACGATCGTCCTTTGAAGGGGGCCGGCCCCTCCACACCTGTGGGTATTTCTCATCAGGCGGGACGAGAGACTGAGAAAATGAATAAGACACAGAGACAAAGTATAGAGAGAAAAGTGGGCCCAGGGGACCGGCGCTCAGCATACAGAGGACCTGCACCGGCACCAGTCTCTGAGTTTCCTCAGTATTCATTAATTACTATTTTCACTATCTCAGCAAGAGGAATGCGGCAGGACAGCAAGGTGATAGTGGGGAGAAGGTCAGCAAGAAAACGTGAGCAAAGGAATCTGGGTCACAAATAAGTTCAAGGGAAGGTACTATGCCTGGATGTGCACGTAGGCTAGTTTTATGCTTTTCTCCACCCAAACATCTCGGTGGAGTAAAGAGTAACAGAGCAGCATTGCTGCCAATATGTCTCGCCTCCTGCCACAGGGCGGCTTTTCTCCTATCTCAGAATTGAACAAATGTACAATCGGGTTTTATACCGAAACATTCAGTTCCCAGGGGCAGGCAGGAGACAGTGGCCTTCCTCTATCTCGACTGCAAGAGGCTTTCCTCTTTTACTAATCCTCAGCACAGACCCTTCACGGGTGTTGGGCTGGGGGACTGTCAGGTCTTTCCCATCCCACGAGGCCATATTTCAGACTATCACATGGAGAGAAACCTTGGGCAATACCCGGCTTTCCAGGGCAGAGGTCCCTGCGGCTTTCCGCAGTGCATCGTGCCCCTGGTTTATCGAGACTGGAGAATGGCGATGACTTTTACCAAGCATACTGCCTGTAAACATATTGTTAACAAGGCACGTTCTGCACAGCTCTAGATCCCTTAAACCTTGATTCCATACAACACATGTTTCTGTGAGCTCAAGGCTGGGGCAAAGTTACAGATTAACAGCATCTTAGGGCAAAGCAATTGTTCAGGGTACAGGTCAAAATGGAGTGTGTTATGTCTTCCCTTTCTACATAGACACAGTAACAGTCTGATCTCTCTTTTCCCTACAGTCCTTGAGGGTGACAGACTTAGGAGTGCCTTGGGGGCCTCTCTGAGGAGCAGCTGATATTCACGGGTCAGGAGGAAGCATTTCCATTAGAGGGGCAGCCGGTGGCCAGCCTCACTTGGAAGGTCTTTGAACCTCGGGGGTGCAGGGAGGTGGCAGTGGTGCAGGTTGCCTTCTCCTGGGTTCCTTGAGGTGCCCTCTTGTACCCGGCTCACACCCTTCCCCTCCCCGAGTTTCCTGCTCAGGTTCCCGTCTGAGAGCTTGTATGTAGGACGTCAGATAGGACAGCATAAATGTTTGGATCCAGAAACGCAGAACAGTTTCCTATTTTGAGACTTGACACCTAATTAGTCATCTTACTATTTAAGCTGAAAAATAGTGTCGTGTTTTGGGTAACGTTCTGCAAATCGTTTGCTAATGGCGGCTGAGTTGCTTCACGCCCTTTAGGGCAAGAGTGGGACTTGCCTGTGGACTTCTCCGCGGTCCCACAGGGCTCTCGCCACCTGGCAGTGGCCTCTGCATCTGCAAAGAGCTGCCCGCTGGCTGCCGAAGCTTGTCTCAGGGCAGCTTGTGTGGCCTCGCCTCTTCCTGGCTTCCCCGTAACCCTTGCTCCGAACTCCGTTCAGAAGGTGAATGGCATCCTGGAGAGCCCTACGGGTACAGGGAAGACGCTGTGCCTGCTGTGCACCACGCTGGCCTGGCGAGAACACCTCCGAGACGGCATCTCTGCCCGCAAGATTGCCGAGAGGGCGCAAGGAGAGCTTTTCCCGGATCGGGCCTTGTCATCCTGGGGCAACGCTGCTGCTGCTGCTGGAGACCCCATAGGTGACCCTAGTTCCCAGGCCTCTCCTGGCCTCCTGTGGGGATGGTTGGCAAGGGATGGCGCTGAGGGTGGGGTGGGCCCATGGGGACTCCTGCCGTCTCTCAAGCAGAACTCAAGGAGAATTTTTTAGCTGCTGTATAATTTCTCGCCATCGTGGGTGTAAACCTAGGGTTGGGCTTTTTTGCTGAATTAGGGCACGGCAGATGCCCACTTCACCCATTTTTGATAAACCAGTATCTGGGGTGTCAGATTCTTGGCTGTCTGCAGGGCCGAGTTAGCCGAATGCCACCTGCCTTTGATACGTGAGAACGTTGTCTGAGAACCGTGACTTCTGTGCTTGCTTGTGTCTGGTCAGCTTGCTACACGGACATCCCAAAGATTATTTACGCCTCCAGGACCCACTCGCAACTCACACAGGTCATCAACGAGCTTCGGAACACCTCCTACCGGTGGGTCAGACGAGTTTACACCTGTCTCGGGGTCCTCAAGAGAACCAGCTTGGCATGGTGCTGAGTCCACAGCCCCATGCTGTGCTGTGGTGGAGGGTGGTGGTCTTTCTAGACGCTCCCCCGAAGTGTGCAGAGCGCTGGTGCCCAGGGGTGGGGTGCGGCCTGGGCTGCCTCCAATGCCCATTACTTGTGAGGAAGCAGCTTTGCATCTGTGTGCTGACCTTGGGCGGGCGTCCTGAGCTCCTCGCAGGTGCTGTTGTAGCAGCTGTGCAGTAGGTCAGGGCTGGCCCCCAGTGCAGCTTTGCACATGAAGTAGGAGGAGGCCCTGCTGCTTGTCAGAGCCCAGCAGAGTCTTGGTGTTCTGTCGGGTTCCTGTGGCCGGACCAGTGGCAGGGTGCTGTGGAAGCTGTCGAATCTCCTCCCTCTGTCCAGTACCCCCGCTCGTCTTCTAGCTCCCTCCTACGCCCGGGCCACGTTTCAGTTATGCTCACTTCCTCTGACCGCCGAGGCTCCTGCGTGTCTCCATACAGCTCACGCTGCAGGGCCACGCTGTGGGTGTTGGAGACAGCTCCTCCTCGACCCACGGTGCTCTCTCCCACCAGGCCTAAGGTGTGTGTGCTGGGCTCCCGGGAGCAGCTGTGCATCCATCCTGAGGTGAAGAAACAAGAGAGTAACCATCTACAGGTAGGCTCCTGGGCTCCCGCTCCGGCTCAGTGTCCGACAGGCGAGTGCTGCTGGGTGTCCAGAGCCCCAGGCTGCGCTCCCGCTGGGCTAGGGTTTGAAGTTCACTGGGGGACTGCAGGGGAGGACCTGGTGGGGGTGGGGACTGGCTTCGGTCCTTTCTTGGCCGTGCTTCAGCTGCGCACTCTGCCCTTCCTCCCACAGATCCACTTGTGCCGTAAGAAGGTGGCAAGTCGCTCCTGTCATTTCTACAACAACGTAGAAGGTACAAGCAGCTGGGTGGGACCAGGGTCGGGTTGGAGTGTGTGCAGCCTCTCAGGGTGGAGCTCAGTGGTGTCACAGCCTGGTTGTGCTTGCCCGGTGGGGCGGCCAGTGCGGCCATGTACCTGGGCCCTGTCTTCTGACTCGGGGCCACCCATGTTAGACTTCTGTGTGGAAGAGCTCACACAGTGGTCTGAGACAGCCAGCCGGCAAGACTGCCTCTGGCTGGTGCCTGGGGCCTTGGATTTTGGGAAGGCTCCCTCCATTTCCTGATGAGAGGGTCTCCCTGCACCTAACCTGCTGGTGCAAACAGTAGGGGTTTTGCTGAACACCGGCTTTCTCTTCGGGGACTTTGTTGCTTGCCCAGCAGCAGGTGCTCCAGTGACCGGCCCTCATACCATCTTGGGAGGGTGTCCTGGAAGCCGTGTCTGGCCTCCCGCGACCCTGCCCCGTGTGTCTTTTTCCTGTGCTGACCTTGCTGCGGAAAATTATGGCCCTGAGTGTGACTCCAGGCTGAGTCCTGTGGGTCCAACACGGGATGCCTTGGGGCCTCTTCTGGAGACGGGATGTGAGTGACAGGAGCCGGCCGGGGCAGCTTGCCCTGTGACTGCACGTGGCCACAGCCTGTGAGGGCCGGGGGTGCTTCTCCACCCACGTGGCTGCCCCTCGGGTATGTCAAGGGCTTCTGGGGCTCATCACGGGGTCCTAGAGACAGTGGCAGGGTGCACCCCCGTTGGCTGCCCTTACAGTTTCTGTGACCTGAGGGTGGCATCTGTGCAGTCGGCGCGGTCTGTGCTTCTGTGGGATCAGGGTTCCCTCTGTTTCCTGCCTCAGTTGGGGCTCAAGCCTCAGGTGAGGTGGCCCCGGAGCACTCAGAAGGCATCGGCGGTCCTGTGGGCTGCTTTCTGCACTCACGTTTGCTGAGTGCTCAGTGTGCCAGGACTGAGGACCCTGAAGCTGCTCTTGTATTTAGGGCGGCGCTCCCCTGGCAGAGACTGAGCCAGGTGGTCCCGCATGACCCACTACCAGGCGTTTCTGGGCCCTGGCCCTTGGAGGGACAGGGTGGGCGGAACATGGGCCTGCAGGGAGGCTCCCGCTTACTGGAGGCATGTGCTGTGTTGCTGGAGACATCCTCTGTGTTGCTTCTTGTTCGCTGTGGTTTTTGGTCTGGTGGCACCAAGGACCCTCAGTCATCTTGATGTGTGGTTGTCCAGGCCTTTTTGTTGGTCCTAAGAAGGGGCTCTGCCTTTGTGCCCCCAGGTTCCCTGACAGGAGCTGCCGGCTCGTCCCGGTGATGCCTGCAGGACGTGACTCTGGGACGGGGGGTTGGGCAGATGTGCTGATGGAAATTCTCAAGCAGGCGTCATTTCCGAGGTCCTCACCTGGATTTCCAGGACAGGAGTGCCTGCTGGGTGTCCCCAGTCCCATGCAGCGGGGGTCCTTGGGATAGCATGGAACGCTGAGCATGGGCCTGGCCGGCCGTGGTCCTGGACAAGGGCAGTGCCCCGGTGGCTGCTGGGCCTGGGACCTGGTGGGGACGCTGGGCCTGGTACCTGGTGGGGATGCTGGGCCTGGGACCTGGTGGGGAGGCCTCTGACTGCCTCCTGGTGCTGCTTCCGTCTGTGTTAGGCCTCTGGGTATTGGGGCCCCCATCTGTCTCCTCCTCCAGGCCTGTGGACTCAGACCAGGAAGACACAGGCCAGCCCCTGCCTGTCCCCCTTGGCTTGGGCTCTCACTGCCCGACCTGGCGGGAGGTTGCCTAGCCGTGAACCTTCGCACCCTGTCTGCCACCGGACAGGCTGTGAGGGGGTGTCTGCAGCACCTGCACCGGCCTGAGCATCTTCAGAGTGGGCTGCAGCTCCTGGAGGGGTCTGAGAGGAAGGGAGGCAGGTATTTTGGGCGAATGAGGAGACAGCTGGAGAGCTGGCACCCTTCCTGGCCTGCGTCCTGTGAGGACTCTGGTTGGGGACAGCAAGCTTGGGGTCAGCCTGGGGCAGAGCCTCTGGGACGGCCCCGCCCCTCGTGCCCCTTCCCCTCGCAGCTCCTGTCCTCGCCCCGCCCTCAGCTCTCCGCCAGGCAAGGTTTGGCAAGTGCCGCTGTGCGGCAGTGCCTGCTGATTGGCTGGTCTGTTGCTATGGTGCTGCCCAGGGGTGTGCTTTTCCTCCCCTGCCTTCCCTGCTATCCCTGGGAGTATCTGGGGTTGGGTCATCGCTGGTGTGTGTGAGTGTGTGTGTGTGTGTATGTGCACGTGTGCATATGTGTGCGCTTCTGGCCTCTGCAGCTGAGTCCTGGCCCTCGGGGGGCCTGGCACCTCCTGGGGACAGGCACAAAGCAGCCATGATGGAGTCGGGAGCTGGGGGAGGCCCCATTGCCCCACGTGGCTGCCCTGTGACTCTGGGGTGCTTGTTAGAAGAGGTATCTGGTTCTGTCTGTGTTTAAGCAACTCCCTAAGGAATTCTTGTGGTTCCAGTTTGGGGGGCCTGTACTGTAGAGGCAAGGGAGGGGCAGGACATCCCCCAGACTCTGACTTCTGAAGCCTTTTCTGCCCGGGGCCTCTCCGCCAGTACAGGCAGTGTCCTTTGCCAGGGCTGCCATGCTGCAGAGGGGAGTGGGCCACTGTTTAGCCCAGGAAAACCTGGCTCTCCCTTAGCTGGAAGTTCTGGGCCTGTTGTGGTTGGCAGGGAAGCTGAGTGACGGTGCTAATCACAGGGGCACCTGCAGGGGTTTGTGGGAGATGCCTCTGTGGGTTGGGGCGATAGGCTGAGGGGCTGTTCTTCCCTGCCCTGAGGAGGGCTGAGTGTAGCCGCCACTCCTGTCCTGTCTTGGGCTGTCTCGGAGAGGATGCGTAGAACCCTCGGGATCCTGCTGGCCTCCGTCTGGTCCACCCTGAACCTCAGGCCTTCTGGGGGCAGAGGAGGATTCCCTCAGGATCACTCGGGTGGGGGCCTCTCTTGGGCACCTGAGACCCTCAGTGGGTGCTTTGTGGCGCGTTCACGGTTGGTGGGGGACGCCCAGCCCTGCCCGCCGTGTAGGAGCCGTTCTGTCCTGGGCATCCCCCTGTGGTCTGGGACTTAGTGGACCCTGAGGGTGTGTGTTTACCCCTGCCTCACACCTGCAGAAAAAAGCCTGGAGCAGGAGCTGGCCAGCCCCATCCTGGACATTGAGGACTTGGTCAAGAGCGGAAGCAAGCACAGGTGAGACCCCTCAGTGAGGCCACGACCACTGTCCTTCCATGGCCCAGCTCTCCTGTGACCTGTGGAGGCCCGGATATATTTCTTCACTTTTCTTTGTTCCTTTTTAAATTATGAAACTAACCACCATTCAGTACGAAAAAGTTTAAGCAGCTCTGAGGAAGATAGAGTAAAAAATTGTCTCCCTCTTCCCTGGCCCTCAGCCATCCCCGGTGGCCACCGTGGAGTGTGGACGGAGCCCTGCAGGCCTGTGTCTGTGCGGAAGCACGCGCAGTTTTGTCTGCACAGACTGTCCTGCAGTTGGCTGTTTTCACTCAGCGTTGTGGGTATAGCTTCCCATGCTGGTGCTGGCAGCTCGGCCTTGTTCTTTTGAGGACAGCAGATGTCTCCTATGTCTACCTCTTACAGCTTCAGAGATTCAAGTTATAATAAAGCTCTTCTTATATTGAGGGGGAAACCTCCCTCCCCCTTTTTTTTGAAACAGGGTCTCGCTCTGCTACCCAGGCTGCAGTGCAGTGTCACAGTCTTGGCTCACTGCAGCCTCAGCCTCCCAGGCTCAAGCGATTTTCCCACCTCAGCCTCCCAAGTAGCCGGGACTGCAGGCACACACCACCATGCCTGGTTAATTTTTGTATTTTTTGTACAGACAGGGTCTCACTCTGTTGCTCAGGCCAGTCTCCTGAGCTCGAGAGTTCCACCTGCCTTGGCCTCCCAAAGTGCTGGGATTACAGGCGTGAGACCCCATGCCTGGCCAGCTCTTTTTTTTTTTTTTTTTTTTTTTGAGACGGAGTCTCGCTCTGTCGCCCAGGCTGGAGTGCAGTGGTGCGATCTCGGCTCACTGCAAGCTCCGCCTCCCGAGTTCACGCCATTCTCCTGCCTCAGCCTCCCGAGTAGCTGGGACTACAGGTGCCCGCCACCACGTCTGGCTAATTTTCTGTATTTTTAGTAGAGACGGGGTTTCACCGTGTTAGCCAGGATGGTCTCGATCTTCTGACCTTGTGATCCGCCCACCTCGGCCTCCCAAAGTGCTGGGATTACAGGAGTGAGCCACCGCGCCCGGCCCAGCTCTGCTTTTTCTTAGTGGTTCTGCGTTGTGTTTGTTTCTATCCAGGAATAGGGTTGGTTTTACTTTTCCATCGAGTTTTTAAAGAGACGACGATTTACATGGTCGGAAACTCACGAGGACTCCCCATCCCTTGGTCGGAAACTCACATGGACTCCCCATCCCTTGGTCAGAAACTCACGTGGACTCCCATCCATCCCAGGCAGCAGCTTCCCACCTGGGCCCTACGTGCAGGATGAGGGCTCCTTCCGGGTCAGAAGACATGGCGGCCTCGGGGCACCGTCCCCTGCATGGGGTGCTCACAGGATCTTCTCCTCTCTCCTTCCCAGGGTGTGCCCTTACTACCTGTCCCGGAACCTGAAGCAGCAAGCCGACATCATATTCATGCCGTACAATTACTTGTTGGATGCCAAGGTGGGGGCTCAGTCCTGTAGCTGACGACTCCTGATGTCCAGGGGTGTCCCTGGGCTTGGGAACAGCTGTCCGAGCCTTTGCTGCTTCAGGGCCTTAGATCAGCAGGCCTGGGTGGGAGGACTCACCTCTGTCACTGGGCAGGGGCTCAACCTGGCCAGACACACTTGTGAGCAGCCCCAGGCCACAGGTCAGTTTTCTGAGCAGTCTGGGAGCGGGCAGGCTGGTGGGAGTGAGGAGAGACCTCCAGGCTGTGGTCCATAGGCCAGTGCCCGCTCTTGATCCTGACAGCTCAGGTTCTCTCCTTCACGTCAGGCCATGGGAGGCACCGAGAACACAGGAAGCCCACTGACTCCCCTCTTCCCAGCGCGTGCCCGGCCCCACACTCACTCCCCCTCCCAGCATGTGCCCGGCTTCACACTCACTCCCCTCTTCCCAGTGCATGCCCGGCCCCACACTCACTCCCCCCACAGCATGTGCCCGGCCTGACACTCACTCCCCTCCTCCCAGTGTGTGCCCAGCCCCACTCCCTTCCGCCCCGTGTGCCCAGCCCCACGCTCACTCCCCCCGCCAGCATGTGCCCGGCCCCACACTCAACTCCCCTCCTCCCAGTGTGTGCCCGGCCCTGCTGCCCTCCTCCCCATGTGCCCTGCTTTTGTGCCCCACACTTTTTACTTAGTGCAGGTGGGATCACACGCCACGGGTCAATGGTTTGTGTGTTCACGTGACGATGGCGTGGTGACGTTTCCAGATCCCGTCGTTGGTTCGCTCATTCTCGGGGTGTATATTTATTGAGAGCTCATCATGCTGGGTGCTATTCCAGGCATAGCAAGACTGGCTTCACTCACATGGAGCTTTGATTCTAGTGGTGGGGACAGGTGGACAGCAAAAGAGTAAGCACGTGAGCTGATGATACTGAAGGGAAATAGAGCAGAGGGAGGAGGCGGAGACCGAGCCAAGCGGGCCCAAGTGCGATGTCGGCGGGAGGTGGGGAATGCTGGTGGGTCTGAGGGGAGCCTCAGCAGGTGCAGCAGAGCAAGGGAAGAGGTGAGTGGGGGCGGCTGGGGGGCCGACTCCTGGGAAGCTGTAGCAGAACCCCACAGAGAGCTGGTGAGGTTTGCCGTGGTTGTGGGTGACTCGGTGCTTTGAGCCCTGGCTGCCCCTGGGAACCATCTGGAGAGCTTCTAACCCAACCAGGCCCCTCCCTGGGACAGTTATATCACAGCTGGTAAGCCGAGTCTAACACTTTCACGGAAACGCAGAAGATCTAAAACAGCAAGATGACCGTGAAGAAGAACAGAGCTGGAGGACTCACCTCGCTGGTTTCAAGACTCCTCTAAAGCTGCAGGAGTGGAGGTGGAGA
Organism: Homo sapiens; assembly: GCF_000001405.40. NCBI lineage: Eukaryota > Metazoa > Chordata > Mammalia > Primates > Hominidae > Homo > Homo sapiens. The sequence continues at coordinate 63,668,914 of NC_000020.11, forward strand.
TGGCCCAGCTCAGGCACAGGCCTGCAGGCCATGGAGAAGGCAGCAAGCTCAAGCTGACCCACACGCATGTGGTCATTGTTTTTTTTTTCAGTTGGAATCTCACTCTGTCACCCAGGTTGGAGTGCAGTGGCACCATCTCGGCTCACTGCAGCCCCCGCCCCTAGGTTCTAGCGATTCTCCCACATCAGCCTCCCGAGTAGCTGGGATTACAGGCGTGCGCCACCATGCCTGGCCCTTGGTGATTGTTTTTTGACAAACATGCCAATTTAATTGAGAGAGGAAATGAAGGTTGATTTCTGGTTTTCTGAAAAAATGGTGCTAAGAACAGCTGGATATCTGTTCGGAAAACAGTGAATCTTAACTCTTGTTTTACCCTGTATAAACCTAAATGTAAAAGCTAAACTAAAAGTTATAGAAAGGAACATGGGGGAGGTCTTTGCAACTTTGGGGTAGGCAGAGATTTCTTAGTATGGATACACAAGGCACTAGCCATGAAGAAAAACATTAAAATTTAGACTTCACCAAAATTTAAAGCTTCAACTCTGTGGAAGAGTTGAGAAAATGAAAAAGCAGTTAAAGAAAGGGAGAAAATACTTCTTTCAAAGGACTTAAAAAATTTTTTCAGCCCTCCTCTGATTTGAAAGGACCTTTGACCAGAGTATGTAAAATTCTCCCATAACTAAGCAAACAACCCACTTAACCACTGGGAAGGGATCTGGACAGACGTTTCACCAAGATGGGTGGAATGGCCAGTTAACCACTGGGAGAGCATCCGGACAGACGTTTCGCCAAGATGGGTGGAATGGCCAGTTAACCACTGGGAGAGCATCCGGACAGACGTTTCGCCAAGATGGGTGGAATGGCCAGTTAACCACTGGGAGAGCATCCGGACAGACGTTTCGCCAAGATGGGTGGAATGGCCAGTTAACCACTGGGAGAGCATCCGGACAGACGTTTCGCCAAGATGGGTGGAATGGCCAGTTAACCACTGGGAGAGCATCCGGACAGACGTTTCGCCAAGATGGGTGGAATGGCCAGTTAACCACTGGGAGAGCATCCGGACAGACGTTTCGCCAAGATGGGTGGAATGGCCAGTTAACCACTGGGAGAGCATCCGGACAGACGTTTCGCCAAGATGGGTGGAATGGCCAGTTAACCACTGGGAGAGCATCCGGACAGACGTTTCGCCAAGATGGGTGGAATGGCCAGTTAACCACTGGGAGAGCATCCGGACAGACGTTTCGCCAAGATGGGTGGAATGGCCAGTTAACCACTGGGAGAGCATCCGGACAGACGTTTCGCCAAGATGGGTGGAATGGCCAGTTAACCACTGGGAGAGCATCCGGACAGACGTTTCGCCAAGATGGGTGGAATGGCCAGTTAACCACTGGGAGAGCATCCGGACAGACGTTTCGCCAAGATGGGTGGAATGGCCAGTTAACCACTGGGAGAGCATCCGGACAGACGTTTCGCCAAGATGGGTGGAATGGCCAGTTAACCACTGGGAGAGCATCCGGACAGACGTTTCACCAAGGTGGATGGAATGACCAGTTGAGCACATGGAAAGTCGCCCAGCATCTCCAGTCATAGGAGAAGGCAGATTAAAGCCACGGGGAGCCGACACTGTGGTCCCACTGGCATGGCTGAAATTCAGAAGCCCTGAGTGTGGCATGAGGATGTGGAACAGCTGGATCTCATCCATCGCTGTGAAGTTGTGTAGCCACTCCACAAACGTGTGGCAAACAGCCGAGCCGGGAGAAGGGAAGACGTGTTCAAAGATTCATATGTGGCCAGGCTCAGTGGCTCACGCCTGTAATCCCAGAACTTTAGGGGCCAAGGCTGGGGGATCGCTTAAGCCCAGGAGTTTGAGACCAGCCTAGGCAACATAGGGAGACCCCATCTCAAAAAAAAAAAAAAAGAAAAAAGAAAAGACTTCAGTGTGCAGGTTTACCAGAGTTTTGTTTGCAGTTGCCAAAACTGGGAAGCAGCCCGCGTGAGCCCATCCACAGGTGAATGGACAGACCGTGGTACCCGAACACTAACAGCAGCCACGGGCGTGGACTGTGGTCACACAGCAGCAGGGAGCCGATGAGTCTCGGACATGCTAACCCAGAGAGGCCCATTGAGGAGGACCTACTGTTTTTTGTGTTTTTGTTTTTTGTTTTGAAATGGAGTCTCGCTCTGTGGTGCAGGCTGGAGTGCAGTGGTGTGGTCTTGGCTCACTGCAGCTTCCGCCTCTTGGGTTCAAACAGTTCTCCTGCCTCAGCCTTCCGAGTAGCTGGGACTACAGGCACCCGCCACCACACCCGGCTAATTTTTGTATTTTCAGTAGAGACGGCAGTTCGCCATGTTGGCCAGGCTGGTCCCAAACTCCTGACCTTGTCATCCACTCACTTTGGCCTCCCAAAGTGCTGAGGTTGCAGGCATGAACCACCGCACCCGGCTGGACCTACTGTTTTATTCCATTTATGTGACACTCTATTAATAGAAAAGGCAGGGGTGGGGCTGGTGGTTATATGGTGCACATAACTGCCAGAACTCAGTACACTTAAAATGAACATCTTAATGTGTGAAATTTTTTTTTTTGAGACGGGGTCTTGCTCTGTCACCCAGGCTAGAGTGCAGTGGTGCGATCTCCACTCACTGCAAGCTCTGCCTCCTGGGTTCACGCCATTCTCCTGCCTCAGCCTCCCGAGTAGCTGGGACTACAGGCGCCCGCCACCACGCCTGGCTAATTTTTTTTTTTTTTTTGTATTTTTAGTAGAGACGGGGTTTCACAGTGTTCGCCAGGCTGGTCTCGATCTCCTGACCTCGTGATCCGCCTGCCTCGGCCTCCGAAAGTGCTGGGCTTGCAGGCGTGAGCCACCATGCCCGGCCAATGTGTGAAAATTTAAAAGTACCAAAGCTGGACCCCACCCCAGATTGCTCCCATGACACTCTGTGGGTGGGACCTGGGAGTTGGGTTTTGTTTTGTTTTGTTTTGTTTTTGAGATGAAGTCTCACTCTGTCGCCTAGGCTGGAGTGCAGTGACACAATCTCGGCTCACATTAACCTCTGCCTCCCAGATGAAAGCGATTCTCCTGCCTCAGCCTTCTGAGTAGCTGGGATTACAGGCACACACCACCACCCCCTGCTAATTTTTGTATTTTTAGTAGAGACGGGGTTTTACCATGTTGGCCAGGCTGGTCTTGAACTCCTGACCTCGTGATCCGCCCGCCTCGGCCTCCCAAAGTGCTGGGATTACAGGCGTGAGCCACCGCGCCTGGCTGGGAGTTGGGTTTGTAAATCTCCCTGAGTGGGGCTGGGGCAGGGAACTGCTGGGTCTGGGTCTTCCTGGCTCCTCTGGTCTGTGGCTTCCTGACTGCGGTGGCCGGGGGCTCCCAGGGCATCGTGGCCGTCTGTCTTGCTGAGCGTGGCACGTGCCTTTCCATGCTGTGGAGGAGCGTCTCCCGGTATGGCGAACTGCTGGTTAGGGTGGGGCGGTGTTGCCAGGTCATCCAGGTCTGGCCTCTGCTCTCGACATCGCCGGCGCTGTTGCTCATCTGCGCTTGTGATGTTCGATGCCTGCTGCACATGTCTTGGCTTCCCTCTTTCCCGGCCTCTGTGAGCTCCAGCGCTGCGTCCCTTCTCTTCCTCCTGTAGAGCCGCAGAGCACACAACATTGACCTGAAGGGGACAGTCGTGATCTTTGACGAAGCTCACAACGTGGTGAGTCTCCGCTGGCCTCCTAAACACCTCCTATTGCTTCTGGCCTTTTTGTCAAGAGCCACGCAAACCTTTCTGGAGGGGCTCTGGCCAAACTCCTGAAGCCCTAGGTGCCCAGGACTGGGGACTGAGCACACCAGGAGCTTCTGCCACCCCCTCCCGCCCTGATCCGATGCCTCTGCTGGGGCTGGAGACTGGCCAGCTGGGCCAGGGACCTGCCCGTCAGGCGCAGGGCCCCCACAGGCCGCTCACCAGACCCTTTCCCTCCAGCCAGCTCGGGGTCAGCCTGGGCCAGGGCTGTCTCCTCTGCCCTCGGCAGCAGCAGGCTTGTGGTCTTGCCTGCAGTGTCTCTGCCCTTCCGGCCACATGGCTTGAGACTGAGGCAGGAGAATCGCTTGAACCTTGGAGGCAGAGGCTGCAGTGAGCCAGGATCACACCACTGCATTCCAGCCTGGGTGACAAAGCGGGATTCTGTGTCAAAAAAAAAAATGTTGACTGGGCGCGCTAGCTCATGCCTATAATCCCAGCACTTTGGGAGGCTGAGGTGGGCGGATCACGAGGTCAAGAGATCAAGACCATCCTGGCCAACATAGTGAAACACCGTCTCTACTAAAAATACAAAAAAATTAGCTGGGCGTGGTGGCGTGTGCCTATAGTCCCAGCTACTCAGGAGGCTGAGGCAGGAGAATCACTCGAACCCAGGAGGTAGAGGTTGCAATGAGCCAAGATCACACCACTGTACTCCAGCCTGGTGACAGAGCAAGACTCCGTCTCAAAAAAAATAAAATCAAAAAGAATAATTGGCAATTCCAGTGAAATAATTGTTTGTTTGTTTGTTGAGACAGGGTCTCCTTCTGTCGTCCAGGCTGGAGTTCAGTGGTATGATCTTGGCCCACTGCAACCTCCACCTCCTGGGCTCAAGCCATCCTCCCACCTCAGCCTCCCGAGTAGCCGGGACTACAGGTGCACACCACCACGCCCGGCTAATTTTTGTATTTTTTGTAGAGGCGGGGTTTCCCAGCGTTGCCCAGGCTGGTCTTGAACCCCTGAGCTCAAGTGATCTGCCCACCTTGGCCTCCCAAAGTGCTGGGATTACAGGTGTGAGCCACCGCGCCCGGCCTGAAACAATCGTTTCTAAATATTGGTGTGGGCCACACAGTCATGTTTGGACCTACTTGTGGCCTTTTACAGACCCCAGGCCAAGGCTTTGGGAACTTGGCTGTCAGCCTCCTGTGCCTTCTGCACCCCCACCCCATTTCTGCTTTCTGGAACCCCCGATCCTGTCCTGTTCTGTGGTGATTCGGGTGTGCTTGGGCTCTAGGAGAAGATGTGTGAAGAATCGGCATCCTTTGACCTGACTCCCCATGACCTGGCTTCAGGACTGGACGTCATAGACCAGGTGCTGGAGGAGCAGACCAAGGCAGCGCAGCAGGGTGAGCCCCACCCGGAGTTCAGCGCGGACTCCCCCAGCCCAGGTGCGTTCATAGCCAGACTGCTTGGTCCTGAGGCCTGCGCTGCTGCAGGGTGAGCCCCACCCGGAGTTCAGCACGGACTCCCCCAGCCCAGGTGCGTTCATAGCCAGGCTGCTTGGTCCTGAGGCCCGTGCTACTGCAGTGGGCAGCCTGCCCTGTGGCTGTGTGTGGTCGGCCTGGGCACCATCTATTCAGGCTGGCACTGCAGGGCATCCGCTTCTCTCAGAGGCTTCTTGGGTGTGAATTCTTCAGGGTCCTGTAGCCTGTGGAAGGGCTGGTATTGTTCAGTAGTTCTGGTATTTTCCAAAGACCTATGTCTTCTCCCAGCCAGTATCAACTTGGCCTCTACTGTGTAAAACTGGAAAACTCTACTTTGTGAAGCTGAGTTGGGAGCATCGCTTGAGGCCAGGAGTTTGAGACCAGCCTGGGCAACATGGCGGAACCTCGCCCCTGCCAAAAAATTAGCCAGGTGTGGTGGTGTGCTCCTGTGGTCCAAGCTTTTCCGGAGGCCGAAGTGGGAGGCGTGCTTGAGCCTGGGAGGCAGAGCTTCCGGTGCCCCAGATGACTCCACTGCACTCCAGCCTGGGCGGCAGAGTGAGGCCATCTCAAAAAAAAAAAAAAGGAAAACTAAATATATTCACTGTAAGGGCATTTTGCATCTTTAAATGACCCACAAATCTGGCATGCATCAGCTGCTCTGCCTGTAGGTTCCTTCCCAGTGTTTGTCCAGAGGTGTATTTCCACACAGCGCTAGTCACGGCATACGTGGAAAACGTGGAAACCCTTCATGGATGTTGTCAGTTGGTCTATATTTTCTTTCTTTTTTTTTTTTTTGAGATGGAGTTTCACTTTTGTTGCCCAGGCTGGAGTGCAATGGCGCGATCTTGGCTCACTGCAACCTCCGCCTCCTGGGTTCAAGCAATTCTCCTGCCTCAGCCTCCCAAGTAGCTGGGATCACAGGCGTGCACCACCACGCCCAGCTAATTTTGTATTTTTAGTAGAGATGGTTTCTCCGTGTTGGCCAGGCTGGTCTCGAACTCCTGACCTCACGTGATCCACCCGCTTCGGCCTCCCAAAGTGCTGGGATTACAGGCGTGAGCCGCCACGCCCGGCCTTTGTCCATATTTTCTACATGGCTTCTGTAAACAGCTGACTAGGAGTCTGTGTGAATATCTTCATAGGTTCTGCTGTGACACTACTTGCTCGTGAGCATCTCCAGGTGTAAACAGCATCAGCTTCCCCCATTTTCCTTTAAAATCGCACATGTGGACGGACACCACGGGGACCCTGGACCCTGGGGAGCCCCGTCCTCACCCTTCTCACCAGGATGGCTGCTTGGTAGAGAGTGAGTTTGCAAAGTTGGCATTTGTTTAGTACAGAAGTTATCAGGTGTTCTGGCTTTAGAATCCCTTTATATATATATATATATACATATATTTAAGTGACAGGGTCTCACTCTGTTGCCCAGGCTGGAATGTGGTGGTACAATCAAAGTTCCCTGTAGCCTCGGCCTCCTGGGCTCATGGGATCTTCCCGTCTCAGCGTCTTAAAGCGCCGGGACCACAGGTGTGCACCACTGCCACCGGCTCTCAAGATTGCCACGCAGGGAGTTGCAGTGGGGGAAGGGGTTCCTGGGACTTTGAACGCTCCACCTCCCTCCTCTCCACAGTCCCCCAACCCCACCTCTCTAACGGGGTGGACGGCCGCCTCTTTCCATCCTTCGCTTGGCGCAGGGTGGGGAGAGTGACAGGTCTCCTTCCCTCATCTCGGCAGCTGCCATTTCATCGCTTACATAACGTGGGAGAAACATCCACCCACCCCCAGGCCTGTGTGAACATCACCACGGGGCCTTCTCCACTCTTCAGTTTTGTTAGTTACTTGATGTGCAGGGCTTTTTGTTGTAACTAGTGGGGGACGTGTGGTGGGGTGGGCTTCTGCCATCTCATTCAGGACCAGAACTTCAGTTTTCATCCCTATCTGTTCCCCCACCCCTTTGGAGATGGGGTCTCACTCTGTCACCCAGGCTGGAGAGCGGTGGTGCCATCACGGCTCACTGCAGCCTCCACCTCCTGCAGCCTCCACCTCTTGGGCTCAAGTGATCCTCCTGCCTCGGCCTCCCAAGCTCCTGGGACTACAGGCGTGTGCCACTGTGCTTGGCAGGGTCCATTCTTTTCCTCACACTTTATTTATTGAAGAGCCCAGGCCGTTTACCCTGCAGAGTCGGAATCTGTACAGGAGGGGCAGCCACACGAGTTCCCCGGTTTACTCTGAACTTAGGTGGCTTGAGGGCCCCAGTTAGACTGCGGCCACCGTTTGCCGGGCTCCAGATGGGACGTCCTTTCTATCAGAAGGCTCACAGTATCTCCTTTCCCGTTTCTTCCCATGTGAACATTGTTGCTGCTGAACACCTGAATATGTTAATCACTGGGGGCTTGCAAGATGGCAGTGTGCTAATTCCATCATCTAGTCAGTTAGCAGGAATAACTTAGGACCACGCCCTGCACCATATCAGCTATGTGGTGATCCCATTCACACAGGAAAGGTGGGACAAATGCTGGGGGTGGGCCGGGTGTGCTGTCTCACACCTGTCATCCCAGCACTTTGGGAGGCCCAGGCAGGCGGATCACGAGGTCAGAGATTGAGACCATCCTGGCCAACACGGTGAAACCCCGTCTCTACTAAAAATACAAAAAAATTAGCCAGGTGTGGTGGTGCATGCTTGTAATCCCAGCTACTTGGGAGGCTGAGGCAGGAGAATCACTTGAACCCAGGAGGCGGAGGTTGCAGTGAGCCGAGATCGCACCATTGCACTCCAGCCTGGCGACAGAGCGAGACTCCGTCTCAAAAATCAATCAGTCAATCAAGTGTCATCACTGAATGTTTGTGTGTGAACGTGGGGATTGGTCCTGCCCCATGCTCCCTCCTGAATCTCACTCCTGACCTCAGTTGCTGCACCTTGAGGTGTTTTCATGTGGGCTCTTGTGTCCTGACCCCGGCGGTTGTGGCCTCTTTGCTGTCTGGGAGTCAGGATTTTTCACACTCATGTCCTGCTCCAGACCTGGAATCAGCCAAGTCTCCAAGAAGCCCTGCTTTCTTTTCCTGCAAGACGGTATTTCAAGACCCGCCATGCGGCAGCGGGTTGGTCATGGTTACTGGGTTGGTCGTTGTTACTGGGTGTTTTCGTGGAGATACAGCCATACGCACAGGTGTGTTCACAAATGTTAATTCTAAAGGTCAAACACCCGGCCAGGCATAAGGGCTCAGCGGTAATCCCAGCACTTTGGGAGACCAAGACTGGTGGATCACCTGAGGTCAGGAGTTTAAGACCAGCCTGAGCAACAGGGTGAAACCCCATCTCTACTAAAAATGCGAAAATTAGCCGGGCATGGTGGCGCACACCTATAGTCCCAGCTAGTCGGGAGACAGACACGAGAATTGCTTGAACCTGGGACATGGAGGTTGCAGTGAGCAGAGATGGCGCTGCTGCACCCCTGCCTGGGTGACAGAGTGACACCCTGTCTCAAAAATGAATAGATAAATAAAGATAAAACACCTGCTCCTCTTGGTGTCTCCAGTTTGGATTTGGCCTGTGTAGCCTCTTCCTTCGCCTGTTGGTGGATTTGGCCTGCACGGATTCTGTGTGGCCTCTTCCTTCCCCTGTTGGTGGATTTGGCCTGCACGGATTCTGTGTGGCCTCTTCCTTCCCCTGTTGGTGGATTTGGCCTGCACGGATTCTGTGTGGCCTCTTCCTTCCCCTGTTGGTGGATTTGGCCTGCACGGATTCTGTGTGGCCTCTTCCTTCCCCTGTTGGTGGATTTGGCCTGCACGGATTCTGTGTGGCCTCTTCCTTCCCCTGTTGGTGGATTTGGCCTGCACGGATTCTGTGTGGCCTCTTCCTTCCCATGTTGGTGGATTTGGCCTGCATGGATTCTGTGTGGCCTCTTCCTTTCCATGTTGGTGTCCTTTTTTCCATGCCAGGAATCCTGGTTCTCAAGGGCGGGGTTGTTGGCACGAGCGTGATGCAGACTGCCTTTGCTGCCTTTCTCTTGCCCAGGGCTGAACATGGAGCTGGAAGACATTGCAAAGCTGAAGAGTAAGTGTTGCCCTCCCCGCCTCCTTGCAGCTGGGTGGGGCCTCCTCCTTGCGAGGAGGTGGGTGACACCTCCTCGACCCACAGTGATCCTGCTGCGCCTGGAGGGGGCCATCGATGCTGTTGAGCTGCCTGGAGACGACAGCGGTGTCACCAAGCCAGGGAGGTGAGAGGCGGGGAGCCAGCCCCTTCACTGCAGGCCCAGCCTAGAGCTAGAAACGGGCCATGGTGCAGTCCTGGGCTGTCACATCACGAGTGAGGCCTGTTTTCAGGCCTGTTTTCCCTTTTTGAGACCTGGGAGGAGCACCTGCTTTGCATGATCTGGTTGCTGAGATGTTGAGAGGAGCAGCACACACTCCCACGGGACAGCACACAGCCCCCCACGGAACGGCACACACACCCATGGAACAGCACACACACTCCCACGAACAGCACACACACTCCCACGAACAGCACACACACTCCCACGGAACAGCACACACACCCACGGAACGGCACACACACCCACGGAACAGCACACACACTCCCACGGAACAGCACACACACCCACGGAACGGCACACACTCCCACGGAACGGCACACTCTCCCACGGAACAGCACACTCTCCCACGGAACAGCACACACACTCCCACGGAACAGCACACACACCCACGGAACGGCACACACTCCCACGGAACAGCAGACTCTCCCACGGAACAGCACACACACTCCCACAGACAGCACACACACACCCACGGAACAGCACACTCTCCCACGCGGGGCCGCTGGGTTTCCTGCAGTTTCTCCTCCTCCAGGCCTTTCCCTGGACCCTGGTCCAGTCCGTCATTTGAGCACAGGTGCCTGTTAGAACGAGACCTTCTTGTTAGGACGATGAGTGTCCCAGCCACCACCTCTTTTGGACTCCGGGAGGCCTGGAACGTTCTGAACGCTCCGTGGGGCTCCAGTCTTCTCCGCAGCCAGGGCAGCAGGGTTTGCTGTCTGTCCTGCAGGCAGATGAGGAGTCAGGGCTGGGGCCTGTGTGGGGGCTCTCCTGAGCGCACAGCCGCCGAGGTGGAGCGTGTTCTGCCTGAGCGCCGACCTGGTCGGGGGAATCCCAGTTGCTTCCAGGTGGAGCCACTGTCCTCAGCGTAATGCTCAAGGCTCTGGCCTGGCTCCTCGGCCACCCTGCACCCTCAGGGTCCCCTCCTGTAGCTTCTGCTGCCCCATCACTGTCACTCTCCAAAGCTTTGGGGACTCTGCCCAGAGCCACCGCCTCCCAGAAGCCCCTGACAACCTCTTGACGACCCCCTAGTGACCCCATCCCTCCCCTCTGACGGCGGCCCCTGCTCTGAGGCGGCTTCTTTTCCTCGGTGCTGTTCTCGTGCTGGCCAGGCCTCCTCTCCCCACCTGGAGGCTCCTGAGGGCGGAGGCCTCTCACCTCCAATGCTGGCGTCCCCTGGAGGGCTGAATTTGTTTCCGAGGGAAGGAAACTTCCACAGTTGTTGCCTTCAGTTCCAAAGCTGCAGCCTGATTTCCCCCTCCAGGCTCGAGCCTGTTTTCTTCTCGGCAGCTACATCTTTGACCAGTGTCGTCCCCCCTCAGGCCCGAGCCTGCCTTCTTCTCCTCAGTTCCCAAAGCTGCAGTCTGGTCCCCCCGCCAGGCTCGAGCCTGCCTTCTTCTCCTCGGCAGCTACATCTTTGAGCTGTTTGCTGAAGCCCAGATCACGTTTCAGACCAAGGGCTGCATCCTGGACTCGCTGGACCAGATCATCCAGCACCTGGCAGGACGTGAGTGCTGGCACGGGGTCTTTGGTGCGGGCAAATGTGGCGTAGGGGGTGCAGCAGGCCTCCATCTTGGCAGTCAGGGCTCCCCTGGCCGTCACCTGGCCGTCAGCAGGAACAGGCCCACAGAACCTCATCTTCTGATCGGGGCGTGGAGGCGTTAGTGCCACTTGCCAGCTGCCGTAGAGCCTGTCCCAGTTCTGCAGCTGGCGGCTTCGTCCTACAGCCTCATCCCATTATTCTGCTTTTGAGAAAGAGCAGCCCAAGGCCCTAGCTGGCTTGTGGGGCCTCTGGCTTCTCCACACCACCCCGAGTTCTGCTTCTCAGAGTTGTGGGGTCCAGAGGCTTTGCCCAGAGGCGGTGTCCCCATGGGCTGCTCTGGTTTGAGACGCCGGGCCCAGCGGGGTCTCTCCTCTGCTGCGCTCCCGGGTGCTGGGGAGGGTGGCTTTTGCTGCTTCAACCCTTAGGCGACCATAGAGCCTCTTTTCAAGTCCCACTGACCCCCTTGGAGACTCTGTCCCTGCCTGGCTTCTCTCCTGGCTGCTGGGAAGAGCAGGCGAACTGCCCGCCCTGAATGGATGCTGCGCTCCACCCTGGGCCCCCCATTGGGCAGGAGATGGAGCTTGGCAGTCGGGCTGAGCGGGCTCATGCTGGAAGGGCCGGGGCTGGGGTCGGGGCCTCCCCTGCCTGCAGTGTGGGTGTCAGCGCCCTGCTGCCCTCCAGGTGCTGGAGTGTTCACCAACACGGCCGGACTGCAGAAGCTGGCGGACATTATCCAGGTGGGGCCTGCTCCTCTGTGGCATCTCCTTCCCTGATGGAAGCCGGGCGGGTGCCTTCTCCTGCTGTATTAGTTAACTGATTCTAGACTTGGGGATGGGAGAAAGGCCCCTACACCACCTGTTTCTGATTGGCAAACTCTCGGCTCCTTTCCAGTGCCCTAAACCCACACTGGGCCTCCTGCAGGGATGGGGGAGGACGAGGTCTGGTGGCACATGCCCAGGGTGATGCTGGTGAGGGAGGACGCAAAGGACAGTGGGGGCCGGGGAGCCGCTCCTGCCCTGTCCGGGCCCTCAGGCCAGGGGGGACCCACTGCTGGCAGCCCCAGCAGCCCCAGCTGCACGCAGATGAAGAGCTCTGGACACACGCGGCTTCCTGAACAGCTTCTCCAGGGACAGACAAATGGGGACCCTGCAGGTTCCCGGCAGGGGTGTCCCTGGGAGCCCATGATTGGGGGTGCGACCCTGGCCCCCTTCTCATTGGCCCCGTCCTGTCCTGCAATGCCCGTCCCATGTGAGGTCTGCTTCTGGCTCCATGCCTATGGCAGCACCTGCTTTCCCTGGCGTAGAGGTGCTTGTCCGGTTTGTGGAGGGCACGCCCCATTTTGGGTGCTCTGGGCACGTTGCCTCTCCGGGGCCTCGGTGGCTTTTTTAGAAGCAGACTCAGAAGTCCCTGACTGGGGAAGCCAAGGCACAGGTGGCTGTGTGGAGCCCTGTGAGGCCTCCTCTGTGCTGCCCACGCTGTACCTGCTGGCCACACGAGATCATGGCAGGGTTAGGCAGGGCTGCCCAGCGCTATGACAGCTTCATGAGTGTCCATCTGGCCTGTGGGGTGCTTGAGCTGGGGGAGGCCGCAGAAGAACCCTGGGATGCATGGCTGGCCTGTGCATGCTGCTGGGCATGGAGCTGCAGATCCCGGAACAAGCAGGCACTGCCTTCTCCTTCACAGACGCAGCTCTGAGCGGGGGCGAGACCTGGGCAGGGACCAGGTGGGGTGGGCACAGGGTGGTGGGGCCCAGGCTCAGCCCTCCCTCCACTGTGGCCGTCTCTGTGGCCAGTGACGCCACAGCCTGTGTCTTCTCTGTGCGGTAGCTGGGGCTGGAAGGACAGCACTGCCTTGTCCTCCCAACTCCTCCCCAAAGGCACGGTGGGCATCCCAGGCCCAGACCCCTCTGTCTGTGGCTCCTGCCTGCCAAGGGCTGCTGTGCTGTCCCGCATGGAGTGTGGTTGGCTCTTCAAGCAGGAGGCCGTGCACCTATCAGGCGGACCTGCTTCCATGTCCCTGATGGGTCACTGCAAAGCACCTCCAGCACATGGCCAGGCGAGGTAGCCCTGCAGCCCAGGGCCTGGAGGGCAGGTGTGAGCTGGCCCGGGCCTGTCCCTCCCTGGAATACAGCTTCCCAGGCTCCCACTTATGGAGAAGTCTCCTCCACACTATGGAACTGAATCCTAGAATGTGGCTTCTGAGGTTCCTACACTCGAACTGAATCCTGGAATGCGGCTTCCAAGGCTTCCAGCTATGGAGAAGACTCCACACTCTGGAACCGAATCCTGGAACGCGGCCTCCCAGGCCCCCAGCTATGGAGAAGACTCCACACTCTGGAACCGAATCCTGGAACGCGGCCTCCCAGGCCCCCAGCTATGGAGAAGACTCCACACTCTGGAACCGGATCCTGGAACGCGGCCTCCCAGCCTCCCACTTAAGGAGAAGTCTCCACACTCTGGAACCGGATCCTGGAACGTGGCCTCCCAGGCCCCCACTTAAGGAGAAGACTCCACACTCTGGAACCGAATCCTGCACACTCCATCGGTTTGGAATTTCCTTTGGCTGCTGCTCTAAGTAGCCGCTGGTGGATGACTCAGCTTCTGCCAGCCCTCGGGTGCCTGGAGGATGAGGGACTGCACACAGTGCTCACCCGCGTTGGCTCCTGAGCCCCTGCAGGTGTGGGCGGTGCCCATAGGGCTGGTGCTGGGTTGGGCCTGCAGCCCTGAGTCACAGGTGACCCTGGGGGCAGAGTGGGGCCAGTGGCCCCAGGAAGAGGATGTGGGATGCACAGCTCAGCTGGAGGCGAACTCCAGGCAGGGTCAGGCCGTGTGCTCGGAAGTCAGGGCTTAGCTGGAGGCAAACTCTGGGCAGTGCTGGCCCGTGTTGGGGAACCAGTTGCCCCTGGGCCCCCGTGAGACTGCTGGGTCCTCATCCCTCTCTGCCTGAGGCCGGAGCTGCCCTGGGCTGAGGCACAGGGGGATTTGTGGTGGTGTTTTTTTGAGAAAGGGTCTCGCTTTGTCACCCCGGCTGGAGTGCAGGGGCTTGATCACAGCTCACTGCAGCCTCAACCTCCTGGGCCCAAGTGATCCTCTTGCCTCAGCCACCCGAGGAGCTGTGAACACAGGTGTGCACCACCGCACTCAGCTAATTTTTAAAATTTTTTTGTAGAGATGAGGTCTTGCCATGTTTCCCAGGCTGGTCTCAAACTCCTGGGCTCAGGCAGTCTGCCCGCCTTGGCCTCCCAAAGTGCTGGGATTACAGGCAAGAGCTTCCATGCCTGCCCAGCAGAAGGCTTTTCGAAGGAAGCTGTTTCCTGAGGCAGACTCAGCCCTGCTCATGGCAGCCACCAGCGTGGGGGTGAACTTGTTCTGTTACTTCCATCCCCGTGGGCCAAATGCTTTGGTAAAACACAAGGCCCTGTGTTTAGCTGTCTTGACAGTGAAAATGGCTGGGAAGGAAGGAAGGAACGGAAGGAAATTTCTCTCTCCTTCTGTGCGTACCCAGGCACGTGCACATGCATGCAGAGTACGCACACACGCACGCACGCCTGCACAAATCCACGCATGTTGCCAAGTCTCTGTGTTCCAGCCGTGGTGTCTGCCCCCCGGTGTTCTCTAGTTCGGCTTCTCCGCATTTCTGTGAATGATTCCGGCTTCTTGGTGTTCCCAGCAGAACTCCCTCAAGTCTGCGGCGGGGCTCTGACGGCGGTGGCTTGGCTGACATGGCCACATTGCTGAGCCTGTTGGGGGCTTTGCGTTCCTGTTCTGGCCGTTTTTGGCTCGTTTTCCAGGAACGGTCGTCACGCGCTCCTCTCCTAGTGCAGGCATCATTCCTTTCCCATTGATTTGCAGGGTTCTCTGTAAGTTCTGAGGATCCCATATACATATACTCTCTGTAAGTTCTGAGGATCCCATATACATATTCTCTCTCTAAGTTCTGAGGATCCCATATACATATTCTCTCTCTAAGTTCTGAGGATCCCATGCCGACATACATATTCTTTCCTTGTCTCATGCTGGTCATTTTTTCCATTTTCATGACAGGTTTGGTGAACACATGTTTCCTTGTCAGATTTTTGTTCTGAGCTTGTGCCTCCCGACCAAGATGCTAAACCGGGTCTTGTGTATTCTCCAAACTGCACTGTAGAGTGACGGAGCTTTGTGTCTGGGCCTCCATGCCTTCTGACGTCACCTGTGGGGGTGTGAAAGGCAGACTCTACCTTGATTTTTCCCAGCACGCCACACCGGTGGTTCTGTGCGCTGACCGAGCGGCTCGGCTTCCCCCAACTCCACTGGGCACCTGCCACACTTTTCCTCATGTTTTTGTTCACTGTGGTTTTGTCGTAAGTCCTGGTGTTGGCCTGAACCAATTTCTTTTTGTTTGTTTTTGAGACAGAGTTTTGCTCTTGTTGCCCAGGCTGGAGTGCAGTGGCGCGATCTCGGCTCACTGCAAGCTCCGCCTCCCGGGTTCACGCCATTCTCCTGCCTCAGCCTCCCAAATACCTGGGATTATAGGCACCTGCCACCACGCCTGGCTAATTTTTTGTATTTTTAGTAGAGACGAGGTTTCACCGTGTTAGCCAGGATGGTCTCGATCTCCTGACCTCGTGATCCGCCTCCCAAAGTGCTGGGATTACAGGCATGAGCCACCGTGCCCAGCCTGATATTTTTAGTAGAAATGGGGTTTTGCCATGTTGGCCAGGCTGGTCTCGAACTCCTGACCTCAGGTGATCCTCTCACCTTGGCCTCCCAGAGTGCTGGGATTACGGGTGTGAGCCACCACGCCCGGCCTCTTGTTCTTTTGAAACCTGCCCTGACGTTTTTTCCATAGTGCATCTTGGAGTCAGCGTGTCTACTTCCTGTAAAAATCTTACTGTGATTTTGACTAGAATGTGTTGAATTCCTGTTTTTTTTTTGAGTCAGGGTCTCTCTGTTGCCCAGGCTGGAGTGCAGTGGGACCATCACAGCTCACTGCAGCCTCAACCTCCTGGGCTCAGGGGATCCTCTCAGCTCAACCTCCCAAGTAGCTGGGACCACAGGCACATGCCACCATGCCCGGCTAGGTTTTTTTTTTTTTTTTTTTGGTGAACACCCTGGGGTTGCACCATGTTGCCCAGGCTGGTCTCGAACTCCTGGGTTCGGGCAGTTTGCTCCTCTCAGCCTCCCGGAGTGCTGGGATTACAGGCCTGAGCCACTGCACTAGGCCATGTTGAATTTCTAGATTAATTTGGGGCCCTCAGGGGCACAGAGAGGAGGGCTGGGCCAGTTGGCGGGAGGAGAGGCCCCTCGGGCTGCCGCATTTTCAGTGCATGGAGATGGCCTATGTTGGGGGAACACAGAGCTCACCGGGGGTCCCTGCAGGGAGGAGAAAGGGTCAGGCAGGTGCCAGCTCCTGTCCATTGGCCTGGGGCTGCATGATGGCAGGGGCCGGTGAACCGATGACCCCTGGGTGTCCTGTGACCTTCTGTGTATGCGGCTGATGCTGCAGAAAGTCGGGTGGCCTCAGGCTCCTGACGGGGCTGCACTTCCTCTGCCTTTCAGATTGTGTTCAGTGTGGACCCCTCCGAGGGCAGCCCTGGTTCCCCAGCAGGGCTGGGGGCCTTACAGTCCTATAAGGTAGGGGCCACCTCCAGGAGGCAGGTGGAGGGCAGCCCTTGTTCCCCGGCAGGGCTGGGGGCCTTACAGTCCTATAAGGTGGGGGCCACCTCCAGGAGGCAGGTGGGGCTGGGGGTCTTCTGGTCCTAAAAGGTAAGGGGCTGCCCCCAGGACATGGGCGGGGCCTCCACACTCCTGGTCCTGTCCCCTCCAGGTGCACATCCATCCTGATGCTGGTCACCGGAGGACGGCTCAGCGGTCTGATGCCTGGAGCACCACTGCAGCCAGAAAGCGAGGTACAGACCTGGGCCCACACGCTCCCCGCCCGCCCGGGTGCAGTGCCCGGCACCACCATGCCACAGGCTAGGCACATGCCCAGCCGTGGATCTCCTGCCCCCATGGGCCTGGCCACCTTCTCCATATCCAGGCCAATCCAGAGCATTCTCCTCACTGTCCCTCTGAAGATTGGAGTTACTGAGAGACGTAGGAGATGGCCTGATGGCACCGTGACCTGCCCAGAGTCACCTGGTTGGTGGTGGCAGAGCCACAGCCCAGCCAGGCCTCCCTGCTGGGACACGCTCGTTTATGCCGAGGCCGTCAGCACAGAGCCTCCACAGTGAGGCACGGCTCTGCCTGCTGCCTCCACGCAGCGCCTGGCCGGGCCAAGCCTCAGGGTCACATCTGAAGGGGGCCCGGCTGGCCCTGTTGTCCGAAGCCCCTGGTGCGCTCAGCCCCGAGGCCCCACGTGCCTTCTTGGCTTCCTGTGCTCCGTGGCGTCTTCGAGTCGGTGCTGCCGGGGACGCTGTGTGGATGGGGTCTGTGAGTGTGCCCTCGGCTCCGTGTCCGGAGCCCTGTGGTTCTTGGGGTGTATCTGGCCCCACCCCCACTGCGTGGTGTCCAGGGTGGGGCTTCACGGCTGCAGCTGCGGGAGCTGCTGCCCCTGCCTTGTGCTCCAGTGGGGCCTTGCCTCTGGGCTTGGTTCGTCCCTCTCTGGAACATTCTTTCTCAGCTGCTGTCCGACCCATGGTGGCATGACGTGGCCCTGGCTGAAGCAGCCCTTGTGCGGTTGCTGTGGTTGGGTCTGCCTGGCCGAGCCGGAAGGGAAGGGCTGGGAGGGCGTCAGGGTGGCGTGGCTTGACCCCCGCTCGGTGATGGTCCTGCAGCAAGGCCTCTCCCAGCAGGAAGCGTCCATCCCGGGGGGAGGCCGGCGCCCCTCACGCAGTTGGGGTTGCGGGAGGCAGTGCGTGCCTGAGGCAGCCGGTGCACAGATTCCAAGGGCCTGGAATCTGTTTGTTCCATTGACCTCTGATGTCACTTGACTTCTCAGAAGCAGCCACTCCCTGCACTGGGCGTTTGTAGGAAATGAGCTCCTGGAGGAGGGGGTGGGGAAGTTCCCCCATTGCAGGGCACACTCAGCCCCAGGAAGGAAACGTGCCTCGTCCCTGCTGACTCCGAATCGCAGTCAGAGTCGTTCTGCTTGTGCCGTGTTGAATTCCCGGCATCCGGCATCCAGACTCAGCCTCCTCCCCAGGCCACGGCCGCCGTGGCCAGTCGGTCAAGCCCTTCTAGGAACTTCCTTTGAGCTGGCGCCCTTGTTCACTGCTGACGCCACTCAGAGGCTTGTGCACGTGTCCTGCTTCCAGGCAGAGCTGGGAACTCGCACCCCGTCTTCTGCACGCGGCCGTGGAATGTCGGGATGCCGGCGCTTCCTTCCCGTGTGCTCTTGGCGGGGTGGGCTTCTTGCCCTGAGCCGCATGTCACAGTTTCTGCAGAAGTTTAGGGTTGGAGTGGGCTGACCTCTCTGCAGGTGTCCCCAGCCTCTGCCTGGGGTCTGCCTCCTACTCCCAGGACCCCCTGTCCCCCAGAGGGGCCCCAAGCTGGCAGGCTCACACTCAGGGCAGCCTCCTTTGTTCTGACTTCTGCACAGTGGGCCTGGGTGGCTGCCCGCGGCTCGCTTGCTTGATGCCAGTGGGTGGAGAGGGTGATGGGCAGAGAGGCAGGTGGTCAGGCCCCCAGTCCCGTCCTCACACTCTGTGCCCTCTGCCGCCCCCCGCCCCACAGGGAAGGTGCTGAGCTACTGGTGCTTCAGTCCCGGCCACAGCATGCACGAGCTGGTCCGCCAGGGCGTCCGCTCCCTCATCCTTACCAGCGGCACGCTGGCCCCGGTGTCCTCCTTTGCTCTGGAGATGCAGATGTACGGGCCACCCCTGCCAGGGCCTGAGCACCGGTGACACCTCTGACATCAGCGGGGTGGAAGTGGTGGGGGTCCCCATGAGCCGGGTGCTGGGGGTCTCGGGCCTCGAGGGCTAAAGGGGTGCTGGTGCACTTCCCCACTGTCTGCTCCCTCTGGCCACGCTCAGCCCTTTCCCAGTCTGCCTGGAGAACCCACACATCATCGACAAGCACCAGATCTGGGTGGGGGTCGTCCCCAGAGGCCCCGATGGAGCCCAGTTGAGCTCCGCGTTTGACAGACGGTGAGGGCCTGTCCCTGGGCCCTGCTGGGGTGGGAGGTGGGGGAGCACTGAGGCCTGAGGTCCTGAGCAGTGGCCTCTCCGGCTCTAGGTTTTCCGAGGAGTGCTTATCCTCCCTGGGGAAGGCTCTGGGTGAGTGCCCTGAATGCCCCAGCTGTGCCCATCCTGGATCCTGGACCCCTGCTCCCAAGAGCTGGTAGGGAACCCTGCAGACATCCTGCCCCTGCCTTGACCCCGGCCCCTGCACTTCCAGGCAACATCGCCCGCGTGGTGCCCTATGGGCTCCTGATCTTCTTCCCTTCCTATCCTGTCATGGAGAAGAGCCTGGAGTTCTGGCGGGTGCGTCTCCCCTGTGTTCTGGGCGGGGTGGGTGAGGGCAGGGCTGGAGCATGAAGCAGGCAGTGGTCACAGCTCCTGCTTGCCCTCATCGGATCGGCGGCGTGACCAGGGCTGCCGTGTCCCTGCCTCTTCCTCCCACAGGCCCGCGACTTGGCCAGGAAGATGGAGGCGCTGAAGCCGCTGTTTGTGGAGCCCAGGAGCAAAGGCAGCTTCTCCGAGGTCGGCACTTGGCCGGGGCTCTGGGCCTGCTGCCCCCTCGTGCCTCCCCTGCCTCTCACAGCTTCCCCAAGGCTGACCACTGGCCCTGACCATGGGCTCCGGCGGCTCCCGCTGCCTCTTCAGGGCTCCTGCGTTTCCTTCCTGGCCCTGAGTGTTGCCTCTTATCTTACAAAGCCCCCAGCACCGGGTGGGTGTGGTAACAGTGGCCCTCCTGTCTGAGTAGCCCTAGTCGGCCACCCTGGCCCTGGGGTTCCCCGTGTTTTCTGGGAAGCACTGAGCAGGCGTGGGGTCAGCCTGGGATCCGTGCCAGGAAGAAGCTTCCAGAACCCGATTGGCCTTCCTGGCTAGGACGATCCTTCATCTTGGAGCATGAGACCTGGGTCTCCCTCATGGGGGAGGAAGGGGCTGGGGGGGGGCTCCAGGCTCAGCCTCACCAACTTTCCTTCCAGACCATCAGTGCTTACTATGCAAGGGTTGCCGCCCCTGGGTCCACCGGCGCCACCTTCCTGGCGGTCTGCCGGGGCAAGGTGAGCTCTCCAGGGCCCTCTGCCCTGACCTGGTTGCCTGTTCCCTGGTGGGTGCTTATGGCTCCCCAGCAGACTCTGGGCCCTGGGGGCTGCCCGGTCCCCTCCTTGGGTCCCACGAGAGCGACTGCTGGCCCTGCTGGGAGCGTGTCCTGCTCTGGGCCTGGGCAGGCAGGATGGGAGTTTCCTGGCCACAAGAGTTGGAGGTGGCGTCTGGGAGCTGTGGACCCCAAGTGGGGTCCTGACCCACAGATGGAGCTTCCTCCCACCCCTGGTTGGGGACGGAGCCTCGGGGAAGGTGGCTGGGCTGGGTGTGGGCACCAGGGAGAGGAGCCCCCACGGCCCCAGGCAGCTCCCTGGTGTGTCCCCTAGGCCAGCGAGGGGCTGGACTTCTCAGACACGAATGGCCGTGGTGTGATTGTCACGGGCCTCCCGTACCCCCCACGCATGGACCCCCGGGTTGTCCTCAAGATGCAGTTCCTGGATGAGATGAAGGGCCAGGGTGGGGCTGGGGGCCAGGTGAGTTACAGCAGGGTGGGGCTGGGGTAAGGCGGTCTGGTGACTGAGCCCCCGCCCCGTGGCCAAGGGAGCCCCCGTGACCGAGCCGCCTCGCCCCACAGTTCCTCTCTGGGCAGGAGTGGTACCGGCAGCAGGCGTCCAGGGCTGTGAACCAGGCCATCGGGCGAGTGATCCGGCACCGCCAGGACTACGGAGCTGTCTTCCTCTGTGACCACAGGTGCGTGCAGTCCGGTGGCAGGCGCGGCGCCAGGGGACACGCCCACACCCCACTGGGCCCCTGGACTCTCCTTCCCCACATGAGGCCCCGTCTCCTCCAGAGCCTCTCCGGCTACTCGGGGTCAGCGTGGGGCCCCTGCAGCAGATGAGGGTCTTCACTTCGGTGAACTGAACCCTTGAAGCGGCTGTGGGCAGGGCAGCAGGGCTATGGCCACCCCCCAGGTTCGCCTTTGCCGACGCAAGAGCCCAACTGCCCTCCTGGGTGCGTCCCCACGTCAGGGTGTATGACAACTTTGGCCATGTCATCCGAGACGTGGCCCAGTTCTTCCGTGTTGCCGAGCGAACTGTGAGTTCCTGCCCAGGGAGGGGATGAGGGTGTTGTCCCCAGAGGAGCCAGAAATGGGTCCACCCACCCCCATGGTTCTGCAGATGCCAGCGCCGGCCCCCCGGGCTACAGCACCCAGTGTGCGTGGAGAAGATGCTGTCAGCGAGGCCAAGTCGCCTGGCCCCTTCTTCTCCACCAGGAAAGCTAAGAGTCTGGACCTGCATGTCCCCAGCCTGAAGCAGAGGTCCTCAGGTGCGGACGGGCAGCGCTGGGTGGGCGGTGTGGGGGTGGCGGAGCGGGCGGCGTGGGGCGGGCAGCACCAGGCGCCCAGGGCGGAGGCGACTCACCTGGCTTTGTGCGCTTCCCCTCCCACCTCCAAAGGCTGCCTCTCCCTCCTAGGGCAGGGCCCCCACGGGCTGCAACCCTCCCCTACAGGCAGAGAACGCCCCAGGCAAGGATGCCCCCCGAGGCTGAGACTCCCCCCAATAGCAGGGAGGACACCCACAGGCAGGACCCCAAGTGCTGGGACTCTCCCCCAAGAGGGGCTTTGCCACAGGCAGGGACCCCAGCTGGGGCCCCCCGTGGGCTTCACTGCGCACTCGGGTGCCCCTGCAGGGTCACCAGCTGCCGGGGACCCCGAGAGTAGCCTGTGTGTGGAGTATGAGCAGGAGCCAGTTCCTGCCCGGCAGAGGCCCAGGGGGCTGCTGGCCGCCCTGGAGCACAGCGAACAGCGGGCGGGGAGCCCTGGCGAGGAGCAGGTACAGTTCCAGGGCCTTGGGATGGACACAGACCCTCTGTCTCCTGAGGCCAACCCGACCCCGCCCATCTGGCCTCAGGCACCTCCCCACACACCCCTGTAAATCCCCTGCCTGGCAGGCAGGCGGGCAAGCGGGCGGGGGATCCCAGCTGCCTGGCTGTCTGTGGGTCCTCCACCCCACCTCACCCACAGGCTGCTGGCTCCCAGGTGGTGCATGCCCTGGCCCTCCGCGGGTGCCCCCCACATCACTTTGGTTCTCTGGCGGGTCAGCTTGGCTCAGTGCACTCAAGGTCGGGTGCCCCTGCCACTGGCTGCGCTTGAGGCTGGCCTTTCTCCAGGAATGTGCTGCGGGTGGAACCCAGGTTCCTTCTTCCTTGGGGCCTTTTGCCCCAGAAGCCCATAATTCCTCAGGCCAACCCGAAATTTTCTCCCTGCTTCCTGCTGGGAGCCATTCCCCTCTTCCTGCCCATCCCTGCCCTTCAGGCCCCTGGAGTGAGCTCCAGGTGCAGGCACCAGGCACCTGTGTCCCCTTCCTGCCAGCCCCTCGCTGTGGTCGGACTGTCTTCCCTGGACCTGCTCTTACAAGTCACCACCTGCGAGCCTCATGAGCCGCTGGTGTGACTTGGACAGGACCAAGTTGTGGCACTGTCACCGGGGTGTGCTGTGCCCCCCTCCCCCGACCTCCATCTTGGCTCAGGGCTCCTTGGGACCATCTTCCCTGTGCGTCCAGGTGCTTTGGGACCCCAGAGTGTGTGGTTGGGGTCTGTGTGTGGTTGTGAGCTGTGTCCTCCTCAGGCCCACAGCTGCTCCACCCTGTCCCTCCTGTCTGAGAAGAGGCCGGCAGAAGAACCGCGAGGAGGGAGGAAGAAGATCCGGCTGGTCAGCCACCCGGTGCGTGAGCTGTCCCTGCACCTGTGCCGACCACCATAGACACGCATGGGAACGCAGCCGTGGGTGCCCCCAGCCACGGCTGGTCCCGATGGGACCAGGGAATCCACCCCCAGGAGCTGATGTCCAGGGCAGCTGTGATGCTGACGGCCAGGGGCTCAAGTGTGTGGTTTCTTCTGCAGGGGGCTCATGAGTCCCAGCTGGAATCAGGCCCCACCCTTGGGCAGGTTTGGCATGGGGCCTGCAGCACTGGGCTTGGCCCTGGCATTTCCCTCAAGTGTGGATGCACACCTGCCTCATGTGAGGGACACAGCCCATTCCTAGCCTTGGATCAAAGAACGGAGTTATAGCCGGAGCCAGGAAGCCCCCTGCCTGCTGGAAAACCCCAAGTGTGGCGGCCTTTGTCCATGTCCCTTGGCTTCTGGGAAGAACTGGGTGGTGCCCAGGCAGGGCTGGTGCCATCAGGAAGTGGGTGGCTGCTGAGGGGCCTGGGCTGGCGAGGGCCTGGGTGGGGAGTGCCTGGGCCGCCCCTGCCTTGGTTTCCACGTTTCCGTGTTGGTCTGGGGTGTGTAGAGAGATGGGCACTGCTCATCCGGAAGCCCCTCCTTGTGCGCTGCCATCCTGGGAGCCTCAGCCGCATCCGCTGTGGGGCAGGGGGCTTGAGGGAGGAGGAGAGAGACGGGCCATGCAGGACCCCTGGCTTGAGGCAGAGCCAATCTACCCTTTGCCCATTCACTGCTCTCAGTTCCCTGCCAGCCTCTCACTGTGTGACCTCAGACGGGCCCAGCCCCACAGCTTTCTTCCCGCAGCCCCTCCCTATGTCCATCCAGCCAGCCAGTTTCTCAGGCAGCAGCCCCACCTCGGCAGTCACTGTCCCAGGGAACGCTCAATGTTCCAAGGAAGGCTCTGCAGCCCCAGGGACCAGATGATGAGGCTGGCCCTGATGGAGCCTCGGGCCTGTGTCCTGCAGGAGGAGCCCGTGGCTGGTGCACAGACGGACAGGGCCAAGCTCTTCATGGTGGCCGTGAAGCAGGAGTTGAGCCAAGCCAACTTTGCCACCTTCACCCAGGCCCTGCAGGACTACAAGGGTTCCGATGACTTCGCCGCCCTGGCCGCCTGTCTCGGCCCCCTCTTTGCTGAGGACCCCAAGAAGCACAACCTGCTCCAAGGTGCCCTGGCTTGCAGAGGCCACCCACCCTGAGGGCAGTGCTGCCGCCGCGTGTGGGGTGGGGGCCATCTGGGTCCAAGGTGGTCTCTGTTCTCTAGAGAAAAAGGGGCAGATGGGGACAGACGCCCCTTCCTCTACAGGCTTCTACCAGTTTGTGCGGCCCCACCATAAGCAGCAGTTTGAGGAGGTCTGTATCCAGCTGACAGGACGAGGCTGTGGCTATCGGCCTGAGCACAGCATTCCCCGAAGGCAGCGGGCACAGCCGGTCCTGGACCCCACTGGTAAATGGGGCCCCAGGTGGGACCCTCAGACTCCTGCGTGGAAGGCAGTGTGGGCCAGAGTCCTGGGCTGCTTGGGGTGGGCATCCTCGGGCCCTGCTTGGCCCCGCCTCTCTGTTCCCCTATGGGAGTGATGGGGGCCTCCACCTCCACCACCAGCACCAGCAGCACCACCTCCACCTCCACCTCCACCTCCACCTCCACCACCACCTCCACCTCCACCACCACCTCCTCCACCACCACCACCTCCACCACCACCACCACCACCACCACCTCCACCTCCACCACCTCCACCTCCACCACCACCACCTCCACCTCCACCACCACCACCTCCACCTCCACCACCACCTCCACCACCACCACCTCCACCTCCACCACCACCTCCACCACCACCACCACCACCACCACCACCACCACCACCACCTCCACCACCACCACCTGCACCACCACCTCCACCTCCACCACCACCACCACCTCCACCTCCACCAGCAGCAGCATCACTTGTTGGGGAGACCCTGTGCAACTCCATGCACAGCCCTGTCCCTGCCATAGCCCCGACCCCTAAGCACAGCCCTGTCCAACTGCCACACGTCCCCTGCCTCCCATGCATGGTCCTGGGGGGTCAACTGCACACGCCAGGGTCCTAGGGTCCTAGACCCCTGTCCTCCCTGTTTCTGCCTCTGTTTGGGGTGGAGTCCAAGTCTCCAGAGGCGGAAGCATCTGTGTTCGTGTGTTAATGAACAGCCCCTACAGAGTTCCCCTAGTTCACCCAGGGGGGAACCTAGCCTGTTGGGACGACCCCAGATCCCTTCTGGGCTTGGTACTCACTGGGATATCCTCATGCCTGCACCCAGCCTACGGCTCTGAGCTCCTGAGTGGGGCTTTGGCCTGCCCGCCACTGTTCCAGCCCCCATCCAGCAGGCTGGTGTCTCCTCTGATGCCCCCAGCACCCAGGCGTGTACCTGCCTGGGTTTTCCCGCCCTGGTCTGAGGTGGGTGAGGCCTGGCCTCCCTAGCCAGCCCTGCCCCCCCACCCCAGGGAACTTTCCAGATGCTCTCGACCAGCTTTGTGGCTCTACATCTCTTCATCAGGAAGAACGGCGCCGGATCCCAAGCTGACCGTGTCCACGGCTGCAGCCCAGCAGCTGGACCCCCAAGAGCACCTGAACCAGGGCAGGCCCCACCTGTCGCCCAGGCCACCCCCAACAGGTAGCTGACTCCTGAACCGTGTGCAGCCTACGACTTGGTGGGTCCCTCAGTGGCTTCACGAGGCTAACTCTTGAGTGTGGCCGGGGCTGCCCCTGTGGGGAGCCATCTCATGGTGGGGACTGCTCCCGGTTCTGCACCCCGCAGTTGTCCTGAGCAGCTCTCCAGGAGTTCCTGGAGGAAGGGCGGGCAGGGCGGTGGGACTCTCAGTCCTCCACCCCAGCGCCACTCTGAGCCATGCTACTCCCACACCAGGAGACCCTGGCAGCCAACCACAGTGGGGGTCTGGAGTGCCCAGAGCAGGGAAGCAGGGCCAGCACGCCGTGAGCGCCTACCTGGCTGATGCCCGCAGGGCCCTGGGGTCCGCGGGCTGTAGCCAACTCTTGGCAGCGCTGACAGCCTATAAGCAAGACGACGACCTCGACAAGGTGCTGGCTGTGTTGGCCGCCCTGACCACTGCAAAGCCAGAGGACTTCCCCCTGCTGCACAGCAAGTGGCCCTGGCGTGGGGAACAGCCGGTGGGGTGGGGGGCAGGGGACAAAATGGGGGCTGTGCCGGGTCTGATTGAAGCTCCCCGCAGGGTTCAGCATGTTTGTGCGTCCACACCACAAGCAGCGCTTCTCACAGACGTGCACAGACCTGACCGGCCGGCCCTACCCGGGCATGGAGCCACCGGGACCCCAGGAGGAGAGGCTTGCCGTGCCTCCTGTGCTTACCCACAGGGCTCCCCAACCAGGTAGGGCACCTGCCTGGCTGCTCCTGGCAGCGCCCCAACCGCACGCAGCCCTGGGAGTGAGCAGCAAAGCCCCAGGCCCCCCTCAGACTCAAGTCTCTGTCTCCAGGCCCCTCACGGTCCGAGAAGACCGGGAAGACCCAGAGCAAGATCTCGTCCTTCCTTAGACAGAGGCCAGCAGGGACTGTGGGGGCGGGCGGTGAGGATGCAGGTCCCAGCCAGTCCTCAGGACCTCCCCACGGGCCTGCAGCATCTGAGTGGGGTGAGCCTCATGGGAGAGACATCGCTGGGCAGCAGGCCACGGGAGCTCCGGGCGGGCCCCTCTCAGCAGGCTGTGTGTGCCAGGGCTGTGGGGCAGAGGACGTGGTGCCCTTCCAGTGCCCTGCCTGTGACTTCCAGCGCTGCCAAGCCTGCTGGCAACGGCACCTTCAGGTTGGTGCCTGGCCACTACAGTTCCTGCTGGGTGTAGCCCCAGGTGATGGGCTGAGGGGGAAAGGGCAGGCCCTTGTCCTGGTGGCAACGCCTGGCAGACGTGTGCAGTGGGCCGGTTGTCTCACAGGCCTCTAGGATGTGCCCAGCCTGCCACACCGCCTCCAGGAAGCAGAGCGTCATGCAGGTCTTCTGGCCAGAGCCCCAGTGAGTGCCCACGGAGGCCCCCAGCACACCCAACGTGGCTTGATCACCTGCCTGTCCAGCTCTGGTGGGCCAAGAACCCACCCAACAGAATAGGCCAGCCCATGCCAGCCGGCTTGGCCCGCTGCAGGCCTCAGGCAGGCGGGGCCCATGGTTGGTCCCTGCGGTGGGACCGGATCTGGGCCTGCCTCTGAGAAGCCCTGAGCTACCTTGGGGTCTGGGGTGGGTTTCTGGGAAAGTGCTTCCCCAGAACTTCCCTGGCTCCTGGCCTGTGAGTGGTGCCACAGGGGCACCCCAGCTGAGCCCCTCACCGGGAAGGAGGAGACCCCCGTGGGCACGTGTCCACTTTTAATCAGGGGACAGGGCTCTCTAATAAAGCTGCTGGCAGTGCCCAGGACGGTGTCTTCGTGGCCTGGGCTTGGTGGTGGGAGTTGAGGGACAGGGAGTTGGCAGAGGCCCCTCCCAGCCTGCCATGTGACACTGTACTTCCTCCACGGTGGGCTCAGCCCTGCCCTCATCCTCACAGCCGCAGCCAAGCTGCAGTTGGTAGGGGATCCACCGACACACCAGGCTGCCTGGGCTGGTCTCTGGGTTGGGAGCTGCCCCAGGTGCTGAGGAGGGCAGCTCCCTGGCTGGTGAGGCCCCTCCCAGAACCACCCTTGGACTGAGCTCTGGGGAGGGATGGTACCAGGTGGGTGAGGGGGGCTGCCTGGGGAGGGAGGGGTTCCTATGGGGCGTGGCGAGGCTGGCCCAGCCCTCTCCCCGCCCATATATGTAGGGCAGCAGCAGGATGGGCTTCTGGACTTGGGCGGCCCCTCCGCAGGCGGACCGGGGGCAAAGGAGGTGGCATGTCGGTCAGGCACAGCAGGGTCCTGTGTCCGCGCTGAGCCGCGCTCTCCCTGCTCCAGCAAGGACCATGAGGGCGCTGGAGGGGCCAGGCCTGTCGCTGCTGTGCCTGGTGTTGGCGCTGCCTGCCCTGCTGCCGGTGCCGGCTGTACGCGGAGTGGCAGAAACACCCACCTACCCCTGGCGGGACGCAGAGACAGGGGAGCGGCTGGTGTGCGCCCAGTGCCCCCCAGGCACCTTTGTGCAGCGGCCGTGCCGCCGAGACAGCCCCACGACGTGTGGCCCGTGTCCACCGCGCCACTACACGCAGTTCTGGAACTACCTAGAGCGCTGCCGCTACTGCAACGTCCTCTGCGGGGAGCGTGAGGAGGAGGCACGGGCTTGCCACGCCACCCACAACCGTGCCTGCCGCTGCCGCACCGGCTTCTTCGCGCACGCTGGTTTCTGCTTGGAGCACGCATCGTGTCCACCTGGTGCCGGCGTGATTGCCCCGGGTGAGAGCTGGGCGAGGGGAGGGGCCCCCAGGAGTGGTGGCCGGAGGTGTGGCAGGGGTCAGGTTGCTGGTCCCAGCCTTGCACCCTGAGCTAGGACACCAGTTCCCCTGACCCTGTTCTTCCCTCCTGGCTGCAGGCACCCCCAGCCAGAACACGCAGTGCCAGCCGTGCCCCCCAGGCACCTTCTCAGCCAGCAGCTCCAGCTCAGAGCAGTGCCAGCCCCACCGCAACTGCACGGCCCTGGGCCTGGCCCTCAATGTGCCAGGCTCTTCCTCCCATGACACCCTGTGCACCAGCTGCACTGGCTTCCCCCTCAGCACCAGGGTACCAGGTGAGCCAGAGGCCTGAGGGGGCAGCACACTGCAGGCCAGGCCCACTTGTGCCCTCACTCCTGCCCCTGCACGTGCATCTAGCCTGAGGCATGCCAGCTGGCTCTGGGAAGGGGCCACAGTGGATTTGAGGGGTCAGGGGTCCCTCCACTAGATCCCCACCAAGTCTGCCCTCTCAGGGGTGGCTGAGAATTTGGATCTGAGCCAGGGCACAGCCTCCCCTGGGGAGCTCTGGGAAAGTGGGCAGCAATCTCCTAACTGCCCGAGGGGAAGGTGGCTGGCTCCTCTGACACGGGGAAACCGAGGCCTGATGGTAACTCTCCTAACTGCCTGAGAGGAAGGTGGCTGCCTCCTCTGACATGGGGAAACCGAGGCCCAATGTTAACCACTGTTGAGAAGTCACAGGGGGAAGTGACCCCCTTAACATCAAGTCAGGTCCGGTCCATCTGCAGGTCCCAACTCGCCCCTTCCGATGGCCCAGGAGCCCCAAGCCCTTGCCTGGGCCCCCTTGCCTCTTGCAGCCAAGGTCCGAGTGGCCGCTCCTGCCCCCTAGGCCTTTGCTCCAGCTCTCTGACCGAAGGCTCCTGCCCCTTCTCCAGTCCCCATCGTTGCACTGCCCTCTCCAGCACGGCTCACTGCACAGGGATTTCTCTCTCCTGCAAACCCCCCGAGTGGGGCCCAGAAAGCAGGGTACCTGGCAGCCCCCGCCAGTGTGTGTGGGTGAAATGATCGGACCGCTGCCTCCCCACCCCACTGCAGGAGCTGAGGAGTGTGAGCGTGCCGTCATCGACTTTGTGGCTTTCCAGGACATCTCCATCAAGAGGCTGCAGCGGCTGCTGCAGGCCCTCGAGGCCCCGGAGGGCTGGGGTCCGACACCAAGGGCGGGCCGCGCGGCCTTGCAGCTGAAGCTGCGTCGGCGGCTCACGGAGCTCCTGGGGGCGCAGGACGGGGCGCTGCTGGTGCGGCTGCTGCAGGCGCTGCGCGTGGCCAGGATGCCCGGGCTGGAGCGGAGCGTCCGTGAGCGCTTCCTCCCTGTGCACTGATCCTGGCCCCCTCTTATTTATTCTACATCCTTGGCACCCCACTTGCACTGAAAGAGGCTTTTTTTTAAATAGAAGAAATGAGGTTTCTTAAAGCTTATTTTTATAAAGCTTTTTCATAAAACTGGTTGTAGTTGCACAGCTACTGGGAGGGCAGCCGGGGACACCTGAGCCGCCCGCTGTGCCCAGATCCCTCAGGCTGCCTGCCATCAGAACTGCTGCCCGGGGCTTCCCCTACCTCAGACAGACCCTCCCTGGGAGGATCAGTGGGGAGTGCCACCTCTGCCCCCAGTGGCTGTGGCACGTGGCAGGGGCCCCTGAAGCTCAGCGAGGGTCAGGGCCTGGGAGGGTATCATTGCTGGAAGAACAGGATGGGGCTCAGGCCAGCCCTAGTCGCCGGGGCCCACACTAACCCCCCACTTATGAATTCCTCCCACTCCCAACTCACAGGGGATTTCCCGAGAGGGGACCTGCCAAAGACCTCCTCCAGGCCTCCCATGCTTTCCGGGAAGTGAAGCTTCTCCCTCTCTGGGGCAGGCTCTGAAGCCTCCCGATGCACCCAGAGCAACCGGGGGGCTGCACCAGCCACTCGCCTCCCCAGCACGGCCAGGTTCCCGGGGCTGGAGGTCCCCCCCAGGTCCTGGGAACCAACCTGCAGAACACACACAGGGTCCCCTGGAGAGGACGCGGGGACTTCCAGGGCCCGACTCCTGTGAGTCACAGCCCCGCAGCTGCTGCGCCACCCCCACCCTGACTCATGCCCCTTCCCAGCAGCTCCTCCCAGGACCCCATGTCCTTCCCACATCCGCAGGAAGGGAGTGCCTGGACTCTCCAGGCCCACCTGGGGAGCCCCTCACCTGCCCACCAGCCCCTGAGCAGCCCAGTAACACCATCACCGTGTCCAACAGCCAGGAGCCTCCACCCTCCAGGAGGGAAGGGATGGACAGAGCCACACTCGCCGTCTTTATTTTGCACTCACCCTGGGTGACACTGGGCAGGCCGCTCCTGCCCACAGCCAGACTGAGGAAGAACACAGCACTCGGCAGGCCCAGTGGGGTCCGTGCAGGGAGGACCCCAGGACCAGCCTTACTCCCGAGCAGGGGACACAGGGCCCCACAGAGAACCCCTCCGGGAGGTTCTCTCCTGGCTGGGGGAGGGCTCTGGACCCCCACAAACACTCCCCAACTTGCGGGGCTGGGGCATAAAAACAGCCACTCCCAGCAGGCCCCCTCAGCTTTTTGCATCAGTCAGCTCCCTCCCGGGGGATTAGGGTGAGGTGAAGCCAGGCCCAGGCGTGGGGTATAGGTCTTCCCCCGCAGGCCTCAGCCCTGTCCCGAGGCTGCATCACAATCCAGGGCCCCCGCTGGCCTTTGGGAACATGGCCTGGGTCTTCCTCAAGGCAAGATCAGCCCCAGACCACTTCCGGGGTCACGGGGTCACGGGGTCACAGGGCAGAAGCCAGATGGCAGCCATGGCTGACGGGCCTCCTCCTCGATGGGGCGGAGACAGCCACGGGGTCTCCCGAGGGTCCCACAGGGCTGTCCTCATGCAGCCCAAGCCAGCCTGAGCACTGGAGCCCCAATTCCCAACCAGGTCTCCCTCAGACCCCCCAGAAAGGGCCTCGAAAGGCCGCCGCTGCGCCCTGTGGAAAGGCTGCCGCTGCAGGGCCTGGGCCAGCCGGGCTGCCAGACTCCCCTCCAAAGCCTCCGGATGCCTACGCTTTTCCAGACATAGAGGAAAGTTTGTCTTCGAGAAAACAAAGTAAATAGAAGAACCCCAAAGCAAAGCAAACCCACCCCCCAGATCAGCAGCATGGGAGCCAACAGGAGGCCACTCCTCCAGCACCAGGGGACCAGCCGTCCCGACGGCAGCGCGGCTGCGCCTACGTGATGTCCCTCTGCCGCGGCGGCCGGTGCACATTCCGCACGACACACTTCACCATCCACTCGATGCCCTCGCGCACCCCTTTGCTGTGAAGACAGCGGGTGTGAGGCGGGGGGTCTCGGTCCCCAAAGCCCCCGCAGGTGCAGCCCCCACTCACCCTGTGAGGGCCGAGCAGGCCTGGGTCAGGCAATCTCGCCTGCCGATCTTGCTGGTGCAGTCGCTGAAGGCCGTCTTGATGTCAGGGATTGAGAGGCACGTCTGGGGGAGGTAAGGCCGTGAGGAGCAGCCCCCACGTCTGGCCCTGTCCTGCCTGTGGGCCCGGGACTCTCAGAAGGGCGTATGCCCTTCACCCCAGGGAAACAGCCAGAGCTCCACCAGGGTCCCAGTGTCTCCCACAGAGACCACAGCAGTGAGGACCCTGTGCTCAGCCCGAGGCTGAACATGGCTGGTAGTGCCTGAGACAAACTAGACGTCCACACGGCTCCAAGGAGTCCACCCCCCATCCCCTCCCTGGGGGACACCCTGAGCCCCGAGGTGGGGCGCTGAGGACTGAGGCCTCCTGGGCAGTGGCGGAGGCAGGTCCCAGGGGCCCACACAGCCGGGGATGATGGAGAGGTGGGAGCCCTGCATCAGTGATGGAGGCAGTCTGCAGTCATGGTGGCTTCTGCTCACAACCACCTGCCCAGTCTTCAAAAAGCAGCCCTCCCCTCCCCTTTTCCTCCGAGGGGAGACCCCTGCCCCGTACCAGATGTCCCTCTTGTCGGCTGAGATTGTAGGGGAGGCCAGCCTTACAGGCTGGGGGCAACAGAGCCACCCCAGAGAAGGCAGGAAGTGAAGATTCACCTGGCCCTCTGGACGCCGGGCTGCTTCTGTGCAAAGCCACTCCAAGAGAACAGCTAGAACTCAGCGTGGCCAGTGCTCCCGGGGGCAGTGGCACCTCAGAGGGGTCTTGAGGGGCTGCCCTGGGGGTGGGGCTGGCACAGATGCCACCTCCAAGGGTAGCAGGAACAGGTAAGGGTCAGAGCTGACTCCCACCAGGGCCCCAGCATCACTTCTTTGAGCTCTGAGTTTCACCTGGGTGTCCCCACAGCTTGGCCACACACTCCTGAGACACGGCCGCCCTCCTGGGGAGAGGTGCCCTGCATAGCAGGAAGAGGCCTCTGGGCGCCTGCCCTGAGGTGGGAGAACCTCCAGGGCTGGCAGCAGCAGGTCTGGAGAGGAACCAGGCTTGGGAAGCTGCTGGGGGCAGGGCAGGCCTTGAGAATGGCTCTGTACCCCCTGGGCAGTCACTGGGCCTGGGGTGTCTGGGTGCACACCTGCTCCCCTTGCTGTGGGGGAGGCTGGGGACTCGGGAAGCTGCTGCGGGAGGCAGGGGTGGGGCTCACCTCCACATCCTGCTTGTTGGCCAGCACCAAGACGGGGACACCGCACAGCGCCTCGCTGGTCACCACCTTCTCTGGGGAGGGCAGGAGAGGCAGCGCCTCACACCCAGCATCCTGCCTCTGACTGCCCAGGGGCCCACAGGCGTGGACACTGTGACAGCCACTCCCTCTGCCCCCCCCCCCCCCGTCACCCACTAGGCAGGAGCACTTCTGACCAGACACTGAGCCTGCCCCAGGCACAGAGCTGCCCAAGCTGGACCTGCCCCCACTCACCATCCATCCCTCCCAGAGCAGCCAGGCCGCACTCACCAAACGCCTGCTTGGACTCAGCCAGCCTCTCCTCGTCGGTGGAGTCAATGACGTAGATGACGCCGTGACACTCCGCATAATACTGGGAGGAAGCACCAGGAGTTGGGGCTCAGTCCCCACCCTGCCAAGGGCCAGCAGAGCCAGGCCTGTGTCATGGCCACAGTGAGGGGCTCACATGAGGAAGGGGCAAGAGGGCAGCCCCCAACTGCAAGACCCTTCTGGGATGCATTCTGGGGTTGCGGGGAGATCTGGTGGAGGTGTCCCCAGACGCTGCTCCTGAGAACCTGCCGGCAACCTTTGGCCTGATGGTGGCCAAAGGTGAAAGACAGGGATTGGGCCAGGCGTGGTGGCTCACACTTATTATCCCAACACTTTGGGAGGCAGAAGCAGGAGGATCACCTGAGCCCACTTCACGGCCAACCTGGGCAACACAGTGAGACTCCGTCTGTACAAAAGCTTATGGTAATGTGCGCCTGCAGTCCTAGCTACTCGGGAGGCTGAGGTGGGAGGATGGCTTGAGCCTGGGAGGTTGAGGCTGTAGTGAGCTCTGATCACACCACTGCACTCCAGCCTGGGTGAGAATGAGAGACCCTGTCTCAAAAAAAAGATAGGGTTTGGGGGCTGGAGGAACCTAGACCACAGCCTGGCCCGTTGAGGGAGTGCACCTGTGGGGCTCTGTGCCAGCACCTCGCACAGGGAGGGAGTGTGGCCATGCGGATAAGACTGACCAGCGCCATCTACGAAGCGAGCCTTCCCTGCCAGGACAGGGCCAGAGTCACTGAGCTCAGACCTCTGCAGCCTGGGCTGGTCAGTCCTGGGCTCGCTGGCAACACTCCTGGGCAAGACAGGGCACAGCCCCTGCAGCCTCAGGTACAAGTGCTGAGCCCTGGACCAGATGAGTGCACCTCTATCTCAATCAGAAAAAAACACAGCAAACTCCGCGTCCACGTGGAGCAGACAACAGCTCACATTTGCCACTTTGCCTCCAGGCTGTGCCAGCTCTCCTGTCCAGGCATGAGTGCCCAGAGACCTAGAACTGGATGCTGACCAGGTAGGACAAGCTGGTGGTCAGTGTGTTAAGACACACACACCCGAGAGCATGAGAAGCCAGGAGGCACAGCCCAACTCTCCGAAATCCTTAGGGTGTCTGAGCAGGGAGTACCAGACAACCCCATCCCAGTGCCAGACAAGCTTGTGCACCTGCACTTCCCACAGAGGAGAGAAGCCTGTGCACCTGCACTTCCCACAGTGGAAAGGAGGAGGCCCAAGGCCAGGCCCCCCCACCCCCAGGAACTTCCCACAGTGGAGAGGAGGCCCAAGGCCAGGCGCCCTCCAGGGTTCTGCAGGTAGCGAGGCCCCCCCACCCCCAGGAACTTCTCTGGCCTACAGACAGGTCCCACACAGAGGCCGCCAACCCCTCAAGGGACCCTGCAGTGTGCCGGCTGTCTGCTGCTGACACAAGGGAGCAGGCGGACCCTAAGGTGGAGACCTCTGTGGCAGGAGGGGCGGCTCTGTGGAGGCTGCAGCAAGCCCAGTGAGAGAATCTCCACGTGGCTCCTGGGGCTTCTGAGCAGGGTGGCAGAAGGTTCATGTGCAACCGGGTCCTGGACCATGGGACCACGTGGCCAGAGCCACCCATCACACCTACCAGGCACAAGGTGCACAGCCCAGCAGGGCCGCAGTGGACGGGAGCGACACCTCAGGGCTGAGTGCGGGCAGGACCCAGAGCCCCACGCCCCAGTGGAGGCGTCACAGCAGTGGTCATTGTGGGGTGCCCCACAAGGAGGGGGAAGAGGGAGGTGTCCAAGCGTGGCTCCTGGCTGGCCAGCTGACCCCAGTGGAGCAGTCAGAGGGACTGTGGGTCTGAGTTTTTCTCCCCAGCAGCAATGGGAGCTCCCCAACTGCAAAGTGCCAGCCAGCCTGAGAGACTAGTGTTACAGCAAAGAACCCAGGAGCTGAGGTCCTGGCACATGCCACACATGTGGACACCAACCCAGGGTCCAGCCCCAGGACGAGGCCAATTCGCAATGACGCCCCTTTCTGTGGTGCTGGCTCTGCACAAGGATGCAGGATACAGGAAACCAGGGTGGGAGCAGGGGCCTCCCTTCCGGTCCCTCCCAGTGACCTAGGGGGGTCCCTGCAGCTGATCCTCCCAGCTCTGAGCTCAGCAGGGTCAGGGGTCCCGGCCACTAGAGCAGCACATACTCAGCAGACACGCTGAATGACGAGCCACAGCTGCCTCATGGGCATGACTTGCACCTCATGTCTAGGAGACCCTGGTGGGCAGGAGATGGGGCTGCCATCCCACAGCTGTCCCACAGCTGGGGACCCAGGGAGCCACTGGCCCCACCACGGTGGTGTCTGGAGAAGGGCTCAGACTGCCAGGAAGTCGCACCCCAGCAGAAGTGGTAGTGAATTGGGAGGGCACTCAAGGAAGGGCTGTGCAGCCCCAAGACCAGCAGCAAGGATGGGCTACAGTGGCCCCCTTAAGTCTCCCTCTTCCAGTTTCGCCTTAAGAGAGGCCCTCAGGACCTTGGAGGAACCCCTCTCCAACGTGGAAGTGTGGGTCCACATAGGGCTGCAGCTGTGGCCAGTGCAGGCATCTCTGGCCCCACTGTATTCTTGCTTCATGTTGGAGAACACTGCACCAGCAGATGGTCTCATTTTGGTTTCTGTGGGACCCACTTTGGCTGCAAAGAGCCACACTGCCAGGTCACACCTGCCCAGGGCAGCCCACACTGGGGACCCACCAGGCCATGGTGTGAAGTCCCGGCCAGCCTGGCCCCACATGGCACAGCATAGCCAGTTCTCCTCCAGGGCTCCCTGCTGGGCCAACCACAGCTCTGTGGATCCTGCTGCCTGAGTCGACCTCTCCTCTCCCGTCCTCCCTGCCTTCCTGGTGCCGACCCCCAGTGTGCATCCTGTACCTCGACCTGTCTCAGCATCTGTGCCTGAGACACCGGCCTGTGACAAGATCATCATCATCTGTGTCACTCCCCAAGCATGCTGCGCACTGGACACACAGGCCCTGACTCAACTTGTCCTGTCTGACTTCAGTGGTCCTACAGGATCTATCAGAGATCACTTGGCCATGGGAGAAATGTCTTCTTGGCTAGAAGTCACAGCAGGAGGGGACACTTTGGGGGCGCCTAGGAAAGGGGAACTAGGATCAAAAAAGAGATCAGGACCTGGGCACTCAGCTCTAGAGATGGCATCAGGGCAGCCAAGGCACTGGGGACACCCCACACCCACTGTGCCAGCCTAGGGCAGGGAGCCCGAGGAAGCCACAGGCTCTGCCCTGCTCAGTGCTGGACTCAGTGCCTGGCCCAGGCTGAGAAGGAGATAAACTGCAGCCTTGGGGGTGTGGGGAAGGGGCACCACACTGGGATCTCAGAAATGCCCAAAACCTGTGTCAAAATAGGAGACTGCCGCTGTGAGACCCTGAGGAGTCTTCTGGTGATCATGGAAGAACAAATGTTAAGCTAGAACTGAAGGAACCTCATCAGGGGAGAGGCAGCCATCCTGCCGTCCCCACATCTGGTCTTTGCCATTTCTGTGTCCTGTGGTGGTCAGCAGCAAGGTCTCTGAGCCGAAAGGAGGCACTCACTTTGGAGGAGTGCAGGGTCCCCAGGTCCCCACACTTTGTCTTGTCCTGACTGAGAAAGAAACAGACTGCCCTGACCTCTCTGACTTGGCCAGCGAGGTTGCCCTTAGGCTCAAACCCAAGCCAGGGTTTGAACATTCCCAGACACTTGTAAGATGTTTAGGTTGTTAACATAATGTTCAGGTTTCAAAACATTGAAAGAAACTAGCCCCAGCCCTGAACCCAGATCCCCCCCGGCTTCAGGCATGACCAGTGAACACGCCCTTCTCTCACTGGTCACCTGAGGATGCCGCACTCTGTCAACAGGTTCCCCTAATACATGCTCTGATCTGATCGCCTTGGCATTTAGTGATTCTTTCCCTGGAATTCTCCACTGGCCCCATCGCAGGGAACTCCCAAGTGGGAAACTCCCCTACCACCACTTTTGGGGCAACTTCAGCTAAGGGTTCAGCTGGGACAAAACAGGGAGCCACTCGGGAACCTGGGACAGGACCAGAGAGAAAACCCGAGGGACAGAGTGGGTAAGGAAAACTGCTGAGGAAGGGCCCAAAGGGCACTCTGGAAAGAAGTGGCACTGGAGGGCTGGGGTGGGGGTGGTCCTGGCCAGGGAGTCTTACCTTGTCCCACAAAGACTGCAGCTCTTCCTGCCCTCCTAAGTCCCAGAACATGAGCCGAGCCTTTCCCACATCCACAGTGCCGACTGGGGAGAGGAGGAAACAGGCAAGGCTCATGACCTTGGTCCTCGACACACCCAGTCCCAGCTCTCCCAGGGGATGGGGCAAACCATGCTGGTGCCACTCAAATGAGACTTGAGAGGGGCCCGACAGGGCTGTGGCCACGGGCCAGCTGGACTGTGAATATCACGGCATCCTCAAGGCCCCAAACCCACAGCCTGCTATTGAGACCCTTACTGTTTAGGCCCACGGTGGTGGTGATTTTGGATAGACTCATCCCCTTGTAGTTCTTGTTAAATCGGGTTTTCGACTGCTCCAGGAAGGTCTGAGGAGAGAGGCAGAGGCGAAACACATCAAGGAGGGGCTATACTGGCTTCCAAATATCCTTACTCAGGTCTGTTCTTTAAAAGACAGAAA
Source organism: Homo sapiens (assembly GCF_000001405.40). Lineage (NCBI taxonomy): Eukaryota > Metazoa > Chordata > Mammalia > Primates > Hominidae > Homo > Homo sapiens. The sequence goes on from NC_000020.11 coordinate 63,706,831, forward strand.
CAGAAACAGAGCAACACTCTGCTCTTCAGGAGGCTGGTGGTGACTATCCTGCCGTCTCAGGTGAAATTTGGCTTCCGTCTGGGTAGTGAACGTGCAGCTGACAGCACAAAACCGAAGGGGGCGCCGCCAGGCCGTGGGAAAGGTGCGCGCAAGGGCGTGGGCACTCACCGTCTTCCCAGCATTGTCCAGGCCCAGGATCAGGATGCAGTACTCGTCCTTCTGAAACATGTACTTGTACAAGCCCGACAGCAGCGTGTACATCCTGCCCTGGGCACCCCAACATAGGTCAGTGTGCAGCCAGAAAGCACCTCCCCTCCCCCGGGCTTCTCCACGGTGGTCAGTGGCGCCCCACGTCCAGCCGACCGCTCAGGACGAGAGCCTGGGGGCCATTCCCGACTCCTCGTCCCTCTCCCACCCCGTCCCTCTGTAACTTCTCCCAGGTCAGCCGCCACTGTGTCCTGCTCACAGCAATGACTGCGACCTCTCCGCATACACATCGGTTCCGGCCCCTCCCCTGCTCGCGGGACTACCCAGCCGGGTGTTCACAGTGAGCTCAGCCGCGCTCCCGCCCTCCCCCGAGGCTTCGCTCCCACGCTTCACGCGCGCGGAACGGGGAACACACTCGCTGCAGCCCCGCCTGGGCCACGGCACCCTCGAGCGCCAGCCCCGCGCCCCACCCGGGAGCAGCGAGCCACCGGCGCGCTCCCCAGGAGCCCCTGCAGGCGCCGGGTAGGGACGCCCCATCACCCCATTTCTTAAAACGGGGACGGCCCTGGGGGGAGCGGACTACAGGGCGGGTGAGCAGCGGCGCGGCTGCTCCTGGAGTGCACCTGGAGGCGGCGCGCGGCTGGCAGGGAACGACTGCGAAGGAAGAACCTGGGTCGCGGCCCCCGGCTACGTCCGCCCCAAGCCGCCGCCGCCAGGTCTGAGGCTCCCCGACAAGCAGCCAAAGCTGGCTCCTGTCACACCCGCGTCCCACCTCGAGTCCTGGGCCGCCCCTCGGGCCTCGCGCCTCACCGCACAGCCTGCGGCCTACCTGCGTCCGCCGCGCCCTCGGAGCCGCTGCTGCTGACCCCCGCTGACCTCCGCTGACCCCGCGCTAACCCCGCGCGGCGCCTGACGGGACGCGGGCCGGCCTCAGGGAATGAGCTGAACCGCGTCCCAGCGGCCTCCGCGCTCCGCTTCCCGGCTGCCCCCGCGCGCCAAGCACTTCCGGAAGCGGCGGCGCTCGGGAGGAAGTGCCGATCGGCTGCTGGGGCGAAAAGGGGGCGCCGGGCCGCTCTAGCCGGTGAGGCCGGCGGGCTCTCTGTGGCTGCGGCTGGGAAACCGCGCGGAGGAGGTGCCCGGCCGGGGACCAGGTGGCCGCGGTTTGCGGGGACGCGGCCCTGGCCAGACAGAAGAGACGCCGGGCGGGGGGGCGCGGCCGGCCTGGAAGGCGGCGGGCGCGGCGGGTGGGCTCGGCGGAGGGTGAGGCGGCGGGGCGCCCCGCGGGGAAGGGGCTCCGGAGTGACGCGGGACCCGGCTAGCGGCGAGCCCACGGCGGCTCGGAAGGGAAGCGCGGAGCCTGAGCGGGGGTACCCGGGCTGCGACCTCTGCGCTGGGAGCTGTGCCTCTGAGCCGGTGTCTCCCCGAGGGAAAGGGGACGTGCCCGTGCCCGTGCCCGCCCTCAGGCTGTGGGGTCGGTCCCGAGACGCGGGGCTCAGCTGGCTTCTCTTCTTGCAGCCCTGGTCCAGCGCCTCCCTCTCTCAGCATGGACGAGGAGAGCCTGGAGTCGGCCTTGCAGACCTACCGTGCGCAGCTGCAGCAGGTGGAGCTGGCCTTGGGCGCCGGCCTGGATTCGTCTGAGCAGGCTGACCTGCGCCAGCTGCAGGGGGACCTGAAGGAGCTCATCGAGCTCACCGAGGCCAGCCTGGTGTCTGTCAGGAAGAGCAGCTTGTTGGCCGCGCTGGACGAAGAGCGCCCGGGCCGCCAGGAAGATGCTGAGTACCAGGCTTTCCGGGAGGCCATCACTGAGGCGGTGGAGGCACCAGCAGCGGCCCGTGGGTCCGGATCAGAGACCGTTCCTAAAGCAGAGGCGGGGCCAGAATCTGCGGCAGGTGGGCAGGAGGAGGAAGAGGGAGAGGACGAGGAAGAGCTGAGTGGGACAAAGGTGAGCGCGCCCTACTACAGCTCCTGGGGCACTCTGGAGTATCACAACGCCATGGTGGTGGGAACGGAAGAGGCGGAGGATGGCTCGGCGGGTGTCCGTGTGCTTTACCTGTACCCCACTCACAAGTCTCTGAAGCCGTGCCCGTTCTTCCTGGAGGGAAAGTGCCGCTTTAAGGAGAACTGCAGGTAAAGCCCTTTGTTGTCAGATGCCAACCTTAGGGGCGTAAGGGGCACGCACACAGGGTCGGGTCAGGATCGGCCCTCCCTTTGCTTTGCAGTTTTGTCTCAGCTTCCTGGGGCAGGCGTGCTTTGACAGCTGTGTCTGTGTTCAGGCGTCTACGTCTTCCTTCTGGGGTGAATCAAGAAGCATGGAAGGAGGCCAGGCGCGGTGGCTCACGCCTGTAATCCCAGCACTTTAGGAAGCCGAGGCGGGCAGATCACCTGAGGTCAGGAGTTCAAGACCACGCTGGTCAACATGGTGAAACCCCATCTCCTTAAAAACACAAAAATGAACCGGTCGTGGTGGCGCGCACCTGTGGTCCTGGCTACTCAGGAGGCTGAGGCAGGAGAATTGGTTGAACCCAGGAGGCCGAGTTTGCAGTGAGTGGAGATGCAGCCACTGTACTGCAGCCCGAGCAGCAGTGCAAGGCTTATGTGGAAGAGAGTAGGTCTCCAGCCTATCGTCAGTTTTTTTTTGGTGGTTGTTTTAATTTTTTTTGAGACAGGGTCTTACTTTGTCAACCAGGCTGGAGTGCAGTGGCATAGTCCTGGCTCACTGCAGCCTGGACCTCCTGGGCTCAACCGATCCTCCTGCCTCAGCCCCCCTAGGAGCTGGGCTACAGACTCACGCTACTACACCCAGCTAATTTTTATATTACTATAATTTTTTATCTTTTTTTTGAGATGGAGTCTTGTTCTGTTGCCCAGGCTGGAGTGCAGTGGCGTGATCTCGGCTCACTGCAAGCTCCGCCTCCCGGGTTCACGCCATTCTCCTGCCTCAGCCTCCCGAGTAGCTGGGACTACAGGCGCCCGCCACCATGTCTGGCTAATTTTCTGTATTTTTAGTAGAGACGGGGTTTCACCATGTTAGCCAGGATGGTCTCAATCTCCTGACCTCGTGATCCGCCCACCTTGGCCTCCCAAAGTGCTGGGATGACAAGCGTGAGCCACCGCGCCTGGCCTTTTTTTTTTGGAGACAGAGTTTCACTCTCCTCACCCAGGCTGGAGTGTAGTGGCGCAATCTCAGCTTACCGCAACCTCTGTCTCCCGGGTTGAAGTAATTCTCTACCTCAGCGTCCAGAGTAGCTGGCATTACAGGCGCCCGCCACCACACTGGGCTAATTTTTTGTATTTTTAGTAGAGTCGGAGATTCACCATCTTGGCCAGGCTGGTCTTGAACTCCTGACCTCGTGATCCACCCACCTTGGCCTCCCAAAGTGCTGGGATCACAGGCGTGAGCCACTGCGCCTGGCCCTGTTGTTAGTTTTATTCTCTAGAGTTCAACTTTTAAATTTTACTTTCATGGAGATTTTCAAACATACCCCAAATTAGAGAGTTTAGCATAATCACCGCCCACGGTCCATCATCCAATGTCGTCATTTATTAATATTTTCCCAGTCTCATTTTGTCTGTTCTCCCTGCCCTATTTTTTTCTTTCCTGGGCCATTTTAAAGCAAATTCCAGAAGTTACTGGTTTTTTCCAATTATGAATACTTCATAGTTGCATCTCTAATCTAACTGATTAGGAAATTACTTAAAAAGTAACTTTTTGGAAGTCCAAGTCCGATGTGAGGACAAAAAAGAGTAACTTCTGTGTCATAATAGGTAACACATTTAATGGTAATACCTCTTCCATATTCAAATATGAACAATTATTACTGTAATGTCTCTATTTCCCTAAGCGCATAGCTTTATTTTTCCTCCTTTTTACTTTTCTCTTAGAAGAAATATTTACCAAGCCTTCTAGTAGGTAATTTTCTTTTTTAGCCAATAGTTCAGGCTGACCGTGTAACCATCCCTAGTTCTAGTTCTAGTTCTTTGAATGTCTTCCTTTTTTTTTTTTTTTTGAAACAGCGTCTTGCTGCTCTGTCACCCAGGCTGGAGTGCAGTGGCACAATCTCGGCTCACTGCAATCTCCGCCTCCCTGGCCCAAGCCATCCTCCCACCTCAGCCTCCCTAATAGCTGATACTACAAGTGTGCACTGCCACGCCCAGCTAATTTTTGTATTTTTTGTAGAGACGGGATTTCACCATATTACCCAGGTCTCGAATTCCTGATCCCTTTGATGAGAGATCTGACACATCCCTGTGGTGCTCCCTCTGGGCCAGGCACTGCTCCAAGGGTTTCATATACTTTCATTCATCTGTGCAACAGCCCTGTAGGTAGGCCCTGCAGTCACACCATCTGACAGAGGAGGAAACAGGAGTAGAAGAACTGAGTGGTCCAGGGCTTCAAGGCTCAGAGGGCTCCGGTTGCCCCCAGCCCTCGTTCCGTCCCCTGCTCCACCCAGTGCTGCTTGCCATGTCGGCATCAGGCCTGATCTGAAAGCTTCCGGAGCATCTTACAGACGTCCACCTTGCCACCATTCAGGACTGATAAGTTCTCTTGGATTTGCGTTGGACCTTTTTTTTTTTTTTAAGATGGAGTTTCACTGTTGTTGCCCAGGCTAGAGTACAATGGCATGACCTCCACCTCCTGGGTTCAAGGGATTCTCCTGCCTCAGCCTCCCAAGTAGCTGGGATTACAGGCGCCTGTCACCACGTGGTGCCCAGCTAATTTTTATATTTTTAGTAGAGGCAGGGTTTCACCATGTTGGCCAGGCTGGTCTCGAACTCTTGACCTCAGGTGATCCCGCCTTGGTTTCCCAAAGTGCTGGGATTACAGGCATGAGCCACCACACCCGGCCCAGGATTTCTTTATATATTCTGGATATCATCCCTTATGAAGTATATAGTTTGCAGATATTTGCTCCCATTGTTTGGGTTGTCTTTTCACTTGATATAGTGTCCTTTGATGCACAAACATTTTAAATTTTGATGCAGTGCAATTTATTGTTTCTTTATTGCCTATGTTTTTGTCATCAGGTTTAAGAAACCACCTCATCCATAGTTATGAGGATTTTCACCTATGTTTTCTTCTAAGAGTTCTGTAGTTTTAGCTGTTAAATTTAGGTCTTTGATCCATTTTGAGTTAATTTTTGTATATGTTATTAGGTGAGGGTCCACTTTATTCTTTTGCATGTGGATTTCCAGTTTTCCCAGCACCATTTGTTTAAAAGACTGCTTTTTCTCCACTGAATGGTCTTGGCACTTTTGTCCAAAATCAATTGGCAATATATGTAAGGGTTTATTTCTGAGCTCTCTCTCCTGTTCCATTGGTGTATATGTGCCAGTACCACACTGTTCTGATTATTATAGCTTTGTGATAAGTTTTAAACTCAGGAAGTGGTAGTTATTCACCATTTGCTCCTCTTTTTCAAGTTTGTTTTGTTTCTGGATCCTTTGCAATTTCATATGAATTTTAGGATCGGCTTGTCCAATTCTGCATAAAAGACAGTTTGAATTTTGATATGGATTGCATAGAATGTGTAGATCTGTTTGGGGCACATTGTCATCTTTACAATATTAAGCCTTCTGGCTGGGTGTGGTGGCTGACGCCTGTAATCCCAGTACTTTGGGAGGCTGAGGCGGGCATATCACTTGAGGTCAGGAGTTCAAGACCAGCCTGGCCAACGTGGTGAAACCCCGTCTCTACTAAAAATAAAAAACAAATTAGTCGGAGGTGGTGCACACCTGTAATCCCAGCTACACGAGAGGGTGAGGCAGGAGAATCGCTTGAACCTGGGAGGAGGAGGTTGCAGTGAGCTGAGATCATGCCACTGCACTCCAGCCTGGGTAACAGAGGGAGACTCCATCTTAAACAACAACAATAACAGAAGAAAAAAACAGTATTAAGTCTTCCAATTCATGAATGAAGGATCTGTCCATTTATTTACGTCTTTAATTTCTTTCAACAGTATTTTGTACTGTTCAAGTCTTGCACATTCTTGGTTAAATAAGTATTATTTTTGATGCTTCTCTAAGGAATTGTTTTTCTTTTCCTTTTTTTTTTGAGACAGAGTCTTGCTCTGTCACCCAGGCTGGAGTGCAATGGCACAATCTTGGCTCACTGCAACCTCTGCCTCCCGGGTTCAAGCAATTCTTCTGCTCAGCCTCCCAAGTAGCTGGGATCACAGGTGCCTGCCACCACACCCAGCTAATTTTTTTTTTTGAGATGGAGTCTTGCTCTGTTGCCCAGGCTGGAGTGAAGTGGCCCAATCTTGGCTCACTGCAAGCTCCACCTCCCGGGTTCACACCATTCTTCTGCCTCAGCCTCCTGAGTCGCTGGGAATACAGGTGCCTGCCACCACGCCCAGCTAATTTTTTGTATTTTTAGTAGAGATGGGGTTTCACCATGTAGCCAGGATGGTCTCGAACTCTTGACCTCAGGTGATCTGCCTGCCTCGGCCTCCCAAAGTGCTGGGATTACAGATGTGAGCCACTGTGCCCGGCTGGAGTTGTTTTCCTTAGTTACATTTTCAGGCTGTTTGTTGCTAGTATATAGAAATACAAGCTGGGCACCGTGGCTCACGCCTGTAATCCCAGCACTTTGGGAGGCCAAGGCGGGTGGATCACCTGTGGTCAGGAGTTCGAGACCAGCCTGGCCAACATGGTGAAATCCAGCCTCTATTAAAAATACAAAAATTAGTCTGGCATGGTGGCAGGTGCCTGTAATCCCATCTACTCAGGAGGCTGAGGCAAGAGAATTGCTTGAACCTGGGAGGCGGAGGTTGCAGTGAGCTGAGATCGCGCCATTGCACTCCAGCTTGGGGAACAAGAGTGAGACTTCATCTCAAAAAAAAAAAAAAAGAAATACAGTGGATTTTTTTATGTTAATCCTGTATTGATTGCTGAATTGGTTTATTAGTGCTAATAGGATTTTTTATGCACTATTTAGGATTTTCGATATATACAATCATATATATTCAATATATACAATTAATATATATGTGAATAGAGATAATTGTAGTCTTTGTTTCTAGTTTGCATGGCATTTATTTCTTTTTCTTGCTTAACTGCCTTAGCTAGAACTTCAAGTACAATGTTGAATAAAAGTGACTAGAGCGGGCCGGGGGTGGTGGCTCACACCTGTGTTCCCAGCACTTTGGGAGGTGGAAGTGGGCAGATCACTTGAGATCAGCAGTTTGAGACCAGCCTGGCCAACACGGCGAAACCCCATCTCTACTAAAAATACAAAAATTAGCTGGGTGAGGTGATGTGCACCTGTAGTCCCAGCTACTTGAGAGGGTGAGACATGAGAATTGCTTGAACCTGGGGGGCGGAGGTTGCAGTGAGCCAAGATCATGCCACTCCACTCCAGCCTGGACGACAGAGCAAGAACCCTGTCTTTAAAAAAAAAAAAAAAAAAAGTGGCTAGAACAAACATCTTTATCTTGTTCCTGATCTTAGGTGGAAAACTTTTTTGTTCCTGATATTAGGTGGAAAACTTTTAGTCTTTCACTGTTGAATATGATGTTACTTGTAGGTTTTCTGTAGATTCCCTTTATCGAGTTGAGGAAATTCTCTTATATTCATAGTGTGTTGAGTGTTTTTTATCATGAAAGGGTGTTGATTTTTTTTTTAAAGATAGGGTCTTGTTCTGTCACCCAGGCTGGAGGGCAGTGGCATGATCATGGCTCACTGCAACCTCGAATTCCTGGGCTCAGGGGATCCTCCTACTTCATCCTCCTGAGTAGGTGAGACTACAGGCATGAGCCACCATGCCCAGCTAATTTTTTAATTTTTCTGTAGAGGTAGGGTCCTGCTTTGCTGCCCAGGCTGGTCTTAAACTCCAGGGCTCAAGCAATCCTGCCTCAGCCTCCCAAAGTGCTGAGATTACAGGGGTGAGTCACTGCACTGCACCCAGCTGTGTGGGATTTTTCAAATGCTTTTTTCCTTTAGATGATCATGTGTGGTTTTTTTCCTTTCATTTTGTTAATGTGGTATATTGATTTTCGTATGTTGAACCATCCTTGAATTCCTCAGATAAAGCACGCATATTCATGGCGTATTATCTCTTTATTATTATTATTTTTGTAGAGATGAGATTTCACTCTGTTGCCCAAGCTGGTCTCAAACTCCTGGGCTAAAGTGATCCTCCTGCCTCAGCCTCCGAAAGCGCTGGGATTATAGGCATGAGCCACTTGGCCCTATCTTTTTTCTTTTTCTTTTTTTTTTTTTTTGAGACAGAGTCTCACTCTGTCGCCGGGCTGGAGTGAGTGGCGCGATCTCGGCTCACTGCAACCTCCATCTCCCGGGTTCAAGCAATTCTCCTGCCTCAGCCTCCTGAGTAGCTGGGACTACAGGTGCCCGCCACTATGCCCAGCTAATTTTTTGTGTTTTTAGTTGAGACGGTGTTTTGCCATGTTGGACAGGCTGGTCTTGCACTCCTGACCTCGTGATTCACCCACCTTGGCCTCCCGAAGTGCTGGGATTACAGGCGTGAGCCACCGCAGCGAGCCTTATCTTTTTAACAGTTAAAAGTTTAAGGCCTTATCATGTAATAACATTGCTGGATTTGATTTGCTGCTGTTTTGTTGAGAATATTTGCATCTGTATTGATAAGGGATATTGGTCTGTAGTTTTCTTTTCTTGGCATGTCTTTGTATAGCTTTGATGCCAGCATAATATTGGCCTCATAGAATGAGTTAGGAAGTATTCTTTATATTATGGGAAGAGGTAAAAAGGGATTGGTGTTAATTCTTCTTCAAATGTTTGATAGAATTCAACAGTGAAGTGATATATACAATCATATATAGAGAGAGAGAGAGAGAGAGAGAGATGGACTTTTCTTTTGTTGGAAGTTTATTGACTATTGATTCAATTTCCTTATTGAAATTGACTTTTCTTTTTGGAAGCTAAAACGTATAACTGTAGTGAAAGTTTCTGAACTTTTCTTTCATTGGAAGTTTTTTGACTACTGATTCTTTATTTGTTATAGGTCTATTCAGATTTTCTGTTTCTTCTTGAGTCAGTTTGGTCTCGCTCTGTCGCCCAGGCTGGAGTGCAGTGGTGCCATCTTGGCTCACTGCAACTTCTACCTCCCGAGTTCAAGTGATTCTCCCACCTCAGCCTCCCCAGTATCTCGGACTACAGGCGCACGCCAGCATACCTGGCTAATTTTTGTATTTTTAGTAGGAACAGCATTTCACCATGTTGGCCAGGCTGGTCTCGAACTCCTGACCTCAGGTGATCCACCCGCCTCGGCCTCACAAAGTGCTGGGACTACAGACATAAGCCACCGCGTCCAGCCTTGAGTCAGTTTAGATAGTTTGCATGCATGTTTCTAGGAATTTGTCCATTTTGTTTATGTTATCTAATCTGTTACCATACAATTGTTCATAGTATCCTTTTATAGCCCTAGTTATTTCTGTAAGATCAGTAGTAATAGCTCCACTTTCTCTCTTGGTTTTAGCAATTTGAGTCATCTCTTTTCTTCCTCTTTTTTTTTTTTTGAGATGGAGTCTCACTGTGTCACCCAGGCTGGAGTGCAGTGGCATGATCTTGGCTCACTGCAACCCCTGCCTCCCAGGTTCAAGCAATTCTGCCTTAGCCTCCTGAGTAGCTGGGATTACAGGTGTGAGCCACCACACCCAGCTAGTTTTGTTTTGTTTTTTTGTTTTTGAGACGGAGTCTGTTTCTGTCTCCCAGGCTGGAGTGCAGTGGTGCAATCTCACTCATTGCAACCTCCGACTCCCAGATTCCAGCAATTCTCCTGCCTCAGCCTCCTGAGTAGCTGGAACTATAGGCGTGCACCACCACGCCTGGCTGATTTTTATATTTTTAGTAGAGATGGGATTTCACCATGTTGGCCAGGCTGGTCTTGGACTCCCTACCTGAGGTGATCCGCCCACCTTGGCCTCCCAAAGTGCTGGGATTATAGGCATGAGCCACCATGCCCAGCCAGTTTTTGTATTTTTAGTAGAGATGGGGTTTCTCCCTGTCGGCCAGGCTGGTCTTGAAATCCTGACCTCAGGTTATCCACCAGCCTTGGCCTCCCAAAGTGCTAGGATTACAGGCATGAGCCACCACGCATGGCCTGTCTTTTCTTCTTGGTCATTTTCGCTAAAGGTTTGTCAATTTTGTTGATCTTTTTTGTTGCTGATCTCTATTGTTTTCCCATTCTGTTTCATTTATTTCCATTTTAACCTTTGTTTCCTTTTTTCTGCTGGTTTGGGTTTAATTTGCTCTTTTTTTCCCCTAATTTTTC